>NC_000002.12:221864618-222489618 GCF_000001405.40 Homo sapiens
TTGTACTTTTCACCTCCAGAATTTCCATTTGGTTCCTTTTTGTAATTTCTATCACTTTATTTATATTATCTATTGGGTGAAATATCATTCTCATGCTTTCCTTTAACTCCTTTCACAAGGTTTTCTTTAGCTTTTTGAAATACTTGTTTTAAAATCTTTGTGTTTTAAGTACAGTGTCTAAGCTTCTTCAGGGAGAGTTTTTACTTTCTACTTTTCTAATGTATGTGCCATACTTTCTTGTTTCTTTGAATGCCTCCTAACTTTTCAAACACTTTGAGTATATAGCATAACAACTCTAGAAATCATATTATCCTACCCCAGGGTTTATTGTTGCTGCTTGTTGTGGCTGCTGTTTTTTTTCTAAACTAATTTTGTCAAGTTTGTATTCCTTGTCATGTGTGCACTGGTGGCTCTATCTGGCTAGCTTAGTGTTGAGCTAGTGGTTTGACCTATATATTTTTAAACATCTAGAACCTCCTCCCCAACCCCAACTCCTCTAGTCTTTGCATATAAACCCTGTGTGTGTGAAGATCACAATTTCAAACTCTCCTGGAAGTTTACAAAATTTACCACTCCCCTGCTTTTCAGTGTGTCTATTATTTACCCCAATTGTTATTCCTTGCCTCAAGTGCCAATGGTTAATATAGTTGCTTTTAAATGTTTCTTAGAAATGCTCCCTCTGTAGCCATCTCTCCCAGGTTACATAAGGCAAGCCCTTTAAGGCCAACATTTGGGGACCCACCTACAACCACAGTTCTTTGGGAACAGGTCTGCTCTGCTTCAGCCAGCACAAGAAAACCACAGCAGAAATGCAGGCTGCTGTCTTCAAGACTATTCTCAAGCTGGGGAAAGAGGAGAGGGCCAAGGCAAGTTAAAACCCTACAAAGTTCTTCTGAAATTCAGTCACTTTTTCTTGATTAAATGTTTTTCTGGTTACTATAAATCTTTAGCTGGCTTCTAGAGTTGTGACAAAGCTGATTTTGACAGAGCGTTTTTTGTTGTATTTGTTGTTGTTGTTGTTGCCAAATTATTTGCTCTTTTTGTGGAGAGTTAGTGCTTTGAAGTTCCCTACTCCACCATTTTTACTGATGTCACTTAGAGCATTCTTTTTATATCACAAAAATATCAGAGATATGGGAAAGAATTCACAAACTATATTTTGAAATATTATAGCTCATAAAACAGTGAGTGACTTATCTAATTTTTGTGTTTTGTCATATTTCTTCAAGTTGGCATTTTATTCGGTTGTAAATCATTTATAGGTTGGTAAAGTTTACAGGTGATATAGAAGGTGCCTTGCATGAGAAAAGCCTATCAACTGATTTTCCCCAAGTTGAAATTTTCTAGTTCTATGGACTGCATATTTATTGCTCAAACCCCTGAATCTTAAAAGAGAAAGCAGGAAGCTGGAAGCTAATTTGGTGCACATAGCCCATTTCCATTTTATATCCAGGCATATTTGATTTGACTTGGGTAACCAAATGCTGTAGTAGCAAACCTCTCACATGGAGCTACAAATATGGGGGAAAATGTTTTCAAGATAAAGAAAGAAAAAGGAAGAGATAAGATTAAAAGTACATGAGGTTCTTTGCCAAGTTGGAGCTGACAAGATTTAAACATTCAAGAACAGTCCAAATTCCTCTGATGACCACTCTCCCACTTGCCCATTTATCCTTCATTTTGCCTAGTCATGGATCTGCAACCAAATATCTACTCAATGAACATTCATCCAACTAATATTATTATAGCAAATGATAGGAATATCAACTTCAGTATATAAGGTCACTATTCACCCCTGGACATGGAGGAAAGAACAATATCAAGATTATCCTCTTCATGTTCTAAAATACTATCACACATCCTGAAAATTAAAGATTATAACAGCTCTTTAAATTTATGAACCAGTGATGAGAAGTATAAAATGTAACTTAAATCTTGACTCCACCTTTGTTTTAAAAAAGATTATCTCTATTATATTTTTGTATTTAAAGTTATTTTTAGGAAGAAGAAATGTTTGAAGTATTTATTAAGAATATCACTGTGAGGCAGATGTAACATTCTGTTCCTTTAATGTAATACCATTTGATGTTCTTAACTCATTTATTCCACAAATATTTATTAGTGCCTTCTGTGCACCAGACATTGCAGTAGGCACTGATGATGCATTGAAAACATAGCCACCATGGTTCCTGTCATCACAGCCATTAGAGATGAGTGGGGAATTAGGATATATAAAACAGCAATTGCATTATATTAAGGGGAAATGTGATACAATTCAGGAACTATTGAAGACCATAGATGAACCAAGTTAGAGCAGAGCCTGAGGATCAGGGATAGCTTCCCAACAGAAGAAATATCTAATCTGAGATCTGGAAACTCACTAGGAGTCAGTCCTGTGAAGTGGAACTGTGTGAAATGGTCTAGAATTACTTATAGAAGATACAGCAAGTGGGAAGGCTTAAAGGAAAGGAAGAAAGTGAACCACTTGAACAACTGGATAAATTGCTCAACATTTCAGTATAACAGAAGCATAGAGCCAGGGTGGCCAGAACAAGATCTGAGAATACACATTTTAGAGAAATTAGCCTCCGTTAAAGAGTTTGGACTTTATTCTGAGTCTTATAGGAAGAGTGCTGATGTGTTTTAAACAGGGAGCAACATGATCTTATTTTTATTTTAGAAAAATCTTTGTAGTTTCTGTAAGGAAAACAAATATATGTTAGGGAATATAAGACCATAGGCAGGAAGATAAGCAAAGAGGTGGGGAAGCAATAGAGGTAAAACAGGGTGTTAGAATAAATTAGGGTTTATTAATTGTACTGGGTTTAATAGTGTAGTCTCTAAATTCAAGTCACCCAGAATGTGACTTTATTTGAAAATAGAGTCTTTTAGATGTAATGAGATAAAATGAGATCATACTAGATTAGGGTGGATTCTAAAACCAAAGACTCATGTCGTTATAAGAAGGTCATGTGAAGACACAGAGAGATGCACTGGGCAGAAGGCCTTATGACAACAGAAGCAGACACTGGAATTATTATGCAATAAGCCAAGGAACGCTTTGGGCCACCAGAAATTGAAAGAGGCAAGGAAGGATATCCTCACTAGCGTTATCAGAGGGAATATGGTCCTGCTGCCACCTTGATTTTGGACTTCTGGGCTCTAGAACTATGAAAGAATAAAATTCTGTTGGGGGAAGGGGCCAAGATGGCGTATTAGAAGCAGCTGCAGTCCACGGCTCTCACAAAACAATGAGTGTATTCTGCACCTTCGACTGAAGTATCCGGGTTCTCACATTGGGACTGACTAGGCAAATGGCTCACCCCATGGAGAGCAAGGAAAAACAGGGTGATGGCCCACCCTGGAATGGCCATCATTGTCTGCCCCAACGCCAGACAAAGGAGGCAGTGAGTGATGGTGTGACCCTGCCCAGGAAACCACACTTTTTCTATGGGTCTTCGCAACCTGTGGATATGGACTTTCTCTTGTGACCCCACACCATCAAGGCCTTGGGTCCAAAGCACAGGCATGTGTGGAGTCTCAGCAGGGCAGCCACTTGCTCATTTGGGCATACAGGGAAGCCCAGGAGTTTTGTATACTCCAGCCCTGGGAATTCTGGAAAAGCAGGAGATCCTGGGCATTCCTCCAGGAAGAGAGCTGAATCCAGGAAGCCAAGTGGCATCATTCCATGGGCCCCACTCCCATGGAACCTCACAAGTTAAGATCCACCAGCTTGGAATTCCAGCTGACCTGTGGCAGCAGGCTGGAGACAGCCTGAGATGGACTAAGTTCCCAATGGGAAGGTCAGCCACCATATCTGTGGTTTGAGTTAGTGCTCTAGCCTGCCAGCAGCGGGGACCAGGAAGAATTCCCCACAACACAGCACAGCTGCTGAGCTGGATCGTGGAGAGTCTGCTTCTTTAAATGGGACCCCGATCCACCCCTCTTCACTGTGCAGGGCCTCCCTGTGGGAATTTCAGCAACTCCAGCCAAGGTTATAGGGACAGTACTCTGATCTCTTCCTGGGATGGAGGCCCCGGGAGGAGGGGCAGCCACTATCTCTACAGTTCAGCCGACTTAGTCTTTCCTGCCTGCTAGCTCTGGAGAGATCAGGTGGCCAGCAGTGTACCTGCTTTGCCAAGGGGTAGCCAGACTGCTTCTTTAAGAGGGTCCCTGATCTCATTCCTCCTGACTCGGTAAGACCTCCCAACAGGGTTCTCCAGACACCTCCTACAGGAGTGTTCCAGCCAGCATCAGGTTAGTGCCCCCCTGGGATAGAGCTCCCAGAGGAAGGAACAGGCTGCCATCTTTGCTGTTTCACAGGCTTCACTGGTGAAACTCCTAGGTGCAGGAGGGAGCAAGGTGATTAGGGACTGGAGTGGTTGCCCAGCAAACTGCAATGCCCCTACAGAAGAGTGGCCTGACTGAAAAACAAACAAAAAACAGAAAGTAACAACATAAACAAAAAAGACTCCACAAAAAAACCCGTTCAAAGTCAACAACCTTGAAAACCAAGGGTAGCTAAGCCCACAGAAATGAGAATGAATCAATGCAAAAACAATGAAACCTGAAAAAGCCAGAGTGCCTCTTCTCCAAATAGCCACAACACTGCTCCAGCAAGGGCACAGATCTGGACTGAGGCTGAGATGGATGAATTGACAGAAGTAGGCTTCAGAAGTCGGATAATAGAAACTTCACTGAGCTAAAGGAGCATGTTCTAACCCAATGCAAAGAAGCTAATAATCATGATAAAACAATACAGGAAGTTATAACCATGATAGCAAGTTTAGAGAGGAACATAACTGATCTGATGGAGTTGAAAAACACAACACAAGAAATTCACAGTGCAATCACAAGTATCAATAGCTAAATAGACCAAGCAGAGGAAAGAATCTCAGAGCTTGAAGACTCTCTGATATAAGACAGGCAGATAAGAATAGAGAAAAAAGAATGAAAAGGAATGAACAAAACTTCCAAGAAATATGAGTTTATTTAAAAACACCAAACCAATGATTGATTGGGGTACCCAAAAGAGATGGGGAGAATGGAACCAAGTTGGAAAATATACTTCAGGATATCATCCAGGCAAACTTTCCCAGTCTAGCAAGACAGGCCAACATTCAAATTCAGGAAATCCAGAGAACCCCAGTAAGATACTCCATGAAAAGATCAACCCCAAGATACATAATCATCAGATTCTCCAAGGTCAAAATGAGAGAAAAAATGTTAAAGGCAACCAAAGAGAAAGACCAGATCACCTACAAAGGGAAGTCCATTAGACTAACAGTAGACCTCTCAGCAGAAACCTTACAAGTCAGGGAGATTTGGGGCCAATATTCAACCTTCCAATTTTTTTTTCTTTTTTTTTTTTTGAAATGGAGTCTTGTTCTGTTGCCAGGCTGGAATGCAGTGGCGTGATCTTGGCTTACTGCAACCTCCACCTCCCAAGGTTCAAGCGATTCTCCTGCTTCAGCCTCCCAAGTAGCTAGGACTACGGGCACACACCACCATGCCCAGCTAATTTTTGTATTTTTAGTAGAGATGGGGTTTCACATGTTGGCCAGAATGGTCTTGATCTTCTGACCTTGTGATCTGCCCGCCTCGGCCTCCCAAAGTGCTGGGATTACAGGTGTAAGCCACCATGCCTGGCTTCAACATTCTTAAAGAAAAGAATTTCTAACCCAGAATTTCATATCCAGCCACAGTAAGCTTCATAAGTGAGGGAGAAATAAGATCCTCTTTTTTTTTTTTGAGATAGAGTCTCACACTGTTGCCTGGGTTGAGTGCAGTGGCTCAATCTCGGCTCACTGCAGCCCCCACCTCCCAGGTTCAAGTGATTCTCCTGTCTTAGCCTCCCAAGTAACTGGGATTTCAGGTGCCTGCCACCACGCCTAGCTAATTTTTTGTATTTTTAGTAGAGATGGGGTTTCACTATGTTGGCCAGGCTGGTCTCAAACTCCTGACCGTGTGATCCACTTGCCTCGGCCTCCCAAAATGCTAGGATTACAGGCATGAGCCACTGCACCCAGCTGAAATAAGTTCCTTTATAGACAAGCAAATGCTGAAGGAATTTGTCACCACCAGGCCTACTTTACAAGAGCTCCTGAAGAAAGTGCAAAATATGGAAAGGAAAACCATTATCAGCCACTACAAAACCACACTGAAGTACACAGACCAATGACACTATGAATCAACTACATAAACAAGTCTGCAAAATAATCAGCTAGCATCAAGATGACAGGATCAAATTCACACATGCAAATATTAACCTTAAATGAAAATGGTGTAAATGCCCCAATTAAAAAAAAACACAGAATGGCAAGCTGGATAAAGAGTCAAGCCCCCACTGATATGTTGTCCTCAAGAGACCCATCTCACATGCAAAGACACACATAGGCTCAAAAAAAAAAAGGAGGAAAATTTATCAAGCAAATAGAAAACAGAAAAAAGCAGGAGTCGCAATCCTAGTTTTTGACAAAACAGACTTTAAACCAAAAAACATAAAAAAAGACAAAGAAGGGCATCACATAATGGTATAGGGTTCAATTCGACAAGAAGAGCTAACTGTCTTAAATATATATGCACCAAATACAGGAGCACCCAGATTCAAAAAGCAAGTTCTTACAGACATTCGAAGAGACTTAGACTCTCACACAATAATAGTGGAAGACTTTAACACCCCACTGACAACATTGGACAGATGATCAAGACTGAAAATTAACAAAGATACTTAGGAACTGAACTCAGCTCTGGATCAAGCAGGTCTGATAGATATCTACAGAGCTCTCCACCCAAAAACAACAGAATATACATTCTTCTCATTGCCACATGGCACTTTAAAATTGATCACATAATCAGAAGTAAAACACTCCTCGGCAAATGCAAAAGAACTGAAATTGTAGCAAACGGTCTCTCAGACCACAGTTCATCAAATTAGAACTCAAGACTAAGAAACCCACTGAAAACCACACAACTACATGGAAATTGAACAACCTGCTACTAAATGACTCCTGGGTAATTAATGAAATTAAAGCAGAAATCAAGAAGTTCTTTGAAACTAATGAGAACAAAGACACAACATACCAGAATTTCTGAGATGCATCTAAAGCAGTGTTAAGAGGGAAATTTAGGTGGGGACCAAGATGGCTGAATAGGAACAGCTCCAGTCTGCAGCTCCCAGGGAGACCAATGCAGAAGGCAGGCGATTTCTGCATTTCCAACTGAAGTACCCAGTTCATCTCACTGGGACTGGTTAGGCAGTGGGTCCAACCCACAGAGGGTGTGCAGAAGCAGAGTGGGATGTCGCTTCATCTGGGAAGTGCAAAGAGCTGGGGGACCTCCCTCCCCCAGCCAAGGGAAACCATGAGGGACTGTGCTGCCTGGCCAGGTAACTATGCTTTTCCCATGGTTTTTGCAATGTACAGATCAGGAGATTCCCTCATGTGCCTACGCCACCAGGGCCCTGGGTTTCAAGCACAAAACTAGGTGGCTGTTTGGGCAGACACCAAGCTAGCTGCAGGAGTTTTTTTTTTTTTGTACCCTAGTAGTGCCTGAAACCGCAGCAAGACAGAACCTGGGAAACTTCCCGGAAGGAAATTTATGACCACTTCATCAGTGGCTATCTTTGAGTGGTAATTGGTATTCTTTCTACTTTTTCAGTTTCCTATTTGTTAATACATGGGGCCCTTTGGGGCATTATTAGGTCATGAGGGCATAGCCCTCATAAATGGGAATAGTGCTGCTATAAAAGAAGACCTGAGGGAGCTTGTTTACTCTTTCCGCCACAGGATGGAATAGCAAAAAGTTGCCATCTATGAATCAGGAAACAAACCTCACCCAACACTGAATCCATCAGTGCTGTGATCTTGGACTTCCCAACCTCCAGAACTGCGAGAAGTTAATTTCTATTGTTTATAATCCACCCACTAGATGGTATTTTGTTGTAGCAACCTGAACAGACTAAGACACAAACTACATCAAATCCTCCTCCCCATCCCACCTCCACTCAAATTGTCTCCACTCACTGACTAGCAACACCAGCCCCAAATATGAAACTCAAGCATTGGGAGCCAGCTTTTGCCTTTGTCGATTTAGGTTATGCATTTCTCTAAGATTTGACATGGACATGTGGATCTACAGCTCTGTAAAAGAGATACTTTTATCTTCATATTATGTTGGTTTGAGGAAGAGGAGAAGATGAAAAGGGGTGATAAAGTTTGAATAGTCAAATATTTAAAGGTTTTTTTTAAAAGCACTCATTCAAACTGTATTTAAACTTCATAAATCTAAAGTACTCTGAATGCAATTCACCTTGGATTCTGATTTAATAGCATACAACCTGATCCCACTCTACCCCAACCCTTAGAAAAAGGATGTGAGCAGGAGCAGCAGATAAATACTGGGTGTATAAACAGTTAGACATAGAAACTTCGAATAAGATTTGGTAGAATAAAACCTCTGTAGACTAGAAATGTACCTTTTTATTAATTGGGTAGAATCATCCTTGTTATCTCTGCCACAAGGGAGCTGTTTCTGTCTACACTAGGACAAATTTACATAAATTAAAATTTTGCTTTAAGTTTCAAGTTTTAGAGGGAAGGAAAGAACTATTTACTGATTATTAGATATCTAATATTAGATAATTAGGTGTCTACTGTGAGCTAGGGCACTATGGTATTTGGTTTAAGCACAGATTCCATTTCGTTTCTGTCAAATGTTCTGAGTTGGGAACACTGAGGTATACAGGGGCAAGACTTGCCCAAATCATTCAGGTTAAGAGACAGGCTCAAAGTCAAGGCTTACTTGACCACCATCCACTTTCCCTTATTCCCTTCTTTTTTTTTTTTTTTTTTTTGACAGAGTCTCACTCTGTCACCCAGGCTGGAGTGCAGTGGCGGGATCTTGGCTCATTGCGACCTCCGCCTCCAGGGTTCAAGTGATTTTCCTGCTTCAGTCTCCCAAGTAGCTGGGATTATGGGCATGCACCACCATGCCTGGCTAATTTTTGTATTTTTAGTAGAGACAGGTTTTCACCATATTGGCCAGGCTAGTCTCGAACTCCTGATCTTGTGATCTGCCCACCTCGGCCTCCCAAAGTGCTGGGATTGTAGGTGTGAGCCACCGTGCCAGCCTATCCCCTTCTTAAGGATATTTTTTCCCCCATTGGTTTCAATAGCTCATGTAAATTCTGAATTATGTGCATTTAGCCTTGTGGAAAAAGGAAGTTAGAAAATACAACAAAAGTAAGACCAATGAACATAATAAATTCATCTTTAGTAGATTTGCCTAGTTTGATGACTGAATACAATCAATATAAGGTTTTCTTTTCAAATGCCACAAGCAATCTATTCTTATTATTTAAATGTTTTAGAACATTCTAAGTTACTTCTTTTGAGGCCATCAAAACTTTTGAAAGGACCTTTTGGTATTGTTTAGAACATGTGGACTTTTCCGTTAAGAGTTGTAAGCACTTATATGTAAACACAATTCATTCATATGCACCTAATTATTCCCCTTGCTTCCCATTTTGACTCATTTAAAAGAGTCTAAAGTCAAGTTTTCAAAATGGCTTTTTGAAGTTTTTCATCTTTTGAGATTTAAATTTTAAATTTATGTCTTTGCTACTCCAGGCCTTCTTCTTTCCTAATTTGTTTTTCACTTGCTTCAAGCCATAAACACATTCCTGCCATCGGGTTTGATTTATATTGCCTAGGAAATAATCCAATCATGAATATTTCTTGAGAATGCGAGCATGGCATGAGAGAGACCTCACTCTCATGATCTTTCTCGAGTAGAAAACAAAAGGCACAAAAGTTGGTGGGACTTTAAAAATTCTATCAAGCAAACCCGGTAAGCCTACAGTAATATAAGAAACTTGGCTCTTCCCTGAATCCAAAATTACAAGTAACAATGCTTCTATCAGTCTTTGCTCTTGACTTTTCACACACAGGAACTGAAATTGACCAGCTAATGTTATAAATAAGATCCCAAGTAACCACAGCCTTGGTCTCACATGCATCTCCACCCAAGGTCTTACAAGCATCTCCACTAAACTCAGGCACTGGCATTTTACCTGACTGGCAAACATCTGATCCTTTATCTTATGTCCCACAGCTACATGAGCATGGATACTCCTGACCCAAAGGGTGTTTGCGTTGGTCTTTGTGTTGCCAGTTACAGAAACCCATGCTAATGATTCAAATAAAGGGGATATTTATTGTGACTACTGTGGTATATGCCGCAGTGAAGGTACGATGAAGCCTTAGCTAGGGCAGTAAACAAGGAGGCCCCAGGGACACCAGTTGTAAGATTTTATAGACCTTCTAATTATTGTTCTATACTTAAGCTAACTGGGATTCAAAAACTCTCATATTTGGTGTCTCTTTGTTCTACTGTTAGATTCACAGGACAAAATATCCCATTATTGCAGCTTAAGCCAAGTGACTATCCTGGGTTCCATCGTCTTGCTCAGGGTCCCTCAGTACACATTTAGCCACTAAGTGTCAAACCTTGGGTCCTGGGAATTATAACCTGAAGAGGGAAAGTTGCTGTACCTCAGGGGATTTACCTAAGAGGTGTCTAATACAGGTGTCTCCAACTCCTGGGCCACGGACCAGTGCCCCTCCTACTCCCCTACCCCCATCCGTGGAAAAATTGTCTTCCATGGAACAGGTCCCTGGTGCCAAAAAGGTTGAGGACTGCTGGTCTAATAGATACAGGCTCTATGCCAATGGACAGTTCTCCTGAGGCTCTCCCAAAGTGTGGGCAGTCCAGGAGAGACCCTACGTTTAATTTGCAAAGACTAAGTTAGCAGGTACAAATTGGGCTGTGTAAATGTTGACCTCATTAATAACATTAATTGATACAAGTTCTATTTTTACTTAGTTTAATTCAGCAAACTTCCATAGAGTATTTACAATGTACAAAACACGGTTATATAGCATAGGTCTATCTATTAAAAAGGAAATGACCTCTGTCTCAAAGCAAGCTTTTTTTCTGAATTTGACAAGGAAGTCTTAATTAATGGTCACTTTTAAATATATATATATATATATATTTTTTTTTTAAATTTCAACCATTGTTTTAGATACAGGTGGTACATGTTCAGGTTTGTTTCATGGGAATATTGCATAATGCTGTGGTTTGGGGTATGAATCCCATTACCCAGGTAGTGAGCATAATACCCGTTAGGTGGTTTTTTAACCCAACTCCCTTACCCTCTAGTGGTTTGCAGTGCCTGTTGTTCCGTATTTACGTCCTTGTGTGCTCAATGTTTAGCTCCCACTTGTAAGTAAGAACATGCAGTATTTGGTTTTCTGTACCCATGTTAATTTGCCTAAGATTATGGCTTCCAACTCCATCATGTTGCTGCAAAGGTCATAGTTTCATTCTTTTTTATGGCTGCATAGTATTTTATGGTGTGTATGTACCACATTTTCTTTATCCACTCTACCACTGATGGGCACCTGAATTGATTCCCTGTCTTTGCTATTGTGAATAGTGCTGTGAACATACAAGTACATGTGTCTTTTTGATAGAATGATTCATTTTCCTCTGGGCATTCACCCAGTAATGAGATTGCTGGGTTGAATGACAGGTCTATTTTAAGTTCCTTGAAAAATCTTCAGACAGCTTTCCACAGTGGCTGAACTAATTTATAGTACTAGTGTCCCTTTTATAAATATAAGTGTTCCCTTTTAGAAGTATAAGTGTTCTTTTATCTCCACAGCCTTTGTCAGCATCTATTATTTTTTTTTACTTTTTAATAATAGCCATTCTAACTGATGTGAGACAGTATCTCATTGTGGTTTTGATTTGCATTTCTCTATTGATTAGTGATGCTGAGCATGTGTTCATGTGTTTGTTGGCTGCTTGTATGTCTTCTTTTGAGAAGTGCTTGTTCATATCCTTTGCCCATTTTTAATGGGATTATTGGTTTTTTGCTTGTTGATTTAAGTTCTCTGTAGACCCTAGATACTAGGTCTTTGTCTGATGCATAGTTTGCAAATATTTTCTCACATTCTGTAGGTCACCGGTTTGCTTTGTTGATCATTTCTTTTGCTATGCAGAAGCTCTTTAGTTTAGTTAGATCCCACTTGTCAATTTTTTTTTGTTGTTGTTGCAATTGCTTTTGAAAACTCAGACAAAAATTATTTGTCAAGACTGGTGTTGAGAGAGTATTTCCAAGGTTATCTTTCAGGATTTTTATAGCTTGAGGTTTTACATTTGACCCATTTTAAGTTAATTTTTTATATGGTGAAAGGTAGGGTTCCAGCTTCAATTTTCTTCATATGGCTAACCAGTTATCACAGCAGCATTTATTGAATAGACAGTCCTTTCCCTATGTCTTGTTTTTGTTGGCCCTGTTGAAGATCAGATGGTTTTAGAGGTGCAGCTTTATTTCTGAGTTTTTTATTCTGTTCCATTGGTCTGTGTGTCAATTTTTGTACGAATACCAACCTGCTTTTGTTACTGTGGCTTCCTAGCATAGTTTGAAGACAGGTAGTGTGATGCCTCTGACTTTGTTCTTTTTGCTTGGAATTGCTTTGGCTATTTGGGCTCTTTCGTGTTTCTATATTAATTTTAGAATAGTTTTTTTTTCTAGTTATATGAAGAATGACCTTGCTAGTTTGATAGGAATAACATTGAATCTGTAAATTGCTTTGGGCAGTATGATCATTTTTACTGTAATGATTCTTCCAATCCATGAGCATGGAATGTTTTCCCATTTATTAGTGTGGTCTCTGATTTGTTTCAGCAGTGCTTTGTAGTTCTCCTGGTAAAGCCCTTTTACCTTCTTGGTTAGGATATTTTGTTTTCTTTGTGGCTGTTGTAAGTGGGATTGTGTTCTTGATTTCCCTCTTAGCCAGGATGTTGTTGGTATATAGAAATACTACTGGATTTTGTATATTGATACATTGATTTTGTATCCTGAAGCTTTACTGAAGTTATTTATTGGCTCTAGGCAGTTTCTAGGATTTCCATTTTTTTTTTTTTTTTTTTTTTTGAGATGGAATCTCACTCTGTTGCCCAGGCTGAAGTGCAGTGGCATGATCTGTACTCTCTGCAACCTCCATCTCCTGAGTTCAAACAATTCTCCTGCTTCAGCCTCCCAAGTAGCTGAGATTACAGGCATGTGCCACCACTCCTGGCTAATTTTTGTATTTTTAGTAGAAATGGGGTTTTACCATGTAGGCCAGGCTGGTCTTGAACTTCCAACCTCAAGTGATCCGCCCACCTCAGCCTCCCAAAGTGCTGGGATTACAGGCATGAGCCACCAGGATTTTCTAAGTATAGAATTATATCATCAGTGAAGAGACATAGTTGGACTTCTTTGCTTATTTAAATGCCTTTTATTTCTTTCTCTAGCCTGATTGCTCTGGCAAGGACTTCCATCACTGTGTTGAATACGAGTGTTGAGAGTGGGCATCCTTGTCTTGCTCCAAGATAAAAGGTAAATAGTTTAAGCTTTTATCCATTCATTATGATGTTGGATTTCAATTTGTTATAAATGGTTCTTATTATTATGAAGTACATTGCTTGACACCTAGTCTGTTGGAGTTTTTATCATGAAAGGATGTTGGATTTTTATCAGAAGCTTTTTCTGCACCTATTGAGATGATCATATAGTTGTGCTTTTAATTCTGTTTATGTGGTGAATCACACTTATTGATTTGCATATACTGAGCCAGCCTTGCAGTCCAGGAATAAGCCTGTTTGATCACACTGTATTAACTTTTTGTTGTGCTGTTGGATTTGTTTTGCTAATATTTTGATGAGGATTTTTGTGTCTATGTTCATAAGGGATATTGGCCTTAAGATTTCTTTTTTTGTTGTGTCTTTGCCAGATTCTGGTATCAGGCTAATGCTGGCTAGATAGAATGAATTACAGAGGAGACCCTCCTCCTCGATTTCTTTGGAATAGTTTCAGTAGGCTTAGTATCAGTTCTTTGAATATCTGGTAGAATTCAGCCATGAATTCATCTGGTCCAGGGGTTTTTTTTTTTTTTTTTGGTTGGTAGGTTCTTTATTATGATTTAATTTCAGAAGCTGATATTGGTCTACTTAGGATTTCAATCTCTTCCTGATGCAATTTTGGGAGATTGTACACTTTCAGGAATTTTTCCATTTTCCCTAAATTTTCTAATTTGTGTGCATAGAGTTATTCATGGTAGTCTCTGAGGATCTTTTGTATTTCTGTGGAATCAGTTGTCATACAATCTTTGTTGATTCTGATTGTGCTTATTTGGATTTTATCTTTCTTTTTCTTTGTTAATCTAGCTAGTGGTCTATCAATCTTATTTGTTTTTATTGAAGAACTGTTGATTTCATAGACTTTTTTCACTATGGATTTTTTAAATCTCAATTTCATTAAATTCTTTCCTAATTTTAATTACTTCTTTTCCTCTGCTAGCTTTTAGGTTGGCATTTTACTATAATTCCTTTAGGTAAAAAGTTAGATTGTTAATTTAAAATCCTTACAACTTCTTGATAAAGGCATTTTAGTGCTATAAACTTTCCTTTTAACACTGCTTTGGTTGTATCTTAGAGACTTTAGTAAATTGTGTTCCTATTTTCATTAATTTAATTTTTTTATTTCTGCCTTAATTTTGATGTTCACTCAAGAGTTATTCCAGAGTAGGTTGTTTAATTTTCATGTATTTGTGTAGTTTTGAGATATTACACCAAACTTGCTTCATAAGCAAATTAGAAATGAAATCATTCTTAGACAAGCAAATGCTTATAAGAAATCCTTAAGGGAGTGCCAAACATGAATTTAAAAGAATAGCACTTGCTTTCGAAAAGCACACTTAAGCACATATCCACAACACAATAAAAGGATCAAAATCACACATATTAATACTAATCTTAAATGTAAATGGGTTAAAAACCCCATTTAAAAGACACAGAGTGGCAGCCTGGATTAAAAAAAAAACAAGACCCAACCATCTGTCATCGTCAAGAGACCCAACTCACATGTATCCATACCCAGAGGCTCAAAATAAAAGGATGGAGTAAGATTTACCATACAAACAGAAAACAAACAAGAGCAAGAATAACTATTCTTATATCAGATAAAACAGACTTTAAACCAGTAAACATAATGAAGGGCATTACACAATGATAAAGTATACAATCAAACAAGAAGCCTTAACTATCCTAAATATATACGCACCAAACATTGGAAACTCATATCATAAAATAAGTTCTTTTTGGTCTACAAAAAGACGTAGACCACCACACAATAATAGTGGGAGACTTCAACACCCCACTGACAGCATTAGACAGATCTCGAGGTAGAAAACTAACAAAGAAACTCTGAACTTAAACTTGACACTTGACCAATTGGACCTAATAGACATCTACATAACACCTCACCCAACAACCACAAAATATACATTCTTCTCATGAAACATATTCTAAGATCAATCACGTGCTTGGTCGTAAAGGAAGCCTCAATAAATTTTTTTAAAAAATGGAAATCATGCAAAGCATGCTCTCAGATCACAGTGTAATAAAAATAGAAATCAATACCAAGAAGATCTTTCAATAAATATTTACTGAGCTCTAACTATATACCAGGCAGTGTTTCAGCTCTCAGGGATGCAGTAGTTAACAGAACAGACAGAAATCTTTGCCATCATGGAACGTTCACTGTAGAGAAGTAAAATAAGTAGTGGTTAAAAGACTTGATGCAAATCCTGGCTCTGCTACTCACTGGGTGAGGGGCACATTTCTGAACCTCTCTGTTCTTCAGTTTTCTCATTTTTAAACTGAGAATGATACTACCTGTGTTCGCATATTCTTGCATTGCTACAATGAAATAGCTGAGACTGGGTAATTTATAAGAAAAAGAGGTTTAGTTGATTCATGGTTCTGCAGGCTTTATAAGCTGTATGGTGCTAGAATCTGCTCAGCTTCTAGGGAGCCCTCAGGAAGCTTACAATTATGGCAGAAAGCAAAAGGGGAGCAGATAAATGATGTGGTGAAAGTAGAAGCAAGCAAGAGAGTAGGTGGGAGGTGCCACACACTTTTAAACAAGCAGATCTCACAAGATCTCGCTCACTATTGCAAAGACAGCACCAAGCCATAAGGAATCTGCTGCCATGATGCAAGCATCATCCACCAGGCCCCACCTCCATCACTGGGCTTACAATTTGATATGAGATTCAAACAGGGACAAATATTCAAACTATATCAGTACCTGTCTAATAGTGTTGCCATAGAAGTGTATATATCACATAGTAAGAGCTGCAGTCATCATCATCATCATCATCGAGTAATTCTTCAATCTGATCTTTATCTCCTCTTACCCTAAGATCCATACCTACAGTGATTCCTCTCTTAATCCAACTCCACCAAGAAATTCTCTTGAACCAGACTGATGAAGCTGAGCATGAGAGTTTTATTTACTTACCTATTAAGTGTACAAGAAACTGTGTTGGATGCTGACTTCATCAGAAGCAGATGCTGAATTGGAGTTTGTGGTACAACATGTTCATTAGAAGAAGGAAGCAAGACTGGGTAGAAGGAGATGTTGAGCTGTAACTCAGGCACAGCAAATTCTCAATCAACCCACAGGGCTCTCTGAAAATAGCATTGTCCACTAAAATGCCCTATTTGGGGCCACAATGGCTTGGTCTTTATACTCCTACGGCTATCATTTCCTAGGAATCTGGAGGATCTGGTCAGGGTGTTTCTTGTGTCTACCAAAGACTGAGTAATGTCTGAATAAAAAAATAAGCCTAATCCTAAGTCATGGAAAACTTTCAGTTTAGCTAATGAGAGGAATCTGCATAAATAATGTTAATAGAATATGTTCAAGCAAAATCACTAAGTGTTTTGAGAGTTCATTTAATAGAAAGATTACTTCTGGCTGAGATAAGAACATAAAATAATATCCATTGAGTGCATTGAGTGTGTAAGGGACCATGCTGGATGTTGAGTTCACCAGAAGCTTAATTCTTAAGGCTAAGAAAATATTAAAAGACAGATTGAACAAGAAATTAATAAACTCTTGCATGATCAGTATATTAGTAGTTCTCATTTAATTAAATTTTATGTCTTCGATTAAGTTGGCATGAGAATATCTGAGAGTCTATATCATTGCAACTCAAAGTATGTTCCACAGACTATGATGATCTGCAAACTGTTACCAGCCTGTAAGTAGATAAGTATAGAGAGGAAAAGTAAGCATTTAGAAAAGTTCTTTTAGCAATTTGACAGAGCAATTTTCTGCCTATTAACTCAAAGAATAAAATTGAGAGCTTGCATTTTGCACATCTGTATTTTTTCTACTTTTTTGGTAATACATTTTTATTGTGTTTTGCAAAAGTATTTGTCTGTAATGCATTGCATTTTTTTTCTCAGAAAACATACATGTTCCTTCACTATAGAATGTTGAAGAAGCACTGGTCAACATTAAATATGACTTATTTTATTAAAAGCATTCTTAAATTTAAAAAAACTCTTTAAATTTTAATTTTTTTCATGCTTGTAATTATAAAGTTGGATATAAGAATTATCTCATTTAAAGAATAAACTACAAATTGCCTAAAGAATTATTTTATATGAGTCCAATTTTTTACTTTCTTTTAGTTATAGGAGATATTGACACACATGTAAAATTAACAAAATGAAATAAAACCAAATAAGAATGATAAAAGTCCTTAAAATAGCATTAGTAGAGAAATAATTTTTTGATAAAATAAGAATAATCCTCAAAATAAGTTATCAAGCATGAACACAAAAATATCATGACTTTTGAAAAATTTTAACAGAATCTTCAAGCTATTAAAGAAAAGCATTGAGGATTAACAGGCCAACATGCACTGAGCTGAAAACATCCTCTTTCCACAAAAATATCTTCTCAAAATATTTTACAATAGACCACTCTGCCACTGAGACCTGTTTCTCTTGCTCTTATGGAAACTTCAGCCATCATAAATTATTTTTATTTGTCTAATATGGGCTAAAGGAAGAAAGGAACTCAAACATTTAATACCTCAAACATAGAGGTATTAAATTAAAATTCAGCACGCAGACAACATTAAATGAGACAGTGGGAGTACATAAGTAGAAAAAGGTCCTGAAATATTTTGAAAGAAAATATTTGGATTGGTAATATAACAGTTAAAATCCCTGATTTATAATTTCTAAAACAAGGCATTTGAAAAATAATGATGATGAAAGCAAAGTTCTTTTTAAAGGAATAAAGATGGTCTTGGACATTTTAAAGAAAGCCTAATGCAGTCAAATCAGATTTTACGGAATCAATACATTATTTGTGCTACAAATGATTCCTATTGGTCTAAAAAGAATCATCACAGTTGTGTGTTTCTTGCTGGCTTTTTTGTTTTGTTTTTAAGAAAACAGTGGCTTCAAAGTAAGGGGTTTATTTTAAACATGTCACAACCCTCCGGGAGATAAACAGTGGGTATGGACACTGGACGAATTCAAGGATGTGAGCTCTTGCTGTCTTTATGTTCAACCAGCCTCAAAGGACAGCTCTCATCTTCATAGTCTCAAAATCTAGGTATTTTGTCTGAGTTCCAGTTTTGAAGACAGGAGCTGAGAAGGGATCAAAGGCTCATTTCAGCTGAATCAGTTCCTTTTTATCAGAAAAACACCAAATTTCCTGGCAGCTCCACCAAGTAGACTTGTATTTGTATCTAATTGTCCAGAACTATCCTATAACCATATCCACTAAGGACCCTAGAAAATTGAGAATCTTTTTTTCTTTTAAAGCTGGGCACATTTTTCCACCAAACAAAATTGGGGTACTGTTAATGAAGAAGAAGAGATACTGCTTAGGAGATTAGCAGTGCCTGCACATGCAGATATTACTATCCCTATTTTCATATGAGGAGAATGAGATTTCAGGAGGTTAAATAATTTGTCAATGTCACATTGCTAATAGGTGGATATCAGAGAATGAAGCCAGTCCTGTCTGGGGTCTCAAAACTGGTATGTTTTCCCTTCAGAAGACAGCCTCTGTGGGTGGAGAACAGAGGTAACCAGGAAACATCATTTAAACATAGCTATCTTATAAAAGACCTACAGAATTTAGACAGGGAATGTCTGTAGATTCTGCTCATAAAAGGAAAGGAGAGTAAAGGTCTAAAGTGCTTGTTTATGCAATGTATGCAGCCAACAAAATAAGCTGTAAGCTGGCAAACAAGCATCATTTGTCTTTGCCTCTATTAGAATAAACGTTTGGGTTGCAAGGAGAATAGCCACTTCTAAAAGTCTTCTGGTCCCTCTGACATTTTTATTAAGATGCCTTTCTCTAATCCCTTTATGTCATTCCTCTTTTCTCCTCTCCTGTTTTTCTCATCTCCCTCTCCAGATGCACCCCCGCCCCAAGCCCACCACCAGTTTCCCCACTGCCCCCCAACATGCACATTTTTCAGTACATCTTCTGTTCTGGAAATTTTCCAGACAAATCTCTCCTCACAGAGTCCAAGAGAAAATGAAGAGAAGATGCAAAAATGACCCTCCGTCCTAGCTGCAGGAAAGCTTTGTGTTGCTAGGAAACCAGTGGTAGGTGCTAACCATCCCTCACTAAATGAGGGCAGCTCCCAGCGGAATAATCCTTTATGTGGAAGAACCTAGACCATAATTTCACTTCCTACCTCCAACTGGCTCTGTCCACATGTATGCTTTTATTCTCCAATAACAAGCAGTAGAAATGATTAAAAATAATTTTAGGGATGTGCAATTGCACGTATAAGGAAGGTCAGAGAAGTTGTGTAACATAACATAGAGCTATAAGGTTGAAAGATGACTTATCCTTCAAATGTTTAGACCATTGTTGAGAGAAAGAGGAGAGAAAGGAGAGAAAAGAGAAGAGAGAGAGACAGAGAGAGGGACTGGATTTTGTTCTGCATGGGAACAAACTAGAAAAATATTTAAATTAGATTTGGATTAAATATACGAATGAAAGACTCCTGCTGGAAGTTTTTACATCAACAGAGATAGACAGACAGATAGATAGCGGGAGTTAAATATGATGTCTTCTGTTTATAACATATTGCTTCATCATTCACAAGCCATGTCTGCTGAATTGATTTTTTGATTTTCTTAATAGTGTTTTTGTCACAGACATATGTTGCAGGTTGTTTATTCACATCTTGCCTGAAGGTAGCTAAACTTAGAGATCTAGGATTGTATCATTTGAGGGTGAAGGAAGTGATACTAAAAAAATCATACAACACTTTACAGAGGAGTGATTTAGTTATTCATTGAACCAATATTTGCATGCCACTTACATACCAGCCTCATTCTAGATATTGTAACAAAAAGGTCTGACCTCATGGAACTTATATTCTGGTGGAAGAGATGCTTAATAAACAATATAAGTAAGAAAAGTGTATATGCTGGATAATACCATGCTAATTAAGGGGGTACAATACTATTAAGGAAGAGAAATAGGAAATGCAGGGCCAGATGCTGGCCACACCTGAGGCATTCAGATGTTTGGAAGAAGAAACGTCCAGGTAGAGTGAAAAGCAGATGAGAGGCTCTGTAGCAGGAGTGCCCCTGATATGGGCAAAAAGGTCAATGAGCTGGAGTAGTGAGAATGAAGAGGAGTCTGGTGGGAATGCAATGAGAAAGCTCACAGGGCAGAGGGGGCAGATACGAGAAGAGAAAAGATCCTGGAAAGCCTTGTAGTTCATAAAAAGGATTTTTGCTTTCCTCTGTGAGAAGTAGTGTGACTCGGAGAGTTAGTACTCACAGAATCACCATGCACTCTTCTACTTATCCCAATCTCCTTTGCAGCTGGGTTTATGCCATATACCTAGCTGTCAGCAACGGATCATGAGCAGAAGTAATATGCATGGCTTCTGGGCTAAGGCAGCAGAGACCTTGTGCTTCCTCAACACCTTTCTACCCTATTGCCCATAACCTTCAAATTCAGCTGTCCCAAATGGAAATGGATAAGAACCATCTGGTCTACATCAGATTTCACTTGAGTGAAAAATATAAGCTTTGCTGCCTTAAGCCGCTGAGATTATTTGGGAACATTTGTTTCTGCAGCAGAACCTGACCTGCCTGGTGAACATGGAGGTGGAGCCATTAAGAGAGTTTTGAACAGCAGAGTGGAGTTATCTGCCTCACTTTTTTTTTTTTTTTTTTTGAGATGGCATCTCGCTCTGTTGCCCAGGCTGGAGTGCAGTGGCACAATCTTGGCTCACTGCAACCTCCACCTCCTGGGTTCAAGCCATTCTCCTGCCTCAGCCTCCCAAGTAGCTGGGACTATAGGCATGTGCCACCATGCCTGGCTAATTTTTGTATTTTTAGTAGAGATAGGGTTTCGCCATGTTGGCCAGGCTGGTATCGAACTCTGACCTCAGGTGATCCTCCCGCCTTGGCCTCCCAAAGTACTGGGATTACAGGTGTGAGCTACCACCCCCGGCCTATCTGCCTCACATTTTAACAAGATGACTCCAGCTGCCATGGGATGGTTTATAAGAGGGAGTGGTAAATGGAGAGGGAAAGATGCTTAGTAGGAATCTATTGTACTGGTTCAGGTGGAAAATAACGGTGGTTAGGCAAAGGTTATGGTAGTAGCAGTGATGAGAAGTGGTCCAATTCCAGATACGTTGCAGAGAGTGAAAGTAAGGTGAGAGAGAGAGGGAAGAGACACAGGTTTTTGACCTGAGGAAGTGAACTAGAAAGATGGAGTTGCCATTGACTGAGATGTGAACATCTGAGAGACGGGAATGATCAGAAACCCATTTTTATTAGAGATGCCTACTATACATGCAAAGGTTATTAAGCAGGCAAGTGAACATATGCATCTGGAGTTCAGGAGAAAGGACTGAGCTTGTCATGTGTATTTTAGAGTCATCAGCACATAGATTATTTTAGTTGCAAGACTGGGATAAGGCTCCCAAGGAAATGAGTATGTACAGAAGAAAAAAGAAATGTGTAAGTATGGTACTTAGTGAAAAAAGAACACCAATTCTAGAAATAACTTCTAGGTCAATTTATGCTGATCAACTTCATCTAAGAAAAAGCAGACTAATGCTGTGCAGAAGAATACTTTGGTAAATCCTTTTTTAATATTCAGGAACCTAAAAGGAGGCTGTATGGTGACAGTGAACTCAGAGCAATGGGTTTTCATTTGTGAATTAGGACTGGCCTAAAAAGAAGTTATGCAAAGATGTTTATAGACAAGAAGAATGAAAGTGGTTTCTGTATATAAAGAGCATCCATTACTGACTGGAAGAGAAAGCATTTATTAAATTATAATCGGGCATTTTGGCACCTGAATAAGTGCTGCCAGCCGCCTTGCCCACATGCTTGTTACACAGCAAGGTGGTGAGAAAGACCAGCAGGCTTTTTCCTAGTGCTACCTCTGGAGGGGAACAGGTGATGTCTCACTCTGACTTGGTTCTATTTGCACATGTACTTACCTCCCTTTTTTTTTTCCCTCTGGTAAAGGATCCAAGTGGTCATTAGATTACATAACATGAATATGTGTATATATATTTGCAAGTCTGTATTTTCAGGATAAACTAACTGCTGTAACAACCTTATCACTCTGGTGGCTGAACACAGTAAAGAGTTTATTTCTTAATCCTGTTACAATCCAATTGGACATGTGGTGAGTGGTCTTCCACGTAGTGGTTCTGATATCTAACTCCACTATTTTCTAGGTACTCACAGTTTTCCACTAAGCCATCTGCATCCAGGCAGGAATGAGAGAAGAGAGTGAGTGTGGAACATTTCGTAGGAGTTTTTAAGGTATTAGACCTGGAAGTGACATTCACTTCCATTCATATTTCTTGGGTCTAAACTCAGTCTATGGTTTCACCTAACTTCAAGGTCAGCTGGGAGAAGCTGTCCAGCTATGTGTAGGGAGAAGAAGAATGGGTAGGGTCACCATTTGACCATTCTCTGCCACTGTGTGAAGTCTGCCATATTATCCACAATCTTACCCAGGTCTTGGGTAGATTTACCTATGTAAACTTACAAATTCAACCTAGATTTATGACAAAAGAGCCTCAGACAGATGGCTCATTGAATTTGAGGTTATTCATTTCCATTTCCACCAGCCATGAGACTGAGATGATTTCTCTTTAGAACATATCTTGGAACTGGCCCAGAACCTTTATCAACTAATTATTATAAGATAATTAAAGTTATTGGGATGACCAGACACGGTTCTGAGCATTGAATATCTAAAAATGGGTAAGAAGTAGTTCCTTCTTCAATGAGCCTATTGTTGCATAGGAGTAATAAGCATACAGAACAATATTACAGGTATCAGAAGTTATGAAAATTAATTATAATTGGCATTCCGGAGTTTGGGGCACAGTCCTGGAAAATATCAAATAGGAGATGGTGCATAACATGAAAGTTAGAAGATGAGAGAGAATTATCCAGGTAGAGAAGAAAAAGAAGAGAATTACAGAAGAGGAAGTTATAGAAACCATCAGAGCTGAGCTTGGAAGGAAAATGGACATTTTTCCAAAAGTCAAGAGGAACCATAAAGAAATGAGCAAGAGTGACAAGATTCAATTTATATCACAGAAAGATCACGTAGGCAAAGATAGGCTATAGATTGGACCTGGGAGGAACAGCAGAAAGGCAAGCAATTAGGAAGCTCTGGAAATCACACATAAAGGATGGAGAGAAGATAGGCATTCTACCTGAAACATAAAATCAATAGGCCTTGATAACTTTGAAGGGAGGGAGGCAGGGAAGGAAAAGAAATGTAAAAACGAACGCATTTACCTTTTTATCCCTAATCCTTGGCATGGTGCCTGGAACATAGCAAGTGTTGCTTTGTTGCTTCTGCCCAAGGGAAGTGGTTTCAGAAGATTGAGAAGATTTTTAGATATAAAACAATTTTCTTTCTCAAAAGCTCTCTAATCTTGGACATTTGGTTAAGAAGGATTAAAACCCTTTCATTATAACACACTTTGTTGTTGAGGCTATGGGGAAATGGGCACTCTCGTACATCACCAGTGGGAGAGTAAATGGGTACAAGTCCAGTTGAAGGTGATTTGACAATATCTATTGAGATTACATACACATATACCTTTGAGCCCAGTGAGAATATTTCTGGGAAGATTTTCTACAGATATATTTGCATATGTTCGAAATGACTTCTGAAATTATTCTTTATTGTATATTTGTTTTTAACAGCAAAGATTAAAATAACTCAGCTGTCCCTAAATAGAAAACTGAGTATATAATTTATGCATATCCATAAAGTGGAATTCTGTGTAGATGTAAAAATATAAAAAGAATAAATATATTTCTGTGTATTGATAAAGATCTTCAAGACGTGTAAAGAAAGTAAAATGGGAACAGTTCATTTAATATGCTACTTTTTGAGAAAAGAGGGTATCATAATTTATGTTTTGTTTTTCTTAAACATGCATAAAAATTCTTGAATGATACAAAACAAGAAAGATTTTTAAGCCATATGGATGTATTACCTATTCAAAAAATCAAATTATAAGTACTGTCTCTTTCCACAGTTGTTTAAAATGTATAGCACTCCCCCCACTCCCATCTTTGTTTCTTGTCCCTTAGTTCCAGGTAACACACTAATAAATTTGCATCAGGATATACATAACATCAGATCCTTTTATAAGAGCAATCTTTGAGAGGAGGAAGTGCAGGTAGAAGGAGCAGAGATGGCAAGTCTTGAGAATTCTGAATGCCTAAAGAGGCAAGAGAAGGGGGGCCACATTTGAAAGAGAAGTGCATAAAGCACCAAAGAAGAACCTTGCCAGCTTCGTGATAGCACAGCATATTTAGAATACATGTGTAATTTGTTTGTCTGTTTATACAAAAGAAAATGCCATTTTATTAGGGCCTTTTCAGTGGCCACATGGCCATTAGTTAATCAGAAGTATAGGCATAGTTTTCTGGAATTGAAATATTAATAAACCTGAGGTTTGTGGTTCCTTGAAATTTTCCTCTAGGTACTTCATAAAAATTTGATCACTCTTAAATGTCAAGGTAAATTTGCCTCGGTGTTCTGGCAATTTACCAACCTATGAGAACTTCATTTGAAGAATTTTGATAAATCTTACTATTTGAAGGTTGGTGTTTGGTCAACATCTATGGACCCAAAACAATTAACCATTGCTGCCTGATCAGCACTATTCCTACAGGAAACCATGACCCCATCACAGCAATCAACTCTTCTACTACCCAGTTTACACCACTTACATTCTTGAAGATTCCTTCATGATCCTAGAAGATATTCTAAAGCAACACCTCATAGCCACAGATAGGGTCTATATCAGCAACTCAAAAAAAAAAAATGTTTATTCTTCCTAAAAGCTAAGGTGCTCACTTAGTTCACCAACTAAGTTTTGTAAGTAACTGAGTGGCAGAGAATTAAGAAGGGAGTTGGAAACAGTAAGTAAAGGGAGAGTCTTAATTTGTCTCCTTACTACACTCAGAGATCTTTGGAAAGTCACATGGAAGACATTTGTTAATAATCTGCAATCAAAATCAACATCACAGTCAAACTCCCAGTTTCAATCACACAACCCAACTTCTTCATCATCACCAGCATTCACTCTGAAATTATGAAGACAGTTTCTGCCACTAGCCATCCAGCATAAATTCTTCTTTTCCTATTGTTCAATAGGAACTCTTGCTATATTCATTTTTTTCCATCACACACCTCCCTGACATTTTTCATGAGATTCTGGAAAATACACTTGTCACCACACAGAAGGGTGGAACCTGGTATTATCTGTCCCCAGCACACGCCCTCGGACCGTGGGGAAGGAGGCAGAGTGAATGTCATTTCCACAGATGGCCTGGAAAAATCCATGGGCCTCAAGAAATGACTGTACCCATGAAGTTATGGCAGATTTTGAAGCCTCCAGTTTTTCATTTGCTGCTTCTGCCTAGAAGCCTCCTACCACCCATCTGTCCACACTTCAGCCATTACTGCTAATCAGGAGGAACTGCTGACCTTTGGAGCAGAATTTGATTTTCTTGATATTATTATTTTCTTTACTAAGAGAAATTAGACTCTAGTCTTGACAAAGGGCAGGGATGGAAGGAGAAACAGAGCCTCCAAGTTGTTGGGTTTTCTCTTTCCTATGTCCTAGACAACTGTTTCCACCGAAGCCAACATCCCTAGGCAATATTCCAAAGCAGGTTAAGTGTGCCTTCTTCTGTTGGTAACCATTGTATAGCTTCAGAAATCTCTTTTTTTAGTCTCTACAGTAGAATAGAATTTCTCTTTTTTCAATGCTCCTTCATCATAGTATATTTTCTTCACTGTGCCTTATAAAAAGATTATATTTCAACCAGTCGGGTCTACTGGATGATAATTTTCTCAAAGAAAGGGACCATGCCTTATTCATCTGTAGCAATCATAGCCCCTCAACACTGCCAAGGCGTTTGTCAAGCATTGGATTCTTATAAAATATCTGCTTATAGGTTCAAACATGTGCATCCAGAATTATTCCTCTGATATCAGTATTTAGAGCTGCATAAAAACTTAAATGATCAAGCCTTATAAAATCCCTCTAGTTTTGATTCAGGTTTGATTTCTAGTTCTACTATAAATATCTACCTCCCACGTCAACATTTTTGTGACTTTAAATGTGATTACATTTTTGTTTGTCATGTTATGCTATAGTTGTTAGTACGAGGGACTATTTGATACTTTTGTTGAAAATGAAAATCTCTGGGTTGACAGACAATCCGTAACAGTTAGTCCTCTTAGTGGAGAAAGAAAAGCTAAAGTTTCTTGCCTAAACTTGAGGATATCACTGCTGCTCCTATGGTTCTGGATCTTATCAATGAATCAGTCAATCAAATGGTAAAGTTGGTTTTTGAAAAATTGTTGAGGGCAGGAAATGCCTGATGAAAATGTTCAGCCCTCTCCCTCTCCCTCTCCCTCTCCCTCTCCCCACGGTCTCCCTCTCCCTCTCTTTCCACGGTCTCCCTCTGATGCCAAGCCGAAGCTGGACGGTACTGCTGCCTGATTCTCCTGCCTCAGCCTGCCGACTGCCTGCGATTGCAGGCGCGTGCCGCCATGCCTGACTGGTTTTCGTATTTTTTTGGTGGAGACGGGGTTTCGCTGTGTTGGCTGGGCTGGTCTCCAGCTCCTACCCGCGAGTGATCCGCCACCCTCGGCCTCCCGAGGTGCCGGGATTGCAGACGGAGTCTCGTTCACTCAGTGCTCAATGGTGCCTAGGCTGGAGTGCAGTGGCGTGATCTCGGTTCGCTACAACCTCCACCTCCCAGCAGCCTGCCTTGGCCTCCCAAAGTGCCGAGATTGCAGCCTCTGCCCGGCCGCCACCCCGTCTGGGAAGGGAGGAGCGTCTCTGCCCGGCCGCCCATCGTCTGGGATGTGAGGAGCCCCTCTGCCTGGCTGCCCAGTCTGGAAAGTGAGGAGCGCCTCTTCCCAGCCGGCCGCCATCCCATCTGGGAAGTGAGGAGCGTCTCTGCCCGGCCGCCCATCGTCTGAGATGTGGGGAGCACCTCTGCCCCGCTGCCCCGTCCGGGATGTGAGGAGCGTCTCTGCCCGGCCGCCCCGTCTGAGAAGTGAGGAGACCCTCTGCCTGGCAACCGCCCCCGTCTGAGAAGTGAGGAGCCCCTCCGCCCGGCAACCGCCCCATCTGAGAAGTGAGGAGCCCCTCCGCCCGGCAGCCCTGACGTCTAAGTGAGAACCCCCTCCGCCCAGCAGCCACCCCGTCTGGGAAGTGAGGAGCATCTCCGCCCGGCAGCCACCTCGTCCGGGAGGGAGGTGGGGTCAGCCCCCCACCCGGCCAGCCTCCCGTCCGGGAGGGAGGTTGGGGGTCAGCCCCCCGCCCGGCCAGCCGCCCTGTCCAGGAGGTGAGGGCGCCTCTGCCCGGCCGCCCCTACTGGGAAGTGAGGAGCCCCTCTGCCCGGCCACCACCCCGTCTGGGAGGTGTACCCAACAGCTCATTGAGAACGGGCCATGATGACAATGGCGGTTTTGTGGAATAGAAAGGGGGGAAGGGTGGGGAAAAGATTGAGAAATCGGATGGTTGCCTTGTCTGTGTGGAAAGAGGTAGACATGGGAGACTTTTCATTTTGTTCTGTACTAAGAAAAATTCTTCTGCCTTGGGATCCTGTTGATCTGTGACCTTACCCCCAACCCTGTGCTGTCTGAAACATGTGCTGTATCCACTCAGGGTTGAATGGATTAAGGGCAGTGCAAGATGTGCTTTGTTAAACAGATGCTTGAAGGCAGCATGCTCCTTAAGAGTCATCACCACTCCCTAATCTCAAGTACCCAGGGACACAAACACTGCGGAAGGCCGCAGGGTCCTCTGCCTAGGAAAACCAGAGACCTTTGTTCACTTGTTTATCTGCTGACCTTCCCTCCGCTATTGTCCTGTGACCCTGCCAAATCCCCCTCTGCGAGAAACACCCAAGAATGATCAATTAAAAAAAAAAAAAAAGAAAACGTTCAGCAAAAGCACAAGTGGAGAGTGAACTTTGCACTTAGGAGACCATTCATTCACTCAACAAGTGATTACTGGGCACTTCCTGATATGGTTTGGATTTGTGTTGCTGCCAAATCTCATGCAAATTGGAGGAGGGTACTGGTGGGGTGTGATTGGATCATGGGGTCAGTTCACCCCTTGCTGTTCTCAGGACAGTGAGTGAGTTTTCATGAGATCTGATGATCTAAAAGTGTGTGGCACTACCCTCTTCTCCCTCTCTCCTGCCACCATGGGAAGAAGGCGCTTGCTTCCCCTTTTTCTTCTGCCATGATTGTAAGTTTCCTGAGCCCTCCAAGTCATGCTTCCTGTACAGCCTGTGGAACTGTGAGTCAATTAAACCTCTTTTCTTCATTAATTACCCAGTCTCAGGTAGTTCTTTATAGCAGTGTCAGAACAGGCTAATACACCTCCTATACATAGGAACTGTCCTTGGCTCCTTGGAACTTTCTATCTGGCAAAGGAGATTCACGTTAATCAAATATTAAACACATTTAGACATAGAAGAAATTCTTTTAACTGCTACTTAACAGTTTGAGAGATTAAACGACACTCCGCCTTCATTCTGTAAACTTCCTGACGGATGCTCACAGCCACTGAGCACTCTGCCAAGACCCCCACTCCTGTTCCTCTTCCCTGCTTTCCAAGACTCAGTTGTGTTTACTCCCAAGCCCGTCAATGCCAGTTGTATAATTTATTGTAATTAAATAGTTTAGATACATGTTACGCAAATTATATATGAGTGTGAAAAGAGTTGTTTCCATGAAAACTATATGAATGCTACAGAAAGACGCAATCAAGACAAGCGACTAAAAGAGGCCATTAAACTCAATGTGGGCGAAGCAACTGTAAAAGACTCAGGAGACAAATACAAACTAGAAAGGATTCTGCCTTCAAAGTGACACTCAAATGTCTTTTAGTTCTCTTTTAAAAAACTGGAAACTGTAGATACTGCATTTTGAGTGTGATAGATACAAGAAAGATGATGGAAGACTTTAGTCAGTGAACATCAAACAGAAAGTAAGGGAATGGGGCTGGGCGTGGTGGCTCACGCCTATAATCCCAGCACTTTGGGAGGCTGAGGTGGGCCTATCACTTGAGGTCAGGAGTTTGAGACCAGACTGGCCAATATGATGGAACCCCATCTCTACTAAAAATAAAAAAATTAGCCAGGCGTGGTGGTGGTGGTGTGTACCTGTAATCCCAGCTACTCGGGAGGCTGAGGCCCGAGAATTGCTTGAACCCAGACGGCAGAAGTTGCAGTGAGCTGAGATCACACCACTGCACTCCACCCTGGGTGACAGGGCGAGGCTCCATTTCAAAAAAAAAGAAGAGAAAAAGAAAGTAAAGGACTAGGTCTACATCATAAGATTGAAAAATAGATGTATATTTATGTTCTGACTTAAAATAAAACATTTAAATGTATGTTTTATCCACCCTCTCCCCTCCCAATCTACTGCTTTAAAAGACGTGATTAACCAACTGCCAGTCTTAGACTATTCAGATAAAAGTTTTTCCTCTGAACATAGTGTTTATCATACATGTCCCTGAGGTTCAACTGGTCATGATTTTTCTTTGGTCACTCCATCCAAAGAACAAACTTTCAGTGACTGGGGGAAATTTGCCTGCTGATTCAGAAGTAACAAGTGACAAAATAAGAATTAGTGAAGAGTTTAAGCACATGCTCATTTAAGCCTTTTGAAATATTTCTTAAAATGTTTACCATATGCACTGTTAAACACGCATCATCTATTTGGAACTTGATGCAATTTAGGAAAGAGTTTGTAGAACTCTATGAGCTTCTGAATCTCTCACAAGGACAAACATCTGATTGATAAACTTTTCTAATCCTTTCTGGAATCAGGCAGGGAGTACTCTATGCTGCTGTGTCAACAATCACAATTATTGAAATCACCGTTATCTCTAAAAATGTTGTAAATATTTCATGATGAAAGGTATAAATGAAAACAAACAATTTGTCAATTTTTTATTAATATCTCCTAAAGATCTGCCAGAAACATTCATATCATGCTGATTACCGCAAGCAATTATGTAATCACAGTTGCAATACTTGCTACAAAAGAAAAGTACCTTGTGTAAAGAATCCCTAACAGGGGGGCCCATGCTGGTCAGGGTGTTCCCAAAAGGCTTCCTTGATGAGATACTGTTCAGTTGTGGCTTGAAGGATGAGTAGAGTCAGCCAGGCCCATGTGGAGAGAAGCAGGGGGTTGGAGAAGGGCACTCAGGTGAAAGGAATAGCATGTGCTAAGGTCCTGAGGCGGGAAGAAACTGACTCTTTAAACAAACTGAATAACCTGAGTCCAAGTGGACTGGAGAAGAAGGCAGACATGGTGCAGGGGATGTGAGGAACACAATGATAGAAGAGAAGGAAGATGAGTGGTTATAAGAGCCTGAGTCAGGGAGCAGGAATGGAGGATGAGAAAGCAGAACCCGCTCTCTTAGTTTACATACGACATAGCCATGTTCCCTTCCCACTCCTCGAGACACAGTGAAAAGAAGCTGAAGTCAGATGAACTATGTCCTCTCTTCTGTCATAAAAGAATTCATTTCAGCCCCATTTCCTGGACTTTCAAGGTAATTGTGTTCTATGCCAAGTATGGCCACTCTGCAGTCAGACTATTCCTGCAGTTTCCACATTGTAATGCAGCTCTCCCACCTCCCACCTACACGAAGGAAGCCATTCTTCTCAGCTACTTCAGAGACTATCTCAGTGCTACGCAGCTCCTTGCCTTCCCTAAAACACTCCCCCACTTCACTGCTCCCCACTCGGCTCCTTGCCCCCGCCGCTTCCTGGCCCTCCTACCACTCCACCAAAAAAAAATTACCCAGGCCTCAAGCCAGGAAAAGTTGTTAAACCCTGTCCTCTGCAACTTCACAGCACATTTGCTTTAATACCAAAAGAGGATTCATCTTGGCCAATGAGAGACAAATGAATATGCAGTGATTCGCCACATGCTATAAAGCCTTGCCAACAATTCCCACTGCTATGTTCTCCTCTGTTTTTATAATCAATTAAAAAGGTTTGGTTCATTAGGAACATTTTTTTCCCCTCCTGAAAATGGAAAGAAAAAGCAAGCAGCTCTCAGAAGAGGCACAAAGCTCTTCTGAGAACTGTCTAGCAGACAGAGCTTCTTACAGTAACACTTTATTTTAATGCTTCTTTAATGCAGAATTGACAACGGGACTCCCACTGAAGCCCTCACAGGAGCCTCATTCACCCTAAATAAGAATGACGATGTTGCCAAAGATAGGTCACAACTAAGATATCAACCTCAAAGCCTACCCCAAAGGAGGGAGAGTGGAAAGAGTTCTCCTTCCTTTTGTTTGCAGGATAAATCCTCTCTTTATTCTTGCACCCTCTAATCTAAGTCTCCATTTCCTTATTTAGATGAGCATCCTTTATGCATTTAGGGAATTATTCCTCAGCAGAGACACCATAGGTATCAGCTTTCTCAGAGTTGGATTGTTCTTCCCAGAAACCAAAGGGAGCCTCACTGGTTTGAATGCTCGCTTGTGGGTGAGCCCGGGAGATGTGGAAGGCATCTCATGACTAAGCAGCATGACATCGTTCACATAAGTACTCAACATCCACTCATCACCAGCAGCAGATTGAAGGTAATGTTTTAAGAGGTTTTCAAGCTGCTGGGAAATTGTGGGTTTGAGAAATGTTCTTTAAACCTTTTGCATTTCAAATTTCATTTCAGCCAAGATGTTGAAATGTAACTAGAGGAAGGGACGAAGGACTGATAGTTCACGCATTCCTTGCAGCTGCTCTTCACTCCTCTCACTACTGGGCCCTTCCAAAGGGCCTCCAGTCTGTTACAGTGCTAAAGCCCCACCCTGGTGTGGGAGTGGGAAGAAGTCACAAGGGGCAGAAAGAGCTGACGTTAGGAACAGTCCGGCAGAGAGTCTGCTGTGGTGTGGCTGGGGGTTGGTGCCAGGCTGCTTGGTAGCGAAAGCCAAAAGCAAATGTGGATAATGTTAACGCTGTTTTCTTAAGCAAGAAAAGTGTCAGGAGTCACAGCCGAGCAGGGAGCACAGAGAGCAACGCTGAGGCGCTCTGCTGGCTTGCTCTCTGGGAATTGATGCCGAACCACGTTCGTTCATACCTGACGTTACATAGGCAGGGCTGGTATCCAGATCATGAGAATACTAGGAAATAAGAAGGTATTATTATCAAGCGTAACCAGGCTGGAATTTGAGAAAGTTGCAAGGTAAACAATGTTCATCTAGCCCAAATCAACAGATAGGTGGGGTAAAGTCAAGCTACTAAAGGAAAAAGGCATATTAAAGTAGTCATCCCATAGGGACAGGGTAGTGCATCATCATGGTTAAGGTCATGGAACATGAAATCACACAGAGCAGTGGTCACAAGTCTTCCTCCATTATTTTTTATTCTGTGGGACCATCAATGACTGGAGCCAATGGTAGCATCTAGCTCATAAGTTTGCTTATATTAAATAAGATAAACCAGGAAAAATACTTAACCCAGCATTTATTAGAGAGTACTTTAAAAAGTGACACGCACCTGTAATCCCAGCATTAAAGGCAACCAGATCTCACCCCCTGCCAAATGCACAGTTCACCACCACCACCACCACCCCAAAATGCACAGGTTCCATAGGCTTCTAGTCTCACATGGTTGGGATACTCTGAATATATCTCTTACCATTCCCATGAGCCTGTATGATTATTACATAGATTCCTTATTCTCTGACTTCATTGATTTTTCCGTTTGATTTATCATCCTCCAAATCCTTCTCAGGCTAGCTGTCACTTGACATTAGATGTTGATTGGAGAGAACGTGGCTGCTCTAGATAAACTGGTATTACCCTGGGACAAGCAATAAAGCCATCTGGAATGACTGATGGATCGTCTGAGTGTGAGTCTAGTCAAATATGCAGAGTTCTAAGATAGGACAGAAAGGAAATACACCAGATCCAGTCTTATCCTGCCTCTGATTAAGCAGTATAAAGGGAAAGGTCTGTAATTGATGGATAAATATGACCCCTCTTTTTAGAAAAGAAGGAAGAAATGGGGAAACAGTCTCCAACACTCACTGGCATTGCAATTCTGTTCCAGGAGTATCGCTATAGAGCCTAGGAGAAATAGCAATGTACCACACAAGTCTGCTTTTCCCACATGCAAAATTACTAAAATAAAAGTCACACTCTTTAATACCAACCTAAGAGAAGTGTCAATTATAAAAATGAAGTATTTAGTAACTGCATAATTATTTAACACATTTCTCCAAATAACTCAAGTTGTTTATAAACAGGGTAAAAAACACCAGAGAGAATATTTTACTTAAATAAACCCAAGTGTTTTACTGCTAACTTTTAACTCACTTCTCAGATTTTACCTAGCAGTGTCTAGAATAAATCAATACTACGTGTCTTCATGGGCCTTATAGAATCCTTTATTAAAGTCCTAACCAGTTTGTCATTTGGATTTCCCACTCCATGGTAAGAGTATTTAAATCTCCTTTGATCAGCCATTTTAGAAATGGTTACCCATCATTCTATTGGCACATCATTCTATATTCTCTAAAGAGCGAGTTAAAAAGGAAGGCAGAGAGGGAAAGAATGAGACCAAATGCCAGAACTTAACCTGAAGCTCCAGCTGATTGAGATATGTGGAACAATCGTTACCACTCACCCACCAGATACCTCAATTGTCCCCATGGAGAAGTGAATAAGGGATGGAGTATGCCTGGACTGTGACTCTAGGGAAGTTTCTCTTCATGGAATTATGAGGAGCTGAGGATCCACATCAAACTCATCCCTATAAACTAAGCCCTAGATGATCTGAAGCCATTTACCTCTCTGACTTGATATCTTCCTACTCCCTCCTTTGCAGCCTCTCAACACTCTACCACAATAGACAGAACTTGTGCAGTGACTCTCCTCACCCATTCTCCTCTCCAGGTCACATATGTCTTCCCCTCTACTCAGAGAATCGTATTTCTTCCCCTTACCTGGGTAATTCCTGCTCATCCTTCCAATCTCAGCTTAGACCTCACTCCTCCAAGATTCTTCCCTGTCCTACCAATTAAGTGGCATAATATGACCTTCATATGTGATACTCTGCCAAAGTATACCTTCCCCATCTTAGTATTCATCATCAACTTATTAGCTGAGACTCTTTGGTTGCAAGATACGAAAGTCAGCTTGAGGGAATGTAAGCAAAATATACCAGTATGGTGTTATCTTACATAGTGCAAGGGGCAGGATTGACATCGGGCCTTAGGAAAGAACTAGAACCAGGAATTGAAAGTTGATAGGATTCTCTCTCCCTCACATTTTTGCTAACTTCTGCATATCTACTTCCTTCCTGCCAGTCTGTGGGCTAGCTTTCTCTGCTTCCCTAGCCATATGGAAAAACATGGCAGGCCACAGATCTAGCCATATGTGGAAAATGAAATGTTCTCGAATGACATTCCCAAATTTCTGCCATAATCTTACCGGCTTCAGTTAAATTAGGCATCTAATGGAGGGCCCACTTTAGAGAAAAGTGTAATAACTAATGGATGAGTTGTTATTCAAGAAGATGTACAGCACAATCCTGTTTGTAATTGCCTACTTGTCTGTATCTTTCACCATCAGTAAGCTTTCTAAAAGTAGGTCAGTCTAACATATCTATCTTATTCACCATTGCATCCTCATGAAATTGTGCCAGACTCATAAAACTGCTCAATTTGTGATATAAAAGAAAGAGATGCATGTATAGTTCCCTTGATATCAGTGACTTCTTCCTAACTCCTAAATTCACTCCCATGCCTCTTTCTTTCTTTCACACACACACACACGTGCACACACACACACACACACTCACTCACACACACTACTCCTACTTTACCAACTACTTTAGTTGGTGATCTACTATATCCCTTCTATATTTTAATCACTGTAAAATCTTTCTTTATCTTTCACAAAGAGTCCCAGGGACTTTGCACTTTATAAGTCTCTCCACCTAGACTAACAAGAAATATAAATTATTTATTTCTTATTATGTTGCAGGCACAGCGAAAGGCATGTTACATACTTTGTGTTTAATCTTTATAGCACTCAATATTTTCACCAGTAAAGCTCAGAAATATCTGAATAACTTGTTCAAGGTCACAACTAATAAATAACCCTGGTTCATCTGAGTGTAAAACCTGTTATCTTCCTACTTTCTAATCTCTCCACTCATGCAATCTACTAGGCTGTATACTCCTCAAATTCAATAAGCATAGCTAAATTTATTTCTATATCCTCAGAGTCTAGCATATTTCATATTTCATGTAAACATATTAAGGATGCTTAATAAATATTTGCTGTGGAATGAGTACATGAATAAATGAATGAGTAGATGTTCTCCACCTGGGGAAAAAGGATGCATTCACCACAGTAAAGTTTTTTTTTTTTCCCTCTGAACAACTTTGTAGACTTTATGTGTTAATAAAATACTCAATTCAAATAAAAACAATTATGTATTGGTTCCATAAAGATCATATGGATGGAGAACTGGAGAACTAGCTTCTATCATATAAAACTTCTCTTTAAGAAAACCGTAAAAGCTGCATATGATAAAAAAACAAAATAAAATCATACAGCAGCTATTTCAGGCTTTGAATAAACAACCAAGGTAACTAAGAGTTAGGCAGCAGAGGCAGAAAAGAAAGACAGTCTCAGGGAAGGTGGGCTAACACAGTGTGCAGCTACTGCCCTTTCAGCATTTGATAAATCCCAAGATTTGTGAAGCAAGAGGCTAATAAACGAAGCCAAACGTAGCTACTAAGAGACTAAATGTTAAGTAGAGTTTTCAGCTCTCCTACAGAGCTGAGGAGACAAAAATTGGCATTCAGGGCCTGCCAAGGACAAGGGGCCCTGGTTAACACTCCAGGTTTATCATTGAAATTCCTGAATATCAGCACCCAAGGACTCAGGAAAAACTGAAAATAAACCAACTTCCTGCAAGAAATACAATCAATTAATTAACCAATTAATTAAATACTCTCTACAAAAATATAAATTGTCCAAGCCTTTAAAAATTAAATGTGAAGCCTAGAACTAAAATATACAACTGAAACTACGATGGGTATGTTCATTAGCTTGATATAATCATTGCACAATGTAGACATATATCAAAGCATTATATCATATACCATAAATATATATAATTTTATTGTCAATAATAAATTAATAAAGCTGAAATTTTAATTAGATTACATTTTTAATGAAATTAATAACTCAGTAAATGGGCTATTATTAATAGCAGATTAAACACAACAGAGGAGAGAATTCGTAAACTGGGAGATAGTTCAGTACAAAATATCTAGATCGAAACATAGAGAAAAAGATTTGATGGAAAACACCAAAAAGAATGTAAGAGACATACAGACCGAGGAGAAAACGTCTAGCACACATGTAGTTGGAGTCCCAAGAGAAGAGAAAAGAGAAAATGGGTGTAATCAGTATTTAGAAATATTGACCAAAAATATTTTAAAACTGATAAGTCATCACACTACAGACTCACGAATCTCTACAAACCCCAAATAGGTTAAATACAAAGGAAACTACAACTAGGTGTATTGTAGTAAACCTGCTGAAACTAAAAACAAAGAATATTTCCAAAGTCCCAAATTAATAGAATTATAAAGAAAACAGGCAAATCCACAGTTATAGTTGGAGGGGTTTTGTTTGTTTTTTGGAGTTTTTTTTCCAGTGTTTTTTTTTCAATTTTTTTTTATTTTTTATTTCTTCCTAAAAAAACGGGATACATGTGCAGAACGTGCAGGTTTGTTACCTAGGTATACGTGTGCCATGGTGGTTTGCTGCACCTATTGACCCATCCTCTAAGTTTCCTCCCCTCACCCCCACCCCCCAACAGGTACTGGTATGTGTTGTTCCCCTCTCTGTGTCCATGTGTTCTCAGTGTTCAACTCCCACGACTCCCACTTATGAGTGAGAACAAGCGGAGTTTGGTTTTCTGTTCCTGTGTTAGTTTGCTGAGGATGATGGCTTCCAGCTTCATCCATGTCCCAGCAAAGGACATAATCTCATTCCTTTTTATGGCTGTATAGTATTCCATCGTGTATATGTACTACATTTTCTTTATCCAGCCTATCAGGGATGGGCATTTGGGCTGGTTCCATGTCTTTGATATAGTAAATAGTGCTGCAATAAACATACGTGCACATGTGTCTTCATTGTAGAATAATTTATATTCCTTTGGGTATATACCCAGTAATGGGATTGCTGGGTCAAATTGTATTTCTGGCTCTAGATCCTTGAGGAATCACCATACTGTCTTCCACAATGGAGGTTTTAAACATACCTCACTCAGTAACTAAAAGTTACTCTTAGAGTAACTGATAAAAGAGAGAACTAACAAATAAAAATGCTATGACATATAAAAGATTTGGCCAGCTCACTTAAGAATTTGACTGCAAAGAACAACTGTAGAATATACATTTTCAAATGCACATATATTATTTACTCAAACTGACCATATTAGAGGACTTAGAGTAAGTCTCAACATATTTCAATGTACTGGATACATATACAGCAAGGAAAAAAATTGTTAGCCCAATATCATTAAGGTAGAAAACAATATAAAAGAGCTAATTTAAGAACTGCCAAACTATTTGAAAATTTTAAAATATGCTTTTAAATAACCAACAGGCCAAAGAAGAAATCAAATGTAAACTAGAGAATATTTTAATATGAATAATGAATACACAACCTATGTAAATTTGTAGGTGAAGGAAAAGCAATTCTTAGAAAATGATAGTTTAAATACATACACATACTGCATACACAATATATGAAATATTCACATGTAATAAACTTATATGTATGTGAAAACAATGATTTAAGGTTCCCACTCAAGGAAAAGAACATGAACATAACAGATTCTCAAAGTAAATAAAGGGAAGGAGGATAAGAGCAGAAGTCAATAAAATAGAAAGCAAACATACAATAGAACAAAACAGAGGAGGTTTCTTTCAAAACTGTTAATAAAACTGATAAATCACTAGCAATATAGAACAAGAAAAAATAAAAAGAGACAGAAGGCACAAATAACACCAGGACATAAAAGAGAACACCGCTACAGTTTCTGCAGGAATTAAAAAAACAGAAAGAGAGTACTGTTACCCACTTCATGCCAAAAATTTGACATCTTAGATGTCAAAGTGTAAATATGCAGTGAAAACTTTTGTTTACTTAATGAAACTGACACAAAAAAATTAAAAATCTGAATAGCCCATATTAATTAAGGAAGCTTATTTTATAATGTAAATTCTATACATAAAGTATATTACAGGCCTTGATGGCTTCATTGGTGAAACCTTCTACATAGTTGAAGAACAAATATTAAACAAACTCTTTCAGAGAATATAAAAAGATTAACAAATAAGGCCGGGCATGGTGGCTCACACCTGTAATCCCAGAACTTTGGGAGGTCGAAGCAGGCAGACTGCTTGAGACCAGGAGTTTGAGACCAGCCTGGCCAACATGGGTGAAACCTCAACTCTACTAAAAATACAAAAATTAGCCAGGTGTGGTGGTGCATGCCTGTAATCCCAGCTACTTGGGAGGCTGAGACACAAGAATTGCTTGAACCCAGGAGGCATACGTTGCAGTGAGCAGAGATCATACCACTGCATTCCAGGCTGGGTGACAGAACTGAGAGTCTGTCTCTAAATAAATAAATAAATAAATAAATAAAAAATAAACAAATAAAAAATCTTACAATTTATTCTATGAGGTAGGAATAACCTTAATACAAAAACCTGATAAGGACATTATGAGAAAGAAAAATCCAAATTTGGACACAGCAATTTTAAGCAAATATTAATCAATTGTACACAGCAAAAATATAATATGAATAACACAACATTAGTAAGTGGGATTTATTCCAGAGAAAGAAGAGGAGGATAAGTTAACGTTAAAAAAAAATCAATTCACTATATTAGCAAGATAAACAAGAAAGCCTCTCAATAGATGCAGAAAAGTGTTTCATACAATTTAATATAAGTTCATAGTAAAAAAAAACTTTTAGACAAGTGTACAAATTTTTAATCTAAAAAAGAATATTTACCTAAAAAACAAAAGCTTATGGTAAAACATTAAGCCCTCCCCTTGTCACTCCCAAGATCAAGAAGGAAACAAGAATGCCTGCAGTCACTTTTATTCAACATTGTAATGAGTGTTTTCGCTAATGCAATAAAAAAAGAAAAGAAGTATAAAGATCTGAAATAAAACAGTAAGAGGTCTATTATTTGCAGATAACATAAATACATACATAGAAAAATCATAAAGAATCTAATTAACTTCATGTATCTTTAGTAAATTTGTTGCATACAAGATCAACATCAAAATTAAGTTCATTTCTGTACACTAGAAGCAAGTAACTAGAAAATGAAAACGTACAAATAAAACTTATAATGCTATCAAAAATACCTATATAGGAATAAATCAAACATATCCTATGAAAACAGTCTAAATAGAAATCACAAAACATTATTGAGATACTTAAAGAGTCTCCACATTAATGAAGGGTCATCTATACCCATGAATTGGAGAACTCAATGGTAACATGGTAAGATGTCAGTTTTTCCACATTGATGTATGGATTCAATCGATCTCGTTAAAAATTCCAACAGTATGTTTGTCTAACTTGATAGTCTGATTATAAAATATGTATGAAAATACTAGAATAGCCAAGACAATCATGGGTTAAAAGGAAAAAAAATAGAAAAATTAATCACTAGATAGCTAAAATTATCATAAAGCTAAGTAATTAAAAGAGCACCATATTAAGGCAAGGATATACAAATAGATTAATGGAACAAAGCAGAAAGTAAAGGAAAAGACCACATGATTTATGACAAAGTTGACAGTGCAGTGCAGTGTAGAAAGGATGGTCTTCTTAATAAATAATGCTAAATTTAATGGATGTCTACATATTTTTTAAATAAATCATAATCCCTCAGATACATTAGAAACAAAAACCAACTGCAGGTAGATTGTAAACCTAAAATGTGAAAACTAAAACAATAAAATTTTCTGGAAGAAAATATTGACAACAATTTTTATGGCCTTTGGGAAAAAACAAAGATTTAATAAACATTCAAAAGAGCTCTAAAAAAGGAGATAATAATTGATAAATCATCCTATATTAAAATTAAGAACATCTATATATCAAAATCATTATTAAGAGGGTATTAAAGCATCATACAGAGTAGGGAAAGATACTCTGGATTCATAGCCAGAATACATAAAGAACTCCCGCAAATCAAGAAGCAAAATATAGACAGATAAATAGAAAAATAGTCACATATAAATAGACATTTCACATAAAAGAATAGACAAATGACCAATAAACATATTAAAACATGTTCAATATTATTAGACCTCAGAGAAACTAAATGGCTAGAAATGTTAAAACCAACAACACCAAGTGTAAGAAAGTATAGGGAGCAAGTGGAAATTTCATATCGTATTGGTGATAATGTAGACTGGTAAAATCATTTAGTTAAACTCTGACAAGATCTACTAAAGCTGACATACACATAACCTGTAACCAATTATTTCACACTGATATGCATGCAAATGTGCACCTACATACATGTACAAGAATGTTTATTGCAGTACTTTCCAGAGTGCCCCAAGACTGGAAATAAAGTGCTCATCAACAGTAGAACAGGGCATGACGGCTCACACCTGTAATCTCAACACTTTGAGAGCCTGAGGCAGGAGGATCCCTTGAGCCCAGGAGTTTGAGACCAACCTGGGAAACATAGGAAGACTCCGTCTTTACAAATTTTTTTTATATTTAGCCAGGTGTGGTGGCTCACACCTATAATCCCAGCTACTTGGGAGGCTGAGTTGGGAGAATAGCTTGAGCCCAGGAGGTCAAAGCTGCAGTGGGCCGTGATCACTCCACTGCACTCCAGCCTAGGGAACAGAATGTCTCAAAAAAAAAAAAAAAGGAGAACAGATAAAGAAGTTATGTTACAATTGCATAATGTGTATCTTTTCATATCCTCTGGTAAGCAAATGATGGAAAGAGTTAAGGGTACAAGAGATTTATTGAGAGTAATGCCTGTGAAATAAATGGGGCAGGAGAGGGCAGGGTAAGGCTTCAAACTGCAAAGCAGGTCTGACATTTGTGAAAGAGAGGGGGAAGAAAGGAGGATTGGGTAGAGAGGAGCCTCAGATGATGATGTAGCTCTGACAACGTCTCAGCCAGTTCAAAGGGGAGCCCCAGTGCAAATATGTCCATGGAGGAGTGCCACATCGAGCAGAAATACTCAAGACCTTCGTATCCCAGTCATTGGCTGGATGCTGCCCACAGACAGTATGTCCACAACTTGCTGCTGCTTCAGTGGATCCCAAAACGCTGTAGCTAGGGGCTGTCAGCCCACTCTTCCAGGTTGACCTTTGCATCTCTCTGTCTGACATGGAATGGAACACCATAAAACCAACACAAATAGAAAAACTGTGACAACATACAACAATGTGGAAAGATCTTACACCCATAATCATGAGCAAAGGAACAAGGCAGGAAAGAGCGCTTACTGCATGATTCCATTTATACAGAGTTCAAAAAACAGTAAAAACTAATTTATGGAGTTAGACATCAGAATAGTGATTAATTTTGACCAGGGCCTACTGAATGGGAAGGGTACTAGGTGGGCTCCTGTGATCTAAACATAATAGTCTGGGTGGCAGTTACACATATGTTCACTTTTTAAATAATTTATTGAGCTATATAACAAACTATATGTCCTTATATACACATATATGTATGTATGTCTCACTTCAATCAAAAACAAGTGGCTTTAGAAAATTAATATAGCCAGATAAAGGTATTAACAGGAATAGAAGCCATAGTAAACCTAGCGTACAAAAGCCAAGAAAATAATGCCTTCATGGACAGTAATGAAATCAGAAGAGAATAAAATACATTTATTTTGATGTAGAAGATTCAAATAATTCTACCAAAATATTTCTATGATGATTAAACCTCCAATATTAATGGAAAACAGGCGACATGCTGCTGTTTTATTTATTTTCATAAACAACTCTTTGATGGTTTAATAGCTAATTATATCTTTATCCTGAAAAAGCTTGTGCAGGCTATTAGCTTAATACAGCACTTCTCAACTTTTTCCAGGCTGACATAAGTGAAAACCTAGGAAAAACTACCATTATCCTGCTCCCTTTCATTGAATTTGCATTCTCCATTGCATAATAATTAATGTCTGTATTACTTAAATATCATCTTTATAAAGTGCTTCCCCACACAGGACATGCTGTTTCCTTTTTCCTTTGCCTAGTCCGTATCTATGTAAAGTCTCAAAATGATAACAGAATGGGGAGAGAACTGGGAAAATGTATAGACCACAGAACTGCAGTTACAGGAAGCATCTTGGAACTAATTGGAACACTTATTCAATCGACAAATAAATATTAGAACCTGCTATGTGCTAGGCAGTGCTTTAGCAGGTTTCATTTGCATAATTACACATAGGGTAGATAGAAATTCACACGAATGGAACCGCAGTGTAGTAATGGAAAGAGAACAGGACTGAGATGCAGCTGAACTGAGTTCTGTCATGCCTCTGCTACTAATTAGATACCTATGATATTGAGCAAGTGATAAAACATTCTGGCCCACAGGTTCCCAAATTGTGAACTGAGGAGGAGGAACCAAATGATCTTTAAGATTCATTCTGGCAATTTTGCATTCTAGATTTGGATCCCACTGATCAGCCTTGTGACCTCCTTGAGCAAATTACCTCCTTTTTTGTTTAACTTTTCTCATTTAATGAAATGGCAGTAGAAGAAGCTTTTGGTATTTTCCCACTTCCTTTATCAGGAATCCAATCAACCCCTTCCCTGAAGAAGTCAAGAGACTGTCCCCCCATCTCAGCTCTAGGCATGTTGCCTAATTAATTTAAGCCATGACATTAATAGCATTATTCCCCTCTCCAAGGTTTGCTTTAGACATGGGTACCTGATGAAATGCAGGTCAACAAGACAGGGGATGTCTGCTGGGAGGCACATAATGAATAATGGTCTTTTCTCCTCTTGGCTTTCTGATATCTGAGAATGATGACTGGAACTGCTGTAGTCATCTTGGAACCCCACGGGAATCCAGCCTGAGGTAAGAGCAAAGCTAGCACAGTGTGGAAAACAGTAGGGTGCTTGGTGCTAAGTACCTCTTGGTACAAAGGGTGCTGAGTATTTGGTAACATTCCTGAGCCAAAGATTGTACTGTGCCATGAGCCTTCCCTACCTCTCAACCATAACTATCTACTGGCTACTGAGGAAACTGAGCAATTATTCACTCAACAAATATTTCATAATCTGTTTGTTCTGGACATTGAAAGAAGCTAGAAAAAAATGCAAGAAATGGTCACTTTATTCAAAAACTCAAAATGCATATGCAATAATAAGGAGTGATTACTAGAATTAATTAACAAAGAAAGGCCAGTATCCCTGAAAGGAGTATTTTAGGCAATATGCAGTCTACCAGTTGAGAAAATGTGGAGATTGTTATGGATTGGAAGGATTACTATACCAGCTGGGAGGAAACAGACCACCAGAGGGACGATAACTCTCCAATACAGCTTCAGATGCCTTAGGCCTGAGACACTGGCCTCCTTCCTATCATCTCTGTTGAACGTACAGGCAGTTACTGGCTTAAATCAAGGGTGAACCTCCAGTTGGTAGGACGGTGGGACTACGTGGCCAAGAGGACTTATGTCTGGGTGGAAAAATGTTCAAAGCCAAAGAGAATGTAACAGGTCAGTTTGAGATGGAGGATTTTTTTCCTCCAGTAGTCATCATCTGGTTTATCATGGGACAAAACCAGGCAAACATTTAAAAATCAGAGGTTCTCCAATCAGCAATCAGATAAGTGAGCCACAGTAAATCTACAGAGCTGTCCAAACAGAGAGATGTGGCTTCTTTCCAAACAAGTTTATCTGTTGATTTTATGTGAATCCAAAGGCTTTCAGGCCAGGACTAGGAGCTGGAGCATGAAAACGATCAGACCAATAGATTTCTTGTGATCAGAAGTGTCTCAGGGCCACAGAGATTATATAAGAAAGAGACTAGTCAATTCCTCAGAGATACACCTATCATCACTAAAGTTTTACTTTCTCTTCGGAAAAATAAATGGATGTTTCTGTCTTATCTTTGCCTCTTTATGATAATGTGGAACTTAACTGGTTTATGCCTTTTTGAAATAAATGACACTACAGTAAATACTGAAAACACGTAAGGAAATATCTGGCTTACCAGACTCTTTCATTTTGATCTCAAAGTCATAAAAGACAGAAGCTTCCATGTATTTATGGGCACCAGGTTACCTCCAAGTCACAGTCTTTTCCACAGTTAAGAAAATGACTTGCTTCGATGAATGCTCATATACAATTTGTATAATTTTGGAGAGAAATAAAATTAATGTAGTCATAGAAATATAAACTATTTGATTTCAATGAAAACAAAGCTCTTTAATCTATAGCTATTTTAATCACCAGGCATTCAACAAATAGTTTTAAATGTTATTCCCAGGAACATTGTTTCCCAGTGTGGTACATGAGCCCTGGGGAGGCAAGATAATTTTAGGAGATATGCTGATAAATACTTTTTATCTTATTGGTTATATATTTATTTTACTGTGTGTGTCCATAAAGAAAAAGACATGGCCAAGCACGGTGGCTCAATCCTCTAATCCCAGAACTTTGGGAGTCCGAGGCGAGCACATCACTTGAGGCCAGGAGTTTGAGACCAGCCTGGCCAACATGGCAAAACCTTGTCTCTGCTAAAAACACAATAAATTAGCTGGGCATGGTGGTGCCTGCCTGTAATCCTAGCTACTCAGGGGGCTGAGGCATGAGAATCTCTTGAGTCTGGGAGACAGAGGTTGTAGTGAGTCAAGATGGCACCACTGCACTCCAGCCAGGGCAACAGAACAAGACTTTGTCTAAAAATAAATAAATAAATAAAAGAAAAAGACATATACAAATACAAACACACACACTCTTAGCACATCAAATCCATGATATATACTTTTCACAAATGTATTTAAACTTTAAAAGTGAGTTGATTTAAAGAAACATGTTATATAAATGTGGTAGGCAGAATTCTCAAATAGCCCCAAAGATACCCACCCCCGGTACATAAATGTCCTCCCTTGAGTATGGGAGGAAACTGAATATAATGGAATAGTCACTGCCATGATTAAATTATGTCATGTAAAACAATGTCATAGTAGATTAGGGGGACTTGCTGTCAGTTGACAGCTAGCAAGAAAGCAGAATCCTCAGTCCTACAACTGTAAAAAACCGAATTCTTTCAACAACGTAAATGAGCTTAGAAGAGAACAACTGCCTCCAGATGAGACACTGACATCTTGTGACTCCTTGATTTCAGCTTTGTGAGACTCTGAGCAAAGAATCCAGCTAAGCTGAGCTAAGTTTGTAGTAATTTGTCATACAGCAATAGAAAACTAATAGAGTAGGTAACAGAACAAGTGATATGGAGCAATGGTAAAAATCATGAAGGTAGTAACTCAAATGACTGAGGCTTGTAAAACACTGTCCCACCCCAGGAGACAGAACTACTAGACCCAGTCACGGAGGAAAGCCCCTGCCTTGGGTCCTGCACATTAATGGGTATCAAATATCACAAATACACACATCCACATCCACACATACACACAAAATGGGCATACACAGGCCCGTCTATTTGGAATCCAACACTGAGTACTAGCAGCACACAATCTATAAGTCCTAATATCTGCTTGCATGGCCAGTGTCATTCAGGTGCCAGGGAAATGCTTCTGCCATTCGTTACCTGATGTCCTTGTCTTAGTCCATTTGGGCTGCTATAAAAAACATACTATAAAGTAGGTGGCTTATAATTAACAAAAATTTATTTTTCACAGTTCTGGAGGCTGGGAAGCCCAAGAGCAAGATGCTGGCCCCAAGATTTGGTGTCTGGTGAGTGTCTGCTTCCTCATAGATGGCTGTCTTCTCACTGTAATTTCATATGGTGGAAAGGGTGAATAAACTCTCTAAAGCCTCTTTCGTAAGTCACTGATCCCATCAAAGGTTCTACCTTCATGACCTAACCACCTCCCTAAAGTCCCACTCCACAATACAATCACCTTGAGGGTTATTATTTCAACATACAAATTTCTGGGGGACACATACGGACCAGAAGGTTGTAAAGCTTTGTGTGTTATGCTGCTCCTGGCATCAGAAACACAAAATGCCCCAGAATGCAAGGAGGACTTGGGGTATGGAGATGGAGTTTAAGTAAAAGACAAACCAAATAACTTGTGAAATCTTCCTCTCAGCATGAATACAATAGCTTCTTGCATAACAAAGTATAGTTTCCCAATAGGGTCACGCATCTCTTTTGTTGCTTCTCTTCAGGTTCCAATTGCGGTTCTGGGAAATACTAGTGAATTCACCCGGTAAATGCAAAAGTTACACACAGTGGCTGAGGAAAATTCTGCAATATTAAGCAATTTATTTTACTCTTAAATATGTATGCATACACACACACCAATTCTTGATATTGGCAACTAATTTGATGTTGAATGCTAACAGTGCAAATACTTACAATTTTGCAAGATATTAAATAAAGTTTAATTAAATATTTAAAATGTCAAATAACACAATAGGGATGTAATAAACAAAACAGCCTGGAGAAAATTCTATAGGGCAAACAATGTGGTTCCTTTAACAAACAAATTGCAAAGAAAAGCAAGAGATAGAGAGAAGGACAAAGAGAAAAATCTAAAGATTAAAAGAGATTTAGATTATCCAACAAATTGCAATAAGGGACTTTGTGGTGGTTAATTGTATGTGTCAATTTGAGTAGGTCACAGGGTGCCCAGATTACACATTGTTTCTGGGTGTGTCTGTGAGGGTGTTTCTGAATGAGATTAGCATTTGAATCGGTAGACTCAGTAAAATAGTCTCCTCCCCAGTGTGTGTGGGCACCATTTAATCTGTTCAGGGACTGAATAGAAAAAAAAGCAGAGGAAGGAGAAATTAGCCCTATTCTTCCTGTCTAGCTGCTGGTGCTGGGACAACTCATTCCATTTGTTTTCCTGCCTGTGGAATAGGATTTAGGCCTTCACCTCCTGGGAGCTGGAGGTTGCAGTGAGCTGAGATAGAGCCACTGCACTCCAACCTGGATGACAGAGTGAGACTCTGTCTCAAATAAATAAATGAATCATAAAACATAAACAAATTAGCCAGGTGTTGTGGTGCACACCTGTAGTCCTAGTTACTGGGGAGGCTGAGGCAAGAGGATTGCTTGAGCCCAGGAGTTCACAGCTTTAATGTGCTTTGATTGCACCATTGCACTCCAGCCTGGGCGACAGAGTCAGACCTAGTCTCTAGAAAAATTATTGACATGTTTTAGATGTATTAATGATAGTATGATTATGTTAAAAATCTACCATTTAGAGACATATAGTGACATATTTGCAGATCAAATTATATGATAGATGGGATTTGCTTCAAAATAATGGTGGGCTGGGAGCAGACAAAATAAGATTGGCCATGAGCTGATCAATTATTGAAGCCAGATAACTGGTATGTGGGGGTCATTATACTATTTCGTTTACTTTTACATATTTGAAATTGTACATAGTATGTTTTTACAAAAGAGAATGATTTTTAAGTAAAATTTTAAAGTTCATTTTAACATAATTTTTTTAGATTTTTATGTTATTACTAACTTTTGCCCTTCTAGTCTTAGTAGATTTTTAAATAATTTAGAGAGTAAATTTTGAAAGGTAATCATTTTAATTGGAAAAAACTGACATTTACTTGAATTTATATTTTTGATAAAAATATTTTCTAGTATGCTTTGAGTACAAATGCATTTTCTTTTTTTAATCCTTTAGATTCTTGAAAATTAGAACAAAGTGAGAAAATGATAGAAATGGAAAATATTAAAGAGGGAGTTCAGAAAAGAATAAAAGGCTAAAAAGAAAAACAGAAAGATACATTTTCCAAATAGGTGATTTGTTTAATGTTTGAAAACTGAAAACAATGAAAGAGAATAGGATTGTGGTAAACAGGACCCACATAAAATTCATGAACTATATATTATATATTTGATGTTTGGACATCAACACAATAAAAATGAGCAAAACAGTTATTGTCATCAAGACCTCACTTTGAATCGATTAAGTAAAATCCCTATATTTTCACATCTTTTCTTACATGAAGATTGATTTACCAATAAAGACAATGAGACAATGTGAGGACCTCGGTTTGACTCTCGCCCTGACCCCATGCTAGGAAGATTTGGGAAAGAAGGCTTTCTGGAGATATGCCATGCCAACTGTCCATAAGTGGTATACATTCTCTTTTAGAAAACAATTATCCAAAAAAAGTTCAAAACATTGTATTTCATATCATAAGAGTTCAGAGAATAAAGAGAATTGTGTAGTGCTAATAATTTTAAAAATTGGAGAAGATTCATGGAAGGAAGCAGAACTTGATCTGAGCTTTGATGGAAGAAGGAATTTCATTAGATGGAATGGAGAAGTGTTGTAGAAAAATCCAGGTTCTTGTCACATGACCAGGAAAGATTAGGCTAGCAGACACTTTGAAGGGTGAGGAGTTATGGGTGAAAAGGAAAAAGGAAAAACAACACAACAAAGCGAGAAGGATTCCTGTTAACAGGCCCCCATCTCACAGATTGAATCCCAAGTTACCACACAGGAACAGGAGGGGCCAGGCTCCTCCCCCTGCAAAGGGCTTGAACTTCCGTGGCTCCACCCCATCCTCCCAGTGCACAGGAGATTTTCTGGGGACCTTCCCTCTTATCTGCCTCTTGCATCTATCAGAAGGAAGGTCATTCCAGGCACAAGAATACCTAAAAGTATAAATATAGGAATGAAAATCCCAAGTAGTCTGTAAGATTCTGATTAATGGAGACAGGCCTCAATCAATTTCACACCATGAGTGAAAATTTAAGCTGGATTATTAGTCTAGACCTGCTAAGTAAATATCTTGTTCAAGAACCGAAATATTATAGCTACAACATGGCTTGCAGAGGAAATGAAATGGAAACCTATAAATTGAAAAGTGTATAACAAGAGTGCAAATTCAGAGAACTAAGTATAGTTTCATTTTGGGGCTGTGCCATAAAGGTGACTTAGGTAGACCCAAGGGCTAGGGATCTGTGTGTGTATGTGTGCGGGCCTCTTGTGATCATTAACTTTTGAGGGAAAAAAAAAATGTTACATGACCCCGCAAGTAAAAATGATTAAGGTATTTCTTGTAGCTATTTCTGTGTGTCATAAAAACAGCAGGATTTTTTAGAATGGGCTGATGTTCTTTATCCCAGTCCTCCTAAAGGGAATTAAAGAGCTGAGACCAGTATAATTTATGGGTCTGATGGGACGAAAACACAGCACCAAAAGGAGCACATACATTCCCAGTGACTCATTTGAGTCTCTATCTAAATGCAAAGCCTGGTCTTATTTTTTGAAACCAGCTTTCTGGTAGACTGTTTAAGAGTTAAGGGATTACAAGAATAAGTCATTGATCTCTCATCTCTAAGGCTAACACAGAATTTCATATTACTAAAACCAGACATTGCCTTTAAACCCACAGATTTTAGCCAGAGGGGTGGAGAGAGAGTGTTTTTGTTTGCTCTGTGATGATTTGAGAGCTGCATGATATTTTTGGTAAGAAAGGAATGAGAAAACATTAAATAGTATAACAGCACCTCCCCCATGCTGTTTCTGAAAAGAGCAAATTAGAAATTACCTTGGACAGAGTATGCAAAATGAAATGACCCAAAGCTCTTTGAAGGGTGGGCTATCTTTTAAAATCAAGAAGCATAATTTATTGCATACTTAAAAAAACAACAACATTGTTTTCAGTCAGAACAATTCCAGGTGAAAGATGAGGTACTTATAAATGAGATATTTCCTTTGCTTTGTCAATGAAATCAAGCTAAATAAATATTTTACAGCCCCTTTGACAAAAGTTTGTAATTAAAGGAATTATAGGTAGAGTTAACCTACTGCTAATGAAGATGAGGTACCTAGATAACATAAAGCAACTGAGGTTGTAAACAAATGTACTAACTTTACACATCTTAGCGAGTATTTTCTCTCCCACAGGGGTTACCCTGGGAAGCTATAGGATTAAATAAGGCTGTAGCAATTTCTTAGAAGAGTTTCCAGCTCTTCGATTCAAGCCTTCAGGGACAGCAGGCTATTGTTTTGACTGTCTTCAAAAATAAGGAAGCTTCAATGCATGAAAATAGAGTTATATTTTTGAAAAATAATCAAAAGTCCATTGAAAGCAAGTCCAGAGACCAGGGTAGGCAATTCATCTTAGTAATACTATTTTTACTTAAAAATAAGTTGTACTAATAGGGTGACTTTTAAGTCCCTTTGAAACAGGATCTAAAGACAATTTTCACAGAATTACAGAAATAATTTGTTGAAATAAGTGTATAAAACCCTAATCATTTTGAAGGGAAAAAAGATCAGTCTTAGCATACTATAGACATATTTCCTACTTAAACATTCTAGTATTCATACAACCATTCTGAGAGGGCAATATGTATCAAAATATACAATGTGCATATTCTTTTACCTAGCAATTCTACTTCGAAGACATTGTCCTAAGACACTTGAAGAAATAAAGACACATATGCGAGGCTGTTCACTACTGAATTGGTGAAAAATTTTAAACATATTAATTGTCATGAATTAGGGATTAGTTAAATAAAATGCACTGTAACTACAGTAGAAAACATGCTGTTGTTTAAAAGGATGGTAAAGTACAGAGGCCATGCAGATTTTATGTCATGTTTCAACTGAAATTAAGCACTGTGTTGAGAAGAATTCTGAGGTTGAGTTTAGTCTCAAAGAAACAAAACTGTTACCAATGAGTAATGGATGCAACAATAGCAGGATAAAGGAAATGGCAGCATGATGACCAGGTTCTTGCCATCCCTAATGTTGCAATCAGTGAGGGTCAAGACAGGGAGTTCCGTAGGAGAAGTTTAACAGGGAGAGCTAGTTACACACATGTTGGAAAAGCTGAAAGAGAAAACAGGGAAAGTGGGACAACCCCCAGATTTACCACTGCAGGAAGCCACACCACCCCATAGTGCCGAAGACAACTGGAGAGAGGCTGTCCAAGCAGTCACCCAGAGAGCTCTGTGGCAAGGCCATATGGCCTGAATCAGAGTCACAGAAGAGATGGAGCCCCTGCCAGAGACCAGAGCTGTGTTCTTGGAGTGAAATCTGTGCAGCTGCACCGAGCTTCCCACTTGGAAGGGCCCCAAGCACAAAAGTGTGCTGGTTTAATGCTTTGCTGCCACCATCTTGATTTTTTTTTTTTTTTTTTTTGAGACGGAGTCTCGCTCTGTCACCCAGGCTGGAGTGCAGTGGCGCGATCTCTGCTCACTGCAAGTTCTGCCTCCTGGGTTCACGCCATTCTCCTGCCTCAGCCTCCCAAGTAGCTGCGACTACAGGCACCTGCCACCACTCCCAGCTAATTTTTTGTATTTTTTTTTAGTAGAGACGGGGTTTCACCGTATTAGCCAGGAAGGCCTCGATCTCCTGACCTTGTGATCCGCCCGCCTCAGCCTCCCAAAGTGCTGGGATTACAGGCGTGAGCCACCGCGCCCGGCCTTGAAATTTTTAATAATTTTTGAATGGCACCCTCCTTTTCATTTTACACAGAAGCCCAGAAATTATGTAGCTTGTCCTGCCAGAGACTTCCACCAAAACAGAGACGAAGAGAAATACCCAGGCTGTTCCACCTTCCCACCCTTCATTCTCCCACTGCTTCCCACTGGACTAAAAGTAAGCTCTTGTGAAAAAGAAGTGTAGTTTACAGGGACTGGCCCTAAGAACAAAGGCACAGCAGGGGGATCTGAGTGCTAAAAAATCAGCCCACCCACCCAAAGTAAGCAGGTATGTGTTAGCATGGGCAGGTACTTAAATACCTTAAATATTTTTAAAGTTATAGGTCATGGAACAGTGTGTGATTCCAAATGTGTATATATTTACATTTATTTTTAACAGTCAGAGGTATATACACCAAGGTGTTTAAAAGATATGAGGAGGAACTTAAACCAAGGTGTTAAAAATAGTGGTAAGCAAATAAGCCATTTTCTTTACTTTTTGTTTAATTCTATTCTCTGACATTTCATAGACATAGATGAACTAAATAGACCTATATATGTATTTACATACACTATATATATTATGATATAATAGCATGATTTTTAATTTTTAAAATATACAAACAAGACCTGATTACCTTTTTATTATCAAGGGAGGCTAGAACAGAAATGTAGCCACTAACTCAATATTTTCAAACATGGCTGGGATATAGCACAGGATGAGAACTCAGGAAACGGACCTTGGTTTGGTGACTGGCAGACCTTTCTGAAATACAGTCAGTAAATTGGTGAAGTCCCAAGCTTGATTCCAAGTTGTGGTGGGGAAATGTAAGCAGCCAATGAAGGAAACTCCTTTCAAAGTAGGGCAGGCAAAGGAAGCAATGGAATGATGTTTTCACAGGATATTACAGCTGGCAATCAGGGCTGACCTCCCCATCTCTCAGACCCAGCATCCCTTCGGGGTGGGCCTAGGGTATTGGGCCATTTCTCTTGTAACTTGTTCCTGTTATTTTAGTTTCTTCTGAAAGCCCTGCTAGTAATGGTGGTGGAAGGCCGGCACCTGGCGTGTGCATGTGATCTATGGCACAGTCTAAGCCAGACTTCCACCCCCTGCTTCCTGTCCCTTAGTGTCTACATCAGGCTACAGTTCAGTTTGTTATTTGAATTCAAGGCACTTGCAAATATCCAGTGCATACCCAGTAGGAAAATAGGATAGAACTTCCATTTTGAAAAGTGTTGAATTAGTACCATAAAAAGTAGGTGATTTATATATAATTGGCCATTTTTAAAAAAGAAAGGCTACAGATGCCTTCCTGCTGAATAAGTGACCATTTTAAAAGTTAATTTAGCCTTAAATGTACTCATTTAAGAAATTATTTATCAAGATGTTAAGTTCAAAGCCAGCCACTCTCAGCTTTTTAAAGTGTTTGAAGTTCTGCGAGTTATCTAAGCCGTGTTTTCATAATGTTTCAAAAACCCATATGGGAGACAATCACACTTTTCTCTTTCCGTCATTTCTTAAAAAAATGCCCTGAGAAATATTGCCATATAGAAAACAAATGATATTCGATGCTAAATATTGTTAAAGCAATCTTAAAATGAGTGTCTTTACATTGAGTTTCGTTCTCTCTTAGCAAAGAAGCTAAGAACCCAGCAAAGAAAACTCTTCATAGTTTTCTGTGTAATAAATCTATCAGATGGAAACTTCTGAAATTCAGCAAGGAAATTCTTGGAATTGGGATCAGACAGTATACTCCTACGTTGGTTAATATTGCATTGTTGATTCCAAAAATATAATCCTAATCTGTGTTTACTCATTCTTCTCATAGGGAGTCATTAACCCTGCTATCCTGCTTTCTGTTAACGCACATGTAAGTCTCACCAGTACAAGCAGCTTTTCCCTTGATCACAGGTGCATCACATATAAACCTGCCTTCCTCTGTTTACCCACTTTTATCTCCTATCCACAGTCTGCTCAGCTGCGGAGGCAGGAGACTATGTAGCAAAGGGCCATGAACGTGACACTTTCCTTGAAACATATCAGTTAAATTTTACATTATTGCCCTGATTGAGAGGGGAAAAGGAAGAGTCTTGAAAAGGTGTCAGATTATCTTCTTTTGTCAGAGGTTAAATGGATAATTAATTTGCATGTCTGCTTTTCTACAGCCATTTTACACCTGTCTGATTGAATAAATTAGAAACCATGAAAAGTGATCAGTTGCCTTATTTGGATTTTACCGAATAAAGATCTTTGAAAATGTTTATCTTTTAAAACGATTGCAAAATTATAAACAGCTGGTTCTTGTTTCCATCACAATCAGCCTTAACTTCCGTTTAATCTATGAAGCATTGAGTACTTCCTCAAGGTGCCAGCAGCTAAACCTAGACTCTCGAGTTGCTCACCGGACAGTAACGAAAGGCAGAAGAAAGGTCTAGAGAAGACAAGCAAAAGAAGCTAGAAGGAGAAGAAGGAAGCTATTATTAATAGGGTATCCAGAGAAGGCTTTGTACAAGGAGTGTCTATTGAGTCTTGAACCAGTCCTTAAATAATGGGTCTGATGTCAACAGAAAGAAATGGCAAGGAGAAAAAACACTGATCATAGGATGAGCAAAGGGAAGTTATAGGAAACAGAAGGAAAAAGACCAGGGCCACGGTGTAGAAGACTTTAAATGATATAAAATGTGTTTTGAGCCTGATTCTTTAGGCAGAAGGGCACCAAACATTCTTAAACGTGAAGACATAGTGAGTTGATAGCCGAGTCTAAGAAAGAAAATTCCAAGAGGAATGTGGAAGACAGGTTGCAGGGAGAGATGCCCCTAGTCAGAAAAACAGTGAGGGGAACTCCAAGGGCACAGGCAAGAGAAGGGGACTCCTGGCCTAAGACAGAAGGAAGAGAAATGGGAAGGCAGTAAGAAGGAGTTAGGCTCCTGAGAGCATGGTAATCAATTGCAGGTAGCACAAGAGAAAGGGAGGAAAGGAAGATAACACTAAGATTTTGATGGTGATTTTGTTACTATGTCATTAACAGAATTAGAAAAGACGAGAAGAGAGAGTTGAAGAGGAGATAATGTGCAAAGTTTAAAAACAAGAGGTCAGAGTATTAATGGATATACAGGTGGAAATTATCAATAGAGTTGTGAAAAGGTAATTGGAGCTCTGGAGAAAGGATTGGATAGGGATGTAGATTTTGGGGTTACTAGCATAAGGATATTTGTTGAAATAAAGAAATAAAATAAATCTCCAAGATGTTGTAATCTTAATCATATGGAATGCCTACTAGGGACTGGGAGAAGGAGGAAGCACATGAGAAGGATCCAGCAGAAAGGAAGAAAAACCAGAAAAATGCAGTTCCTCAAAAGTTAAAGGAATTTTTTTTCCCCAGTGTGTAAGGGGGTGATAAAGCAGAGGCAATCCATATAAAAATGTGTTTCAGAAGCTTAGCAGTGAAAGAACAGATAGACAATCAGTAGCTGGAAGAAATATCAGATTTGAGTATTTTGGCAGTAAGTATTGTGGAAATGGAGAATTCCATGAAGTAGATAGCACTGAAGATGCAGAGAGATAAGGACTGCAGACAGCAGTGAGGGGATAAGATAGGCTCTGAAATGTTCCTGCAAAAGCCAGAGTCAAATCCTACTATGGGGGTTATCAAACCCTACGGTGGTGGTCATCAAACCCTATGATGGTGGTCATCAAACCCAGTGGTCCCGCTTGAGCTTAAAGGACTGCCCTGAGCCCATCTCAGGCCTTTGCAAGGGAGTCTATGGAGCTCAGAAAACAGAGAACTTTAGCCAGCCTAAATTCTTGCAACAAAGAAGGAAAGAAGAGCAGGCACCTTGCAAAGCTCAAAAGATAATGCTGGAGGACTGAACGAGAAGATTTGAGGTCCTAAGACAATATAAAAATGAAAATGAATGAAAGCAAAGCCGTACACGAAGGGTCTTGCTTGGAAGAAAAGGAAAATAAAGGGAGCCTCTGGGGAAGAAGCCATCAGCTAGAGTATGTGGGAGTGGAGCCAGTCAGTTACAAAGGTTTATACTAGCCCACAGGGAGAGTGTGATAGGAAGTCAGATGAATAACAGGGTTTCTGAGCAGTATTCAGGGCACAGCTGAGAGTAAAGAACATCGATTTGTAGTGCATCAATTTATATATAAAAATTATACCATGGACACGAGTTTTGACTATCTAGCCAAGAGCTAATGCACACATACAATATTTTGTCTCCGGTAATGGTACTTAAATTTTTTTAGTAAACTCCGACAGTCAGACAGAATCTTAACTCGACCTCCCTCCTGATGCTGGTGCATTTAGTGAACCCTGCCTCATTGCCTTTGATTCACTCAGCATTTCTTGTTCATTTTTAAAAAACCAGAAGAAATTGATTTGTTTTCCTTGGCAGTTCTGACATCATCCTACTTATAAAGTTGTACTCAGAAGAAAAGGAAGGCAAAAAGGGTTTCCATCTTAAATATGCTTGTATTTTTGGAAAGAAAGATAATCTTTTAGAGCTATATTCTTGGACACCTTGGGTGGAAAGTGAGTAGTGCTATTATTGCAAGTGATCCACATTGAACAAGTGGGACCGTGTTGGCTCTAAGCATTGGAGAGCACCTTCATATGTCCTGGTCCATGACAGCTGTCAAACACCTACCTAGCTCTGAGCCCTCTGCCCTCCTGTTGGATTTGAAGAGTAGCAAACACAAAGTGGCAGATAAGCAGATGGTGATTTGAAAAGCATTTTTCCCTGAGGGAAAAATTTATGAACAATGGATTTTGCTCTCACCTAAATTAATTTACTAGAAATCTTGCGATCTACTGTACCTAAGACAAATGGATTGAGGTGGAAACAGTTATTTGAGAGATGGGGAGTGTATTCATGAACATTTTCCATTGCCGTATCTCTCTCTGTAGAATTATTAAAAAGCATTTGCCAGTTAACGTTTACTGTGGACCCCAAATGACAAACATTCCTTTGGACTGATGGTCCATTAGAGAAGGACCATTGGTTCCCAGGACCAAGACACTTATTTATCTCCAGGCCACTGATACTAAACACTGAGACTCCAGCTGAAAAGGTTGTGGAAGTCAATGGTAAGTCTAATAATGCCTTTGATTCCAGTTCCCAAAAAGCATCTAATATTCAGTTCTGCATATTCAGTCTTCATAATGCCAGCAACCACAATTTGTATTGCTCTGACCAATTGTACAGCTCTGACCTCATTGTCCTTTTTTCATTCAACAGATCCTCCTGGCATTTAGTGGGAGGAGATATAATTATGGTGTGAGACCACCATAATAATGTGAGGGCATGAAACCACAAAAGCATTAAATCAGAAAGCCTAACAGTGGCAGTCAAGGAGACAACCCAGACCTCATACCTGATTGGGGCCAGAATTCAAAGCAGACAAAGCAATGCCCCCTCTCCTCCTTTTGTTTATTCCATTCCAAGGCACTCATTTTCCTACTTCTGCCCTATGGGACCCAATTTCTGAGCAATGGTTCTTATTATTATGCTTTTTATTTTTATCATTATTGTGACAAGAAGCAGTTCCCAATGGGATGTAGTATTTACTGCCTTAAAGGTGATGTCTTGTTGAATTCTCACATACGCTGTGAACATGTGAATGTACGTAGTAGTTTACTGATGCATTTCAAATGTATTACAAGTGCATACACATCCATCCACATGAACCTAGGACCATTTCATCACTAACTTCCTGCCCTTCACCCTAGTGGATTGCTGTTTAGAACATAAAAATGCTTTTGGCTTTCAGACAAGAAATATTGAGGAATACCTTAGAAAGTGACAAACGAAAGACATGCTACAGTCTTCTAAGCCCATTCTGTCCTTTTTGACGTATCTTAACTTCCCTCTCACCTTATTCATCACGATGCCAACCAATACTGTAAATGGAGCAGCCAATCCCAGATTCTTGCTGCTGTCCACACAGTAAGAGGAACAAGAGTGCCATCTACTTTGACTGACCAATGAGTAATTCAGGTGTCATTTTGAATGAGAGGTTTTCAATTATATACATAAAAGACCCAGAGCATTGAAGTGATACGAGTTATTAGGATCTATAGAGCTGTATTCAACCCATCATAGTCCAGTACTGACTCCTCTTTCAGCTGCACTCTGAAAGTTAAATTCTGAACTAATGCTGAGTAAACACAAGAGGCAATGGCTAAAGAGGGTGCAAGCCCCAAACTGAGATTTTATCATTTCTGGCATTAATGTATCTCAGATATTTAAAGAAATACTTGCTTAATTGACAAATGGTTGTGACTTTTGCTTTGGCAACTCCATAAATGAGAAACCAACTTTATTGGAAAGGGAAGGAGTAGATCAATTGCTAGGTGCAGAACTTAATTCCATTGCAGTTAGGTAGGAGACAAAGAAAAAAAAAGGATTCCTATTGTACTGAGAGATTCCTTGTAAAGGGGTCTTGAAAGGTACAGGTGGGTCCTCATCCAGTATCCTAACACTAGTAGGTAAGCAAGAAGTAGAATTTTTTCTCACTTAAGAACTCATATTTTTATCTGGTATTTTATATTGCCTACCTCTTATGCACTCACGCTTTCTTCTGTCAAAGAGTGATTATCGGTTTAAAAAAAAAAAACCTGAACTTTCAGAAGACAACTAAAATGTGTCCACCAATGGTGTCTGAAACTACATAATATGGAATTATGTAAACAGCACTAGGCCTGAAGCCAGGAGATCTGAATCTGTGTCTTACACAAGTGGTATATGGCAGAGCTGCATAGTAATTTCATACTGTGTAATTTCCGAGACCACTGGGGGCCACAAGCTCTGCCATATACGATTTGTATAAAGCACAGATTCTCGGCCTCTTAGAACAGGTTTCTACATCTGCAACCAAACGTCAGAGAGCCTAGCTAGACTTTTGTAGTAAGAAAGCCATGAAATAAGCACTAGTGAACCATGTAGTTCTACACAAATATTAGGGGCTCTTTATTATCACAATAATCCCTCCATTATTAATACTGTCTTCTCCTAGTAGTTCTTTCTCAAATGAACATTTTTTAGTATAAAGATTAAGTGTCCATCCCAATGTCCCAAAATAATGTTGAGGCCACTCAATCAATGGTGGTTGCAATACTCTCCTATGAGATTATGGTGGCATATGGCATAATGCACAGCAAACCAAAGTAAAAACCAGAGGCCAGGGATTGATTCTTCATTTGACTCTCTCCCTCATAATGCAGCTTCAATTTTCTCATCTAACAGAAAAAATAATACTCTGTTTCTTGAGGGTCAAATAAGACTTTTAAAAATGCAACTGTTTCATAAACTTGGCACAGTACATAGATGCAAATTATTGCTCTCCATCCTTTTATCATACTGGAATCTATGCTTTCTGGTACAAAATGCATGAACAATGCGTTTATGATCATTCTCATTAGCATCTGAGTGAAAGAAGCAACATATTTTCCATTAATGAGCCCATTTATTTATTCTTTTCTTTTGTAGTGACAAGTGAAAGTTGTTGGACAAATGATCTGTGAGTGTTTTGTCCCGCCAAAATGGCTTATAGGATGAAGATATTTGAAAACTACAGGACTAGAAGGTCAATTTTTCACTCTTGACTGAAAAAAAAATAGAATTATCATTCCTTAAAGAATGTAGACAAAATATATCAATGAAGTATTCTCTTATATTTTTACCTAAGGCATCATATCATAGGCTACCAGAGCTAGAACGCACCCAAACATCCTTGATTAAAAAACAGAAATAGCACAGAAACAAAACCTCAAAGCCCTACTACAGCTATAGACAATTAAATCCCCTGCTCAAGGTCATGTTGACAGCTTTGTCAGGGCAGAGTGGGGATCAGAATTCTCCTGTTCCCTGACTCTCTGTCTAGTATGTTTCTCATTGCAGCTGGCTCCTTCTAAACCACTGCACAAGACACTTTTGGTGGTTATTATAGCTGTTTGTTTCTTGAAAAATAATGGAAACCATGTGATCCAAAAACCTCTTTGCTAGTAAACAAAGGCATTCATTGTATCTATGAAGCAGGCTGTTTTTTAACTTAAAAAAAAGTTTTGGCTGTAGAACCATGCAGAATACAAGGAAATCTCATTTCAGCATCCCTCATTGAAAGCAACTGCTGGGAAGGGGTTGGAAACCAAAGTTATGTATACAATAGGCATTTATCCAAGGAAAGGATCTCAGGGAAATTAGCATGTCTTAAATGATGTTATTCCTAAAATGTCAATCAGTCACTACAGTATTTGCTTCTCTTATGGTATTCTCAAAATGGATTATTGTCTCTGAATTTTTAATCACAATTTAGTGGTTCAAAATACTGACAGTGATACATGACAATAGCTTTTAAAAAAGTGCTCTGGCGTTCTATATTACATAAACAGAATACAATTGTATCTCTCTAGGCAGTGTCAGAATCATTCTCAATGAAGATAATAATGTTGAATCCATCTGCCAAGAGAAGGTCAAAAACATATAGGAAATAAATCATGGCAAATATGGAATTGGCTAAAGGTTAAGAATCTAAAGGACAAATATATATTTGGAAGCAAAAATCACCCCTCACAGAGGCATAACTTAAACAACCCCACCTCTGGACTCCTAAATAGCTGGCTTACATAACTACATATGTTTCCACAAGTATTGCAATATTGAATGGAACAACGAATGAAAAATAAAATTGGAAACGATGTTAGAAACTTTTAGCTCCATTATAGCTTTTATTATTTTGTATGGTGCCTCAAGACTATCTATTAACCTGCTTCTTTGCACTAGAGAAATTCAATAAATAAATGAGCTGATTCCAGAAATGTCATGTCAGTGACATTCTAAGAATCGTTAGATAGCTTGGTCATAACCTTGTGGGTAGCACACAGGAAAAGAATTAGCCTATAAGCAGTAGATGCAGACCAAGAGTCCTAGAGGCTGTGCAGGAGTCTCAAAGCTCATTGAGCTGTTGCATTGCTTGGTCCTCTCAGCATCCATCCAGAGTCTCAGCCCCTTGCCAGTACTGTAAGTAAGTAAGCTCTGCTTGCATGTTCATAGACAAAATAAGCATGCTTTCCTAGCTCGTGGTGCCCTCTCCCAGAAGGCAAGATTCTCCAATGCCTCTTGGGCAGACTAGGTATCCACAGGGAGAAGAAAGAGTGGCATCCCTTTTCTTTGGTATGACTGGTGTCTTTTGCTCTTATCCACGGATCTCTCAGTCATGTCTAAACAAATCATCCTAGCAGATAGTAAGGCCTTGATTTCCTCTCTGAGTAGACGTCAGTTTTTATTCTGAGCTCCTTAATTCTGAACTGGCCTGACCAGGGCCTCCTGCTCTGTACAAAACAGCATTTTACTCCAGTGCTTATGCTTATTGGACTAAGCATGCAGTTGAAAAACAGGTGCTGAGAAATGACTTCTCCTAATCACCTTTGGTTTTTCCACATTTCGATTATGAATTTGAAACTCCACGCTCACTGTTTCAAGCTTTATGTGTATTGAGTGGAGGGGTTAGAAGTGGGTTGATGTGTGTGCATGACAATCACTTCTAGCAAACCAGAGCTATGACCTTTCTATGTTTGCATAACGCTGATCACACTGACTATTAACTAGGTGCATATAATCAATCAAATTCTAAAACACATGAATTCTCTTCTAGTCAGCAATACTTTCTTCTTCAGATCTCAGGCTATGACAGACACAGTGTCTGGAGATGATAAACTGTATATGAGTCTGTCTCTGGCATATCACCATTTCAGCGTCTGCTAACAATACCTGCCAAGTTAGATGGGGTAGGGTAGCAATATGAAAGCAAGTTGTACATTATTCTAATAGATTAAGAAAATATAATCCCATTTGGATCATTTTCTGGGCCTCCATCCAAACCATGAGGTAGCTTTGCTAATCACTAAAATGTACAGGGAGAGGGTGGGCTTCTTTTTTCATAACTATATTGCATTTCTAAAGGGCACTGTATTCATTTCTTTATGAGTATAATCTAATCAGAAAAATAATTGATTTATAGGATGATTATTCCATAAACAAACTTGCCACTGTTTTAGACTGAAATGACAACCCTCATCCCCATTTCAGGTTTTCAGTTTATACATGTCCTCTAACAATTCTTTTCAGCAAATATCTTTAAATATTTTCAATTGCTTCTTTACTGTTTCAGAAAATTTTGGCCACCTTGCAGTTAGAGTCAGGCCCATAAAAACAAGGGCTAATAGGAGTAACTATGATTTGAGATGACTAGAAATGCAACTTAAAGTCAAATGAACACTTTATACATGCCAGGAGTCGATAGAAGATACAATGATTATCCATTAACATAACATTAATTTATCATGTATGCCCATTAAATAATAATAATATGGGGTGGTTCACTAGGATGCCCTTTGGGTTACTACATTATTTTCACTTTTTATTTTTGTGCCAACCAGTCCTGGGGTCAATGATAAATGGATTTATTGGTTATGTTACCAAGATGATATGGAGATTGTTATAATTAAGCACATAATCAGAACATCCAGGCCTTCAGGAAAAAATAATTTTTAATACATAAATTTTCACTGTTGTTTAAATTTCTTGTCATCCTCTTCATTCTGTGTGAGGGTTAGTTATGGGCAATGAATATCAATCTCTGCCTATTAGCTTTCCTAAAATGTACCAACCTCTGGGCTAACAATCAGATTATGTTGTTTAAATGTGTTTGCGAATTTATTATCCCACATAAATGATTATTATTTTAAGATGTAGCTGAAGAACTATTTCATATCACTGTTTCAAGGGGAAAAAAGCTTGCTTTTGCTTAAATGTGTTTTTTAAAATTTTGCAGTAGTTTGATTTTTTAAGATGGAGGATGTTTCTACACAGAAAAAAGATATGAGATCTATTTTACTATGATATACTAGGCACTGAATTGTCTGAATTATTTCATTTAATCTTCAAAACAACCCATTAACTAAATAATATTACCCCTATTTTATGGATGACAAAAAATATGGGGTTCTGAACATTAAGAAAACATATCCAAAGTCATGCAGCTAATATGCGGTAGAGCATTCAGGGCCATCAGACATGAAAACAATGTGAGAGGCTGTGCTTTGAAACTGCAGAGTCTCTGAAATGGTGTGCTGGTTAAGAAACTGATCAGTAAAGTAGACAGCCAAAGCATTTTCCTCATATAGAAAAGGGCGATTGCAAAGCTGGCTTTCTTATTTCTTATTTTATTCTTGTTATTTCCACCTTGTGACCATTAAACTAGTCTATGAACTCTTTGAAAGTATGGACTTACACTTCTTTGTTTACTTCAAAGTATCTACCACAAAGCATTCAGTAAATATTTGTGTGTGGCTTCTGATTAATAGGAGTCAATGAAACTCAACTTAAATAAAAAATGGGTCTGGCATGGTGGCTCACACTTGTAATCCCAGCACTTTGAGAGGCCGAGGTGGGTGGATCATTTGAGGTCAGGAGTTCGAGACCAGCTTGGCCAACATGATGAGACCCTGTCTCTACTAAACATACAAAAATTAGCCAGGCACAGTGGCACGCACCTGTAGTCCCAGCTACTTGGGAGGCTGAGGCAGGAGAATCACTTGAACCGGGAGGTGGAGGTTGCAGTGAGCTGAGATCGCACCACTGCACTGCAGCCTGGGCAACAGAGTGAGACTCTGTCTCAAAAATAAATAAATAAACACATAAATAAATAAATAAATAAATAAATAAATAAATTGACTGAAAAATAGAGGAGTATGTCTGATTTCAGGCCCAGTTGGAACCAGGAGTTCAAACAATGCTATCTATCTCACTATTTCTAAGATAGGTCCTTTCTCTGTGATGTCCATAATAGCCATTAGCTGTACAGGATTCACGTTTCTTCAGCATAGTAGCCCCAGTAGCAGATGGCATCTTCCCTGACAGCTGTAGCTGAGAAATCACAGGAAAGGCCCTGATTTTCCCAGCATGAGTCATGTGCCTATCCTTGAACTGATCATTCTGCCCAGGAGGAAGAGGTTTTTCAGTTGATTACACTTCTGGAGTGAGAGATGTTAACTCTAAGATTTACATCAAAATCAATTGCCACAGATGAATAACAATTTCCAAAGGAAGGGATATAGAGATGGAAAAAAAAAGTTATCCACTACTGCTTGCCTTGAACTTTAAAAATAAAAGTGAACTTTAAAAGTTTATTCTAATAATTTATTGAACAGGACTTATTCAATATACAGACAAAATACCTAAGGTCCATCGAGAAGTGACTTTCTTATGGCCACACAACTTGACGGTGGTCAGAGCTGCACATTCTATGATGTTGAAACACCTCTGATTTTCTTGGGCTTGGAAAGGGGACTGCCAAGGAAAATTAAGACAACCACAGCTTTTATGTAAGTCAACAATATCAGCTGCTTTATAAAGTTTATTTTCTGTATCGAGGCAACATGAGGGCAAACTCAAGAAAAAGCAAATTGCTAGATAAAAAGGAAGCTGAGAGGTTCTCCAAAGACCATTCTTCTCAAATCAAATTGAATCTGACACTCAGGTGGATATAATAAAAAGAAGATGATAACAAGTGGTGAGAGTGTAGAGCAACTGGAACCTTCATCCACTGCTGATGGGAATGTGAAATGGTGCATCTGTGTGTACATGAATCTTCATAGCAGCATTACTCATAATAGCCAAAAAGTGGAAACCACCCAAACGTCCATCAACTGATACATAGATAAACAAAATGTTCCATATCCACACAAAGGAATATTATTCAACTGTAAAAAGAAATGAAATATTAACACATGCTACACCTTGAAAACATGCTAAGTGAAAGAAACCAGACACAAGAGGGTACATATTGTATGATTCCATTTATATTAAATTATCTAGAATAAATAAATCCATAGAAACAGAAAGTACATTCATGATTGGCAGTGGGTTGTGGGCAGGGCTGTGAAGTACAGGGTTTCTTTTTAGGGTGATAGAAATGTTCTGGAATTAAATAGCAGTGATGGTTCATAACTTTGTGAATACAGTAAAATCCACTAAATTATACACTGAATAGATAAGTGGATGAATAGATAAGCATGGATAGATAGTTGATAGATAGATATAGATAGACAGACAGACAGACAGACAGATAGATAGATAGGAGATTGATAGATAAAATTCCATTTAGAATTCTTATTAAGTGTCTACCGTGTACTAAGTCTTGTGTTACCTGCTGAAGGTACAGATACAAACAAAACAGGTATGGCTCCTGCCTTCATGAAGCATACAGTACTAAAGGCAAGGTGTGTTTGGTTTTCCAAAGGAGCATACAAAGAGCAATGGCAACAAAGAGCAAAGTGGCTGCATAGTTAAGAGACAATTTTACAAGAGTTTCCCTTAGAAATGGACCAAAACCTGTATCCGGCATTGTGTTATCTCTATTGTTTTAACTAGTCTTCAAGACAGAGAAGCCAAGGAAGGGTATATTAGTGAGGGTGTGGCAGCTGCAGAAAACTGAGGCTCAATGCTCCAGGACCCGCTGAGGTATCATGCATTTCACATTACAGAATTATCCCCCAGTGAAGCAGTGACTTCCATCCTCATTGGTGTCATTGGCCACACAAGGACCAGGCAGGTCCTGTAGTGCTGGAAAGAGCTTCTGGCAGAGGAAAGGAGACCTACCAACACTTGGAGGTGAAAGCAGTCAGTATGCACAGGAACTGTCCACCATGGTGGCAAAATGAACACAGAAATGGTCCAAGGGGATATGAGCCAGGCATTAACAATCAATGTTCCAGAAAACATTATCAAGAATCTGGGCATAATCTCTTTCACCCACTAGTTCAGCCGATAGAAAACCTGATTTTTTGTGCCAGGATCTTCCATCCAGGTGATGGCAACATAGTAAAATAGCAGACCTGATACCTAAGGGGAGATTAAGTTTATCCACATACTTGCCCACAAACTCCTCTCTCCAGTGAAGCAAATAAGCACTGTCACATTAATATTCTAGACTAGACTTCAGTCTACAGGTAGTAGAAAATTTTCCTTGCTATCCACACTCCCAAGCTTTCACGAAAATGAGTATGTGTCATCCTCAAATTTTCTTGACATAGTAAACCTCCCACTTCTGAGATTGCTTTGCACATTTCTGCCGTATCTTTCCAAGACTCACTTTACTTATCAGAATCGAGTCATGGGCATATTTACTTAAAAGCCTAATAAATAAAAGAAATAGATGCATTTAACCTTTGAAAATGGAGAGTCTGAACAAAGCAATGCCTATGGGGACCCGTATTCTGGTTAGGAGTGAAGAAATGAGGAGAAAGGGTCAGTTAGAAAGTGTGGGCTGATAAAAAGAGGTGGTAAAAACAGGACGCTAAAATAGATCTTTGTGGACACATATTTTTTAAAGACTTGAAATTTATTTATTGTAATTTTAGTAAATTTATAGTATTTTTGAGCTACATGGAAATAGAACATATAAGACACTTTAGATTTAAATTGCTTATTTCTTACTTATCGTTTGCCGCAGAAACACAGGAAATGGTCAGTATAAGATAGTCAATGTTGACATTATTGGGCTGAGCTACAGACCAGGGAGGGGAGGCATGAATACAATGAGCAGTTTCCAAGTTAATCTTTGTATCTCTTAACACATACTTAACAAGGTGAGCTCTCAGATTAATAGGATTCCACCAGCATCTATTAGCACTAGCTATATACCTGACATTGCTTCATGCTAAGCACAGTCTTGAAGAAATTCATCGCTCCAGGTCTTAAACAGCTCATGTCTTCAAGCTTATGTCTTCATGGTCTGTCCAGTTGAAGACACACCATGAGTGTGAGTGAAGGGGGCTCATGAACATGAATGAGGTAGGCTCTAAGCATTGCAATTTTGGAAGCTGATTTGAGCAGCACCAAGAGTGGATTTATCACTCAGAGGAAATCCCAAGATGAACTATACCAGCTTTGGTGTCTGTAGTTTTCATTGTCTGTGCTTTATTGCTGACACCACTCTTCTGATAGCCACACTCTTTCCTTAGGTATTAAATGCAGTCACTAGAGTTGCAGTGTGGACAAGGTCATTAAGCACTCGGGATTTGGGGTTAGACAGCCGAAGTTTGAATCCCTTTATCTCTGTGTGAGCTTGAGCATTACTGAACTGCCTGACACTCTACGACTACATTTAAAAGGCACAAATAAAAAGAGAGACTTATTAATAGAGCTGTCGAATGATTAAATGATTTAATGCTTGTAAAGTGCCTGGCTCATCATTAGGACAAATACCTAATGCATGCAGGGCTTAAAACCTATTTAATGGGTTGATAGGTGCAGCAAACCACCATGGCACATGTATACCTATGTAACAAATGTGCACATTCTGCAAATATATCCCAGAACTTAAAGTACAATAAAAAAATAAAAATAAATTTAAAAGAAAATACAATTTAAAAATGCTATGAAAATGTGAGAATGGCAAGCATGGGTATCACCAAATTCACATATATTATACATTTTTGATAAATAAAAATCTAACTACCTACTCTAAAATTATATATGATAAGGGATCTTTTTTGACATTATAAATCTTATTTTATTTAAGAAGTTAATTATTTGCTTAGTTGAGATTTTTTTCCCCCAATCCTGCTCACCCTTAGGGTTTTGATACTGGCAATATTTTGTACATATTACTGTTCTGAAGAAAGAAAAGGCAGAATTGGAGTTAAAGAAGAGTGACAATAAAACACCAGATGGAAAATATGACACTCCATGTATGCAGATCCTGGAGAAAGGATAAAAAAGGCCACTAAAAAAGGCCACCATGTACATTTTAAGTGAAATATAATCCATGAGAGTTTCACTAGGCAATGGTCACTGCTTTTGATGAATAAGTATTTCTTTAATCATTGTAAATGTCTAATGGGTATAATAAATGACTTACACATTAAAGAAAGTGCCTGGCACATGCCTGGCATATAGTAGGTACAAAATGAATAGAATAATGATATCATTAATGTTGTCAATGTTCTTTCAGTCCAGTGTTGCTGGTCTTGGAGCCACAGACAGAGTCTTGTTTCCATCACCTCCAAGTTCTTGAGAACACCTCGTTTCAGTCCTTCAGTATTAGCAGTAGCAGACTGCAGAAGTCAGCTGGGGCTGCCCTAACAAAATACCACAACTTAGATGGCCTAAACAACATAAATCTATTTTCTCACAGCTCTGAAAGCTGAAAAGTCCAAGACCAAGTTTCCCACAGGATTCAGTTTCTGGTGAAGTCTCTATTCCACCTTCTCACTGTGCACAGGGGGAAGTGTGAGAGAAGCAGCCAGTGCTCTCTGGTGTCTCTTGTTATAAGGACACTGATCTTATAGGATCAGTGTTCCACCCTTATGACCTCATTTCACCTTAATTACTTCTTTAGAGGCCCCATCTCCAATTATAGACACACTGCAGGTTCAAGTTCCAACATGCGAATCTGGGGGAGGCACAACATTTAGTCCATAATACAGACTCTCAGTAAGTCTTTGTTTCCTTATCCCCTCAGACTCTGAATTCCTTTATATGCAACATTCCCATCAGGGCCTTGGAACTGCAGAAATTATCTGAAGGAAAACAGGATGCATTGGCTGATTTTTCTAGTTGGCTTTATTGAGCAACCTAAACTAAACATTCTCTAAAATGGTAGCCCCTTAACAAGCAGACACATAGAAAAGAATTTACTCCCTATAGCAGCTACATGAAGTCTTTTTATAATGCTAGGTTGACAAATCAGAAGATGCCTTGACTTACTGAAAATGAAAACTCAAAGTTCAGCAATTGTGAAGAAATATTACATTATACAGTTTTATAAGAATATTACTTTTCTTTTGTCTGTCACTATTATCTAAGGATATTCACTTATTTTTCTGAAAACCAAAATGGTTTTTCTTCTTCAATCACATCATTAACGATAAGCACATTATCATCATCATCATCACTTTGCATTTTCACAGCTCCTCCTTCAGAAGACCTAAAAGCATTCTAGAAACATTATCTATTATTTTTGCAACTTTTCTTCTAGTCTTGTGGGGTATGAAAGAATACGATTACATAAATCTGAAGCAGAATATAGGCCTTTTATTATGTTGTGTACCTGGGACAAACTGACTTTTCTTTTTTTAATGAGGCAAAAGTCAAACTGAAAATATGAAAGCAGCTTATGAGCAAAATAGTGAATAAAAACAAAAAGACATATGATATACACACTATGAATGTGATATGCATATTATTTAAGGAGTCTACAAACTATACGGCCAGAACTATTTACTGGGTCTGGCATCTCCTAGACAAATGGCTTTAAATGAAGAGCTGGACGTTTGCACCCGGGGTTAAAAAGAGATTTTTACAGGGCTACTGAAAATCTGTCAGCAGATCTTTAAAAAAGACATCAGTCATATTTGACTTTACTTTTGTTCTTGAGAACTAAGGTTGAGAGATACCTAACAGAATATTTCCATTTAGAGGTTGCTCTGGTATTAGGAGTCAAAAGGAGAAAAAGATAGCACAATATATAAATATCAACCCAGTTAAAATTTTGTTTTTTTAGAGAGGATTTCTTTTCTTTTTTTTTTTTTTTTTGATGAAGTCTCATTTTTGTCGCCTAGGCTGGAGCGCAATGGTGTGATCTCAGCTCACTGCAACCTCCCCCTCCCAGGTTCAAGCAATTCTCTCCTGCCTTAGCCTCCTGAGTAGCTGGGATTACAGGTACCCACTACCAAACCCAGCTAATTTTTTTTCTATTTTTAGTAGAGACAGGGTTTTGCCATGTTGGCCAGGCTGGTCTTGAACTCCTGACCTCAGGTGATCTACCCACCTCGGCCTCCCAACATGCTGGGATTACAGGCATGAGCCACCACTCCCAGCAAGGATTTTTTTTTTTAAAAAAACCAATCCAATGATTTTGGAAGATCCTCTACAAGGATGAACCATCACAATGAAGGGATTGGGTGAATATTGAAGTGATAAAAATAAGTGAATACTACAATTTGAGTCATGCTTGTCCCATTAAATAATTTTAGGCAGTTGTTCATGTGTTTTAAAAATAAAACACAACTGGAGATAAAAGAAAACTATATCATCTAAATCACCATCTCTAACAACCTCATCCTGTGGGGCTATCCTGGAAATAAAAGTGCTGTGGTAAAAAATAAAAAAATGAAAAATAACAGACAAGGAGAAAACAAAACATCTGTGTTCTGATTCTTGAGTCTATCATGTGATAGTTGTGTGACTTTAGAAGAGTTGATCCTTTCTGGGCCTCAGTTTCCTCAGCCATCAAATAAGATAACAACACAACACAGGGTTTGTGAACATAAAATGAAAGTGACAGTTACAGACATACTTCAAGTATAACATAGAAAAGCAACCCACAGTAAGTTTCCAGACATTTTTGATATTAACTCTGTGACAAGGTTTTTTTTGCCTTCTCACTTGCAAAATGTGACAGTATCTATGGTTGTTTCTCTAAACTGTAGACATAGGTTTGCTATTAAAAATTTGTAGCCCTCTTATTTCAGAAAGCCAGGGCAGACCAAGCCTGTAAATTACATAGTCTACTGTCATCTTCTTCTGAGAAAACCAGGAAATCCTGCCACGTGGCCTTCGTTGATAGGACAAAGGATTGAAGCCTGGGCCAGGAGCAGCCCAATAAAGAGGTGCTTTATTGGCCAGGCACAGTGGCTCACGCCTGGAATCCCAGCACTTTGGGAGGCTGAGGAGGGTGGATCACCTGAGGTCAGGAGTTCGAGACCAGTCTGGCCAATATGGTAAAACCCCATCTCTACTCAAAATACAAAAATTAGCCAGGCGTGCTGGCAGGCACAAGTAGTCCCAGCTACTCAGGAGGCTGAGGCAGGAGAATTGCTTGAACCCGGGAGGCGGAAGTTGCAGTGAGCCGAGATCACGCCACTGCACTCTAGTCTGGGAGACAGAGCAAGACTCTGTCTCCAAAAAAGAAAAAAAAAAGAGGTGCTTTATCAGATGGTGGCTGTGTGGGCCAGTCCAATCTCTCCTTGCTTCCGGAGCTCAGGTAGGAGGCAGAGACCATCAGAGACACCTTGGAGATCCAGAGAGACCAGATCATTGGGTAGTACCAGGTAGACCTAGCTCAGCTCCCCCTAGCCATAAGCACCTTTTCTAGTTTGCACCAAGGCTCCTTATGTGCCACCTATGGCCTGGGAGAGAAAACAGAATGGCTGAACACTGAAACAGAAGAGTTGGGATTTTTTTTTGATACTTCTACTACCCAAGACTTCTCTGACTAGTTTACTTATAACTTTGGGGATATAAAGGGAAGTGTGGCAGGATTATGCAAGCCAAAGATTATGCATGTGCTCAATAAATGTGTATTAAACTCCTACCCTGGTTATAGCAATAAATAAAATGAAGTTTCCCTCTTCTTCTGGATCTTACATACTACCTGGGAAGGCAGTCAATAAATAGGTTAAAATATGTACTTTAAAAGCTGAGAGGAGAATACAGAGTAGGCTTGGATACAGGGAGTGGAGAATTTTCTTAGAGTGTCGGTTTTACCCATAAATACTGTGTGTAGAAATTTCAATGTAAGAACTAAAGAATTGATTATATTGTGTTATACAAATATCTAATGACTGTTTAGGATTTTTTTCCTAATGAGCTTTCAAAGACTTGATGGAGAAGTGTGGGGGGAACTGCAACACTCTATAAGAGGCTGAGCTCCAGACTCCTGAGAAAAAACATTTACTCGGCTGGGCGCGGTGGCTCACGCCTGTAATCCCCACACTTTGGGAAGCCGAGGTGGGGGGATCATGAGGTCAGGAGATCGAAACCATCCTGGCTACCACAGTGAAACCCCGTCTCTACTGAAAATACAAAAAAAAAAAAAAAAATTAGCCAGGCATGGTGGCAGGCACCTGTAGTCCCAGCTACTCGGGAGGCTGAGGCAGGAGAATGGCGTGAACCCGGGAGGCGGAGCTTGCAGGAGCCGAGATCACGCCATTGCACTCCAGTCTGGGCGACAAGAGCGAAACTCCATCTCAAAAAAAAAAAAAATTTAAAAAAAATTTAAAAAAATTTACTCTTCTCTGTAGCTAATGGTAATTTGATAGAAATTTCTGAAAAAACACAGACTTATGATTACCTGGGTACATCTTTGTTCCATTCAATTGAATGAACTTAAGATAAAGTGTACACCCAATTTATTGCCTCACTGCCTCGAAACCACCTATTTTGTCGTATATTGCTAATGAGACTTGGCATTTATTTCAATGAGTGCTCCTGAGTCATCCTTTTAAGTTACAACAATTCAACCAAGGTGTGATCTTGGTTCACCCCTGCCACTTAAAATCTGTATAAGATGATTTTCAACTATGAGCTTACATACTGCGGGAAATCTGAAGGTTTTCATGGGCATATTTAGAATTTCTTGGGGTTTCTATTATTCTTTTGTTAGCCCTGGCTCCGATTTCCAGCTCTATTCAATATTCTCCTGCATTTTGTGTCTTGTGACTGGGCCCTTTATTCTTTTTTTGGTGTCTTCTATTTACACATTGCCAACCCCTCAGTACTAACACACACTCCTCCATCTCACCCACACAAGGCAGCTCTTAGAGATAAACATTTGCTGAAGAAAATGAGAAAATGCTAGAGATCTTTTCTTTTCTTTCCTTTTTTTTTTAGAAAGGGTCTCACTTTGTCAACTACCCCACGCTGAAATGCAGTGGCACGATCATAGCTCACTGCAGCCTTGACCTCCCAGACTCAAGCCATCCTCCTGCCTCAGCTTCCCAAGTAGCCGAGACCACAGGCATGCGCTGCCATGCCCAGCTAATTTTTTTATTATTTATAGAGACAGAGTCTCCCTCTGTTGCCCAGGCTATTCTTGAACTCTTGGGTTCAAGTAATCTTCCCACCTCGGTCTCCCAAAATGCTTGGGATTGCAGGTATGAGCCACTGTGCCTCGCCTTAGAGAAATTGTCAATGGACAATTGAAAATTGGACATCACTTTTCTCTATTCTTAACCTTAATGATTATTGTCAACTCAAGATCCAAATTTTTATAAGTTGACCCAGCACCTCCTACTTTCCCTTCTACCTCATTAAATCTCCTCTGTTCTCCATTGCCCACTCTCCCTATCAATCCTATTTTTTTGAAAAAGAAGTTTGGCCAGGGTTTATTTCCTCCTTCTAATATATTTCTAAATGCCTTACCTTCCACTTTCAAGGAGTTTATCAAGGTTTTTCCCCAAATATAATTCTTTCCCTCAGGGGGAATAAATTACCAGTCAGTAAAATATTTTTCTAACTTCTCTATATAAAGAAATTTTAAAATATCTCATTTATTTTAGATAAAATAGTGACCACCTCAATGTAACCTCTCATTTTCCTGCTCAAGTGGAAAACCATCATGAGTCTCACCATCACCATTGCCACAACCACCATGATGACATTTTAATAACAGACAACTTTCTTGTATTATATTCCTTCTGTTGACAAAGAAAAATGGAATGGCAATGCATTTTTTAAAAATTGATTTGAGCTAGCTTAAAACAAGGGTAATTGTAAAGCTGGACATTTGTGTCCTAAGGAGATTCCTCACTGGGCAAATGGCTCAGTAATGGCCACAATCTTTTAGCCAGTCTTTACACTCACAAGCCCGGCTGCACAGTGTGAAATTGAAAAGAAAAAGTAACTATGTCTGTTCTGCATAATATGTAAACATTTGGCATCCTTTGTGAGCAAAGTTGTGCTAAGAAACAGCTAGAAAAATGTCATTTCCATATATATTTAGATTTCACTGTCTCTGAGAGTTCAGTTATTCTTGATGTGTGTGTGTGTGTGTGTGTGTGTGTGTGTGTGTGTGTGATTACCTAATGATTACCTACTTGGACAACAGAAGAATTAGGAGACCTATCTGCAACTCACACTGGTGGGAAACTATAGAAGAGGCTAAACTTAAATGTTCACACCTGGACTGGACTGGAGGTGAGGCTCAGAGTAGCACATGCCCTATTGGAGCCTCCAGGATATTAGTTTAGACTTACAGACTGATGGGATGAGATGACTCCATAGTGAGTAGGCAGCATTTTCAAAAGACAGATGAAGTAGAAGGGAGCTCTCTTTCAACAGAAAACAAATTTGAACACTGGGGAAGAAAGGAAAGCTAGGAACTGCAGTGGACCCACTGCAGTGGACTTTGGTTTGCTAGGGGCTCAGTTTCCCTCACATATTCTCCCATCTTCATTTTCATTCCTTCTGACCCCCAACCCTCACCTAACAGCATTTGAGAAGGTCATATAACCACTTGTGCACAATGCAGTGTGGAGGACAAAGTACAAGGTGGTAAAAGCAGACGGGTTCTGCCCCATATTCTTCCTTTGCTGGGCCCAAGAAGGATGCAACCCGACAGTAAGGGACACTGCCAGGAGTTCTAGGCCATCAAAGGCAGTGGACAGGACTGAGCAGTCACTCCTGCAGAGCCAAAGTCAGTGAGATAGAGCAAGAGATGACTCGGGAGGGATAGGAGTCCAACTCTATGCCCCAATATATACCAAAGGAGGTGACCCTCAAAGCGAGTGGAAGGCAGAGGCTTGGCTTATTCCTGGTGGAAGAATCAAATGGCATTGGGCACCTCAGATGCATCAGCAATGTCAACTCAACAATAAAGAACATTGTGTTATAGTAATGTGAAATGAAAGAAAATAAATATTCTTTTTCTTTTTTCTTTTTTCCTTTTTTTTTTTTTTTTTTTTTTAGACGGAGTCTCGCTCTGTCATTCAGGCTGGAGTGCAGTGTTGCAATCTCGGCTCACTGCAACCTCCGCCTTCTGTGTTCAAGCAATTCTCTTCCTCAGCCTCCCGAGTAGCTGGGATTACAGGTGCCCGCCACAACGCCTGGCTAATTTTTGTATTTTTAGTAGAGACGGGGTTTCACCATCTTGACCAGGCTGGTCTTGAACTCCTGACCTCATGATCCACTCGCCTCGGTCTCCCAAAGTGCTGGGAATACAGGCGTGGGCTACTGCGCCTGGACTTTTTTTTTTTTTCTTTTTTTTTTTAGACGGAGTCTCGCACTGTCGCCCAGGCTGGGGTGCAGTGACGGATCTCAGCTCACTGCAACCACCGCCTCGCCTCCCAGATTCAAGCGATTCTCCTGCCTCAGCCTCCTAAGTAGCTGGGATTACAGGCGCCCACCACCACACCTGGCTAATTTTTGTATTTTTGGTAGAGATGGGGTTTCGCCATGTTGGCCATCTGGTCTTTAACTCCTGACCTCAGGTGACCCACCCGCCTCAGCCTCCCAAAGTGCAGGGATTACAGGCATGAGCCACCGCACCCAGCCGAAATATTCTTTTTCTAATGCTTATCTATAGGCATATCCAATTCAGGGAAAGGAAATGTGAGCTCTTTGGGAGATGCAGTTTTGGAATTGAACTCTGGAAGATATTTTGGATGTGAGGGCTAACTGCGACTTTTAATAATATTAATTTCTCACAGTAGTTGGGTGTTTTCCAATTTAAAAAGGGCTGACATTTACAAAAATGTATTTCTTTAGAAAGGTATGAATCTGGTAAAAGAGAAAATGATTGCTTTGCCCACTGGGGAGGTGCTTGGGGAGACTTCCTCTGCCTCATGTCACCTGCTGGTCTTTTCTGAACTCCATACTTGGGCGGGCATCCAGCACTCTAATCCATACCACACCCTCCTCATTTTGGCTCTTGAGAGAAAAACTGGTAAACAGTTTGGTTTTAGACAGCAAGTTCATGCCTTTAGTAATAAGGAAAGCTTATTTCTAACTTCTCTGAAAAGGATATAATAATGCCTTTAATAAGGAAAGCTTATTCTGACTTCTCTGTAAAAGAAATAACCATAATGCTTTTGTTGAAGTGACATCACTGAACTATAATTATTTTCTAGTACAGAGGGGTGTGTAAGGAGGAATTTTGTAGAATATGTAATGTGCAGTAGTAATCCCAGCTACTCGGCAGGCTGAGGCAGACAATTGCTTGAACCTGGAAGGTGGAGGTTGCAGTAAGCCGAGATCACGCCACTGCACTCTAGTCTGGGTGACAGAGTGAAACTCGGTCAAAAAAAAAAGAAAGAAAGAAAGAAAAGAAAGAGAGAGAGAGAAAGAAAGAAAGAAGGAAGGAAGGAAGGAAGGAAAGAAAGAAAGAAAAAGAAAAAAAGAAAGAAAAGAAAGAAAGAAGGAAAGAAGGAAAGAAAGAAAGTTCAGAGTAGAGGTTTTTCAAGATATTGTGATAGTTAACTTTATGTGTCAACTTTGCTAGGCCACAGTCCCCAGATATTTGGTCCAACATTATTCTAGATGTTTCTGTGAAGGCATTTTTTTAGATAAGATTAACACTTAAATCAGTAGACTTAGAGTAAAGCAGATTACCCTCCGTAATGTAGGTGGGCCTTACTCAGTTAGTTGAAGGCCTTAAGAATAATAATAATAATAATAATAATAATAACAACAACAATAATAAAGCCTGATGTCCCCAGGGGAGAGAATTCTGCCAGCTGACGGCCTTTGTTCTCCACCTGCAACATCACCTCTTTCCTGGGTCTCCAGCCTGCCAGTCTACCTTGCAGACTTTGAACTTGACAGCCTCCACAATCATGTAAGCCAATTGCTTAAAACCTCTCTCTGGGTGTGTACACACACACACACACACACACACACACACACACACTCTCTCTCTCTCTCTCTCTCTCGGTTCTATTTCTCTGGAGACCCCAGGCTAATACAGATATTAAGAATATCTTGCACCATGACTATTCCATTAATAAAATTCCATTCTCATTTTTTATTTGAAGGAGAGAAAATCATTTTATAAATCAAGAGGATGTGCCAGTTTACAACAGTTTTGTCCAAATGCCAATTTACCCTTTCTTGAAAAGGTACTCTTGAAAGAAGATAGAAATCTCCACCCCTTCCATGAGCCACGGAATTAGTAGGGAATCCCTTGATCAAAACTAAATGTCATATTGGTATTCAAGAAATTTTCCATAATTACACATGAATTCAATAAGAATAACCCACCTGCTGCAGGGTGTGAGAGGGAACCTGACAGAGAATAAAATGGAAAGACAGAGCTGGTGGCACCAAATGACCACAGTCTACCTGGTGCAGGGGATGGACTCTGGAGATAGGGTGGATTCCAGGTATTAGTAACAGCACAGTGACAAGAAAAGCTTCAAGTAGCTCATCCTACCAAAGTCACTTTACTACCAATAAATCACAGAAATCCCAAAAGCATTGCATTCAAATCATAAGAAGAAAAACCTCTTACCTTCAAAACTCTTTCCCCACATGCAAATCCCTGGTGGCTTAGCTTAAAAGCCAGAAGCATTTGAAAAGAATACTATTTATCTATTAATCATGGATTTTTCTGCCAACTTTTTCAGACTAAAGATTGTTCTGATATGTAAGAAATTCAGAAGAAACACTAGATTTGCTTTTAAAAGAGTAAGCTTCCTTTATAAAAAAGATTATATTTTACTGTACAAATTAAATTAGGAGTTATTTTTTTCAAAAGCACTGATTTCTAAATTTTTTGACTATCATATTTCTACAAGTGTCATTTAAACTACTAATCAAAATGTTCAAAATAACTGAGTTAAAGTAAAATTTAACAAATACATATTTCACAAATTAAAGTGTCTTTAGGTATGCAACCCTAACCATGAGTGTATATTTAGAAATTATATTCTTGTAATATTTACTAATGTGTCATGACTGTTATAAAACAAATACAAAGGTAGAACATTTTAGAGAACAGTGTAAAAAAAAATTTTGAAAGATCTAGTATTCTTTCTTTATTCCACAATAGGTGGTCTTGTTTAGACCCCACATAGAGGAAGACTGCCATAGAGAGCACCTCTTCAATTTCTGGCCATCTGAACTCCTATAGAGTATTAATCTACTGGAAATATAAAAGTGATAACTTTATTTTAGCTTGATAAATACAAATCAGTCCAATGTGGCCTAAACTATTACTATAAAAATTGTTCTAGAAATTCCTTTATCATAGTGATATCATACAAATCTCTGACTTTTCTCCCTGATGTGTTTCTGGGGAAAGTGCTTTTCTAAAGTCCTCAAGAAGCCACTTCAGTACTTCCTCAGAACATAGTTTCATATCTCTTTGTTCAGTACATTTATCTTTGCTGCTTTTTTAAATGGCACATCACATTCTACATTTGTGATTTATTTTTTAGCCCTTCTGTCTCCCACAATACAAATTTAAACTTCCAAGGGCAGGCAAAGCGTCTTCTGTGCCTCTCATTGCTCTGCAAGTAATGGGTGATCCTTAGAGTCATGTTTACTCAGTTCTTCAGAGAAGGAAAGTAATTGATGATCTCACTCTGGTCAGAGAAAGCAAAATAACTTTAATGGTGTCAAACAAATCGCAGTGGCCTTTATTCATAATGCATTCTCTTGAAAGGCCAGCTTGCTGCAAATATATGCCCTGGACCAGCTGAGCAATAAAAAGAACAAGGGTTTGTGACACAATGTTCCAGGAAGTCTGCCAGCCACAATTCTGAGCCTTCTGCAGGGTAGGAAAAGGGCAGCTAGCTTCAAATGCAAGCAAGCCCAGGAGAGAATGAGAAGAGCACAGTGTACCCTCAATACTTGTCAACCCTAACATGAGGATGCACTTGGTCACCATTTTCCAAAAGGAAGGTCAGAACCTCTGAACCTTCCTTGTGCAGAAGTTTTGAAGGTCTGAAGGTGTGTTAGTGGTCCACAGATTCACATTCAAGATACTCAGAACAACAACAAAAAAATCAGGACTAAATTGAGCATTATGATATCATTGTTAGTCATTCCTCCAGTAAAGTAATGAGTTATTTACTATAAAGTGTGAAGTACATGGGAGAAAGTATTATGCTGCAAAGGACCATGAAATTTATTTTGTTTCAACAGAAAACACAGTATCTCAGAAATGGAAGAAAATTTCTCTGCCCAACTCCTTTGTTTATGTCAATTTTTTTTTTTTTTTATTTAATAGGTGAGGAAGCTGAGCATTGGAACTTGTATATTTTCTGAAATACACAAGTAGCTAGTGGAAGTGTCAGGATTGGATTCAGGGCAGAATAACACAAGAGCTAACACTAAGAACTAATTTATTTTATATTTAGTCCTTAGGTCTTTGAAGTATTAATATTTCAGTGTTAAATAACTGGGGAGGTGGGAAAGGGGACAGGAGCAGAAGAAATGTGTTGATTTGCCAAGTCATTTCAAGACCAAGACTCATATTTACATTTTATTTTTGATTGTAAAATTATTACATTTGTGGTAATAAGTTACATCACTATAGAATTGCATTATAAAGACAAAAACCACTAACCTCAAGAGTTGTCGCCGGTCGGCGTGATCCTGAAGTGTGTGTGTTCGTTTCTCAGGTAAAATATGGCTAAAAGCTTATGGAGTAAGTGGAAAAGAAAGATGCGTGCTGAAAAGAGAAAAAAGAATGCCCCAGAGGAGGTCAGCAGGCTTAAAAGTATTCTCAAACTAGACGATGACGTTTTAATGAAAGATGTTCAAGAGATAGCAACTGTGGTGGTACCCAAACCCAAACATTGCCAAGAGAAAATGCAATGTGAGGTAAAAGATGAAAAAGATGACATGAAAATGGAGACTGATATTAAGAGAAACAAAAAGACTCTTCTAGACCAGCATGGACAGTACCCAATATGGATGAACCAAAGGCAAAGAAAAAGGCTAAAGGCAAAGCGAGAGAAAAGAAAGGAGAAAAACAAAGCAAAAGCAGTGAAAGTGGCAAAGGGTTTGGCCTGGTAGACTCTTAAAACCTTGGAAAATGCCACATGGGATAGATGACGGATTACAATGTATACACGTGTATACTTTTATTTCAACTGCCACCAAATGAAAACCATTTGTTTTCCTATTTTAACTTGGCCTTTTTTCTTCAATTCAAACCCAGCATAACTCCTCAAGTTTGTTTTGGGAACTTGAATAAAATATTTTCTTTGATACAAAAAAAAAAACATTTGTCACTGTAAATAGCTATGCAAGTATTATTTCAAATCTTTTTCTATGTTAGCCTAATACGCATGCACACACACTCATTTGTATGATACATTTATGCACATATATAAACAAAAATGTTTTTTGTTTCAAAATGGGTACATACTAGGCAAATTGCTCAGTAATTTGCTGTTTTTCACCTAACAATAAATCAGAGATGTCTTCCTATGGCAGCATGCATAGATCTGCCTCGTTCTTTTTAATGGCAATATCATATTTCATAGTACGTATGTACTGTTGTTTATTCTCCTATTGAGGGAAAAGTAGGTCAGTTCCAATTAGTTACTCTTAAAGAAAATGCTGCGTTAAACATATGAACCCCAATTGTGATGCTATTTCTTCAGGTCAAATATCTAAAAATGGGATTGCTGGGTCTTATTGCTGAATTATTTTAACAAGACTTGTAACACAGGTGTTTGGGGTTTTTGTTTGTTTTCAGAGGGGATTTTTCCTACACATTTAAGTAAAACCTTTGAGAAACTACTTCAACTAGATGCTGAATTACACCTCTAGTGTGTATTCTCTTGTTTTCTGAGTCCACTTTTAAGATCTCTTAATTATAAGATTTTTTAAAATTTATCTTGAAAAGCAATATAATGAATGAAAAATGAGTACAAGTCCACGAATATTCATGTCCCACGGTACATGTTTGGAAATAACTTTCATTTTCAAACTCTGACCTACTTATGACCTTCAAAGTTATACTACTACACTGTGATACAAAACAGCTTTACATCACAGACTCTAAAACAAAAGAGCAAGTATCAAAGATAGCATATTTGATGATATCAACTGGTCCTTCTTCACCTCTCACTCCTCTCTTGATATTTGCTAGGCATCCCTAACATTAAATTTTAAAATCCTTCACATGCGCCAGGTGTCACATATACCCCTGAGACAGCAGCAGTTACAAACCTATTCAAGCATGCTGCAGGAAAACTTGATCTTAGTCCATTAGTACTTTGTAGAATTTCAAATTGGAAAAGACTTTAGAATAAAGAGAGGAAGAAAACTAACTTTTACCAGAACACCTGCATGTGTAGACACTCCTTGGAGATCACCTCTTCTGTTTTTCACAGCCTTCTTGCAGGGGAACTATCCATGGATCCTAAATGAAGATTGTTCAAGGAAACTTACACAGCTGGTACATGATGGATCGGGAATGCAAATCCAGATCTTCTGACTCTAAAATCTATGTTTGTTCTGTTCCTGGAACTGCCTTTGTAATTGTCCATTCGGAATAAATGTTCTCTCATCTATACCAGCAGTCTCCAAACTTTTTAACACCAGGGACCGGTTTTGAGGAAGACAATTTTTCCACAGACTGGGGGTGCAGGATGGTTTTGGGGTGATTTAAGCACATTACATTTATTGTGCACTTCATTTCTTTTATTATTACATGGTAATATATAATAAAATAATTATTCAACTCACCATAATGTAGAATCAGTGGGAGCCCTGAGCTTGTTTTCCTGCAACTAGATGGTCCCATCTGGGGGTGATGAGCGACAGTGACAGATCATCAGGCATTAGATTCTCATAAGGAGCATGCAACTTAGATCCCTCGCAGGCACAGTTTACAATAGGGTTCATGCTTTTGTGAGAATCTAATGCCACCGCTAATCTGACAGGAGGTGGAGCTCAGGCAATAATGCAAGCAATGGGGAGCAGCTATAAATACAGATGAAGCTTTGCTCGCCTGCCCCTCACCTCCTGCTGTGTGGCCCAGTTCCTAACAGTCCATGGACGAGTACCGGTCCATGGCCCAGGTGTTGGGGACCCCTGATCTACACCATATAGGTGAGAGAATGTAAGTGTTTTTTCTGAAGCCCACATAGCTAGCAACAGTGCTAACTTCCAATCCAACATGACATCCAGTGAGATTGATGGGTTTAGTGTGATTTTGCAAATGGCCTTAATCCCGCCTAACACTCAATATTAAAATAGGTTTCTGTCTCCTCCTGCTGCTTCAGAGTCACTATGTTCCTATCTGTCTCCAGGGTCTGGGTTTCTAATGTGGACGTCACAAACATTCCTTCTGTCTAGTTACTTTCTCTCTAAAGGCTCTCCATTTGTCCACGGTATGAGCATAAACCACAATTGCATTTTGTGTATTTCTTTCCATTTTCACTGCAGAACTTAAAATCCAGCAATATGTAACACCAATCTTAAATCCACACATGGCCAAAGAGAAAGGAGAAATTGAACAGCATGTTGTGGTTGACATTGCTCAGATACTCCAAGGAACTGGAATAGTAATTTTACAGCTGAGATGGAATTAGGGCTCTCAGTTCCAATGATGAAGAGACAGGTCCCTGTAGTGGCCTCTTAGGAAACCATTGCAGTCCCCATTGTCATTAAAAATACTCATAAACTCTTCAGCAATAAAGTCTGTGGCTGCTATCTTCTGGAACTTCTGAAGAGGCTGACTGAAACTTCATGTTTCAGAGACTTTTTACAAATAACCACTGGATAAACAATAACTTCACCAAGGTTCCCCTTAGTTTGATTTTATCTTCAGTTAGCTACTAGATTTGAGCTGTAGCAATCTGTACATTAGATCCACATACTGCATAGCTTTTTTCTTTACTAGAAATTTAAGACTATAAGAGGGCTCTCATTATATTTAAAGCATTCATCAAATGAACAAAACTAAGTGGGTTTAAGTAGAATTTACTATACACACTTAGAGGAACTAAATAACTGACCCTTTCCTTCCAGTTAAAGGCATCAACTTGAAAATTATGTACTATTGTATTTTCCAGTAAATTGGAGATAATAATCATAGTAGCAACTTTTTGTCTATATATTAAAGAAGACCCAGGAAAAATGAATTGTTTTTTAGTTTTCTTTTGAAATGTATCTTCCACAAATAGTTTCTGGAACTCTTCTATATGGCAAAATCTGTAATTCAGGCTTCAGGGCCTCTGTTCTCACTGTCTTTCTTGCTACATGGAATGAGCAGAAAGATATTCATGAAAGATTGACTATGTCCAATTTTCTATGAGTAAAAACAACAGCAACATCAATATTTCAGGATCTGGAAAAAAAACATGGCTATTCTCTTTCCTTGAAAAGATTGTTAGAAATCATGGCATTTTAATGAATTCAAAATAACAGAAGAGATTTTTGGGGCTGTTTGGCTTCTGAAAGTGCAGAGATAAATCAGATTTTCCATAACTTATATTTGAGGAAAAGAGATCCGATACTGTCCCTTTGTAGACCCATGGCAGTGTGAGGTACAAAGTAACCGGTGATCTTTTCATCACTGTCCTGGTGGACTTCTGGTTTCCAGGCAGTTTCAGCTGTCACATTTGCTTAAAGTTTACTGAGCTGTTTTTAGTTACTCATTCAAATATTCATAAGAAGCGAGGACTGCGGTTTGCTGTTTGGTAACAACTTCATTTTCGGCTCACACTCAGCTTGTCCTTGCCGACCGCTTCTTTGGACCCTGACTGGGCTTTACGTGGTCATGTGGCATTTCAAGGATAATGGGGTTTCCTTGGGAGTAGGCAAAAGAAACATGTTCCATCTTTTATCTCTGCTTGGCTGGATGATGCAAATAATTACAGAAGACAGTTATCGATTATTTGAGACAAGTGAAATAATCAAACCTATATCAAGCACTGCTTTGTGCTACCTAAGGCGGCAGATCCTTTAATTATTCACCTTGTGAGACTATGTACACATCAGGAAATACTAAAATGGCAATATATTGGTGCAAATATTTACTCAACAATATTGTTCTGGAATACAATAATGAAAGTACGTTTAATCTCTTGATATGTTCTTGGAAGAAACTGATGGACTGTACCATTTCTTAGCACAGGAGAATCATAACTCTTCATTAGAAACTCTCTATTATTTGATTAAAACTCCGGTTAAATAAATCCTTTAGGTAGACAAGTTCTACTGCTTAGTGGGAAGCTAGTGTCTAATATACGAAATAGCTGCAGTAATAGTATAAATAAGCAATAGTATAATACACAAAGTGCAGTTCTTTAATGAAGCTATAATATCAGCTATACACTGTAATTTTATCATCTAGGTTGCTGCAAAAAGACTTGTCAATCAAGACACATTTCTAAAATAACTTTATGCTTTGACATTAAAACTCTGAATTATCTGGGCTATACTGTACACCATATTTAGAGAAAGGGATTTTTTTTTACCAATTTATTATTTACATCAAATAATGCTCATTTTACAAGCAGAAATGTATGCTTTTTTATTGAATTTGCAACTACTTTTTTTTAAAGACAACTTTACATTTGCACAGTTCTTCTCAACATGAATACCCATTCTGATGCTCCTGAGAGCATTTGTATATTCTAAAAAAGACTGAGCAGGTAAATTCTGTATTATTTCATTTGGATTAGGGGAAAAAACAACCCTATCTGAGGCAAAGCAAAAGGAATTTCAATCTCACAGCCACTGCCCGATAAAAACCTGGAAAAGACCATTAATCTCATTTGTTTTCATTATAGCAAGGCTCGTTACCACAACTTTAGTTAAGGGAGTGCCAACATTTACACCAGCAATTATATATCAGCGAAATTAGTTCTAAAAAATGAAGCTCCTGGTACTATAAACCCTACATTATTTGCCGAGGTCTTTACGTGTTGGAATGGAGGAGGGTACATGTTTTGAATACTTGATAGAATAAACAATTCCTTAAATAATACCTAGCAGACACTGTAAATAATATTAATTCCTAAATGAAGTACCAACATTTCTACATATATGATATAATGTTTTATCTTTTAAAAGTAGATTTTTTTCCTGACATGTTTCTTCCATCTTTGTAAGAAAGTATGAGAAAATGTAAATTTACTCTTTCCTGTTAATCTTTTTAACAGTTCCATGAATGAAAGCGCTATCCAAAGTAGAGATTTCAAACACCAGCGGATGGTAAAGGGAATGCATGTTAGAAACATGCTGTGCATTAAACAGAGGCAAAGACAACGAAGGCTTCATTAAATCAGAACATCTAGCTCTAGTGACATGAAGGAATCTGAGGACTGTGACCTACAGTCCATGTGGTAAAATGCTGGTCTTCTATGCAACTTAGAAAAAAGGTTAGAATGAATATTTCAGAAGTGTCCTTCTCACCGAAAGCAAATTTAATTTCAAGCAGTAGGAGAAAATGGATCGTTAAGGTTTAGTAGGGTTTCACTTTTTCAGAAATGTAGGTACTGTGGCTACACTGTTTATACTAGGAAAGGCAATCCTTTCTTCCCCACCAGCAATAAGATATCCCAAGGCAGGGTCCAGAAACTGCATCAGTCTAAGGGAGGTAAACTAACTTCCAAAGGGGAGATCTGAATGCCAGGTAGTTTATTCAGTGAATGCAGGATGATGATGCACTTAATAATTACAATTACTTATTGAAGCCTTTGTCTGTGACAAGCACTTTACTTCTCTCATCTGATTTAGTCCCCATGTTAACTCAGCAAGGCAAGAATATCTCCATTTTATAAATGAGAAGACTGAGATTCAGAAGTATTATATGAAATGGTCAAGGTCACCTTCCTAGCAAGTGGCAGAGTGAAAATTCAAACTCAGGTTACCTAAATCCCATCTACATGCCCCTTTCACTATATAATACTGCTTGAATTAATAGTTAATAGGCACTATCCTGTCCTCTGGGACTTGTGGAGACAACTATTTCAGCAATGTGGCACTTATCAAAGAGAACCTCTATGGAAGTGAGGTTCCTCCAAATGTAGGTGGAATCTCTTATTTCACCTCCAAATTCACCTCCAAATTCACCTCCAAATGTAGGTGAATTTTAGAGAAAACCCAGAGAGACAAGCTGGATGTGACCCTAGCTGCTGCAGCCAATGGAGACTTTTAAGAGTGAGAAGAAGGAAACAAACTTGGAAAAAAAGACTTCTGAGCAAAAATCAATGAAAAGAGATAGTCTTATAAAAACCCTGGTCACGCAGTACCAGAAGGCAGTTTGCATTCATTTTAACAGAGGAGTTGTAGACCATGTAAGCCTTAGAAGAACTATGTCGTAATTTGTAAGGCTAGGAGCATTAGCACAAAAGAAATATACTTGATTCATCTTGACAAGTTCAAGACCTTGCTTTGCACATGAGACTGAAAGCTCTCAGTCACTGGTACATAACCAATGATAGAAGAAAATGACCAGTCCATCAGAGCTTGACAGGGATCCACATGGAGTCCCTACAGTGGAGCGGAAGATGCTGCTGAGCCAGATACTGATACAAGGGGACTCAGAGCAGGACCAAATGTGAAGCCCAGCCATTCTTCAACGACTGAAACCCAGCCATTCTTGTCTAAAGATTCAACCAATCCCATCTCATGAGAAGGAACTGGGAATTAATGTGCCAAAACTACATCCTAATTGATCTATAATATCATTAGAAGTTGTGATGGTTAATACTGAGTGTCAACTTGATTAGTTTGAAGGATGAAAAGTATTGTTCCTGGGTGTGTCTGTGAGGGTGTTGCCAAAGGAGAATAACATTTGAGTTAGTGGACTGGGAGAGGCAGACCTACTTCTTCTGTCTGTTTTATTCTAGCCACACTGGTAGCTGATTAGATGGTGCCCACCATCTAATGAGTACACCACCCACTCAATCCGGGTGGGCACCATATACTCAGCTGCCAGTGAGGCTAAAATAAAGCTGCACTGGTGCCCACCAACTCAATCTGTGTGGGCACCATCTAATCAGCTGCTGGTGTGGCTAGAATAAAGCAGGCAGAAGTTGGAAAAAGTGGACTTGCTAAGTCTTCTAGCTTCCGTCTTTCTCCCGCACTGGATGCTTCCTGCCCTCGATCATCAGACTACAAGTTCTTCAGCTTTTGGATTCTTGGATTGACATCAGTGATTTGCCAGGAGCTCTTGGGTCTTTGGCCACAGACTGAAGGCTGCACTGTTGGCTTCCCTACTTTTGAGGTTTTGGGATTCAGACTGGCTTTCTTGCTCCTCGGCTTGCAGACAGCCTATCGTGGAACTTCACCTTGTGACCATCTGAGTCAATTCTCCTAATAAACTCCCCTTCATATATACATCTATCCTATTAGCTCTGTCCCTCTAGAGAACCCTGATTAATACAGAAGTTCATGTATATATGTATACTTGAGTATAAGTCATTTTCAAAACTTTACATGGTTTAACCTGTTGTATTAGTCTGTTCTCATGCTACTAATAAAGACATATCCAACACTGGGTAATTTATAAAGGAAAGAGATTTAATTGACCCACAAGTCCAACATGGCTAGGGAGGCCTCACAATCATGGCAGAAGGCAAATGAGGAGCAAAGTCACGCCTTACATGGCAGCAGGCAGGAGAGCTTGTGCAGGGGAACTTCCATTTATAAAACCATCAGATCTCATGAGACTTAATCACTACCACAAGAACAGTATGAGAGAAACTACCCCCAGGATTCAATTACCTCCCACTGAGTCCCTCCCAGGACACACGGGGATTATGGGAACTACAATTCAAATGAGATTTTGGTGGGGACACAGCCAAACTATATCACCTATTTATCCGATTTTTTAGTTTTTAGTCTTCATAAAATCACAAGCTAAAGATTACTGTAAGTAAAAATTAAACAAAAGTACTGAATTAAATGCACCCAAATGATAGTTGAAGGTGTCATTCTGATACCCAGATTGGGGTAGGACACATATAATAACATCTAACCTTTCGTTGAGTGTCCACTAGGTTTCAACAATCCTAATCCTTAAAATAATCCTACAAATAAATATTAATATCATGCTTTATGTAGGAAAGAAAGCTAAATTTAAGAGAAATTAAGAGACTCTCTCAAGATTTTTCAGTTACTGCTTGTAGGATCAAGATTTAGATCCAAAAACAGGCTTTAAAGTCCATGCCATTGTCACACTGCAAGTTACCCACCCCCACAAGATTATGCATCAATACCCAGAGAGTGGACCTAAGCATTGACAATTATCAGGTGCTTTTGCTACCTTTTATTTAAGAAACAAGTCTGAAATCTAACCACAAAATGTTTCAATACTTCATAATTTCCCTAAGATCAGGAATCAACAAAAAAGGAAGATGAGTGAAAATATAGTCAATGAACTTCAGAATGAAGCTGTGTGATATGGCTTGGCACTGTGTCCCCACCCAAATCTCACCTTGAAGTGTCATAATCCCCACGTGTCAAGGGTGGGACCAGGCGGAGATAGTTGAATCATGGGGGCAGTTCTCCCTGTGCTGTTCTCGTGGAGGTGAATGAGTACTCATGAGATATGATGGTTTTATAAGGGGCTTCCCCCTTCAATCGGCACTCATTCTCTCTTCTGCTGCCCTGTGCAGAGGTGCCTTCTGCCATAATTGTAAGTTTCCTGAGGCCTCCCTAGCCATGTGGAACTGTGAGTCAATTAAACCACTTTCTTTATAAATTACCCAGCCTTGGGTATTTCTTCATAGCAGCCTGAGAATGAACTAATACACTATGTTTAACGATACATAATGGTAAAATGAGTGATTAATTCAAATTACATTGTAGAATAATCAATCTAACATGATGTCTGGTATCTAATAAAATGTCCATCATTTTTTATTAATTCTGAGATGAGCCTGCTTTTGTGTTTTTGCATTATAAAATCAGAATGCATCTCACAATTGCTATCAGTCAGGTAAAATTGCAAAGTAGTTATCATCACCTGCACATCTTTGAGTTCAGTTGTCATTCCTAGTGACCCAACTGGACAATCACAACCCATCAATATTTCTGTCAACAAACCATTTCAGGCCCACTTAAGGAAAAAATATGAGTCCTGGCTATTATGTGAAAATATTCTATTGGTACCTCAGATAGTCAAGTAAGCACAGGCATCAAATCTTCCAACTAAGGATCAACTGCTTCAAAGAAAATCCCAGAGACAATACTGGAGCATTCTTTTAAGAAGTTCTTCATCATTAACACTCTGAATGGCACAGAGGATGGCAGTGTGAGGAAAATCATGAACCCCAGCAACTGAGCCAACAGGATTTCCAGAGAATTGGAGTCTGCATGTGAACAAATTTTAGGAATGCCTCAGCCATTTTTACTTTATTTTCCTTTTCCTTTTGATGTGTACACAGAATGAAGTATCAATTCTAAAAATATTTTCATAATTAAGTCTTAAAATAACTCTCCACTATGTATAAACTAAAAATCCTAACAAGCATCATGGGTGTGTGCACACGTGTGTGTGAGAGAGATACAAAATAAGGTACACTTTTCAATTGACAAGGTCTCAGATTTTATAAAATTTGTAAGATTTCCAAATATTTAAGAAATATATTTCAGTCTTATTTCTATTTCTCTGTGTGTGGCTGTATTTTTTCAAGCATAGTCTCCAAAATGTTTACATCTTTTAAAGAGACATCAGCTATCAGCCTCAACGTTGGAAGATGTTTAACCCTGTGTTTAGATTTTTTAAAAAACTATTTCATTTAGGCCTGAATAGACTTACCAAAAAATGTGGCTTCATCATATTTCTCATTATATAATATTCATAGAACAACCATCATGCACTCCAAGATGCTGTACGGAATGCAAAGAATATACCTCTTTCTAAAAAGCTTACCTTCCAAGACTATGTCCACAGGATGGGTAGATCTACTTTCTGTTGAACATTTGCCTCATCAAATGACCAGTAATAATGCAAATAATTAGCATAAATATATACCAATTAGTAATATTTACATATACTACGTTGGTATATGTAAGTATTCGGTGTCTCTGTTCAAATGCTACAGGTTAATTCCTTTTAGGAGATTTGAAGCTATAGTTTTCAATTCCAGAATTGGAAATAAGACAGAAAATTTGACAGTGAGGAAAGAAAAGTCTACATGGGAAAGAGAAATTATATGTCTCAATTTCAGTGGAATGAAGATAAAAATTAATATATGATGTTGTCAACCTTGACCCATGCTCCTTCCACTCCATATATTTAAAAAAATTGTCTTTGCCCACTCGGCTTTACCTGTACATTTTCCACCCCATAGGAGTTTCCTTTTTACCAGCCTACTTCCAGGCTTTTATGAGGCCTATGAGGCCAGGTAAGACAATTACAACAAGACACAGGATCATGAGAGGAAAAGGGAGGATAAGAGAGTTTAGAAAAGGAGAAAAAAGGTAATTTATTAAATTAGCTGAATTGTAAACATTGAAATCAATGAAAAAATCCAAACATAATTTAGAGTGTATAATTTTAAAAAGTCAAAATGTGGATCTCGGTTAGTGTCTGGCCTTCTCTTTTTCAGTAGTATTGTTTCCATAATAGTCCATTTCGCAGAAATAAGAAGGAGAATAAAACTTAGAGAAAAAGAGGAGGCCAAAAGGGGCAAGGTAGTGGCTACTTGCAGAAACCTGAAAAATATGTGTGACAAAGGTAAGTTTGAGTTACAAAGAAAAAGCAACAGCAACTTCCCCCTCTGGTCTTTCAGGTGTTATCTAACATCCATCACGCTTATCAAGTAGAAACCTTTTTTAGAAGGTAAGTAGAAAAAAAAGGACAACTGAGTTATTCAATCATGTCTTGGCCGGTGGAGCATGGGGTTGGGAAATTAGGTGGAAGGGCGATAGTCTACCTTTACAGTAAACCGGGCAATTTTCCTCTTCCAAACAGATCTTCCTTATTAGAAAATGTTTCTAAAATAACTGTAAATATGACTTTCTAAATGATAACATAATATAAAATGGGGACTGAGGGGAAATAGCCTACATTTTACTAAAGAATTGTATTTATTTGTTATTTAGGAAAGAAACATGGAGAGTTGTTTCTGCAGAGATGTGTGGGGGAGCATATTACATGCAAAAGCATAAAAAATGCTTCTAGTTTCAAGATGTTGCAAATATGCCTGCTTGGCTGCAAACTAAATAGGTATTTATATGTGGTAATAATTTAGGTAATTTATTGTTGATTTTGAGAATCAGAAAGACACGGGGTAATCCCAGGTTACATATCAAAAGTGGAATGATTACCAATTAAAATTTACCATCCTAATTCCATTCTGAAAGACAGTCATAAGCTAAGAAGAAAAAGATTCACGATGCACATATTAAAAATATGAAAATGAGGCCGGGTGCCGTGGCTCACGCCTGTAATCCCAGCACTTTGGGAGGCCGGGGTGGGCGGATCACCTGAGGTCGGGAGTTCCAGACTAGCCTGACCAACATGGAGAAACCCTGTCTCTACTAAAAACACAAAAATTAGCCGTGCTTGGTGGTGCATGCCTGTAATCCCAGCTACTCAGGAGGCTGAGGGAGGAGAACTGCTTGAACCCGGGAGGCGGAGGTTGCGGTGAGCCGAGATTGCGCCATTGCACTCCAGCCTGGGCAACAAAAGCGAAACTCTGTCTCCAAAATATGTGTGTGTGTGTGTGTGTGTGTGTGTGTGTGTGTGTGTGTGTGTATAAATGAATGGTTTACAGATTAATTTTCAACTTTCATTGAAAAACTTGGAGTCCTAGCAAATGACTTGGAGTTGTGTCCAATTACCAAGTTACATACTGTTGCCAAAATTCAGCTCTCTTCCCCAGAGGCATTAACTGAGATTATGGGAAACGCACAGCAAAATTGACGATGCAGCTTTTTACCTTTTTAAGAGGATTAAAATAGAATTTGGTTGTTTTTAATAAGCTTTTATGTGTATTATGTGTCTGCGTGTATATATTGGGTACACACACGTATGTATCTCTATGTATATTTTTATATGTAGATAAGTTGTGCCTATCTCCTTTGGACTCTAACAACTAAAATGTAATAAATCAACCTTTTGTGCACTAACAAATTTAAGGCTTGACTACTCCACACACTCTGGTTTTAGCACTTACTGGAATCAAATCATAAATACCCTTAATTTTATTAAAATGCAGTTGTTATTTTCCTTTTGCTCTGGCTTATGATGATATAATACCAAAAATCAACATACTGTTTCATATCACCCACTTTCAAAACTATATTTCAGATATGGTAATAGAAAGGCTTCTTTCTATACTGGCATCTACTCCAGTTTTCAAAAGCAAATACATAAAGGACATGTTTCAAGAATGAAAAGATGATATAAGCTAAAATAAATAAGTTATTTCTAAGACATAAGTAATAATTGCAATGTAAGTTATATAAGTCTCAGTGACAGTACTCTGGCAAAGACATCCATTTATCAGTCGAAGCAAGTAATTCCATGTTCTGTGAATGGCAGAATGAGACCAGGTTCGACTGATTTATGAAGTGATTTTTTTTTTCCATTCTACTGAATGATTGAGACAAAGGACCTGCAGCAGTGGTGGTTCATATTTTCTGTTGAAGTGCCAATTTTTTGTATTACTTTTGTTTTGTTTCTAGTGGAGACATTGTTGTCTCATTCACCTACCTATGTTGAATAAGAAATTAAAGTTTAACTCTAGGCTATTCAGGATGAATGGCCCCAAGAAAGTAATTGAATAATTCCTATCTTTCTTACATCCTGCTTTGAGTGTCATATATGGGAAAAGTATTTATCTTTGTATATTCTTTTAAGTCCAGCATGATCCCTAGGATGTAGGAGGCACTAAAAAGAAATTGTAGAATCAAGTTGAAATGGCCTCTAAACCTGCTGGATAGGCAGCAAACTGTGATGGGGAAGCAAAAAACCACAATCTCATAATCCTGACTTGGGCACTTACAGGCCGGGTAGACTATGGGCAGACTCAGTTTGTTCACCTGTCAAATGGTAATAACCAGTTTCTACCTTATAGGGCTGAAATGGGGATTAAATAACACAGTGCATGTAAATTGCCAGTTACCAAAACAAGGAGGATGGGTCAGGCTATCACTAGGTTTAAGTAAGGGGCCATCTCCAAGGAAGAGAATGGTCTAGAAAAATGACATTCTGTCTTTCCCTTCTTCTAACTTTTTTTTTTTTGAGACAGAGTCTTGCTCTGTCACCCAGGCTGGAGTGCAGTGGTGCGATCTCGGCTCACTGCAACCATTGCCTCCTGGACTCAAGCGATTCTCCTGCCTCAGCCTCCTGAGTAGCTGGGATTACAGGCGTACGCCACCACGCCCAGCTAATTTTTGTATTTTTAATAGAGATGTGGTTTTACCACGTTGGCCAGGCTGGTCTTGAACTCCTAACCTCAAGTGATCCCACCTGCCTCAGCCTCCCACAGTGCTGGGATTACAGACATGAGCCACCGTGCCCTGCCCCTTCTTCTAACTTTTATATAGGCAAGTGGATTCCAAGTGTTGCTTTTAAAGGCACATAAACACAAAACACACACACGGGCACACACACATACAACAATCCCAAAAGGCAGCCTGAAGCCAGAAGGAAATGAAAGGTGGATAGAGACAAGGCCCATCTGTCAATTTATCTTGGCCATAAACACGGGCCTTGAGATGGCCTCCATATTTTTGCTAATGCTTTTTTGTTCTTGTTTCCCCTCACTCTGCAGCCCCACATCAACTGGGAGAACCACTTCATCCCCTCCCCACCAGCTGCTGCCCAACTCACTGCTTAACCAATCATCATTACAGCCATATAAGGACTCCCCAGAAAGTCAAGGCTCAGGACATCACTCTTAATTCTGTTCTTCTCAGAGTGCGGTACCAGTGCCCCCAGGTGGATCACTACATGGAGAGTACAAAGAGCCTCAGACAAAAGCATGGAGTATCTATTTTATTTAAGGATTTGGACTACAGAGGAATATCTTTACACTAAGACAAATACAGACATATTATGGAGTAGAATGTAATATTGTCATGAATTTTTCAGACAAAATAATGGATGTTAAAGAAAATTCAAGCAAACTGAGAGAGGGCGGAGCCCAAGGCTAGGTCCTAAATGCCCCCATTTCCCAACTCACGAGTATACATACTTCCTTCCCTTGGTCATTCAGAGTAATTTTCAGACAAAGACTGAGAAGCAGTGCCTAGCACATTTTCTTAGATAGACTTCTAAATGTTTCATAAGAAAGTGGGTGTTCTAAGGAAAAAGCTGTGCCCCTGAAGGTAGAATCTCATCGCGCTAAACAGTATAAGAATGTCTAATTCATCACATTTGCCATCTAGATCTATTTTCAATTGCAGATTGATAACATATATTAATAGCATTAATTTTAAAGCTACTAGAAAGTCTATCCGGTAAAAAATACCACATGTAACCACAAATATCTAATAGGTAAAAATTGCTGAATGCAAATCTTCTCTTTTGGCCCAATTTTATGCATTGGTACAATGTTACATGGGTTTTTTTTTTTGTTTTTTTGTTTTTTTTAGATGGAGTTTCACTCTTGTCGCCCAGGCTGGAGTGAAATGGTGCATTCTCGGCTCACTGCAACCTCTGCCTCTTGGGTTCAAGCAATTCTCCAGCCTCAGCCTCCCAAGTAGCTGGAATTACAGGCACCTGCCACCATACCTTGCTATTTTTTTTTTTTTTTTTGTATTTTTAGTAGAGACAGCATTTCACCATGTTGGCCAGGCTGGTCTCAAACTCTTGATCTCAGGTGATGCGCCCGCCTCAGCCTCCCAAAGTGTTGGTATTACAGGCGTGAGCCACCACACCCGGCCAATGTTACATATTCTTAATAAAATAAGTTAACAAACATCCCATTCATGCAGCAAACTATTGAGAAGCTACTATGTGCAAATAATTTTGGTTCATACAAAGTGAAATAAAATGTGGGGTTTTCTTTCAAGATATCCACAATCTAAGCCCTGTGAAACAGAATGTAAATCACATACATAATTTTAAATGTCTTGATAGCCATATTCATAAAAGGAAAAATAAGTAACATTAATTTTAATAATTTGGTATTAATTTCAATAATATATTTATTTAACCCAGTATGTCCAAAATGTCATCATTTCAACATATAATCAACAAAAAAAGTATCATTAAGACATTTTACATTCTTTTATTATAGTGAGACTTCAAAATGTATTTTACACTTGCAATACATCTCATTTGGACTAGCCGTGTTGCAAATGATCAAAAGCCACATGTGACCAGTGGTTACTATATTGGACAGCACAGAAATGAATCATTAATAAATACTGATTAAGCCCATAATTTAAAAATTGCAGCTGCAATACCAGTTCCTGAAGATACAGTGGTAAATGAGATGTTATCCCTGTCCTCACAGAGCACACATTCTGGCAAATGATGACAAAGAATAAGTAAAAGATAACTATAATACAAATGGTGAGTGTTACAGGAAACAAGCCCAGGAGTGGTGTAGAGACTGCTCGGTGGGAATGGGGTTGAGAGCCTGTTAAGGGATGGGGTAAAGCGTTCTGTATTAGTCCATTCTCATGCTGCTAAAAAGGCATACCTAAGACTGGGTAATTTATGAAGAAAAGAGGTTTAACTGACTCACAGTACTGCAGGCTGTACAGGAGGCATAGTGGGGGAGGCCTCAGTAAACTTACAATTATGGCAGAAGGCAAAGGGGAAGCAAGCACAACTTCATATGGTAACGGGAGAGAGAGATCAATGGGGAAAGTGCCACACACACTTAAATAATCAGATCTCCTGAGAACTCACTCAGTATCACTATAATGGCAAGGGGAAAATCCGTCCCCATGATCCAATCACCTCCCACCAGGTCCCTCTCCCACTATTAGGAATTACAATTCTACATGAGATTTTGGTGGGGACACAGAGCCAAACCATAACCATATCAGGCTCTATTTTAAATGGAGTGGCTAGGGGAAGATGTCTATGAAAAAATAGCATTTAAAGCAGAGAACTTGCATTAGTTTTCTATTGCTGTTGTAAGAAATAACTAGAAACCTCACGGCTTAAAGCCACATAAACTGATTACCTTACAGTTCTAGAAGCTCGAAGTCTGAAATGGGTCTTATGGGGCTGAAGTCAAGATGCTGGCAGGGCTGTGTTTCTTTGGAGGCTCTAGAAGAGAATCCATTCCTTTCCTTTTCAGTGTCTAGAGGCTGCCTGCAGTCCTCAGCTCATCACCACCTTTGTCCTCAAAGCCTAAAAGCTCCTCAACCCAGCTTCTATTTTCACATCTCCTTTGCTGACTGACTCTCCTGCCTCCCTCTTTTGCTCATAATGACTATTATGATTAAACTGTCCCCAGCCGGATAATCCAGGCATATCTTTTCATCTCAATATCCTTGACTTAATCACATCTACAAAGTTCCTTTTGCCATGTAAGGTAATTTATTCACTGGTTCCTGGAGATTAGGACATGAACGTCTTTGGGAGGCCACCATTTGCCTGCCATAGACCTGCAGGATACAAAGGAGTGGAAAAAGAGTGTTTCTATCTAGACTCTAGAGTAAGAAAGAACTTGGCAAATTCAAGGAACTGAAGGAAGATCCATGTTACGGTAGTACAGAATGCAAGGGGAAGAATGGTGCAAGACAAGGCTGGGAGCAGGGTAGGGGCCAGAACACACAGGGCCTTTTAGGCCATGTTAAAGAATTTGAGTTCATTCTATTACAACTGGGAGCTAGTTGAGGCTTTTAAGAGATTATTACCAAATAATCTAAGCAGTAGAATCAAGTATCAAGTAATCTAAGCAAATTTAAGCAGTAGAGGTTATTATCAAATAATCTAGCTTATGTAATAATTGAATTAGTTTGGCTGCTGGAGGAGAATGAGTCAAAGTGGAACATAAATGGAAGTGAGAGGACCAATGAAGGCTGATGCCAAACTATTCAAGACAATGGCAGTAGATAAGGACAGAAGTAGCCCAGTTGATTATAGTGCTAGTCATAAAGGTTACTGTTTATCAAAACTTGAACTGTATGCTTAATATTATGCACTTGATTGCAAGCAACTTTTTAAATATCATAAAATCATGACTGCACCGCGCAGCTCCCGGCCGCCTGAGCGCCTGTTTGCTGCCTCATACTCCTCCATCCAGCCGCCATAATAAGTGCCAGCCGAGCTGCAGCAGCCCGTCTCAGGGGCACCGCAGCCTCCCCGGGCCCTACGGCCGCCCGCCAGCAGGATGGCTGGAATGGCCTTAGTCATGAGGCTTTTAGAATTGTTTCAAGGCAGGATTATGCGTCAGAAGCAATCAATGGAGCAGCTGGTGGTGTTTATTTGGGTACTACCAACTCCTGTGTGGCAGTTATGGAAGGTAAACAAGCAAAGGTGCTGGAGAATGCCGAAGGTGCCAGAACTACCCCTTCAGTTGTGGCCTTTACAGCAGATGGTGAGCGACTTGTTGGCATGCCAGTCAAGCAACAGGCTGTCACCAACCCAAACAATGCATTCTATGCTACCAAATGTCTCATTGTCCAGCTATCCTGAAGTACAGAAAGACATTAAAAATATTCCCTTTAAAATTGTCTGTGCCTCCAATGGTGATGCCTGGGTTGAGGCTCATGGGAAACTGTATTCTCCAAGTCAGATCGGAGCATTTGTGTCGATGAAGATGAAAGAGACTGCAGAAAATTACTTGGGGCACACAGCAAAAAATGCTGTGATCGCAGTCCCAGCTTATTTCAATGACTTGCAGAGGCAGGCCACTAAAGATGCTGGCCAGATATCTGGACTGAATGTGCTTCGGGTGATTAATGAACCCACAGCTGCTGCTCTTGCCTATGGTCTAGACAAATCAAAAGACAAAGTCATTGCTGTATATGATTTAGGTGGTGGAACTTTTGATATTTCTATCCTGGAATTTCAGAAAGGAGTATTCGAGGTGAAATCCACAAATGGGGACACTTTCTTAGGTGGGGAAGACTTTGACCAGGCCTTGCTACAGCACATTGTGAAGGAGTTCAAGAGAGAGACGGGGGTTGATTTGACCAAAGACAACGTGGCATTTCAGAGGGTGTGGGAAGCTGCTGAAAAGGCTAAATGTGAACTCTCCTCATCTGTGCAGACTGACATCAATTTGCCCTATCTTACAATGGATTCTTCTGGACCCAAGCATTTGAATACAAAGTTGACCCATGCTCAATTTGAAGGGATTGTCACTGATCTAATCAGGAGGACTATCGCTCCATGCCAAAAAGCTATGCAAGATGCAGAAGTCAGCAAGAGTGATATAGGAGAAGTGATTCTTGTGGGTGGCATGACTAGGATGCCCAAGTTCAACAGACTGTGCAGGACTTTTTTTGGCAGAGCCCCCAAGTAAAGCTGTCAATCCTGATGAGGCTGTGGCCATTGGAGCTGCCATTCAGGGAGATGTGTTGGCCGGCGATGTCACAGATGTGCTGCTCCTTGATGTCATTCCCCTGTCTCTGGGTATTGAAACTCTGCGAGGTGTCTTTACCAAACTTATTAATAGGAATACCACTATTCCAACCAAGAAGAGCCAGGTATTCTCAACTGCTGCTGATGGGCAGACACAAGTGGAAATTAAAGTGTGTCAGGGTGAGAGAGAGATGGCTGGAGACAACAAACTCCTTGGACAGTTTACTTTGATTGGAATTCCACCAGCCCCTCGTGGAGTTCCTCAGATCAAAGTTACATTTGACATTGATGCCAATGGGATCATACATGTTTCAGCTAAAGATAAAGGCACAGGACATGAGCAGCAGATTGTAATCCAGTCTTCTGGTGGGTTAAGCAAAGATGATGTTGAAAATATGGTTAAAAATGCAGAGAAATATGCTAAGGAAGACCAGCGAAGGAAGGAATGAGTTGAAGCAGTTAATATGGCTGAAGGCATCATTCATGACACAGAAACCAAGATGGAAGAATTCAAGGACCAATTACCTGCTGATAGTGCAACAAGCTGAAAGAAGAGATTTCCAAAGTGAGGGAGCTCCTAGCTAAAAAGACAGTGAAACAGGAGAAAACATTAGACAGGCAGCATCCTCTCTTCAGCAGGCATCATTGAAGCTCTTCAAAATGGCATACAAAAAGATGGCAACTGAACGAGAAGGCTCTGGAAGTTCTGGCACTGGGGAACAAAAGGAAGATCAAAAGGAGGAAAAACAGTAATAATAGCAGAAATTTTGAAGCCAGAAGGACCACATATGAAGCTTAGGAGTAAAGAGACTTCCTGAGCAGAAACGGGCAAACTTCAGTCTTTTTACTGTGTTTTTGCAGTATTCTATATATAATTTCCTTAATTTGTAAATTTAGTTACTATTAGCTAGTGATCATTTAATGGATGGTGATTCTAACAGTATAAAGTTCACAATGTTCGATGTCCCTAGCTTATCATTTTTCAGCTGCATGTAAAAGGAAGTAGGATGAATTGATCATTATAAAGATTTAACTATTTTATGCTGAAGTGGCCATATTTTCAAGGGGTGAAACCATCTCGCACACAATCATGAAGGTAGTCAGCCATAGACTTGAAATGAGACCACATATGGGGATGAGATCCTTCTAGTTAGCCTAGTACTGCTGTACTGGCCTATGTGTACATGGGGTCCTTCAACTGAGGCCTTGCAAGGCAAGCCGGCTGTGCCATGTTTGTAGATGGGGCAGAGGAATCTAGAACAATGGAAAGCTTAGTTATTTATGTTAGGTACAGCTATTAAAACAACGTAGGAATGAGGCTAGACCCTTAACTTCCCTAAGGCATACTTTTCTAGCTATCTTCTGCCCTTGTCTGGCACCTACACCCTTGATGATTGTTCTCTTACCCATTCTGTTTTTTTTTTTAATAAATATGTAAAGCAAATAAAATAAAATTATGAAGTTAGATTTTTCTCTTTTATAAAAAGAAGAAACGACTTCTGGCTTTATGAGTGTGAAGAGCAACCTGTCTCCCACAACACATGGGATTTCAAGATGAGATCTGGGTGGGGACACAGCCAAACCATATTACCATGGCACGTTGTACATAATACTGTGATGGCGTTGATCTCATTCCATCAACCTACTTGTCCTGTCCTTCCCTCAGAGCTCAATATTGTACCCAATTGTCACACAGTTTCATCTTGGGATGAAAACTCTATTGGACTCACCTTCATTCATTCATTCATTTATATATTAATTCTACAAACAACTATTGAATGTCTGCAACATGGATTATACTGTGTAGGCATTGGGGACCGAATGGTCAGCAAAAACAGAAAAAATCCCTATGCTAATGCAGTGTAGAGTCTAGTGAGAAAGACTGGCTTTGATCAAATGATCACTGTTACCTGTAAAATTATGTCAGTTATAAGAATTATGAAGATTTTTGTGCTATGAGAATATGTAGTAAAGTATTAGCAGGTCATGGAACGTTTCCCTGAAAAAGTAAGGCTGGTTCTAAGATCTGAAGGACACATAGGACCTAATAAGATAAAAGCAAAGAAAGAAAACCTAACAGTCAAAGGGAATGATATATACAAAGGCCGTAACACAGGAAAAAAAAAAAAAAAGGCAACTTGCTCCTTGAACTGAAGGCCGCTATGGCTGGAACACAGAAAACTCTGTGCAGAAATAATCCCCTTACTCGTCAGACCACTATCTTGACCCAAAATGAATATGATCCTGTTCATATAGTAAAACCCATACTGATAATATTGGCCACTATTAATGGGGCATTTACTATGTACTAGTCCATATTTAAAATATTTTATATGTATTAAGTCATTAAATCCTCACCACAATTCTATTAAGGAAATGTTGCTATTATTCTCCCACTTTATAAATAAGAAAACTGAGACACAGGGATAGGTAGCGTGCCCACGTTGTAGAGCCCAGATTTGAAACAAGTATCCTGAACCTTATGCTCCTCCTTCCTCACACTCACATGTCACATGTTGAAGGCAGCCTGTCCCCACCTGGCCCCCTGTGTTAGGTAGTTCTGGGAGTCTCTAGCACAGCTTTCCCTGGGGAAAGGGTGATGACCAGGAACTGTCATTAACAGTCATCAGTGGGTTCAGCAGTTCCTAAGTAGTGTCTAGTGAGAGGTGAGAATGATTTGTCACCATTTGTTGAAAGAAGGTAAGAAGCACGAATGAATTGAGGCAAGGTCCCAGTCACCCTAGAAAGGTACAGTGGGTGCTGACAGAGAGCTCAGGCAAATCATCAACACTTGACTCAGTTACTGTCTTTGAGAAAGGTAATGAGGATCTTTATTAAATTGCTGAGAAGGGAGTATGCCCACAAGACAAAAGAGATGTTGTAGAAAAATTGCCCCACTTGGCAGGCAAGAGACCCAGCTCCTTGTGGCAGCTCTGCCATTGACCTTGGGCAGACACTTAACATCCTCAGGCTTTGGTTTTCTTATTTGTAACATGAGAGGACTGGAACAAGTGGTCCCTGCAGGTTCTCACAGCCTCTGGAGTTACTGAGACACCAGGAAGTAAAATTCAGCTCCTCTCCTGTATTTCTGAAGGAATAGACTTAAAGGCAAGAAATATTCCTAAACAACAATAGATAGCCCAGGCCATTCATGCTACAGGAACCTTTGATACATGGATTACATAAGTAAGTAAATTCAAACAAACAAAAGAGAAACTCTGCAACCCTTTGCAAAACATGAAGATTTTTGTTAAGGTGACCTCAACTTGCACCAAAATAAAATTATAAAGGAAATACAAACATTTATTCTTCCCAATGCTCCAGGTCCCCCCAAATTTGCATTTGCTTCCTTCTTTCCTCCACCTTACTAATTGTAAAAATAAGGGGCACGCTAAACATTTAAGTATGCAAATTTTAAAAATAATGAACATTCTATGCTTCTTTTGTGTTCCATTGTAATAAAATCTATTGTTCCATCCATCAGTCTCATTAGAGTAGGTTTTGACCTATACTGAAAAAAAAACACTCAAATGTTCAAGCTCATCTGCCAAATGAGGGGCCTCAGAAGGACAATCTCCACTGTTTCCTCCCCCAGTGAATATTATATGATTCTCCATGGAAATGATTATAATAGATCAGCAGCACTGTGGTTTTACACAAAGGGTAGGACCTCATCGGCAGGCTAGAAGCCTAGAAATTGGAACTATCTCGATGAATACAGAAAAATTTTCTCATGGTTAATATGTTCTCCTAATCATGAAAAAATTTTAAGAAAGAACTTAGAGGTCTCACGGTCTGTTTCCTTCCCAAAGTACAGGATCTAGAAAAATGCTATTACCAAATATCTTGATGTAGCTTTTCTGTTGTTAAAAGAAAATACATATTGCTGAAAGAAGAGAGACATTGCAGAAGTTACCTCTCAATCAGCTTTTCAACAGGTTATATTGCAGGCATGAAATGAAAGCACCAAGACTTTGATTATGTGTAGATTATAATTATGTTAATTATGTTTCTCTTGTGTTTTTTTTTTTTTTTTTTTGAAACAGAGTCTCACTCTGTCACCAGGCTGGAGTGCAGCGGCGCAATCTCAGAGGCTCACTGCAACCTCCACCTCCCAGGTTCAAGTGATTCCCTTGCCTCAGCCTCCCAAGTAGCTGGGACTACAGGCACGTGCTACCATGCCCGGCTAATTTTTGTATTTTTAGTAGAGATGGGGTTTCACCATGTTGGCCAGGATGGTCTTGATCTCATGATCTGATGATCCCCCCAGCTTGGCCTCCTAAAGTGCTGGGATTACAGGCATGAGCCATCATGCCTGGCCTATAATTATGTTTTAAATTTGGGGCCATATCTGGTCACTATTTAACAACATGTTCATCTAAAAATTAAGTCCTTTAAAAAATTATTATTGGGTACTGGATTCCAAGATAGGATTCCATATGTTTCCTATACTTTACCATTACCAAGGTGTAAGACCATGTTTTATCTGCTATTTCCACAATGAAGGCAATGAGTAATTGAATCAATAAATTAAACGAATAAATAAATTGAATATTTGATCCATATATTTCTGGCAGAATGCAACAAGCAACCTCTTGGACCAGACAATTCTATTGATTTTTTCTTTGTCTTATTTATTCCATGTTATTACTTAAATCAAATAGCAAATCAAGCAGTTATAACCTTCTGTTATTGACCAAAAAAAAAAAAAATAATACACAGGAAAGAATATGTTAAGAAAGAAATTAATAGCAGATTAATACATTTATCAATGTAGCAAAATATTGTCAAACCAAATAACAGAGAAGGAGACTGTCTAAAATAAAGTAATATTTACTCTGGAATGGGCACTGCAGTGAGGAATATGCATGCCATAATAAATTGTGTGCATCTGCAGGGAGGTAAAGGAAGACAAAGGTTTTTAAAGAAAAAATGAGGATTGCATAATTGTTTTGAGATAATTATCCTTGGCTGAAAGGATCAATAACAAGGGTGGCGCCAGTATGAGGTTAGACTGGCAGTTGCTGAGCAGATGTCCCCGCAGAAGCATTTGTGTGTGTGTGTGTGTGTGTGTGTGTGTGTGTGTGTGTGTATAAGGTTGCAATGGCCTTTTTTGCAGTCTTTTGTGGTAGTTCTTGTTATCAGACACTCATGATGAGACCACTCTCTTCCTGGCCTTTCCCAACTCTATTTGTCAGGGTTTTTAACACAAGTGACTCCATTTTGATTCTGACAACTTTCACAATATTTACAGATGATCGTTTAATAATCACTGGAGAGAGAGATGCAGGTTTCTTTCTAGTTTACTGAATTCTTCCCTTTTTAGTTGCCACAGAAATCTTTGTGCTGACAGCAGCCCTGTGTGTGACATTTAGGCCCACAGACACCCATGTGATTCTAGAAAATGTCTCAAAGAAGGGACCTGGATTTTCATCCCTTTGCACTCCTGCAGTTTAGTTAAACAGCGGCGGCTGAACACAGCCACTTGCCATCCATTTGGTTATGATTCTTCTGCTTCATCATCAATCCAAGCATTGACCTAGTTGTAGAAATTCGGATCTAGTCAATTCTCCTAAATATCTAAAATGTGCACAACAAATCCAGTTCCTCCAACAAGGGTTAACCTTCGCCTCTTCTCTGTGTGTTTTTATACATTATGTATCTGCACTTTTGCATTAAGTGGCTATAATTAATATAATTTTGTTAGAGGCTAACTAAAATAAAAAGCCTTATCAATTAAGAATGCATAATATTTCATCTTAAGAAACACCATCTTCTAAGCATTAATGTCTTTAGACTACCATAAATAAAACATCAAGGAAGATGCTTGTGCATAAATCTTTGACCACATCTCTAATTAATTTTTCTTCAGGATAGAACTTTAGAAAATAATGCTGTCAAATTGAGAGATAGTAAAAATGTCCTTATTTTAATTTGAATTTTCCTTCTTATTAGAGGTTAGAAATTGTGCACACAGTCTTTGCCCTATGTATTTCTTCTCTTGTGAAATATCTGTTTACATCTTTTGCTTATTTTTCTAAGTCTTACGTTTTCAATACCACATTCGACTGCATGTGTAATTTGTAATTTAAAATAGGGTTCAGTGAAAGGAGGTTTACAAATAATATGTGTCATCACCATCATTTAATTATTTATTTAAATCTTCTCCTTAAAGTTATTCCTTTTAAAATATCTCTAAAAATTTTTTGTTAAAATGCCATTGAGAGCACCAGACAGGCATTTGAAATATCTTAAGATAGTGTTAGGCTGCCACCTAGCACTTCGGTGTGGAACAGCCCAAAACACCCATTGAAGGTTTTCTCATATTCAGAGCATATCGAATACAGTAAACACAAAAATGTCACCTTATGTCCTGAATCCAGAAAGGCTAAAAACTAATGTCAATGAATGCAAAAACTAGGACTCCCATAGACTCAGGGACAAGGTATTCCATATATACATATCCTCTGTATTTAACACTTGTCACTGTTTACCTTAATTGAAATAGGAACACTACTCTGAAAGTCAAGAAAACTTGAGTCCTCATTCAAAACTTACTGCTAACAGATGTAGTCATCTTTCACAGCACAATGAGCCTCCTCAGGACTCCGTTTTTCCACAAAATGTAAGGAAGACAAAGGAAAGCTGTCTTGTTCCTCGCACTCTGCAAGGGTGCAGATTAGTGGTGCATCTCAGAGAGGACTGTATGCTTCTGGGGCTGTAGGAGCTGTGTAAGGTCGGATATGGGGTTGCTTGCAAACTTGGCCTCTTCCTGGTCACCCTCCCCTTCATCTCACCCCTTCCCCCGGAGACGGAGAGCACTTTCTCGGGTGCAAATGCTTGACCACATGCCTGCTTGACCATGCTTCTGGTCTCGTTGGAGAGCTTTAGAGAGGGACAAAGAGGTGAGGATAAAGGACCTGCCTTCCCAATCAGCCTGTCTACAATAACAGTAACAATAGTCCAAGTCCTATTATCATACAGTGTCCAGTGCCCATACAACATGGACTACTCACGACAGCTTCCTGATCTTCCGAAATTTCTCACCGGCTGGCCTTCTGCCTTCTTCATGGGGGACACAAGCCCCCCTTCATTCTTCTATAAGCTGTAAATATTTTTCAAAGCATAGTCTCTCTGCTCTTCTCTCCTCATGCTTTTGCCTTCAAAGGAATTGTTTTCTTTGCACATCTTAAACTCTTAGGGTTTGATTGAAAAATCTTTAACTCCTGGGCAGAATTTTCACTTGAGTGCCAGTGATGGGTGTTCAGCTGTCTGCTGGAATGTTTGATGTCCCGTCCCTAAAACCATCTTCCTTCTTCACCGTGTATAACCGAACACTCACAAAATCCTGACGGTTTTTTGTGTAGCTGTTTCTCCTGCTCACTGCTTCCTTTCTGTCCACAAGGGACTCTTTGTGGCATACATGGACCATGGTAATGCCATCTCTTTAGTCCTTTGCTCTTTTAATCCAGATCTTCCCCAGGCAGAAACCCACTTTTCCCCACTGTGCAACAGCATCATTTTCTATGTATGCCCCGAGGTGAGAATGGTTGCTAAGCCCCACTCAACTCCACCCTGCATGTGCCTGCCAAATCAGACGTCTTCAACACTGGCCTCATTGCTGTAAGGCCCAAATCTTCCTGTTAATCTTTTTCATTCTTCTTTCCCACCCTGCCCTGCCGGGATTCCTGTGTTCCAAGCAATTTTATTTCAGTGAGATTCTCAGATCATGCCAACTAAAGACTTGTAACTCAAAAGTGTGGTCTGTGAATCAAGGGATATTGGCATTACCCGGGATCTTTTTGAAAATCCAGACTTCCAGTTTCCACCCCAGAATTTTGAATCAGAATCAGAATCTAAATCTCAACAAGATCCCTGGGAAATTCATATGCATGTGAAAGTTTAAGGAATACAGAATACACACACCCCCAACCTCCCTGTTTTTCTCTCACTTCATCTATGTATTTCCTTAATTTTACATTCACAATCTAAAATTATCTTGTTAATTTATTTTCCTTTCTATCATCTGCCTCATCATATTGGAATGTAAGCTTTATGAGAGCCAAGCCCTCATGATATTTACTGATGTATATTTCTAGTACACACTCAATAAATAATTATTAAGTAAATAAGTTCTGAGCTCATTTCCTTATTCTCACTTTTATTTATGACAGATCTCCAATCCACCTTGCCTTCTCTCCTCCTTTTCTCCTTTTTAGATATTATTTATCCAGCTGGGTGCCGTGGCTCATGCCTGTAATCCCAACACTTTGGGAGGCCGAGGCATGTGGATCACCTGAGGCCAGGAGTTTGAGACCAGCCTGGTCAACATGGAGAAACCCTGTCTCTACTAAAAATACAAAAATTAGCTGAGGGTGGTGGCATGCGCCTGTAATTCCAGCTATTTGGGAGGCTGAGGCAGGAGAATAACTTGAACCCAGGAGGCAGAGGCTGCAGTGAGCCGAGATTTTGCCACTGTGCTCCACACTCCAGCCTAGGCGACAGAGAAAGACTCTGTCTCAAAAAAAAAAAAAAAAAAAAAAGGAAGAAAGAGAAAGAAAGAAAGAAATTATGTATCCAACAAATTATTTCTCAAACATTCCAAGCACATGCACTTCTGACCTCCTAGACCCTATAGGAACAACTCAGACACCCACACTCACTTCAAGTGCTTTTTGTGTATATGTTTTATCTCTCCAACCAAAATGTAAATGTCAGGAGGGCAGAATCTGTGCTTTATACTTTATTGGTATTTCCCAGAATTTACAGCAAGCAGATAAATGCATTCATTCTAGGTGAAAAGAAAGATTTACCAAAAGAGTCACAGAGAAAGTCTAGAAAAGAGAAATCCTAGAAAATAGTTTAGACAAATCTCTTTACAAGTACATTGAATGGACTTCACGTGAGTCCCCATAGCAAAGGTGTGTTATTTAATTATTATAAGTTAATCACCTCACTTACAAGTTGTGTTTTACATTTTAATATTATTATATTGTCTCATTGAGATTATTTTAAAATAATCCCTTATCCTAGAATGAAACTTGCATCTAACGTTATGTTTAGAGATTTCACATGACATCTTTGCTAAAATAAGTTTCAATTAGAATGAACTTCACTTAGGACACGTCAGTTCCTAACTTCCACTTTGATCTCTTCATAAAATCTTCCTAGTTTTGAATTTGAAAATAGGGCTAATCTTCCCCACGGTGGGGTATGAACTCTTTATTGTAGGGATTCTGTCTTTTGCATGATGTTAGTGAGGGTTTATGATCCCAGACGTATGTTGCTCCATTTTTCTGTCCATTCCTACATTGTTTGTGGCACACATCCCACATATACCAAGAAGACCGATTAGCTAATCTGTCAATCTTGATAAAGTGCCTGGAAATGCCCTGAAGAATTACCCAAAATAATAGTTTATACCACAGACACTACAAACTGGAAAATGTTTCAAGCCTCAAACACTCTCCCATACCAATTATCTAACTTCATTATGGTTTTCCACCTTCTAGGTGGCATTTAGCATAAAATGTCTTCAAGGTGGCATTTAGCATAAAATATTTGCACTCTTTCATAATACTAAATAGAAAATACCTGTATATTTTCAAAAAAGGAAAAGAAAATTGTCATGAGTAATGAAAATGTTACTAAAAATGAGGTGCTGGGTCAGGTGGAATTCTACACAGACTACAGAGGTAGAAACAAAGCAAACATGAGGAAAATACAATGAGCTCCATGACCTTGGTTTCCAATGCGTTTGATTTATATCAAAGCCAAATGTGGTTCATCCCTTACTAATCACTTTATCTGGAAAGGAGAGAATGAAAACATTATTTTTGTTCGTTCATGCCCAGAACATAAATGAAATTCAGCAAGGAAAATTAAGTCAGTCATCCAAAGATTCGAAAATTTTCTCTTTCCTTAAGCCTCTGAACCAAGACTTAGATTTTGTAAGGTTCTGATAAATCACTCATCTGGTTACAACACACATTATAATTGTAAACTGGCCAGACTGGTTCAAGTTCCTTCAAGTATGGGTTGAGAGTAGGTGCTTTCCTTTAATTATTATCTGTTTATTAAATTGTGTTTCTTATCAAAACCTCAGAAACATGTTAATGCTTTTTCTCCTGAGCAGTATGTAGTGACTGCTTCTCCACTGGTTTAGGATATTATCCTCTTAAGCCTCCTAAGGGTAGAGAGAAGAACTTCTAGAGTTGTGGTAACCCTCTGCCTTAGTGGGTGACCCAACTCTTCCTCACTTCGCTGTCAAAACAGGCTCTCTCGTGATTCACCATCTCGTTGAAGGCACTCACCTTTCCACTCGGACACTGCACAGTGACCTGGTATATCTGTCCTAGGTTGGCTCACTTATCTTGATATTATATGTACTCTGTGTGTATTTTTCCCTTGGCAATGCCAGTTTTTAAATATAAGTGAGTGGGAAACCAGAGACAAAGGTAACAGTGTTAATCTTAATGTGCACATTTCAAGTAAACCGTAGTCTAACAGTAAGAAAGACGATAATCACAGAACATTCTAAGGTAAGTATAAATGGGAAATTGAAAGGAAAATGAAAGGGAAAGAAAAGTTGAAATAGTGTTTCTGAAAAGCAAAAAATTATGCTTTGATTTGCTTCTAGAACACAGTGCCCACTTCTTAAATTTCCTTTTTTTTTTTTTAAATTTTGATGAGTAGGCTAAACTACTACGTGCATACATAGGCCTTAAAAGGACTAGTATAACTTGCAAAGAGTAGCTGAATTTACAATTTAATCTACAGTCCTAAAGGAACTTGATAACCTGATTCTTTGTATATTCTTTGTCCAAAGGCTATAATCAAAATTACCATAATGTCACTAAGAAAAATTATTTAAAGACTCTATAAATTTTAATTAATAAGCTACAGATTTCTTAACTCATCAGAGCACTTCTGTCAGGTGGGGCAAAATTTTAACTAATGATCAAAAGGAACCTTCAAAACAAGGAGACCTAAGAGATAAATTATAAATCACAGTGAAAGGGTGACAGATACAGCTTCCCCCACCTTCAAATTCAGAATTCAGCAAATTGCGCAAGAACTACATTGAAAACTCTTGCCTGTGCCCCCTAAGAGAGTCTAAAATGCTACCCTTACTAAAGTACCCACTTTATCTACACTTGAAGACCCAACCACTTTTGAGAGTAAATTACTTCCGTGAATCTGATCCACATGAGAAATGGAGAAAATCCTCTCTGTTTTCTGCCTGAAACCTGGAACTACCTTCTAAGAACATTATCTGGAGAGGAAGTGATATGGTTTGGCTTTGTGTCCCCACCCAAATCTTATCTTGAATTGTACTCCCATAATTCCCATGTGTTGTAGGAGGGATCCAGTAGGAGAAAATTGAATCATGGGGCAGTTTCCCCCATGTTGTTCTCGCGGTAGTGAGTAAGTCTCATAAGATGTGAGGTTTTATCAGGGTTTTCCGCTTTTGCATCTTCCTCATTTTCTCTTTGCCTGCTGCCATCCATTTAAGACAGAAGTTACCCCTCCTTGCCTTCTGCCATGATTGTGAGGCTTCCTCAGCCATGTGAAACTGTAAGTCCAATTAAACCTCTTTCTTTTGTAAATTGCCCAGTCTCGGGTATGTCTTTATCAGCAGTGTGAAAACAGATTAATACAGGAAAGAAATAGGGAGAGAGAAAAAGACTAGACATCTGAGTTAGCCAACAGTATTTCTTCTGATATTCTTGCTTAGAAGACTCTATTTCCAAGGACAGACATAGTTAAAAACTAGGGAAGGAGGACCAAGATACACAAGTTAAATGATCTGTCCCAAGGTCATTTCACAGATATGCATGTTTCTCCTTTTCAGAAATTAAAGACTTACATAACCAAACCAAAAAGACTCAGAGTCCCTAATGAATCCAACAAGAGAAAATTATTTGCCTCAAAATACAAACATTTTAACTGATATTTTAAGCTGATTTGATTTGCTAAATTTACAAAACTAACAAGTTTCGACTCTTTCAAGGGAACTGGCTTGGATGGAGCCAAGAGTTAATATACCAGCATGTTGCCAAGGGTAGACGACATGCCCCGCCTCCCATATCCAGTTACATTTTCTAACATGCAAGGGGACCTTCTTTACTTTCTATTGTCCCTTCCCCTCTACATACACACAATACCCCACTGCAAGATGTGAGATATGGCACATAGGAATGGAAGGCAAGATAAAACAGTCATTTTGTCATAGCATAAGAACACAATTGGCATGTGCAATGCAGGCACAGCCTCATGATGGGAAGCTCTAGGCAACAGTGGTGGAAAGACAGACAGAGACAGATGCTCACGGAGTATCACTGCCCAAGGGGAGTCAGTGCTAGCATGTGGGTGACACAAGTAGGCTGGCTGAGGAACAAGAACCTCGATTCAGAAGAGCAAGCCTGACCACCAGCAGAAAAGGGGCAAATAAGGAAGCAGAAGTGTGATTTCCACATGAGGCAGCATACCATCTTCCCCCAACCACACCTTAGGGTCTGCAAGAGAACATAAGGAGGGGGAAGCCCTGAAGTTGTATCATGGGACATGTGGCCATCTCTCTCTCTTTCCCATTTTTGTGTCCCCTATTATAAAATGGTCTATAGTCACTGTTTCCACATCCTCCTCTCCCATTCTCAATTTTCCTCTCCAATTAGGCTGTCTCTGTCCACTGAAACTGCTCTTGTCCATCTCAGCCAGCCATGGGTCAAACCCAGTGGTCACTTCCCAGTCCTTACCTTCCTCCCGTCTCAGCCCTGTTTGTCACAATAGGTCCTCTCTCTTTCTTAATAAGCTTTCTTCATTCATTCTCCAAGACACCACTCTCAACCCACTCACTGACGTGCATCCTCATCTTTGCTCAAATGACATCAAGGTGCCATTTCCCTGACATCTCGAGCACTCCGGGACAGTATTTGGATTTCTTCTCTATGCATACTCACTTTAAAAATAATCTTGTTTAGCCCATAGGCTTTAAATATGTTAAAGTCTCCCCAATTTAATTCTTCATGCCCAAACTCTCTCCTGAACACCAGATGCATATATCATAATGTCCACCTAACATCTCTATTTGGAAGTTGAATGGACATCTCAAAGTTAATGCATCTGAAACGATCTCTTTGTTTTTTACCACTGCCCACACACCTAAAACTCCTCCTGCAGTCCTTTTGGTCTTAGAGTCTAGCCATGCAGATACTCAGCCAAAAACTTGGAGTCATCTTTGATGCTTCTGTCTATGTCACACATCACATCGGTAAATCAATCAGCTGTTCCTCTATGTTCAATCTGCCCACTTCCCACTACTTCCATTGTTACCCTAATCCAGGCCATCATATTGCAGTTGCTTTTATGCTGGTCCCTTTATATCCACTCTCATCGAACTATCCCCTTATAGAAGTCTGAGTAATCCTTTTAAATAATCAGAGTATGTCATTCCTGTACTCAAAACCCACCCACTTAGAATATAAACCAAAATCATTATTCTTGCCTTCAAAACCTATGTTATCTGACCCTTAGGCAATTTTCCAATATAATTTCCTATTAATTTTCAGTGAGCCCCACTCACACTGGCCTTCTTGCTAGTTCTTAACAAAATAAAATAAAAAAAAATATCCAGCCGGGGACGGTGGCTCACGCCTGTATTCTCAGCAGTTTGGGAGGCCGAGGCGGGTGGATCACAAGGTCAGGAGCTCAAGACCACCCTGGCTAACACGGTGAAACCCCGTCTCTACGAAAAATACAAAAAATTAGCTGGGTGTGGTGGCACGTGCCGGTAGTCCCAGCTATTTGGGAGGCTGAGGCAGGAGAGTTGCTTGAACCCGGGAGGTGGAGGTTGCAGTGAGCTGAGATCGTGCCACTGCACTCCAGCCTGGGTGACATAGCGAGACTCCATCTCAAAAAAAAAAAAAAATTCCATGCACACACTCCCAATTCAAGACTGCACTTTCTGTGCCTGAGACATTCTTCTCTCAAACCTCTGCATACTCTTCTCCCTCAGCCTTTGGGGCTCTGACCCATCACCTTTTCAAAAAAGCCTTCTCCCATCCTCTATGAGGCAGCACATCTCCCCACCCGCCTCTCACCCTACTTTGTTTTCTTCCTAGTACTTTCACCATTTAGCACATTAGGTATTGATATGCTCATTGTCATGCTTCTCCAACAAGAATATAAACTCACTAGTCTTCACTAAGAGACAAACACCATTGCAGTTAGAGAAGTTATAATTAAGATTAGCCAGCAATTGAGTAAAGGAGGCAGGTTCCCCAAAGCCAAGCATCAACTGGCCTTGGGAACCTCCAGCAGCCACATGTTCCTTTTATGCCTTGAAGGTGGTATTTCATACTCAAATGCCTACAGACCATTAGAGTAAAGCAGAAAGAAGGCCTGGAAGAATAAACTGGAGACAGCAGGCCCTTTTCCAAGGGGGCAGCCACTCAGCTCCAGCTCATTTCCATGTGGGGATATTGGGGTGAAGGGATATTACCATATTGGCAGCTTAGTTAACAAAACTCCCTGGGTTTTGACTCATCTCTTGACTCCTGATTCTAAGGAGTGAGTTTGCTGTCCTTTGCCTGTATCAAAGGGAGCTCCTCTCATCCTCACCCTTTGAGGCTAACACAGTGGGACAATCACAAGTCAGCCTGTGGTTTCTGCCTGAAGGTCACCCATTTGCAAGCTTGGGTTTAAAGCAATAGCTGTCAGCCATCTGTTAGAGACACTGCTATGCCACAACCAGTTTTGAAGTGTATCACAAATGATTTGTTATTCCACCAACATTAAAGGACCAACATTTGCCAATTATTTTCTTCTTAGCTAATTACATTGTTTTTGATCGTGATCATGCCTTTAGTGTTGTGTACTTGCATTCTGATATGCATCTTTGATCTTTGAACTGGAGAGAAAAAAAGGTAAAGTTAACACATAGAAAATTAAAACTATCCTATCTATGGGGTTTGTGCTGCATGCTAACATCATTTTTTATGTCTACCATGATAGAATTTAGAAGTTTGAGAACCGTTACTTTAAAATTACCCCGTAAGAGCGTGTAATATTTTCCATTAAATTGGGACTCAAAATTTTAATTATATATGAATTTAGTCCCATTAAATAGAAAGGAATGCCTTGGCAGGAAGTCAAGCCAGAACACTTAGTCTGAACTATAATGTGCCTGAAAAAAAAAATCCCTTAATACTTTTTCAACTTAACCTCCCACTGTAGACCTTTGATTTCCGCCACCAACTACCAGATTGTACCTTTCACGCTTTTACATCCAAGCCCTTGCCCATGGTATGCCTCACTCCTGGCGTCCATTTTCTCTTCTTCTCTCCTCTTATTTAAACCATGGCTAGCCTGCAAGGCTAGAATGATTTTCATTTCAAATATAAGCTCTTCCTTCACCACGATGGCCCACGGAGATCTGTCCTGCCTCAGAGAGTCTAAGATTATGCCAGTATCAAGTGTTTGTGATGTGGCTTTGGTGGGCAGCTATCTCTTCACGTAACAGGACAAAGAGAGCTAAACACAGGAGTACATCTGAGCAGTGCAAGGAATGGACTGTATCAAATGTTGGTGCCTTCCTCATAGCCCTTTGACTGACTTTGGAGGTCACTTTCAGCTTGACAGGCCAGTTCCCATATGTTAATGGTTTCTTATCTTTCAGCCCATGCATGGAAATGTCAGTGAGTTAACACCCTCAGAAGCAAACTTCAGTGAAGGATGAGAGTTGGTGGATTAATACCCCAGCTTCCTCACCTCTTGGTGCAAAAATCCTGAGCTGTGCTCCACATAGTACCCAGAAAATCCTTAACAGGATTGAGCCCAGTTGCCCAGGATAAGGACTTGTTTGGTCATCTCCCTTCCCTTCTGCTATGGTCTGAATGTGTCCCCTCCAAAATTCATATGTGGAAATGTAATCATGAATGTGATAGTATTAAGAGGTGGGGCTTCTAGGAGGTGATTAAGACTGGAGGGTGGAACCTTTATGAATGGTATTAGTGACCTTATTATTAGTGCCCTAGTCCTTTTTGCCCTTCTATCCCCACCACCATGTGAGGACATGGCATTTGTCCTCTCCAGTAGACACAGCAACAAGGCACCATCTTGGAAGCAGAGAGCAAGCCCTTACCAGAGACTAGATGTGCCAGAGCCTTGATCTTAGACTTTCCAGCCTCTAGAACTGTGAGAAATAAATTTCTATTACTTGTAAATTACCCAGCTTATGATATTTTGTTATATCTGCAGGAATAAACTAAGATACCTCCCTCTCCATGTTTCCTAGGATTATCTCAGAAATAAACTACTAGTCCCTAAATCCTTATCTTGGGGCCTGCTTTTTGGAGGACTCAAATGAAGACATTCCCTGATGAAAATTTTACTTCCTCGAAAAGAGATCTTCTGTCTTCCTGCCCCATACAGAACCTTGCATGAACTCTTGAATGGGAAAATACTCGATAACTATCTGAAATCCATTGAGTAATAGAACTTTTAAGTGATTTGACCAAAATTGAGAAAGATTTAAGCACTTTTGCTTTTGTCCTCTCTCCCCTTCATACCTAGTACCCATAAAACAGGTCTAGAACCTGACAAATTTCCGATCTATTTTCTTCCCAGCCTCAGGTATAAAGAAGAAGGTCGCACTATCTGGGGTTATCATTCACCCTTTGGTGATATTTAGTCAATCTACTATAATGCCTAAGAGTCTCCTCTTCACTAATTCTTTTAACAAATTGTGAGACAGTGGGCTTTAGGCCTTTTGAATGAATCCTGAACATTAAGGAGCAGGTTTGTGAAGGAATTTTTTAGAATTGAGGAACACTAATGAATTACTTAGTATTCAATTTGGCTGGCAGTAACAGAAGACCCAAAATAAGCAAGATACTACTTATTTCTTTCAAAAAGCCGGCATTGGGTGGTCCACAGCTGGTAGGGCACTCTGCAGTGTCAGGAACTCAGGTTCCTTCTCCCTTGTTAGCTCCTCAGTTCATTATTCTATTCCCTCGGTTACCTCCATCTGAGTTTATTGCTCCAAATCCACGCCATCACATCCACATTCCAGGTGGCAGGAAGAAAAAAAGAGACAGGGGAAGGAATGCTGCTTCCCTTTAAAGACACTTTCCAGAAGTTAAACAGCCTGCCTCAACTTACACTATATTGATTAGAACTTAGTCCCATGGCAATCCTTAGCTGTAGGGGAGGTTTTATTTCAGGCAGGCCTAAGCCAGGTTAAAATGAGAGGTTCTATTACAAATATTTCTATATTAGAGGAGAGTGGTCATAGGTAGACAATTAGCTGCCTCTGTTACAACTATCATGTCACTAGAATGGCACCAAAAGCTGCCCAAATCAGAATCTGATGTTAGGAAACAGAATGTGGCCACAGTAAGTGAGAAGTGGGTATGGATTATCATGCAAATGTCTTTATTGACCCACTAACAATTTCATGGTCATAGGATGACAATGGGGGCAGGGAATGAAGATGGGAGTTTTACATGTAGATGATCTCTAAGTTCAAGTAAAGCTCATACTACTGTGTTATGTGTATGCTTCTTTTGATGATACCAGTCATCAAAGAAGAATACTAAAACTAGAAATTATCAGAACTGAATCTAGTGTGACTCATGGGAGAAGAGCCTGGGTGTAGTGCTCAGAAGAATTACCTCGAACATTCCAAAAAGAAAAGAACTTCAAAATCCCAAATCATATACTCGTTTATAACAGACTAAAATATAATATTCTGAGGGACTCTAAGACCGATATCCATTTAAATCAGCTCAAACTCCAGGCAGAGGCACCAGAAATTTACCATTTACAAATGGGTAGGCAGCACAGCAGTTGGGATGTGTCCCTTCTGTTATCTGGCTTCCAGATCCCATATTGAAAACAGCACGCATTGCAAAGGCTCTAACCTCCTAACGCTACAGAACACCTGCACCTCAGCACACCAGCATGACCAGGGTTACCACTCTGTGTAAAGCTGCAGGAAGAATTGCTCTTTGAAAAAGGACACACAAGAAATGCAAGAAGGCAGGCTTGTAAAGGAGAAGCTTGAAGAGCCTTAGAAAAATCAGACAGAAATCACAATAACGTTCCTCTTGTTTCTCCTGGAGTCCTAGTATGAAGAGATTCTGTGAGCACTGAAACTGTTCCATGAGAGCCAGGCTAGAACATTCAAGTTCCCTCTGGCCTAGGAGATGGTACTGGACCCACCCCAGATTACCATGGACCATCAACATTACGAAATGAAAATTCCTAGGAGTCACCTCCTTAGCTGTCTTAGGGAACTCCATAAGAAGAAACAAGATAAAGGGCACCAAATAATTCTTGTTAAAAGGTTATCAGTTGTTTTAAGAGAAATGCAAAAGTGCAAACTTTACCCAAAAAATCATCATTAGTAAATCACTGATGAATAAGTTTTATTATCCTCTCTTTGCAGTTTTGCTTGGTCAGCCTGTTACACACCAACCAGTTTGAGCTGCATCAGACTTTATGGGTTTCCCTCTCCTTTTAATTAACTTTAAAATCTTATTAGCCCAATTATTAGCAATATGTTACAAGGCACCAAGACTGCAGCTGTGAATGTGTCTTTATTAAAAAGGCACTACCATGAGTTAAGAAACTTTCAGCATTATTATAAACTCTATAAAGGCTAGAAAGATAATTCAGTTTGCAAATTAGTCCCAATTCAAACTTGGCAAGGGAAAGCAAATTAGGTTTGAATTAATTTGCTTCCTTCTCCCATTCTTCCCCAAAACATGTAATTCCTATTAGCAATTAGCATCAGTAGACTTTACACTGGCACTTGGAAAGGTGTACCAACTCATAAAATAAGAACTGAAAGTGTGATGTTATTTTAACTTAAAAATCGATGTGTGAAGAAGGAAGAGAAATGTGCTTTTAGATATATCGTTCTTCCTAAGGGACACATAAATTACCCTAAATTTCACCCAGCTTGAAAAGCTAGTATATTGTAAACCGCTCTCTCCTTTACAAACCAGGGCCATTCTAAGAGGAACAAGAATGAATTTGTCATAGACTCAGCCCCACAAAACCTTCTAAATATAGAATCTGCTTGCCTTTGTTCACAGCTGTTCCATTCTAATAGTTTTACCAAGGGCGCAAACAGTAGGTTCCTTTATTGAAAGTGGAACTATATCTTCGGGTGCAGAGTATTTTGAAGGCCTTTTCAAGGCAAAATAAAAGAAAATGTGAAACCAAAGAGCTCTGGGGATCTATCCATTCTAATCCAGGCTCACAGACAATCTGATCCAAAATATAAAACCCCAGGACCACAGCCTTGCCTGCTACCCTTTGACACTTATATATTGTACTCCACTGCTTCTCAAACCTTAGAATGCTTTGAATCACTTTGAAACACTTGGAAAATACAGATTCAGATTCCCTGTCCTTACCCCTGAAGATTCTGACTCATTATATCTGAAGTGGAACACAGGAATTCTCTTGGGACTGGGATTTTTGGTAATTCCGAGCAAGGAGACTTTGCCTCACACTTTAAGAAATCTGATTCTACTTTTTATGTGACTTGGGCCTGCTTTAAAACAAATAGGCATAAACAAATAATTTTCTCTCTTCTTTAATTGCCTGGAAGTGGGCAATTTGGTAGTTATCAAAATTTCACAACAAATATGAATAATATCAAATAAAGTAAATTTTCTAGGCCTAGCGACTTTATTTAAAAATATTGCTCCATATGGATGAGTCCACCAGAATGGCTGAGAAACACATTGTATACCCAGAAAGCAATAGGATAAAATGAGTCTTTGGTACAGAGACATCTAGAAATATATAGTGCCTACTAGCAGAAATATCTATATACATAACATGCAGTATATGTATATGCAGTATATATGTATACATAGTAAATACATATATACATATTTGCAGTAATAATCTGTTAACCTTTATTACTAATCAAGAAAAACAAAACACCTTACTTTTAGATACGTTTGTATATTTCAGGACTCCTACAGGCTTCTATAAGTGATGCCATACCTTCACTACCGCATTTCTCACTATCTACATTTGGGCAGGACAATGCTTTGTTATTGGTCACTATGCTGTATATTGCAAGCTGTTTAATAGGATCCTTGGCCTCTAACCTACTAGATGTGAGTAGCAGCTCTCTAGCCTCCTAGTTGTGACAATCAAAATTTCTCCACATTGAAAAATATCCCCCCGTGGGGAAAATCAACCCCGGTTGAGAATTGCTATTTTACTTCTACTTCATCCTAATCATACAATACCTAGCAAGTGCTTATATGTACATTAGTATAACAGGTTGACCTAATGCTGCTATTCAAACACATCTAACATTTACTAGATGTCAGTACTATAATTTTTTAAGATGAAAAAACACCTTACATATTTGATCTTAGTCACCCTTACTAACATTTTTATAGATAAAAAAGAATCAAGCTTGGAAAGATTAAAAGACTTGCCCAAGGTAGTCAGGGATGGAGTGGAGTTTCACACCCAGTGAAACTCCCAAACCCCTATGTTTAACCACTGCTGTCAATCACCTCCCATGGCAGTGTATAAAGTTAAAACAGTGATCTTCATGACTCCTAGGAATTTTCACTCTAAAACAAGAAACACTAACACAGGCATTTATGAAGAAAATAAGCACCAAGTACAGAGATTTGTTCAACAAATCAAAAGGAGACAAAATTCTATAAATAAATGATACATAATAAACCTCATTAATTCTATTTAGAATTTGCTATAATTCAAGAAGGAGCTGGACCATTGTTGACTTTTCTACTATTTACACACACACACACTCACACAAATCTGTGAAGTGACAGTATACATAGGGTTTCCAAAGGAGTGCCTAAGCACTCCAGAAAACATGCAGACACCCACTTCTACACAGCCCAGTTACCATCCATGTAAAGACCAACGCTACTTGGATACCCAGCACAAATGGTTCATCTAGCTATTGAAGGAGATCCTCTAATGGGCCACACTTCGCCTATGTACAGGGAGAGTGTCCACTTGAAAATAACAAAATGGCTTTTTTTTTTTTTTTTTGAGACAGAGTCTTGCTCTGTTGCCCAGACTGGAGTGCAGTGGCGTGAGCTTGGCTCACTGCAACCTCTATCTCCCAGGCTCAAGTGATCCTCCTGCCTCAGCCTCCTGAGTAGCCAGGATTACAGGCAGGCACCACCATGCCTGGCTAATTTTTGTATTTTTAGTAGAGATGGGATTTCACCATGTTGGCCAGGCTGGTGTCAAACTCCTGACCTCAAGTGATCCACCTACCTTGGCCTTCCAAAGTGCTGGGATTACAGGCATGAGCCACTGCATGGGTCAAAATGGCATATTTTTAAGAATAGTATTAAGTTCTACTTTGCTGCTATTTGAGATCTCCCAACCCTCTGAATTCAGACTGCTAATCACTCTCAAAGACTGGCACCAGTGCCTCTCAACACAGCTGTCTCGTGAAGCCATCACAAAATGATGACTGTTTATACTTCCTTCCCTACTACATCAGAATGAACACAATTTTTCGGAAGGAGGAGCCAAGATGGCCGAATAGGAACAGCTCCTGTCTACAGCTCCCAGCGTGAGTGACGCAGAAGACAGGTGATTTCTGCATTTCCATCTGAGGTACCGGGTTCATCTCACTAGGGAGTGCCAGACAGTGGGCGCAGGTCAGTGGGTGCGTGCACCGTGCGCGAGCCGAAGCAGGGCGAGCATTGCCTCACCTGGGAATTGCAAGGGGTCAGGGAGTTCCCTTTCCCAGTCAAAGAAAGGGGTGACGGACTCACCTGGAAAATCGGGTCACTCCCACCCGAATATTGCGCTTTTCGGACCGGCTTAAAAAACGGCGCACCACGAGATTATATCCCACACCTGGCTCGGAGGGTCCTACGCCCACGGAATCTCGCTGATTGCTAGCACAGCAGTCTGAGATCAAACTGCAAGGCAGCAGCGAGGCCGGGGGAGGGGCGCCCGCCATTGCCCAGGCTTGCTTAGGTAAACAAAGCAGCTGGGAAGCTCGAACTGGGTGGAGCCCACCACAGCTCAACGAGGCCTGCCTGCCTCTGTAGGCTCCACCTCTGGGGGCAGGGCACAGACAAACAAAAAGACAGCAGTAACCTCTGCAGACTTAAATGTCCCTGTCTGACAGCTTTGAAGAGAGCAGTGGTTCTCCCAGCACGCAGCTGGAGATCTGAGAACGGGCAGACTGCCTCCTCAAGTGGGTCCCTGACCCCTGACCCCCAAGCAGCCTAACTGGGAGGCAATCCCCAGCAGGGGCACACTGACACCTCACACGGCAGGGTATTCCAACAGACCTGCAGCTGAGGGTCCTATCTGTTAGAAGGAAAACTAACAAACAGAAAGGACATCCACACCGAAAACCCATCTGTACATCACCATCATCAAAGACCAAAAGTAGATAAAACCACAAAGATGGGGAAAAAACAGAACAGAGAAACTGGAAACTCTAAAACGCAGAGCGCTTCTCCTCCTCCAAAGGAACGCAGTTCCTCACCAGCAACGGAACAAAGCTGGATGGAGAATGACTTTGACGAGCTGAGAGAAGAAGGCTTCAGACGATCAAATTACTCTGAGCTACGGGAGGACGTTCAAACCAAAGGCAAAGAAGTTGAAAACTTTGAAAAAAAATTTAGAAGAATGTATAACTAGAATAACCAATACAGAGAAGTGCTTAAAGGAGCTGATGGAGCTGAAAACCAAGGCTCGAGAACTACGTGAAGAATGCCGAAGCCTCAGGAGCCGATGCGATCAACTGGAAGAAAGGGTATCAGCGATGGAAGATGAAATGAATGAAATGAAGCGAGAAGGGAAGTTTAGAGACAAAAGAATAAAAAGAAATGAGCAAAGCCTCCAAGAAATATGGGACTATGTGAAAAGACCAAATCTACGTCTGATTGGTGTACCTGAAAGTGATGGGGAGAATGGAACCAAGTTGGAAAACACTCTGCAGGATATTATCCAGGAGAACTTCCCCAATCTAGCAAGGCAGGCCAACGTTCAGATTCAGGAAATACAGAGAACGCCACAAAGATACTCCTCGAGAAGAGCAACTCCAAGACACATAATTGTCAGATTCACCAAAGTTGAAATGAAGGAAAAAATGTTAAGGGCAGCCAGAGAGAAAGGTCGGGTTACCCTCAAAGGGAAGCCCATCAGACTAACAGTGGATCTCTCGGCAGAAACCCTACAAGCCAGAAGAGAGTGGGGGCCAATATTCAACATTCTTAAAGAAAAGAATTTTCAACCCAGAATTTCATATCCAGCCAAACTAAGCTTCATAAGTGAAGGAGAAATAAAATACTTTACAGACAAGCAAATGCTGAGAGATTTTGTCACCACCAGGCCTGCCCTAAAAGAGCTCCTGAAGGAAGAGCTAAACATGAAAAGGAACAACCGGTACCAGCCGCTGCAAAATCATGCCAAAATGTAAAGACCATCGAGACTAGGAAGAAACTGCATCAACTAACGAGCAAAATCACCAGCTAACATCATAATGACAGGATCAAATTCACACATAACCATATTAACTTTAAATGTAAATGGACTAAATGCTCCAATTAAAAGACACAGACTGGCAAATTGGATAAAGAGTCAAGACCCATCAGTGTGCTGTATTCAGGAAACCCATCTCATGTGCAGAGACACACATAGGCTCAAAATAAAAGGATGGAGGAAGATCTACCAAGCAAATGGAAAACAAAAAAAGGCAGGGGTTGCAATCCTAGTCTCTGATAAAACAGACTTTAAACCAACAAAGATCAAAAGAGACAAAGAAGGCCATTACATAATGGTAAAGGGATCAATTCAACAAGAGGAGCTAACTATCCTAAATATATATGCACCCAATAGAGGAGCACCCAGATTCATAAAGCAAGTCCTGAGTGACCTACAAAGAGACTTAGACTCCCACACATTAATAATGGGAGACTTTAACACCCCACTGTCAACATTAGACAGATCAATGAGACAGAAAGTCAACAAGGATACCCAGGAATTGAACTCAGCTCTGCACCAAGTGGACCTAATAGACATCTACAGAACTCTCCACCCCAAATCAACAGAATATACATTTTTTTCAGCACCACACCACACCTATTCCAAAATTGACCACATAGTTGGAAGTAAAGCTCTCCTCAGCAAATGTAAAAGAACAGAGATTATAACAAACTATCTCTCAGAGCACAGTGCAATCAAACTAGAACTCAGAATTAAGAATCTCACTCAAAACCGCTCAACTACATGGAAACTGAACAACCTGCTCCTGAATGACTACTGGATACATAACGAAATGAAGGCAAAAATAAAGATGTTCTTTGAAACCAACGAGAACAAAGACACAACATACCAGAATCTCTGGGACGCATTCAAAGCAGTGTTTAGAGGGAAATGTATAGCACTAAATGCCCACAAGAGAAAGCAGGAAAGATCCAAAATTGACACCCTAACATCACAATTAAAAGAACTAGAAAAGCAAGAGCAAACACATTCAAAAGCTAGCAGAAGGCAAGAAATAACTAAAATCAGAGCAGAACTGAAGGAAATAGAGACACAAAAAACCCTTCAAAAAATTAATGAATCCAGGAGCTGGTTTTTTGAAAGCATCAACAAAATTGATAGACCGCTAGCAAGACTAATAAAGAAAAAAAGAGAGAAGAATCAAATAGACACAATAAAAAATGATAAAGGGGATATCACCACCGATCCCACAGAAATACAAACTACCATCAGAGAATACTACAAACACCTCTACGCAAATAAACTAGAAAATCCAGAAGAAATGGATAAATTCCTCGACACATACACTCTCCCAAGACTAAACCAGGAAGAAGTTGAATCTCTGAATAGACCAATAACAGGAGCTGAAATTGTGGCAATAATCAATAGTTTACCAACCAAAAAGAGTCCAGGACCAGATGGATTCACAGCCGAATTCTACCAGAGGTACAAGGAGGAACTGGTACCATTCCTTCTGAAACTATTCCAATCAATAGAAAAAGAGGGAATCCTCCCTAACTCATTTTATGAGGCCAGCATCATTCTGATACTAAAGCCGGGCAGAGACACAACCAAAAAAGAGAATTTTAGACTAATATCCTTGATGAACATTGATGCAAAAATCCTCAATAAAATACTGGCAAAACAAATCCAGCAGCACATCAAAAAGCTTATCCACCATGATCAAGTGGGCTTCATCCCTGGGATGCAAGGCTGGTTCAATATATGCAAATCAATAAATGTAATCCAGCATATAAACAGAGCCAAAGACGAAAACCACATGATTATCTCAATAGATGCAGAAAAGGCCTTTGACAAAATTCAACAACCCTTCATGCTAAAAACTCTCAATAAATTAGGTATTGATGGGACGTATTTCAAAATAATAAGAGCTATCTATGACAAACCCACAGCCAATATCATACTGAATGGGCAAAAACTGGAAGCATTCCCTTTGAAAACTGGCACAAGACAGGGATGCCCTCTCTCACCACTCCTATTCAACATAGTGTTGGAAGTTCTGGCCAGGGCAATTAGGCAGGAGAAGGGAACAAAGGGTATTCAATTAGGAAAAGAGGAAGTCAAATTGTCCCTGTTTGCAGATGACATGATTGTATATCTAGAAAACCCCATTGTCTCAGCCCAAAATCTCCTTCAGCTGATAAGCAACTTCAGCAAAGTCTCAGGATACAAAATCAATGTACAAAAATCACAAGCATTCTCATACACCAACAACAGACAAACAGAGAGCCAAATCATGAGTGAACTCCCATTCACAATTGCTTCAAAGAGAATAAAATACCTAGGAATCCAACTTACAAGGGATGCGAAGGACCTCTTCAAGGAGAACTACAAACCACTGCTCGAGGAAATAAAAGAGGATACAAACAAATGGAAGAACATTCCATGCTCATGGGTAGGAAGAATCAATATCGTGAAAATGGCCATACTGTCCAAGGTAATTTACAGATTCAGTGCCATCCCCATCAAGCTACCAATGACTTTCTTCACAGAATTGGAAAAAACTACTTTAAAGTTCATATGGAACCAAAAAAGAGCCCGCATCGCCAAGGCAATCCTAAGCCAAAAGAACAAAGCTGGAGGCATCATACTACCTGACTTCAAACTATACTACAAGTCTACAGTAACCAAAACAGCATGGTACTGGTACCAAAACAGAGATATAGATCAATAGAACAGAACAGAGACCTCAGAAATAATGCCGCATATCTACAACTATCTGATCTTTGACAAACCTGAGAAAAACAAGCAATGGAGAAAGGATTCCCTATTTAATAAATGGTGCTGGGAAAACTGTCTAGCCTTATGTAGAAAGCTGAAACTGGATCCCTTCCTTACACCTTATACAAAAATCAATTCAAGATGGATTAAAGACTTAAATGTTAGACCTAAAACCATAAAAACCCTAGAAGAAAACCTAGGCATTACCATTCAGGACATAGGCATGGGCAAGGACTTCATGTCCAAAACACCAAAAGCAATGGCAATAAAAGACAAAATTGACAAATGGGATCTAATTAAACTAAAGAGCTTCTGCACAGCAAAAGAAACTACCATCAGATTCAACAGGCAACCTACAAAATGGGAGAAAATTTTCACAACCTACTCATCTGACAAAGGGCTAATATCCAGAATCTACAATGAACTCAAACAAATTTACAAGAAAAAAACAACCCCATCAAAAAGTGGGCAAAGGACATGAACAGACACTTCTCAAAAGAAGACATTTATGCAGCCAAAAAACACATGAAAAAATGCTCATCATCACTGGCCATCAGAGAAATGCAAATCAAAACCACAATGAGATACCATCTCACACCAGTTAGAATGGCAATCATTAAAAAGTCAGGAAACAACAGGTGCTGGAGAGGATGTGGAGAAATAGGAACACTTTTACACTGTTGGTGGGACTCTAAACTAGTTCAACCATTGTGGAAGTCAGTGTGGCGATTCCTCAGGGATCTAGAACTAGAAATACCATTTGACCCAGCCATCCCATTACTGGGTATATACCCAAAGGACTATAAATCATGCTGCTATAAAGACACATGCACACGTATGTTTATTGCGGCATTATTCACAATAGCAAAGACTTGGAACCAACCCAAATGTCCAACAGTGATAGACTGGATTAAGAAAATGTGGCACATATACACCATGGAATACTATGCAGCCATAAAAAATGATGTGTTCATGTCCTTTGTAGGGACATGGATGAAATTGGAAATCATCATTCTCAGTAAACTATCGCAAGAACAAAAAACCAAACACCACATATTCTCACTCATAGGTGGGAACTGAACAATGAGATCACATGGACACAGGAAGGGGAATATCACACTCTGGGGACTGTGGTGGGGTGGGGGGAGGGGGGAGGGATAGCATTGGGAGATATACCTAATATTAGATGACGAGTTAGTGGGTGCAGCGCACCAGCATGGCACATGTATACATATGTAACTAACCTGCACAATGTGCACATGTACCCTAAAACTTAAAGTATAGTAAAAAAAAATAAGAATGAACACAATTTTTAATTGCAAATAAAATTATTAAAATTTAATGTTTTTATTAAATCAGCATATTTCTTAAATAATAAATACATCAGCTTATCTTTAACATTTTGAAAATTTAAGCATTTATTGTGTTTCAGGCACTGTGCTAAATGAGGGGGATACAAAGATGAGTTAAACATAGTTTTTTCCCCAAACAAGTTTGTAAACAGGTGAGGGAAGTAGATAGAGAACTAGGTGAGGTCAGTATGTGTACAGGTAGAATGTGTGCTGGATCAAGCCAGAGACCAGAAGGAATGGTTCAAAGACAGACTTCCTGGAGAGGGTGAATCTTGGAAGGTGACCCCAAAAAAGACTAGCAGGAAATATTTCAAAATGGTAAAAAGTGATGATCTATGATGCTGGAATTCTGGGAAATTTTTATTTTTCTTTATGCTTTTCTGTATTTCTCAAAACTTCTCAATGAAAATATTTTATATAGCTGAAAATGTATTAAAGAATAAAACATAATATATTAAACGATAATACAGTTTTTTAAAGCAAGTGAGAAGAAAGTGAAGGCAGAAAATATAGACTATTATTATTTCTAGGAACTCTGCTTTGAAGGGAAGAAATAAAATACAAAGCAGGTAGAAGGAGATGCAGAGTCAAGAAAGGGACTTTCTCTCTCTCTCTCTTTCCTTTTTAAGCTGAAAGTGACTTGAGTATACTATAAGCTGTAGGAAAGATGGAAGCTGAAAATAAAAGAGGAAGGACTAACAGACGGAACAAGACCTCACTCTAGTTCTGAAATATTTAGGAATCCACCTGCTCAAAAGAGCAATTTGGAAAGATTAGCATTAGATCAGAGAAATGGCATCTCTACAGAAAGGAGTGGGAGTGGGTATATATACACACAGTGTGAGACATTGATTCAGACCTCTGTCTGTTCCTCTGAGGTTACTAAACACGGTAGGGCTATAGTGGGGATGCTTCTCCTCATGAGTGAAGTTATTAAATTCTGAAGAATCTAATTCAAAAAAGATCCCCATTCTCTGCCTGAGATTCCCACATGCCTTGGTGTGAGGCACACAATTTGACAGCTTTACCATGAGAGATATAAGACAATGACCACAATATGTCAAAACACAATGGCTCTTGCAATGAGACTTCTCTCTCCCAGGAGGGTGAGGACACTTCTTTACCCAGTGCCAGGAGAGAGGGCCCCCACACTCATCTTTTTTAAAATCTGTTTGTACCTGCAAGAAAAGGACTTGACCTTTTGTTTCTTGAGAAGTTTACTCAATACTAGGCTTACATCTCCTGCACTGGCTTTATGGAAGAAAACGAAAGATCACAGGCCAAGATGGCGCTAGGGTACAGTCTGTTACAGAGGGATCCAGGGCCATCTTTTCACTTCAGAGATACCTTTAGCTTCCATAATTGGATCAAATGGGGTAAATTTGATGAGGACCACCACAACCTGGAATCAAAGAATTTAGGGCAGCTCAGGGCTGTGGTGGGAGGCCAACTTGGGTGTCAAAAGAAAGATATGACTGAGTTCAACAAGCAACCCAGGGAAAATTCTTGGAGCTGCATCCCTCTTCTGTGAAGTCTTTTGGTCCTGCACTCATCCACAATGAGCCTATAGACCATGAGGTATATCAGTGGTGATCCCCATCCCTTTCCCTCCTCTCATCTCCAGCACCAGAAAAGCCAAAGGAGTTCTGAAATGAGGACTGAAGGGCCACTCACCAACTCTGGCTCCTTAGCTGCCATCTGTAACCACATATCCAGCCTGTGTTGGAAAAACAGAGCAAAGGGTTGGAAGTTGACTAGAACCAAGTCTTAATATCTGAGAGTAGACTATTTTAATAATTGAAATGATTAAAAGTATGGTATTATATTAATATGACCTTAGAAGTACTTTTTACCCAGTGGGAAAGGTGGATTAAACAAAGACTATTGCAGGCAATTATTAAGGGGGACAAACATTTCATGCTTTACCTTGTGACTTGAGACTTTTCAAAATAATTATATACATATATTAATGGATTCATATATACATGTATGAATGAACACAGATTAATTATATACATATATGAATTAGATTATCATTGTAATGACCACCAGCAAGGTGACTTGTGAAAAAACCTTTGCATAGATTTAATAGATTAATTCCATCACCTTGTCTTACAGTGCTCTTGGAAAGAAAGATAAAATGACAAAGAAAATTGAACTGTATAATTTAATCCTTATCTGCAAGTACTATACTGTTTTTGCATTGTAAAAATCAAGACAGACATTTCTCAAAACCTAACAATAGAAGGAGACATTTTCCTTCTTTTTTCATAGGATAGCTAAAAGGCATTTGGACATTCACCCACAGGTCTGACCGCACTCTGAAGGTGAATTCACTTTGTTCTTGCACAGCCAGGCCCTGATCGTTCCTGCCTCCCATGGCTACCAGCAGTCCTAGGTGGGGTCTTTTGGTTCCCAATTGTTCCCCTGTTGGAAACAGTCGCCCCACTTTGGGGCTTTTTTTTCTTTTATCTATCCCCTACCCTTCTTCCACAGTCATCCTACAAGCACAAAGGCCTATTCAAATCACTTTCTTGTTAGAAATACTCAGTGACTTTCTATTGTCCATAAGACCTTTTGCAATGTGGGCTTAACCTCAGATTCCAACTGCTGCTCTGCCCTGTCTCTCACCTCACCGAGCGCTCACCCATTGCCCTGGTGTCCAGGTGGCAGCCATGATGAATTCTGGCTTTTCCCTAAACACACTGTTTTCTGTGCTGGTGCCCGTTGGCCCAGGTTCTCTCATCCCATTCCCCGGTTAGTAAAACCCACCCTCCAGAATGCTGCCAACATGTCCTCTCCCCTAAGGAACCTTCCCATTCTCCACAACCCAAGTCAGTCACTACCCACTCTGCCGTCTTCCGTTGTTTAGGGCATACTTGGATGTGCTGAGGACATGGTGTAGTGTGATGGGTGGGGTGTAGTCTCTGTCTTGGACTGCCAGCTACTCGTTCAGTGATGAATGTGTAATTACAAATAATGATACGGACCACGGCAGAAAGGAACACAGTGCCAAGAAACAGAAATGAGATGGCACTGAGACCTGACACACGGTAGGAGAGGCGGAGGGAGGAACAGGACCCCTGGGGCAGGGAGCGCCATGCACAGCAGCTTCATGGCAGGGTGTGTGTTTTCTGAGAACAGAAAGAGGCCCATGTGGCTGGAGTGGATGAGCAAGGAGGAAAATGGTGTGAGATGTGGCTGGAAAGGTAGGTAGGACTCCAGCCTGCAGAGCCTGTGGGCCCCCAGAAGACTTTAGTCTTTGTCTTAAGAACAATCAAGAGGCATTGAAGAGCTTTCTTAATGGGGATGACATACTATTTGCATTTTGAAAAAATTCTAGCTTCGGTGTGGAAAAGTGATTGGAAGGAGGCCAGAGAGGATGTGGGGGTCTATTAGGAGGCTATTACATACAGGAAAAAGATAATGGAAGCTGGAATAGGGAGTGGCGGAGCAGATGGGGAGAATTTGGATGGCTTGAAATTGAAATTCTTACCAGAACTTCTACAAACCGAACAGAATAAGCACTCACATTAAATACTCAGGTGGCATTTAAAAAGGTGTCATCTTAGAGTTATGATTACTTTATGGACCTTATCGTAAAATAGTTAAAATAGAATCAATTATATTTTGCTATTTAGAAGAAAGCAAAGGGTAAAAAATATAAACATACACTACAGTAGAAATAGTAAAACTATGTTAAGCTGTCTAGTTAAAAGAGCATCTGTTACCTTAGAAAGCTCCAAGGAGGCTCTGAATCACAGAAATCAAGATTACAAAATTTTAACAGCAGACTATTGTCTTATTTTGTAATGGTTTTTGGGGATATACTTTATGTACTATACAACTTACACAATTAAATATGAAATTTGATAGTTCTTAGTTATTCACAGAGTTGTGTAATCATTGCCATATCTAATTCTACAACATTTTTGTTACTCCAAAAGGAAACCCCATCCCCATTATTAATTACTGCCTATTTCTCCCCAACTGCTCTAGGCCTGGGCAACCACTAGTCTACTTCATGTTTCTATGAATCTGCCTACTCTGGACATTTTATTTCAGTAGAATCATACAGCCAAGTGTGGTGGCTCACGCCTGTAATCCCAACACTTCGGGAGGCCGAGGTAGGTGGGTCACTTGAGGTCAGGAGTTCGAGACCAGCCTGGCCAACATGGAGAAACCCCATCTCTACTAAAAATACAAAAATTAACTGGGCATGATGGCACATATCTGTAATCCCAGCTACTCAGGACGCTGAAGCCCAAGAATCGCTTGAACCAGGGAGACGGAGGTTGCAGTGAATCGAGATCGTACCACTGTACTCCAGCCTGAGTGACACAGGGAAACTCTGTCTCAATAAATAAATAAATCTAATCATACGATTTCTGACCATCTGTTACTGGCATCTTTCACTTAGCATAATGTTTTCCAGGTTGATCCATGTTGTTACATATATCAGAACTTCATTGCTTTCTATTACGAAATACCCCATTGTATGGATATATCACATCTACTTATCCATTCAGCAGTTGATAGACATTTAGGTTGTTTTCAGGTTTTGGCCATCATGAATAATGCTACTATAAACAGTTATGTATAACTTACGTGGACATCTGTTTTCATTTCTATTGGTTATATACTCCCAGGAGTGGAATTGCTGGGTCACGTGCTAACTACATGTTTAATCATTTGTCTTATTTTGTAATTTGAAGAACTGCCCGACTATTTCCCAAAGCAGCTTCTCCATTTCACATTTCCATCAGCAGTGTATGAGGTTTCCAATCTCTCCACATTCTCATCAACACGTGTTATTATCTGGGGTTTTTTTGTTTGTTTTTTTGTTTTAATTCTAGCCAGCCTAGCGGGTGTGAATTGGTGTCCCATTTTGGTTTTTGATTTGCATTTCCCTGGTGGCTAATGGTGATGAGTATCTTTCCATGCACTAACAAGCCATTTGTACATTTCCTTCAGAGAAAGATGTCTGTCCAGATCCACCGCCCATTTTAAAATGTGATTATTGGCCTTTTATTGTTGAGTTATAAGTGTTCTTTTTACATTCTAGATGAAAGTATGTTATCAGAAAAATGATTTACAAATTTTTTCTTCCATTCTGTGTGTTGTCTTTTCACGTTTTTGATGGTGTACTTCAAAGTACAAAAGACTTTTTTTCATTTTGATTATATCTGATTATCTATTTTTTATTTTATGGTTGGGTTTTATTATCTTTTAGAAAAGAATAACCTCTTATGAAACTATGGAGTCATATCACTGAGTTGTATCTAAGATTCTTTTACATTTTTTTCCTACCAACAAAAAGAGAATTCAACCACCATTTTCCCCAAGGATGTGTAGTCATTTTCTTTAATATATGTATTGCTTCTTCAAAGTTAAAAGACTATAACTAATGTCAGCCAACTCTATCTTTAGCAAAAGCAATTAAGTAGCATTATTCAAGCTTATCAGTCCTATGCCATTTTATTAGCTAAAGCAATTAGAAGAACTTATCATTTTTTAAAATCACATAATTATTGACTGTCACAGACCCTGTTACCGAGAAAGGTGATGGCTTGTAACACTGCAATGAGGTAAAATGAAAATAAAGGGTGAAAAGAAAGCCTAAAAGATAAAGGTTAAAGAAGGAAAGAAACATAAATTACAATTAGAGTGAAACGTTGTGGAACCTTAATGCATTTTTTAAGACCCTTTAAGTCAAATTAATAAAAATGAAAGAGACTCAATATTTGCATTGGTAGGACTTTTATTTAAAAAGTTAAATTATTTCATTGAGCTAAACTTCCACCTATTCTTTGATACCTAAAAGCTTTTAGGAGGTAAAGAAAAACGTTTTTAAAATTTTATTTATAAAATAATAAGTAGCAAAGGATGCAGGCATACATCTAGAAGGGCACGCAGCAAATTTGTTTTGGTTTTGGGACAGAGTCTCACTCTGTCACTCAGGCTGGAATTCAGTGGCGCAGTCTTGGCTCACTGCAACTTCAGCCTCCTTGGCCTCCCGGTTTCAAGCAATTCTCCTGCCTCAGCCTCCTGAGTAGCTGGGATTACAGGCATGTGCCACCATGCCCAGCTAATTTTTTAAATTCTTAGTAGATACAGGGTTTCGCTATGTTGCCCAGGCTGGTCTCTAACTCCTGGACTCAAGCAATCCACCTGCCTTGGCCTCCCAAAGTGCTGGGATTATAGGCTTGAGACACTGCACCTGGCCAGCAAATCTTAATTTAGATCATCTTAATGTTCCTTCTTTAAAAGCTAGATTCCCCAGTTGTTCCTCTTTGGCCTTCCAGTGCCCAGCATGTGACGACACTTAGAAGGTGAAAAAACAAAAAAACAAAAAAAAACTGTGGACTTAAATTAAGATACTGAATTAGCTTTGTGTAAAGTCTTCTGATTAAAACTCTTAAGTAGAATGGGCCTGCAAAAGTGCACTATGAATATTTGTTTTCAGTTTTACATTCAATTGCATAGTTCACTTTTTACATGAGCTTTCTTCCCTCAAGTGTTCACTAAACATCATATAATACAGAGCTCTTTTTAACATCCATTTCTTTTTACTGAGAAATAAACTGAGGAGATTCACCAGCATTACTCACCTCTCTGGAATGACTTGAATAATGTTAATGGAATGATGCTCCTGAACCAGCCAATCACCTTTCAGCTCACAACCTGTCATCTTGCCTCTTTCTACTCTCGGTGATTATGTTCCCTCACATTTGTCTTCTAGCCGTAGACAGGAATGATAAACACACGGAGATGGGCATAGCAGCCTAAGTAGCCACACATCCATCCTAGACAACCTCTCCTCTTTCTTCCCTCCCTACCATTCTCTGTACCTGCTGAAATTTAGATCAGTGTATCCTCTACCCTCACATACATTGCTGCCCAATGATCAAAGCCAGGAGTTTTAGACAGTCTTGCTCTGTCCTTCCAGCTATGCCCCTCTGCCCAGCTGGAGAGTCCATGGAGTGAAGAGATTTTGCCCACCCAGAGCCTGGAACCACCACCTGTAGACCATGCTCTGGGTGTCCAGGAATCTAGAGTTTACTGCTCAAACATAGTCCTAAGTCTAGTTCCAGGATCTGTGCAAGGATTCTTCTCTGCATCCATGCTTCTGTTGGCAAAACTTCAGGCCTGAGGAATATCCAAAAGGCAATGATTTGCAGGAAGGATAGACACAGAGCTCAAACATATAGGCTAAAATGTGCAAACGTGTGCTTATTTAAGCTCCATGAGGTGTGAGATGGAGCAGGGGGTGGAGAGTGTGGGCTACAAGCATGGATGGCAGGCTAGGCCAACACTGCCCTGGCCACTGCATTCTAGCACATAACTCTGGAACTCTGAGGAGTCCCAAAATCCAAAATTAAGCTTTTCTAGATTATTACAAAAGATTATCATTCAAGATAGGAGAATAAACCATACTTTATTTAATATGTTAGCTTGATTTATAAATATTTAGATGTATGATACATAGGTATCCATTTGTGCTTTTACCATGGACCCCAATAATGTGAACTGTAAGCCTGCTAGGTTTTGGAGTCCAAGCTTAATTGATTTATTAAAAATATTTATTACATTTCTACCTTGTGCTAGGCATTGTTTTAGGCTTTCAGGGACAGCAGTGAACTGGACAGATAAGGTCCTGCTGCCTAGGAGCTTACATTCAAGTGAGAGAAAATAAGTTGAGTAGTCTAGGTAAACCAATGCATTCATCCATCCATTCATTCATTTACACAACAATTATCAATTGCCAAACACTGCCCCCTGGCATTTGGGGTGGTTTACAAAACAGACATGAATCCCTGGCCTCATGAAGATAATTTCAGATATTAATAAAGGTAAAGAAAGAAATTTAAAAGGGGTGAAATGTTAGAGAATAACAAATGAGGGGCACTGGCCCCATAACTGAGGTTCTTAGGAAGACATCTCTAACGGGATTTATAGGATAGAAGGATTTGAGAGTGCAAACAGCCAAGAAAAGAGTGTTCATATGGAAGGAAGAGTGGGAGCAAATACCAGGAGGAAAAAACCTGGGGAGTTCATGGAATGGGAAAAAAACATGTGGCTGGAGCATTATAAACAAGATGGTGAGTGTTGCTGTGTAGACAGAGAGGGAGGCAACTGAGGTTTTATCCACTATGCCTTACATCTGAGTCCCTAATTCCTGTGTTTTGTGAAGGTCTCAGGCAGTCAACAAAGAAAGATAACAGCAGGAAAGCAGTGAAAGTCACTGAAGTGTCCAGGGCTCTGTCTTATCCTGGTTCAGTTCATCAGGCTGTGCCATGGGCTCTTCCAATAAACACAGCCATTGAAATGAGATGTCTTGAGAAAGTGCCCTCTCAGGGTTGGGGTCGCTGCAGCAAAGTGAATGGCTTGTCGCAGTACACACAGCTGGTCTACAAGTGTCTGCTGTTACTAGCAAATGAGCAAAAGCACTTAATCCACATCTCCATCCAGCAAGTTGCTGGATGACGCCGGGGTCATGTTGCACCGTCTGTAACTACTAACTGCCATGCTTCCTGTTGACAAGATTTGCTCTCAGCAGCAACTCACCTATGGATTTGCTAGTGTGCCAGACACAGACTGGAGGCTTTCTGTGCATTTCTTCGCACTAGTGAATTCTCACAAGTCAATGACTGAGGTATCATTATCTCCATTTAAAAGGAAAAACCAAAGTTCAAAAAGAGGAAGTATTTGCCATAAGTCCCGTGTTGATAAGTGGTGGATTTCTTTGCAGGACCTATGTTGTCTGCCTCTGCAGATGGAATATGGCCACTGGTCTGACATTTGCATGAAGAATTAAGTACTCAGCTCTGTGGCAAGATATGCCTAGAATCCCACCCTGGTCATTGTGCCACTGTGTGGCTTTAGGAGAATTACTTTATTCCTCTGAGCCTCAGTTTTCATCTCTGAAAAGTGGAGATAATTGTAATACCCACTTAAGGGATTGTTGAGAAATAATGCATGTCAGGTGCCTGGAATTTAACAAGAACTCAACAAATATTAGCTGGTTGCATTATGCTTGCTTTGCTCTGCCTCTCTCTTCTTTTCAACATCTATCATGGAGTCCAAGTTGCTTATCCATCCTAAGTACTCTTTCGCCACAAGTCACCCATTGCCTATTTAACAATCTGCCAGAGCTTATCAAATAAGGGTGTGACAAACGAACTATAAGCTATGAAACCGTAAGGCAAACCGCCCATCAGGGATTCAACACAAACGTTCACAGGGTAAGTCAGAACGAGGAGATGAGTCACTCAGGCATCTGAAAAACAGTTATCCTTGTAAGTGTGTGCATGTTTGTTTGAAATAACCTCCTGGTTTTTGCTAGACAGCCTGAGTCCCAGAAGGACATTCCAATCCATAGTCTGTCAAATTCCACCCAGTTATCATTCTTCTCACTTGCTAAACTAGCCTCCCAGGAAGATAACACCCACTTATGCATTAGTGATGCTTCCCAGAAGTTTCAAAGGGAAAGACCATTCTAAGAACGACTGGCGCAGAATCCAAATTGGCCAGGTACTCACACATACTTGATTCTCCAGCCTTCTCTGTGGTCTCTAGACGGTTAGATATTTCTTCTTTGTACCAGATGTTCGAATTTATTTAAAACATTGAACACATCCTTTGGACAGGTGGTGGAGAGCACTGAATGCAATTAAGGAGGAGGTGAGATGATTCACTCCATCTTCACCTTAGTGTTCGAATTTATTTAAAACGTTGAACACATCCTTTGGACAGGTGGTGGAGAGCGCTGAATGCAATTAAGGAGGAGATGAGATGATTCACTCCATCTTCACCTTAGCTCTCATGATCTTCCACCTTTAAAGGTTTTGTGGCCAGCTCTCCTGCAGTCCTCCATGAGTCACTCCTGAGCTTTCATTTCCCATCTGCAGCAGCTGCTGTCCACATGGTTCACAAGACCATTGTTGTTATAAAGGAGATCACATCATTTATGAAGTACTTGGAATGCTTAAGAGGAAAGGGCATTGGGTAAATTTAAGGTACTTGGTATTGTCACTACTTTTTAATCTTAATGGCTACAGGGAAAAATGAGTGGTCTAATGCAGTGACTTTCAAGCTATTGTGCTTGTAACCTACAATTAAAAAATAAAATAAAGTTGATAACTTAACCTAGCAAGTAACCCTGAAACTAAAGTTTTGTGTAATAGTACTTATTCTTCCTAAGTACTGTATACTCAGATAGTTTCTATTCTATTTCATCTTAAAAAAAAATACTGGTTGCAATTTACTCAATTGATTTTTTGACCCACTAACAAGTCAAAACTTGTAGTTTGTAAAACACTATTGAAAGTCTAAAATCTATTTATATCCTTTAATACAAGACAAATTAACCTCAGGTCATATGTATTTCCCTCTCCCAATAAATATGTGCGCACATATTCTCAAAAACTATTTGTTCTTTTCAGAGTAAATAATATTAATTCAAGATTATTGGTCACTTTCCTGATTAGCCTTATGGTACTCAAGACAGAATAAAGCTGCACATTAGATGAGCTACTCACATTCATTCTCCATATGTCACATTATTTTAGGAATACAAAAACCAGAAAACATGAGGCTTCTGAAAATTATGCATATTTACATGTACTTCTGGTTAAAAAATCTTGAACAGGCAGATTTTTCTCTTGAGATTTTGGATGGGTTCATTTCTTAACAGAAAATGCAAACATGCATATTCTTCTTTTTATAAGATTAAAAAGTCACTTTATGACAAAGAAGGGAAAAAGAAAAACAAGAAGGCAATGAGAAAGAAGAAAAAAGGAGGAGAAAAATTGGAGGAGAAAGTATCCAGATTTAAGTTTGTTGCCTGTAAATCTCTTTCAATATAGTTGGTAATTAATATTAATCAAATATCCTAAGTTTATAGGATAATGATAGTCAAAACTTACTTAAAAGAATGCTATTTTTATTCTTATACACCAATAACAGACAAACAGAGAGCCAAATCATGAGTGAACTCCCATTCACAATTGCTTCAAAGAGAATAAAATACCTAGGAATCCAACTTACAAGGGATGTGAAGGACCTCTTCAAGGAGAACTACAAACCACTGCTCAATGAAATAAAAGAGGATACAAACAAACAGAAGAACATTCCATGCTCATGGGTAGGAAGAATCAATATTGTGAAAATGGCCATACTGCCCAAGGTAATTTATAGATTCAATGCCATCCCCATCAAGCTACCAATGACTTTCTTCACAGAATTGGAAAAAACTACTTTAAAATTCATATGGAACCAAAAAAGAGCCTGCATTGCAAAGTCAATCCTAAGCCAAAAGAACAAAGCTGGAGGCATCACACTACCTGACTTTGAACTATACTACAAGTCTACAGTAACCAAAACAGCATGGTACTGGTATCAAAACAGAGATATAGACCAATGGAAAAGAACAGAGCTCTCAGAAATAATGCCTCATATCTACAACTATCTGATCTTTGACAAACCTGACAAAAACAAGAAATGGGGAAAGGATTCCCTATTTAATAAATGGTGCTGGGAAAACTGGCTAGCCATATGTAGAAAGCTGAAACTGGATCCCTTCCTTACATCTTATACTAAAATTAATTCAAGATGGATTAAAGACTTAAATGTTAGACCTAAAACCATAAAAACCCTAGAAGAAAACCTAGGCAATACCATTCAGGACATAGTCATGGGCAAGGACTTCATACCTAAAACACCAAAAGCAATGGCAACAAAAGCCAAAATTGACAAATGGGATCTAATTAAACTAAAGAGCTTCTGCACAGCAAAAGAAACTGCCATCAGAGTGAACAGGCAACCTACAGAATGGGAGAAAATTTTTGCAAACTATTCATCTGACAAAGGGCTAATATCCAGAATCTACAAAGAACACAAACAAATTTACAAGAAAAAACAACCACATCAACAAGTGGGAGAAGGATGTGAACAGACACTTCTCAAGAGAAGACATTCATGCAGCCAAAAGACACATGAAAAAATGCTCATCATCACTGGCCATCAGAGAAATGCAAATCAAAACCACAATGAGATATCATCTCACACCAGTTAGAATGGAGATCATTAAAAAGTCAGGAAACAACAGGTGCTGGAGAGGATGTAGAGAAATAGGAACAGTTTTACACTGTTGGTGGGACTGTAAACTAGTTCAACCATTGTGGAAGTCAGTGTGGCGATTCCTCAGGGATCTAGAACTAGAAATACCATTTGACCCAGCCATCCCATTACTGGGTATATACCCAAAGGATTATAAATCATGCTGCTATAAAGACACATTCACACGTATGTTTATTGCGGCATGGTTCACAATAGCAAAGACTTGGAACCAACCCAAATGTCCAACAATGATAGACTGGATTAAGAAAATATGGCACATATACACCATGGAATACTATGCAGCCATAAAAAATGATGAGTTCTTGTCCTTTGTAGGGACACGGATGAAGCTGGAAACCATCATTCTCAGCAAACTATCGCAAGGACAAAAAACCAAACACCGCATGTTCTCACTCATAGGTGGGAATTGAACAATGAGAACACATGGACACAGGAAGGGGAACATCACACACTGGGGCCTGTTGTAGGGTGGGGGGAGTGGGGAGGGATAGCATTAGGAGATATACCTAATGCTAAATGACGAGTTAATGGGTGCAGCACACCAACATGGCACACGTATACATATGTAACAAACCTGCACGTTGTGCACATGTACCCTAAAACTTAAAGTATAATAAAAAAAAGAAAAAAAATGCTATTTTTAACTTACAAGTAGAATTCATGATGTTTACACACTGCTCTTTGCTTTATAAACTCTTTTTTCTCAACAAGAGAAGGCGTTTTTATTTTTAATTATTATGGATACATAATAGATGTACATAAGAAAGGTTTTTAAATAAAATAAGCTTAGTAGTTTTGTTTTTAATTAATAAATTTTATTTGTAGAGCAGTTTTGTTTTTTGTTTTTTGTTTTTTTTTTGAGATGGAGTCTCGCTCTGTCCCCCAGGCTGGAGTGCAGTGGCGCAATCTCGGCTCACTGCAAGCTCTGCCTTCCAGGTTCACGCCATTCTCCTGCCTCAGCCTCCCGAGTAGCTGGGACTACAGGCACCCGCCAACACAGCTGGCTAATTTTTGTATTTTTAGTAGAGATGGGGTTTCACGATGTTAGCCAGGATGGTCTAGATTCACAACAAAACTGAGAAGAAAGTACGGGAAGTTCCCACATACCCTATTCCTGTCCCCATACACATACAACCTCCCACTATTGACGTTCCACACCAGAGTGGTACATTTGTCACCACTGATGAGCCTACATTGACACATCATCATCCAAAGCCTGTAGTTTATATTAGGGTTTACTCTTGGTGTTCTACATTCTGTAGACTTGGACAAATGTATAGTGATGTATCCACTATAGTCATGTCATACAAAACAGTTTCACTGCCCTAAAATTAATGTTTTGGGGGCACTAAACCTCTGTGCTCTGCCTATTCATTTCTTCCTCTAACTCACACCTTGCAAACACTGATCTTTTTACTATCTCCATAGGTTTGCCTTCTTCAGAATGTCATATGGTTGGAATCACACAGTACAGAACCTTTTTAGATTGGCTTCTTTCATATAGTAATGTGCATTTAAGTCTCCTTCATGTCTTTTCATTACTTGATAGCTCATTTCTTTTCAGCACTAAATCATATTCCATTATCTGGATGTACCACAATTTCTATATTCACCTATGGAAGGACATCTTGGTTGCTTCCAAGTTTAGCAATTATGAATCAAGCTGCTATAAATACGATAAACATGCATGTACAGGTTTTTGTGTAGACATAAGTTTTCAATTCATTTGAGTAAATACCAGAGAGCATGATTGCTAGACAGTATAATAAGAGTATGTTTAGTTTTGTAAGAAACTGCCGAAGTGTCTTCCAAAGTGCTGCACCATTCCGGGTTCCCATCAGCAATATGAGAATTCCTATTGCTCTACTTACTTGACAGCATTTGGTATTTGTATTAGTCAGGGTTCTCTAGAGGGACAGAGCTAATGGGATAGATAGATAGATAGATAGATAGATAGATAGATAGATAGATAAATTTAATATATATAGATAGATTTATGTATCTATACATGTATTTATGTATTTAATATACATAGATATATTTATGTATATATATTAAACTCATATATATATATATTTATATATATATATATATATATATATATATGAGTTTATTAAGTATTAACTCACACAATCACAAGGTCCCACAATAGGCCATCTGCAGGTTGAGGAACAAGGTGAGCAAGTCCACCTTCCAAAACTAAAGAAACTGGAATCCGATGTTCAAGGGCAGGAAGCATCTGGCATGGGAGAAAGATGTAGGCTGGGAGGCTAGACCAGTTTCTCATTTCACGTTTTTCTGCCTGCTTATATCCTGGCCTCTCTGACAGCTGATTAGATTGTGCCCACTCAGATTAAGGATGTGTCTGCCTTTCGCATTGCCCATTGACAAATGTTAATCTCCTTTGGCAACACCCTCACAGACACACCCAGGATCAATACTTTGTATCCTTCAATCCAATCAAGTTGACACTCGGTATTAACCATCACAGTATTGTCAATGTTTTGGATTTTGACCATTCTAATAGATATGTGGTTATATCATATTATTGTCTTAATTTGCAATTCCCTAATGACATATGATATTGAACATCTTTTCATACGCTCACTTTGCCATTTGTATATTTTCTTTAGCGAGGTGCCTGCTCAGGTCTTTTGCACATTTTCTAAATAAGTTGTTCATTTTCTTATTGTTGAGTTTTAAATGTTCTTTGTATATTTTGGATAACAGTTTTTTTATCAGATGTGTCTTTTGCAAGTATTTTCTCCCATTCTATGGTTTGTCTTCTCATTCTCTTAATGCTTAGTAGTATTTAGTATTCCCAAACATGTTGAGCTATGCAGAGTCCTAATGAAAAAGGAAAAATGTATTTGATTTCCAGATTTAAGTGCCAGGTGAATTAATCTCTAGTGTTTTATTTTTATCAAAATTGATTATGGAGCTTTTGATAAAATCATGTTCCTTTTAGAAATGAAATGTAGTCTCAGAAAATACATTTTGTTATCTTCTCCAGTTTGCTTTTTAATAGAACTTTAACTTCCCATAGCAAGTGAAATTTCATTACACACAAATTGTTTGCCTTTTTGAGGAAGAAGGGGTATGCAAACTAAATATGTTTTTAAAAAAATAAAAAGAGATCAGCCATAGAACTATTGTGTAAGGCAAACCTGCTAGGCTGACTTTACCAGAAAGTAATTAAGAATAGTATATAAATACTTCTATTTGGATATAGATATATTTCTCACATGAAAAACATTAGTCTCACTCTTCATATAACTTTATATAACTAAAATTTATCAAAACTTATTTCTGATATTATTATGTACAAGCTAAGGAAGTCTTTAACAGATTCCTCTGTATCTCCATGTTTATCTGGGATGTCATAAATTCTGACTTTCAGCATGCATGAATAGTCAGGTTGATTTTTAACACAGCAGAGGAAACGATCCTGATGGTTGAATTAGGTTTACTATTTAAAGAGAATTTTTATGGCTCCAAAATACTTTATCTACATTAAACACTGAATAGCATGAATTAATGGGTAACCTCATCTAATCTTATGCAAGGATCTTTAGATAGCTATTGTGCTACAAAGAAAAGAAAAAAAAAAGAGTATTCAGTAGAGGCAATTGTTTAGATAGATTTCCTTTCTAATGTTATCTTAAGTTTATTTTTTCCAAAAAGTGTGTGCCGGCTGTCCCTAGAGGTCATATCCACCAATGTAGACATGAGGTCTCACGAAAGGTCTAGCTTGAGTTTTCATTGTTGACTGTGTGTGATTTACTCACCAGTATTTGGGCTCTGAACAGCAGGCATCCTGGAACTGTCTAGTGATAATTTAGCCATTGTACAAAGGTAGTTTTAGGTAGGATATCAAGACACTTAAGATTCTTACATGATCTCAAGATATTCTGAGTTTCAATCAAAGAGCCCCCCCTTAAATTACTCAAATATATAGGCACCAACACACAGATGTGGGGTTTGGGTAATTGAAGCTATCAGGTTTACCTGGAAGCAGTCCTGAATGAATAACCTAGAAGTGAGACAACCTGAAGCTGAATAAATCAAGTGGGTTTTCTAACGGAAAGATCCGTATACTTCAATTATTCATGAAGCCTTGAATGTGGAAGCTTGACCTGTGAAATCTTGTAGGTCAAATGACTGCTTCTATGCAAGACTCCAATAAGCACCAAAAATTACTTCTTTTTCCTGCTCTATATGTCAGCTAAGGATGATTTTCCTGAACTTTTTTTTTTAACCTCCTCTCCTCAAATGCAGAAAGAAAGAATCAAGTAGTTAGAATCAACCACCTCTGAGACCAAGCCTTGGGAATCCTGAGGTGAAAATGGGACCTCTAAAAATAACCAACCTTGGTCTGTGTGGGGGAAAAAGACTTTCTCAGGACCCTGCTGAGCCAAGGAGAGACAATATCTCCAGCATAGACAAGGGTTACATTACACAGGACTTTTGAGGTTTTTGCAACACCAGGGTCTAGATTTTAATCCAAAACTGAGAGCTAGTTAAAAACAGGGAAGTGGCTGGGCACAGTGGCTCACGCTAGTAATCCCAGAACTTTCAGAGGCCGAGGCAGGAGGATTGCTTGAGCTCAGGAGTTTGGGAGCAGCCTGGGCTACATGGCAAAATCCCTTCTCTACAAAAAATAGAAAAAATTAGCCGGGTGTGGCGGCAAACACCTGTAGTTCCAGCTCCTCAGGAGGCTGTGAGGTGGGAAGATCACTTGAGCCCAGGAGGTTGAGGCTGTAGTGAGTTGTCATTGCACCAAGGCACTCCAGCCTGGGCAACAGAGCCAGACCTTGTCTCAAAAAAGACCAAACCAAAAAAAAAAAAAAAGGAAGCATAAAGTATAGGAGAAAGCCTCAAGCATAAAGGAGGTGAAAGGAAATTAGTGCTCGTTGGGAATACGCTATTCTAATAATAATATCATAATAACTAACATTTACAGGGTACTTAAAATGTGTCAGGCATTGTTCTATGAGTTTCTATAGACATCATGTCACATAAGACACATAAGTTCATTTAATCCTAACCACAAGCCTATGAGGTAAGTACTGTTATTATCATTCAGAAGGCAGCTTCTCTTCTTACCCTGTGCCTTTATTGATGTTGAACTGTTCATCAGCACACCCTAAAAGAAGATGTAGCTGCAAATTCATAGTGCAGTCATGTATATTTTTTAGAAAGAATTTCACAGGGACATAGAAGAATATATCACATATGACAGAAAGCCTCATCCTTTTCTATATTCAACATTTTGCTTCTCATCATACCACTCCCTTTACACACAGAGCTTCTAGAAGTTATTCCCTTATCTAGGTCCTCAGCTTTGTGTCCATTCAGCAAGACACAATCAGCCAGCTGCCACACCTAATCCTCCTTAGAAAGCAGTTTAGGGACCACGTACTCTCTCTCACCCATATCCCCAGACCATCACCTCTACCTGCTTTCCTAAGTATTCACCTAACCAATAAGTCTTTTTTTGTGTGGCAGGTGGGGGAGCGAAATCTGTTGTCAAGGAAATAAAGTGTCCTCCACATTGTTACATCATGTTTCATGTACTTTGTATGAACCAAGTTATTAATTTTTTTACAATGACACTATTAGGTACCTATTATATTATCACTTACCATTTTAAAGATGAGAGGCCTGAGTTTCAGGATTTAAATTTCCCCAGAATTATAACTAGGGTAACTAGGGTAACCAACCATCTCAGATTGCCTGAGACTGACCCCATTTTAAATATGGGAAGTTTCAGGTCCTGGGAAAAACCTCTATCCCAAGCCAGTAAAATAAACCATATCCCAGGCTAGTAAAATAGTAATGGTTGATTCTCAATCCAGGTTTTCTGACAGATTAGGTGGCCACTCAATGAACACTTGCTGAATAAGGGGAGTGGGTATGGGGGAGGAGAGAGAAAGAAAGATTGCAGGAAAGAAAAAGGAAAGAAAGAAGGAAGGAAGGAAGGAAAGAAAGAAGGAAGGAAAGGAGGGAGGGAGGGAAATGAAACATGAGGGAAATGGAAGCTGCATGGAGATTTAATATCTCATGAATCATATTACCTATAATTTACTTTATACACAGTATATATATTTGTGTATATATATTTGGTTAATATTTGAGGGTACCTCTGTAATCATGAATAACCCATGATAGTTGCATAGCATTTGAACCACAAACACTTGAACTATCTTCACCTAGATCAGCACTATAGAATTTGCTTATTTGCATAAGGAATATTAGAAATAATATTTCATGGATGAAATGAATAATATTTAAGTACAGTGGATTGAATATAGTAATCTAGCAAGCCCAGCAGCCTGACCCATGTGGTATTCTTAGCCTCCAATTCAGTCCTGAGTCCCACAACTTAACGGATGATTCTGTCACCTTATTCCAACTAGAGATTTAGCTGAATCCTGCTATCGCAATAGCATTGAAACTGCCTCCAAAGAACCTTTCATGCAGAGAACTTGCTACCAGGTGGTGATATAATGAAAGGCAGGGACTAAAGAACAGAGAATGGGACCTCACTGACTTTACAGGAGCAAGCTGGATGGTTATTTTGTGGTTGCTTGCTGATAATTGCTCACATGAGTGGAAAATTTCAGCATGAGATATGTTTTCATTATAATATGTCACCTGGGAGCAAGACGGTAGGGAAGGAAACCTATAGCCTTTACCTACCTCAAACTATAGAACGCTTCTAATATCTACCAAAATAAACCATCTCCTTGTGACTGGCCAGGTTAGTGTAGGTCTCTTCCCACTCATCACCTATTCAGATTCATTCATATCAAAATTTAAAAAAATAAATTTCTCCTCCAATGAATAATATAGAAAAGCTACATGCTTTAGCCAGAAAAAAACTTTAAACAGTTGTCTATAACGTAAGGCTTCTACTTCCACAAAAGCTATAATATACAAGCTCTTGAAGAAAGAATAGAATGAGCTATTAGGGTAGCTATCCAGCATCTAATTAAAATGAAAGAGCCTGAAAATGGCTTTCTTATTATTAGTGGTACTATTAAAGATGACAGATTGTCCTAGATGCATTGCTCCGACAGAGGACATCCTCTCGCTTCTGGGAAAAGGAGAGTTAATCAGAACAAAATATGGCTGTTAAAAATCCTTCCAAAGCCCACACTTGGAGATTTGTGTTTCATTCATTGATTCTTTTACCATCTCTCCTGCTTTTGCCAACCCACTAAAACCTTTGTCGGGCCAGAAATTCAACTTCTATAAAATGGTAGTTCTTTCTTCACTATAAAACATTTAATCGAGTTAATATTTCAAGGTTTTCATTATGATCATAAGGAAGCATTAATGGTGAGAAGAAAAAAAACAGTCAGCGAAAATTCTATTGCTTTTCCTTTAGTGAATGTGGTCATTACATCCCTTCTTAAGAAGATCTCATTTCCTGAAGGACCTGAACAATGATGAGGTGAGAGGGACAATTAAAACAGATAAAGACAAAACCTTAACCAAATATAAGGAGAGTCAATCCAGAGTAGACTCACCAACATCTCTTCCTTGAGGATTTTCCCTACCACATTTAACATATTTTACTCAAAAGAAATAGATAAAACATATAACCACTCCATGGTGCATCATCTGCATTCTTTTGAAAGTTAAACTTCATTCAAATTTCCATTGTTCATTTAATTTTTTCCTATTTATTTTTTTACATTAGTGTGACTCCTTCTGGTTGTAATTGAGTTTGCAAATGCTCTGAGACATGGCAAATCTATTCTTTTAACAGAACTAGCCACTTTGCAAAGATTCCTCAAGTGATGCTTAGGTCTCAATCACTCCTTTTCAAAGCAGGGAATTTTTAATACAGCAACAAAAATACTTCTGAGTTTTTATGCCTAAGACGATGGAAAAGACAGTGTTTTCTTTTTTTTTTTCCTGCCCTAAATTTTAAGACCTGTAGAGACTCAACCCTAAACAGCTCACTGATCTATTGTTTTGACAGATTTGATCTCAGCTTAACCATAAATTCTGCATACAAATAATGACAGAAGTTGGTACAAAACCCAGCTTAAATGGCCAAATGGTCCACATTGGAAATGTGGGGAATTAACCTATTTGGTTTGTATAAGATTCTAAAGTTTCCAAGCTGAGAGTTTTAGACAGGAAAGGAGAATGATGGGGTTTAAAGGAAATAGAGTATCCAAAGGAGAGAGAACAGAAGCTGAGAGGGTGGGGAGCAGAAGGAAGGGGAGGAAGAAAATAGTTGGCTATAGATTGACTGTTCAGATCACACAGGGGGTATTGTGTTCAGTTCTGAACACTACACATCAAGAAGGGTCTGACCAGCGTCACATAAAAAGCAATGAAAGGGAGAGCGCATATTAAACATTGAGGGAACAGAGAGGAAAACAATCATGGACTCCAAAGCCACTATTGCAGGAAAAATAAAGACTCAAGGAAAAATGAAGACCATTGCAGGGAAAAGACAGGAAGGCATATTTCAGCATAACCTGAGGAAGAGCTTTCTAACTTTTGGAGTTGTCTAAAAATAAGAAGATTCCATCAAGGAGTTATACTTCCCATTACCAAAGCTGTTCAAACAGAGACTAGACAACCTCTTGCCTGAGATGCTGTTAAGGGAATTTGTATGCTAAGCTTGGGCACGGAGCTAGGTGTTTCTGGAATTTCTTCAGTCCTACCTTTAAAATTTTAAAATGTTTAAAGTTGTCTGTTATGATATTCTGGACCTCAGAGATTAATAGCTCATATCTGAAAATTAAAGAATATCAAGAAAGAGCCAGCATAATAAAAACTCAATTTACAGTGGCTTCAATAAACTGAGTCTTATTTTTTTCTTTCCTAACAGGAAATCTAGAGATAGGCTGACATTGTCAATGGAATGGCTGGGATCCTGGCAGCAACCAACTTCTGGATACAAAATGAATCCCTCAGGCCCTCAAGAGCAGGCTTTGTGTCCAGAAAAGACCATCTCTGAGGTGTGTTTTGGTTAACAAACCAATTAATATTCAATGCATTAAATTTACATATTGTTTCTTAAGCTTTCAGCTCAGTTTACTATTCTTATTTATAAATTTCACAAAATTTAAAGGTTGTAAATACTTTCAGTTCAATTTGCAAACTTAATTATATACCTTCAAACATGTTTAACTGCATTATAAATGCACTATATTTGATTTTCTTTTTTGAAGACTTCAGTTTTACAACACACCTTCTTAAGTACCTAAAAATTTGAAAAAGCCTGGTAAATTACATTTACAAATACAGTAAATCTTAAGTTACCTTAATTGTCAGGATAATTGTTAGATAGATAGATAGATAGCTTCAAGATATATCTATATATATCTATACGTATATATATCTTCAAGACCCTGGTTTCCTTTGGATATATATCAAGAAGGGAGATTGGGCATCTTTTTTATGGAAATAGGAAAACAATGCTAATTCAAATGGAACTACAAAAGACCCAGAATAGCCAAAGTGATCTTGAGAAAGAACAAAGCTAGAATCATAAAATTTCCTGATTTTAAAATATGTTGAAAAGCTACAGTAATTAAAGCAGTATAGTACTGGCATAAAGACAAACATATAGACCAATAGAACAGAATAAAATCCAGAAATAAGCCTACTCATATAGGTCAACTGATCTTTAACCAACAGTACACAATATGAAAAGGATGGTTTATTCAACAAACAGTGCTGAGAAAACTGGATACCCTCAGGCAAAAAAGAAAAAAAGAAAAACGAAATTGGACCCTTACCTTATACCATTCACAAAATCAACTTAAAGTAAGTTGAAGATTCACACATAAGAACTGAAACTGTAAATTTCCTGTAATAGATACCTTTAACGTTCTCTTTCCTGGTTCCCACTTGAAACCATAAATCAACACCTTTGGGAGAGCAGCTTTTTTTTTTTTAATTTTTAAATTCCTCATTAGATTCTAATGTGCAGCCAAATTTAAGAAACACCTTTCCTTAATTCCATATAATCCCACTCATTTGGTGTGGTTCAGCTGAGGCTGATCCCATCTTCACCCTTGACCTGGTTGAGTATCGGCACCTGATTTTTATCTGGAAAATTAGAATAATCTCTCCCCTGAGCCACAATAATTAGTTCAAGGTTATGGAGTGACCCAAACCAGGTTAATTGCATTTCTTCTTGAGAATTTTGATAGAACAAACTAGAAAGATATATTTTCATCTGCAGAGAAAATACATTGTAAGGATAATTTAGTCTTTTCTCTCCCAGTGGCAACTTGCTCCCATGTGGAGACAGGATATCTGATAATTAAGTCAAATATAACTGATAGATAGAGGTAATCCTATTTAATAAACCCCTGGATCTTATCCTGAGACTTCCCAGTTAGGTAACCCTAGAGATTACTTCTTTTGATTGTGCTAGGTTGAGTTAGGTTTCTGTCTCCTGCAACTGAGAGAGTTCTTCTATGGGGCATGTGATATCATTTCTTTCCTCCTCCTTCAGGGTGGGAACAGATTTTCTCTTATGATAATTCCCTCCTTATCCTGTATTTTACTCTCTCCCTCTCTACTGGCTTACTTCTTGTTATGCTTAAACATACATTTTTCCAAACACAGAGACAGAAAGCTCCCAAAAGACCTGGTGTTCTCTCCTACCTATCCTTTGTCTCTCTCATTTTCTTCACAGTCAATCCCCTCAAAATAGTGATTTACAAATAATGTATCCCTCTCTTCAACTTCATAAATTTCACCCTTCCCTTCAAAAGGTGAATACAGACCACCTACAAGGACAACGGACTTCCCCCAACCTGAGTTCTCTCTCCGTGATCTTCTGCTCATATTTGACGTTGTTCAGTCTTTAAATCCTCCCTTAGCTTCTATCATGCTATTCTATTCTGGTTATCCTCAGCCCCTCTGTTAGCTTTTTTTCAGCCTTTTCTTTCATTGACTTCTCTTTATATTATCACAACCTACAAATACTGGAGCCCTTCTTCATTGTTCTCTCAATCCTCCTTCCCTGGGAGTTCTCATTCATCTCCTCGGCTTTACTCGCTTCTCTTTATATGTTATTAATTCCAAATCTCTATTTCTAGCCTTTCATGTGTCTTTCTTAGACTCTTGCCCTCCAACACCTCCCATCACTCAACTAACTCCTACTCATCCCTCAGGATTCACTTCAGGCATCACCTCTTCCAGGAAGCCTTTCCTAATTTCCCTGTTTGGTATTTCTCTGTGTTGCAGTATATTATAGTCACCTCGATCAAAGCAGTTATCACACTGTATAGAAACTATCTGTTTATACAGCTCTTTCTCAAGACTGTAAAAGCTTTGAGGCAGTAACTATGCTACATTTATCTTTGTCACTGGCATATAAAAGTTATTCAATAAAGGTTTGCTAAAGTAATAAAAGAATGGTGGCTGCTGATCATTGCAGACTCCCTGTACACTGGACTATTTGGTGAGGTAACACGGCGGTACACCATTCTAGAATTTCTTTCTCATAAATGTATAGGCTGGGAGGGCATTTGAGAGCCTCATTTTTAATAAATGTTTCTTCCTGCAATAATGCATACCTCGATTACATTTACTGTTCAACTCAAATTATAAATATTTTATATGTATTATTGATATATATGTCTTTATGTTTTTCTGTATAATAATAAGAATACATTTGTGTCAAATATTTTTTTGAGAGAGGGTCTTGCTCATTACCCAGTATGGAGTGCAGTGGCATGATCATGGCTCACTGCAGCCTTGACCTCCCAGGCTCAAGTGATCCTCTCACCTCAGCCTCCTGAGTAGCTGGGACTACAGATGTGCACCACCACACCCAGCTAATTTGTATAGAGATGTGGCCTCACCATGTTGCCCAGGCTGGTATTTTTTCTTAAGTTAATGTGCATTTTCCCAGATAGTTCTCATGAAACTCCTGTGAGGTGAGTCAGAATGGAAAGATAAGGAGAAAAGAAGAAGTGAGCAAGTGGGGAGTTGTATTTATTAGCTTGTTATATTATGTAGTGAAAGGTATACAGATGGGGACCTAGGATGTTGAGACCCCCAAGAACTATCAACAGTAGGGAGAGAATGCCTGCTGGAGCAAGAAGAGGAGGACATGGTGGAACAGGCAACAGGAGCATGAGTGAGAGTTGAAACCACTGCTCAACAGAAGCTGTGGTCATGAAAAGATGTAGCTGTTATCTGAACTGCAATAAGGCAAGAGGAATACCTTCTCCAGCCTTCCCACTTCCTTCCCTTCAGACACCCATGGGCCAGAACAGGGCAGGGAGAACAGAAAATGGGAAGCCAAATGGGTGATACCAAGTCAACCCTTTGACTCTGACTGGGTCTGTCGTGGAGTAGAGATTGGAAGAAGCAGTCCCATGAAGGAGTTGACTATGGCTTCTCTTTCTTTACCAATTTACTTCAATAAAGTAAAAACCTTCTTCAATAATTGACTCTTAACTAAGCCTTCCTTAACACAACATCCTGACATACCCAGTGACCTCTCAATTCAGTTCTGCTCTCCCAGTTGAGTTGGTGACTTCCCAAAAATCATATTTCCTTCCAAACCTGCTTATGCCAGTTGTACTTGCTATTGTTTTATGCTACCTATTCACCTAGTCATTAGGTCAACTACAAAGTATAAGTGCAAAAGAAAATAAGTCCTTAAACTTCCTCTCCCCTTAATAGGTATTCACTCTGTAGGTGATCCCAACCAGTCTCGTGACTTTAATCACTTTTACATATTTACAATTCTTTTTTTTTTTTTTTTTTTTTTTTTTGAGACGGAGTTTTGCTGTTGTTGCCCAAGCTGGAGTGCAATGGTGCAATCTCGGCTCATTGCAACCTCCGCCTCCCAGGTTCAACCGATTCTCCTGCCTCAGCCTTCCGAGTAGCTGGGATTACAGGTGTGTGCCACCACGCCCAGCTAATTTTTTGTATTTTTAGTAGAAACGGAGTTTCACCATGTTAGCCAGGTTGGTTAAGAACTCCTGACCTCAGATTATCCACCCACCTCGGCCTCCCAAAGAGCTGGGATTACAGGCATGAGCCACCGCCTCTGGCCCATATTTACAATTCTTAAAGATATATCTCCAGTCTAGATCACTCCTTGACATCCTCCCTTGAATATCTAATATGTATCCTATTTTAATGGGCTCTCAAGTGAGCTCCTGACTTGTGCCACTTCCACCACCATCCTATACCTGCTCTACCTGTGGTCTCACTCATCTTAGGCAATGGTAACTCCATCCTGCTACGTGCTCAGGCAAAAAGCCCTGGATTTATCTTTGATTTCTTCCTCTCTTTCACACTTCACACCCAATCTGTCAGAAAATCTATTGTCTTTACCTTCAACCCATTTTCAAAATTTAACCCCTTCTAATCACCTCACCATTATTACTTTGGTCTGAGCCACCATCCTCTCTTACCTGAATTACTGCCATAGTTTCCTACCTGGTCCTCCCTACGCTGACCCATGCAGTATGTTCTCAGCCTTGCTGTGTGATCATCGTGAGGGATCATGTCATTCTTCTGCTTAAATGCATTGGCTCCCCATTTCTTTCAGAGGAAAATCCAAAGTTCTTTTAATGCCACAAACCCCTAGCTGTTTCTTGGTTCTACGGTCCCTCCCTGAATTCACTTCCTATATCCCTCACCCCACAATGACCTTCTGGCTGTTCCTTGAACATTCCAGACATAGACCCAAGCCAGCGCCTTGGATCTAGCTGCTCCTTACACCTCAAATGCGTCTCCTCCAGACCCCTTCAAGGTCTACTCCCTCCCCTTTCAGTCTTTGCTCAAGTCTCATCATCTCATTAAGAACGACAACACCACATAAAATTGCAGACCTTCCCCAACACTCCTCAGACCTTCTCCAACACTTCTCACTTATTCTGTCTTTCCCAAAGGATTTAGTCCTTTTCGAACACACGTCATAACGGAAATACGTATTGTGCTTATTGTTCAATGTCCACTCCTAATAGAAGGTAAGCTCTCCCTAGGCACATAATTGTAGCTGTTTTCTTCATCCAAGACACTAACAACAGTGACAGGCACACGGCAGAGGCTAAAATATTTGTTGAAATAATTGAAGAAAAATGTTTTAAGAAACACAGCATTTTGAAAGTACTGTTTTTGGTCATGTAGATTTGATTTGATTTGTGTTTCTAAATTATGATCACATTATTATTATTACGACTATTAGTATTAGTATTATTTTACCTATTTGGCTCTTACAAAAATCCAAAAAGAAAAAAAAGAAAATGAAAAAGAAAGTGTCGTGAAATTTCTAGAAGGCAGAGGTTTTACTGGCTCAGAATATAACTGTGCTTAGAACTACTGAATGGAATTCAAAAATTGAGTTTGCTCATCAGAACATAAAAATAAAATAGGAGCCATCTTTTTAATATAGGTGAGTCCTTATAACTCTTTTTTAATACTCTATAAAATTATCATCCTTTCAGTTCCAGGTCTAGGAGATTTTTCCCTTTTAAAATTCTTCCGCAAAAAAAAAAGTCACAAATCTAATAGGACAGGAACTCTTAAAACCACAGATATGATTAAGGCTCAGTTCCCTAATAAATGTGCAATGAAACACTTGTCAGCCCTTGAAATAATGAGCTGTGATCTATGATAAATGTGCCAATAACACATTTTCCAGGGCAGCATATTTCAGATGGGTAGGAAATAGTTGAATCACAGCAGGATCTTATTTTTACACAAATTACTTCTAAACTCCAAACATATCTAAAATTAATTTCTTTCATCACATTAACACTGGGCTGTTAATCACCGGAATGTGTGCTCATATTTGACAGACATAAAAACTGATTTACATTTGGAAGAGGAGGAGGACATGCATAAAAGAAGCATGTTCCTCATGTGAAATAAAGTTTTGCATATCCTGTTTCATAAAATATATTGCTTGTTGACTAGTCACAGATGATTATGAAGGCGAATGCAGTAATGGCTTATGAACTTCAAATTAAAAGATCTGGCCTTTCTTCAACAGCGTACATGAATTAAGAACAATATATAATGCAATATGCCTGTAACAGAAAGAGGGAAATTACAAAATGCTTAAGCCTCTCTGGTTAATTTCTGGGAATTAATTTATTCACTCATTCAGTTATGGATACACACAAAAGTATATTGAATTTCTATGATTCCCTACTCAAGTGCAGTTCTAATTCTAAGGTAGAAAATAATTCAAGGTACACAATACATTAATTACTATGAGAATAGAATGTATAGGATGCTATGGGGACCTAGGTGAAGGACAGACTGCCTCATCTGCAAGACAGGAACTAATGATAGTTCCTAATCCAGAGAATTAATGTGAAGATTAAACGAGTGAGGGTGTATGGAAAAGCTTAAAGCGACCTGGCCCATGGTGAACACTCAGTGCATGTTGGCCTTTATTACAAGGCCACATGTGTTCAAGCCACACGTGATTAAATATTTATGTCAGGCATGGTACTAGGCAGGGAGAATACTCACCCATCTCATGGCACTTATAGTCTAGTGGGGAAGACTGTATAATATAACAAATATTCCAGGAGAGGATGCAAAATTCCTATGGAAAGGGAGAGCCAGGCCCCTAACAAGTCTGGGAATTAAAGAAAGTCCTACACAGAGTGTATTATAAGCAGAACCAGTGAGTGCCCCCCTAGGATTCTCCTGGCCACTAGTTTTACAAAAAGGATTAAGCCATAGCATAACCCAGCTATGGATAAAGAAGGAAAGGACTATATCCCAAAGGAGTCTTAAGGCTAGACCAGCATGCACTAACTGGGAAAGTACACGGGGGGCTGAATACTGAGAATGTTTGATTAAGGGAGGCAAAACATAAAACTGGATACGGAAGAGTTTGTTGACTCATTTGAGGGCACCATCCCAAGAGACAGGATTTAACACTCCAGCAATGACCCTAGGCAAGGGTGCTAACTAAATCATTGCTAATGTGGCTCCTAGAGGCATCAAAAAAGCAATAGCTCATGCTGAAAAGACAGAATTGAGGTGGCAGAATGGTGGAGCAAGAGATTAAAAGTCTCTGGAAAGTGGAACCTGCTGGAATGGATATACTGCATACAGCCAAAAGACATCCAGATTAGGTTCCACCAGAGGGTCCAGGTGACATGACACACACCAAGGCTACTGGAATGTGCTGGTGAGCAGGCACCGGCATCACTAAGAAGGTGAGTGGTGGCTGTCCCCTGCAGGCCTGGGCTGACAGTGGGAGAACCTGCTACGGAATCTGGTTCATCAATAGCAATCAGATGATAGGCTAGAATGCCTGAACAACAGAGGTCAGGCAGTAAGACTTCACCGTTGGAAGCCTGGGGTCTGAATGAGTTGGAGTGGCAGCTGGGTGGGCGGGGGGGGGGCACATACACAAGTTATGGAGATGGTTGAGAGAATGTAGCAGCTCTGGGGACAAAATAGATGGACAATTGACATGGATATTACTCAGTTTATACCAGTGGAAGATATCAAGAATGGATGGCCAGGAGGCTGAGGGGAAGTCACCCCTTTCCCAGATTCCAGACCTGAGCCAGTTTTCAGACCTGGAGCCCACTGGCTGATGAGGTGACCAGCTCTCTAGGAGAAAGGATCCTGCACCATCATGCCAATCACACCGTGGCAATTTCCTAATTCTTCCACAAAGGAACCTACAGCCTTTTGCATGAGTAACTGAACACTGGAGAAAATGGACCACCAGACATCTCAATTATTGGACACAGGATCTGATTGACATTAATACTGTAATACCTGGAGCATCATCAGGCCTCTCTTCATATTAGAATGGGGGCATATAGAATCTATGTAATCCATGTAATCCTGAAACATTTGGCATACAGTGGGTCATACTGGGTCACCAGACCCACTCAGTGCCATTTGTTCAGTCTCAAAATATATAACTGAGATCAATATACTTCGCAGTTGATGCCTTATTCTGCAGGGTAAGAATTATCAGAGCGGAGAAGGCAACATGGAGGTCTCTGAAACTGACCCTTTCTGGCCAAGATAATAAATCAAAAGCAATATTGCATCTCCTGGGGGAGATCCACATGAGTGATCTCCTTAAGAGTCTAAAGGATGCAAAGGCCATAGATAGTCCCTATCATACCTTCATTAAATTCACCAGTCTGGTCCCTGGAAACTGGAGGATGAATCCTGCAGTATGCCTGGGATGCAAGTTCAACCCAGATTGCAGTCACCATGCTCACTGTGGTATCTTAGCCTCAGACACATGGTGTGTGGCCATTGATTTGGTGAAGGTGTTCATTTCTATCATTATCAGAAAAGAGAATAAAAAAGTTTGCATTAACATGGAATAAAGAACAGGAAACATTTGAAGGTTTGCCCCAGGGCTACGTTAATTCTCCTACCCTTTAACATAGAAAGGTTAGAGAGATCTGAACCATCTGAACATCCTAGAAAACAGCACATTGATCTGTTACATGAAAAGTATTATGTTGGTGGGGCTGAATGAGCTAGAGGTGGCTTGCATGCTGTGGGCCACACATGTGCTACAGAGGGTGGGAAGTAAAACTCACAAAGAATCAGAACCTGCCACATCTGTAAAATGTTTAGAAATCCAGTGGTCAGGACATCCATTCCAAAGTAGAAGCAGCTCATTGCATTGTGCCCTGTTATAACAAAGAAGGCACAGAAAGGAAAGGCCTTTTTGGGTTCTGGGGCAGCATATTCCACACCTGGAATTACTGCTTTATCTATATACCGGGAAATATGAAGAGCTTGGATCTTGAGTGGGGCCTGGAGCAGGAAAGGGCCCTGAAGCAGCCTAAGGCAGTGCAAGCAGCCTGCCACTGGGGAAAACAACTCAACAAATGCAATGGTTCTGGAAACAGCAGTAGAGAGAAAAGATGCTTTGTGCAGTCTGGAACATCCCAGTGTGAGAACCCCAATATAAACCCTTTGGGGACTGGAGCATGCCATGTCTTCTGCAGCGGAGAATTATACACCTTTTGAAAGACAATCTTGTCACGTTGTTTGGCCCTGGTAGAGCTGAGATGACAAATGACCATTCGACTAGAATTACTAGTCCCCTCAGCCTCATCAAGTCATAACAGAGGCCCATCAGGAATTCATTATAAGATGAAAATGTTGCATCAAAGATTAAGCCTAGCAGAACCAGAAGGGACAGCATATTCCGTGAGCATAGCCCAGACCCTCATGGCCCCCACCTATATCCCACCAGCACCCTTCCTCGGCTCACAGCTCTTGCCATATGGAGACTCCTGCATGCAAGCTGGAAGTGAAAGTCAGAGTGTGATTTCCAATGGTAGCTCTGTTTTGTGATTACAAGATGAAAATGTAGTTTTTCTTGGGGTGGCCTTCTAAGACAAGGGTGGGCCAGGTGCAGTGGCTCACACCTGTAATTTCAGTAATTTGAGAGGTTGAGGCAGGCAGATCACCTGAGGTCAGAAGTTTAAGACCAGCCTGGCCAACACGGTGAAACCCCATCTCCATTAAAAACACAAAAAAATTAGCCAGACATGGTGGCATGCGCCTGTAATTCCAGCTACTCGGGAGGCTGAGGCACGAGAATTGCTTGAACCTAAGAGGTGGAAGTTACAGTGAGCCAAGATCATGCCACTGCACTCCAGCCTGCCCAACAGAGTGAGACTCTGTCTCAAAAAAAAAAAAAGGTGGGAGAAAATCCTCCTTGTAGGCAGTGGGTTAGGTATGACACTTGATCATCCACTTTGTGGGGAAAGAGAAAGGGCTTGACTCATAGGCAGTGGTGAATGGTCTGGCGTGCTGGAGGGAGACCTGGAAGGACCAAGACTAAAAGTTCAGCGCCAAAAAGGGAAATGTGGGCCTGGACCTATGGGAATTGGCAGGGAGTATGAAGACCTTGGTATTACATTACAGTGCCCACCAAAACCAATTAGGAAAGATGAGTCTTATAATCCTTAATTTTACTATACTTTATTTAGCTGTAAGTTTATACAATTTAATTTTTAATAATGAGTTCTTAACAACTGGCATCCATATAAAAATAAATAAATAAAATACATAGGAATACCTCTAACCAAGGAGGTGAAAGATCTTTATAAGGAAAACTACAAAACATTGCCGAAAAAAATTCTAGATGACACAAACAAATGGAAAAACACTCCATGCTCATAGATCAGAAGAATTAATATTGTTAAAATGACCATACTACCCAAAGTAATCTACAGACTCAATCTTATACCTACCAAAGTACCAACATCATTCTTCACAGAATTACAGAAAACTATTCTAAAATTTATATGGAAGCACAAAAGAGCCTGAAGATCCAAAGCAACCAAGCCAAGAGAATAGAGCCTGAGGCATCACATTACCCAACTTCAAACTATACTATAAGGCTACAGTAGCCAAAACATCATGGTACTGGTACAAGAACAGACACATAGATCAATGGTGTAGAATGGAGAACTCAAAAACAAAACCACACACCTACAACCATCTGATCTGCAACAAAGTTGACAAAAATAAACAATGGGAAAAGGACTCCTTATTAGAATAGTTGTGCTGGAATAACTGGGCTAGCCATATGTGGAAGAGGGAACCTGGATCTCTACTTTTCATCATATATAAATTAAGTCAAGATGAATGAAAGATTTAAGTATAAGACCTCAAGCTATAAAAATCCTAGAAGAAAATCTAGGAAATACCCTTCTCAACACTGGCCTTGGCAAATAATTTATGGCTAAGTCCTCAAAAGCAATGGCAACAAAAACAAAAAATTGACAAACGGGGCCTAATTAAACTAAAGAGTTTCTGCACAACAAAAGATAATATCAGCAGAGTAAACAAGCAACCTACAGAATAGAAGAAAATATTCACAAACTATGCATCCAACAAAGACCTAATATTCAGAACCTATAGGGAACTTAAACAAATCAACAAGCAAAAGCAAATAACCCCATTAAAACATGGGCAAAGGATAGACACTTCTCAAAAGAAGACATGCAAGTGTCCAAGAAACTTACGAAAAAATGCTCATCATCACTAATCATCAGAGAAATGCAAATCAAAACCACAGTGAGACACCATCTCACACCAGACAGAACAGCTTATCATTAAAAAGTCAAATGATGGCCAGGTGCAGTGGCTTGCACCTATAATCCCACAACACTTTGGGAGGCCAAGGCGGGTGGATCACCTGAGGTCAGGAGTTCGAGACTAGCCCAGCCAACATGGGGAAACCCTGTCTGTACTAAAAATACAACAAATTAGTGGGTGTGGTGGCAGGTGCCTATAATCCCAGCTATTCAGGAGGCTGAGGCAGCAGAATCGCTTGAACCCGGGAGACGGAGGTTGCGGTGAGCCAAGATCGTGCCATTGAACTCCGGCCTGGGCAACAAGAGTGAGACTTTGTCTCAAAAAAAAAAAGTCAAAAGATAACAGATGCTGGCATGTCTACGAAGACAAGAGAATGCTTTTATACTGTTGGTGAAAGTGTAAATTAGTTCAGACACTCTGGAAAGCAGTGTGGAGATTTCTCAAAGAACTTAATATGCCTAGTGTTCCATTATTGGAACACTAAGCACGTGGGAGTTATTTATATCCTACTGCTCAAGGTCACCTCCAAGGTCTCATTACAAAAATTCAAAAAATTGCAACCTCAGGCCTAAATGGGTTAAAACAGAACTATGACCCAGCAATCTCATTCCTGGGTATATATTCAAAGGAAAATAAATCATTCTACCAAAAAGATACATGAACTCATGTTCATCACAACAGTATTCACAATAGCAAAGACAGGGAATCAACTGAGATGCCCGTGAACAGTGGATTAGATAAAGAAAATGTGGTACATAAATACCATAGGATACTATGCAGTCATGAAAAAGAATGAAATCATGTCTTTTGCAGCAATGTGGATGCAGCTGGGGTTCATTATCCTAAGCGAATTAACACGGGAACAGAAAAATAAATACTGCCATGTTCTTACCTATAAATGGGAGCTAAACATTGAGCATACATCAGCATAAAGAGGGAACAATGGGTACTGGAGACCACCAGAGGGGAAGAAGGGAGTGGGACAAGGGCTGAAAAACTCTTATTAGTTACTGTGCTTGCTGCCTGGGTGATGGGTTCATCCATACCTCAAACCTCAGCATCACACAATGTTTCCATGTAGCAAACCTGCACATGTACCTCCTGAATCTAAAAGAAAAGTTGAAATAATTAAAAAAAAAAACCCTCATTATGAAAGCCTATTTAATGACAGAGAAAAGCTCACTGCAAAATAGAAAAAGAAATAAATTTTCGAAAGAAAACTATATATAGTACACAAAAAATAGAGAAAATGCACAATAAAATATTAACTGTAGTTGTCTCTGAGTGGTGGAGATGTGAATAATTTTGTTTTCTTTAAAACTTTTCTACATTTTCCAAATGTCTCTGAGAATTATGTATTATTTCACAAAGTAATAATAACTGGCATGAAAATTCTCTGAAAATTTAACAATTAGCTCTTGCATGCTGACACGAGCTGGCTCCAGTACACCAGTAGGCCTGAAAATAACTTGGTTAAGTTTTTTGCTAAGAGGCAGAAATAAGAATCAAGATATGAGTTACATCACATAATAGGAAAATAAAGATCGTGAATTATTGGAACCTATAACTGAGTGGCTTGTGGAAGTTACACTTGCTACATTTCTTTATCAAGGTGTCCCAAAATAGAATAAAAATTGCTGGCTTAAAGCTCGAAGCTTGGTAAGATGTGCCCTTGTCAATTTAAAACAATATAAACAACCAGTAATTCCATGAGAAAAAAAAAATCTTGTGTATTAGTGTATTGTTTGCTGGTGTGATGAAATGCCTACTATCATTTTGAAATTATTAGACAGTATTCATTTCTCTGCCCATTCTCTACTTGCCAGGAGCAGAGTCTACAATTTACAGCATCAGCTGCTTAGTTTATAATCTTGATTGAGGTCATTTAATTTGAAATTAAATCAAGCAAAATAAATAAAGGCAAGATTCTACTGAGCATGTACATTACAACTATGACTATACAAATACCACCCGGTAAGAATAAATGGAACTAACTCTGAAAATTTTACTTGTCTTCAATGGCTTTCAAAGGGTCAGAGGAATATACGGTATTATAAGATGTAAACATTTCCTTTGAAGATCTATAGAGTAAATATCTAGTTGTCAAGCTAAATTGCTGAAGAAATGGGGGGGTTCCATCCAAAATTTGTGAGGAAGATAATAAAGTAATAGCAGCTTCTTTTGAAAGCACATTTTTGACCTACTTTATAAATTCCTATACTATGTTTCTCCTGGGCCACACTAGAGGGCGAACTTTCCCTTCTCTAGAAATCTTCCTAACCTGTGTCCTTTCAAAGGGACGCATTTTTCTAAGGAAGGTTGTTAATCTCCAGGAAATCTTAAAGACAATCAAGTAGGTTCAGTTAAAACAATCAGAATTAGCGGACTCCAGGAGAGAGCTTATTTACAAAGCAGAGGACAGTTTAAAGCAAAATGAAAGGAAAACAGAAAACAAAAACCCCTGTCCTCTATCAATTACTAATACGTTTTATACCTTGCACTTTATAAAGTGTGTTATGAATATTGTCTCTCCACATTCTCTCAGAGACCATATGTAATATTTTAGTCCATTTTCAAGCTGAGAAGCTGAGAAAATTGAAGCTCAGTGGTTTCAAGAGACTCGCTCAAGGTCAAACCGGTTTAAGGCAAGCAACCGAATCTAGTTATGATTTGAACTAATTTCTTCTTTCTTAAAGTTTGGCTCATTGAAGACCCAAGGTCTGTGGCATATGCAATGAGCCAGACTTGAAGAACTGTAGCTTTTCATGAAAAAACTCAGGACATCCCAGGGCAACAGCCCAGCTCGACATTCTCAGATGAACAAACTAGACTCTGGCTATCCCCACTTTGTAAGAAGAGCTAATGAGCAGAAACTTTCCATGACATCTGTACTCTCCTAAGGCTATGATTAAATCATTGACTTAAAATATTGCAAGTATGACACATTTGATTATTTTGCCCCTGGAAAAAATATTATAGGATATGCACTAATTTATTTACTTACATTAAGTAAAGATTTATAAAGAAGCTCTTTAAGTTACAATCCAAATTAAGAGAAAATATAAATTAGAATGTGATTACCTAAGTCACAGAAGGTCCCTTGCTTTCAAAAGGATTCGCTCCAGGGTTCCTTTGAACTGAGAGCTGCCCAGCTGTATGTTAAATGAGCCCATTTACAGTACAAGGGCTCAATTTACATAGAAATGCCCAGAAACAGAGCTGTCACACAAAGTGAAAGGCATCTGCACTGTACTTTGTGTTAGCAGGAAGATTTAAATATATAGAAAATACCAGGCGGGAGAACATCTATCTATGGTTGAGCTTGAATCCACCTCCAGCCCTCTGTTAGCTCACAAATCAGGAGGCGGAAATGATTCTCCAGGTTCTTCTGGTTCCTTCTCTTGCTCCCAGTTGCCGAGGTATTGATCCTGCTATTAAAGTTGTCGGAAATTTCCACAGCTTCCCACAGAAGTCCCCATTCTCCTCCTCATCAGCACATTCCGCATGTGACCCAAAGTGTAGCAGGTGCCTGAAGCTGATTAAAGAAAAGACAGTCTCCCGCTTCATGGACTTTAAATTCCCCTGATGAAAAGGGAATGCACATGTGCCTTCTCAAGCCACCAATAACAGCTGAAAAACGACAGGTGAGATCGAATGATTTAATAACGTGTTCCTCTGTTTCTCTTCTGCAAATACTCAGGGGCATATTAGGCATTGTGTTTTGTTTCCCCTCTTTGTAGAGGGTTTGTGGACAGGTACGTGGGAAAGGAAGTGAGGGAAAAAAAAAAAAAAGAACAGACAAGTGGCTCAGTGCAGTGGCTTACTCCTGCAATCCCAGCAATTTTGGAGGCTGAGCGGGGAGGACCACTTGAGCCCAGGAGTCTGAGAACAGCCTGGGCAATATAATGAGACCCTGTCTCTACAAAACGTTAAAAAATTAGCCAGGTGTGGTGACATACCTGTGGTCCCACCTACTCAGGAGGCTGAAGTGGGAGGATTGCTTGAGCCCAGGAATTTGAGGCTGCAGTGAGCCATGATTGTGTCACTGCACTCTATCCTGGGTGACAGAGTGGACCCTGTCTTTAAAAAAAAAAAAAAAGAAAAACAGAGGTTTCTGAGGACAGGTTAGAAATTTATTTACTTTCTACTTATTTGATTATGTATTTGTGTATGTATTTATTTATCGCCTCATTCTAAAAAGAAATTTGCAGCAGCAAATGATATTATAAAATAGAATGTCAATATAAAAATAGAAAACCAGAGGGAAGGAGAGAAAAGGAAATTAAGATAAGGGAAATAATGGTATTTCAATAACATGCAATAATACATTTGGTAGAGTTCTGCCAAAATATTTCTACAGCACCTTGATCTTTGAAAATCCAGGCAGGTTTTAAAAATCCAGAATGGGTTCAGTTCTCAGAAATCCATTCAAAAAGGAGAAACAAGGTATGTCGCACAATTTACATCAGATTACAAAGCAGATCAGCTAGCTCTTTAAGAGAGGCATTTTTGTCTCAGCTAGCCTCTGATAAATTTTTTCCCTCTATTCTCAACTTGTGGGCAACGCCACCCCTAACAATAAATTCAACAGCAGATTTGGGGGCCAGTGGCTTATAAATTCTCTCAAAATAGACAAATGGCTCAAGAACAAACCCCAGCCTAAGACAGGAGGTATGTTAGGGATAAAAGCAATGTAGGCCGGGTGTGGTGGCTCATGCCTGTAATCCTAGCAGTTTGGGAGGCTGCCGCAGGCAGATCACAAGGTCAGGAATTCGAGACCAGCCTGACCAACATGGTGAAACCCTGTCTCTACTAAAAATACAAAAATTAGCCGGGTGTGGTGGCGCACACTTGTAATCCCAGCTACTAGGGAGGCTGAGGCAGGAGAATCACTTGAACCCGGGAGGCAGAGGTTTCAGTGAGCCAAGATTGCACCACTGCACTCCAGCCTGGGTAACAGAGCGAGACTCTATCTCAAAAAAATAAAATAAAATAAAATAATAAAAAAGTGCACAGTAGAGGCTAAGCAATGTCATGCAGGTAGAGGGGGTGCAAACGGAGGAAGAGAGAGGAAATAAGTGCAGTAGGCATGCAGGGCAGAATTACATCTTCCAGATGCTTGAGGAGGAGAAAGGAAGCTTAAGCCTAGAGAGACCTGTGGCCTTGCCACCATCCTCTTCTTCAGGCATGTCCTAACACTCCTGAGTCCTGGCCTTGTTGCAGACAAAAAATACCATAATAAAAGGTCAAGAGGCAGGGCATGGTGGCTCACACCAATAATCCCAACACTTGGGAGGCCAAGGCAGGAGGAGTGCTTGACCCCAGGAGTTCGAGACCAGTCTGGGCAACATAAGGATATTTCCTCGCTACAAAAGTAAAAAAAAAAAATAGCCAGGTGTGGTGGTGCATGCCTGTGGTCCCAGCTACTTGGGAGGCTAAGGTGGGAGGATCGCTTGGGCCCAGGAGGTTGGGGCTGCAGTGAGCCATGATCGCGCCACTACACTCCAGCCTAGGCAACACAGCAAGACCCTGTCTCTAACCGACTAACTAACTAACTAAATAAATAAATAAATAAATAAAAAGTCAAGAAGAGGACAATACCTGGAATTTACATGAAAACCCAGGAGGAAGGGTATAAGTGGATATCCAGTAGTTAAACAACCTTGGTGTCTAAGAGGAACTGTGCTGATACATGGGGCTTCCTGACATTTTTCCGACGTACTCTGTTCCAGTGCTTTGCACAGAACACACAGTGTTCACAGCCGGGAGACCAGCTAGGAGGCCTCAGCTGCTATGGGCACCACCTGGCTGCTCCCTGGGGATCAGTACTGTGACCCCATTTTAATGTGGTACTGTAGGAAGTCTTGCTAATGGAACGACTGCCCCTGACTAAAACTGACTTCGCAAAGATTATGACAGTGAGATAAGTCTGGCCTGGGCTCACTCCATCTCGCTTCTAGCCTCACAGGCTGGCTGCCCTCACTTATCCCTGGGCATAGGCCAAGCTACTCAGGGGAGGAATTTATAGTCTAACTTTAAAGCAAGGATGATAATAGTCTCACCCTAAAACTAACTCCTCCTTGTTCAGTGGCTGAAAACACCTTTGTAAGACTAATGAAGAGCCACAAGATTAGGATTCTGGTAGGGGCCTGAATTCTGCTACACTGTAGGCTTAATTTCTATAATCCCTTACTGTAGAGGAGTCACATGGCCAGAGGTCACAAGATTTGTGACTTTCTCAGTTGTTCATATAAATAACATCACTATTACAGAACATAAGATTGGCCTTTTCAGATGTTTTTCAGACTGACCCCACCTAGACTTGTGACTCACGACTTAACCAGTCCTGTGCACCCCCCACCACACAAAGGTGGACTTAGTGTATAAGGACCGTTTCCCACACTCGTATGATTCTCAACCAATCAGCAGCACCCATTACCTAGTCCCCTGCCCACCAAACTATCCTTGAAAAACCCTAACCTCTGAGCCTTCGGGAGACTGATTTGGGTAATAACTGTCTTCCACATGGGCAGACTCCCGTTAATTCAACTCTTGCTTTACTGCAAGATCACAGTCTCAGTGAACTGGTTTTGTCTGTGCAGCACACAGGAATAACCCATCACCTGATTACACAACCACTGAACAAGAAGACTTGGGTTCAAGGCTACCTTTGGTCAGCCATTTTCTCTAAGAAAGAACACAGTCAAAGTACAGAACACTGTGGAACACAGAAGAAAGCGAAAACTAATGGAGACATTTGGGAGGTAGTATTTAAACTGAACCTTCAAAAAATAAAACATATGTTATTTTTCACTAAGCAAGCAACAGTGTTCCTCAAGGGAAGAGGGCTTTACCTATCCTCTTAATCTCTGTGCTCACTTCTAGACTGGCCTAGCACAGGATAGATGCTCAGTGCTGTGATTCAACAAGTGTTCACTGAATGCTCATCAAGCTCTACCTGATTTAAATGGTGACCCAGATGATGTCCTGTGGCAGATTCTGGAGAGGTTGCAGGTAGAGTTAGCATCGTAGGTGACATCAGCACTTGCCCAGGCCCCCGGCTTAGAAGGCCCTGCACTTAGTTTAGTAACCTGCTGCCGCCATCTTGAAATTTTTGTTAATTTGTGAACAGGAGGCCTGCGTTTTCATTTTGCACTGACCGCACAAATTATGCAGCCATCCCTGGCTGTAGCTGTTATGTTTTGCCAGCAGATACTATCACGCCCTGTGAAGGTACTGACAGGGTGTTTCAGAGTTTTTGACAAGTACCCATTTTCCAAATAGAAGAGGCATCCTATGAATTGCCTGTACAATAAAAGACAGCCTGAAATAAAAATGTGTTTCTTAGATTAGACAGTCTTCTTGCAACAGTCCTACAATCCTGGTGAGAATCTTTTAATGATGAAGAGCTTAAATGCTTTACAATTTTCCCACCATGAATTTTTTCCCATGTTGTACCCTTCTCTTCCACCCAAGTCTTAGGAGAGTTCCCAAAAATTTCACCTTCCTTTTTGTTTTAAAAGGATAGATAATCTTTCCACAGCCTTTACTGATTGCAAACTCCTTGAGAAAAGAGTTGCATTTTCTAGCCTTTTGCATCCCACACTGCTAAGGGTCATATTACACACACAGAGATCAATCAATAATACTATGGTCTTATAATTGCATCCCTTTGCATGTTAAAAACACACTTATATAAATTGTCTCATCTGATGATTACAATAATCCCATGGGTTTTCAGGGCAGGTATTTATTCTCTTTCTCCAGATTAGGAAACCAAAAATTAGAGCAACGTTTAATAACCGCCTCTACTTACACTTGTGACTTCTAGATGGAGGTTTCTAATTCTGAAATTGAAAAAGAAAATCATTTACTCTCTATGTATTTATGTATTCATTTATTTGTTCATGTATTTATTGAACCTTTGACCTATATATCCACCCCTTTCTGGAATCTCCACTTGAATGCCTAAATGGTAGGCCCCACTCAACACCTACCAAACCAAACGTATCATTTTCCGCCCTCTCTCTGCCCCACCTTGCTTAAACCTGCTCCTCTGAGAGTCTGTTCGCTAATATCATCACCTTCCTCCTAATTGCCCAAGCCAGATACCTAGCTATCATCCTCCACCCAACCCTTGCTCCAATTTACCAGTCCCAGTGGAGGTCCAAATCCTGCCGATTATTTCCTGTCTATCGCTTAGGAAGCCAGAGCCTAGCACAGGATCTGGCACACAATGGTGTCTTCATATATTTTGATTGAACTAAATTAAGTCCTCTTGGGCAGCACTGGTAGCCAAAGTGACTTCCCAGGCCAATGCTCTGGCTTCTTTCCTGGCTGGAGAAGAATCAGTGCTCCTGGATCTCATCTGTCACCCAACTCTCTCATAGGTGGAGGCCAGGTGAGAAAGCCTGAGAAAGGAAACCTGTCTCCCCCAGCACATGTAGCTTCCGGAGGAGAAAGAAATCATCTCACACAAATATTACTGTCTTGCACTCAGGCCCTTTCACTTTTGTCTTCCAATTCTTTAGTTGTTGTTTCTTTAGTTCTTGTTGTTGCTGTTGTTTTATGTTGACATTTCTCTTCACACCAGCATCACTACCCTCAAAGCCATGGAGAAATCTGGCTATCCTACAGTCCCAAAATGCCCCCATGTCTAGGAATTTTCAGACAAGGCAAGCCAGACTTTTTTTTTTTTTTTTTTTGAGACGGAGTCTCCCTCTGTCGCCCCAGGCTGGAGTGCAGTGTTGCGATCTCGATTCACTGCAAGCTCTGCCTCCCGGGTTCACGCCATTCTCTGGCCTCAGCCTCCTGAGTAGCTGGGACTCCAGGCGCCCGCCACCGCGCCCAGCTAATTTTTTGTATTTTTAGTAGAGACGGGGTTTCACCGTGGTCTCGATCTCCTGACCTCGTGATCCGCCCGCCTCAGACCAGACATATTTAAATGGGGGAAAATCCCAAGAGACGGCCACAGAATGAATAAAAGTAAAACTTAAAATAAAATAGTAAAAGAAAGCAAGAATATTCTATCCTGGGGCCTCAAACTTTTTGGAGGTCCCAGGATAGAATATTATTGCTTTCCTTTACTATTTTTCATTGTTTCTTTTCCAGTCTGTTTATATTTTTCTATTTAAAATCTCTTTCACACAAACACACACACACAGTCACTTACAGCACCTGCTGAAGCAACTTAACTAAAAATCAACAAAAGGAACTTGCCTATAACCTATAGGTAGTAACTTACCACACTTACCTACTTTCCTTTTCTTTTTTCTTTTTTTTTAAATTATACTTTAAGTTCTGGGTTACATGTGCAGAACGTGCAGGTTGGTTACATAGGTATACACGTGCCATGGTGGTTTGCTGCACCCACCAACCCATCATAAATTAGGTATTTCTCCTAATGCTATTCCTCTCCTAGCTCCCCCACCCCCGACCTGTGGGGGTGTGTGATGTTCCCCTCCCTGTGTCCATGTGTTCTCATTGTTCAACTCCCACTTATGAGTGAGAACATATGGTGTTTGGTTTTCTGTTCCTGTGTTAGTTTACTGAGAATGATGGTTTCCAGCTTCATCCATGTCCCTGCAAAGGATATGAACTCATTCTTTTTTGTGGCTGCAGAGTATTCCATGATGTATATGTGCCACACTTTCTTTATCCAGTCTATCATTGATGGGCATTTGGATTGGTTCCAAGTCTTTGCTATTGTGAACAGTGCCACAATAAACATATGCGTGCATGTGTCTTTATAGTTGAATGATTTATAATCCTTTGGGTATATACCCAGTAATGGGGTTGCTGAGTCAAATGTAACTTACCTACTTTCTTCCAGGGCAGAAGACATGTAAGAACTTTATTCTTTAGTTCCGGGCCACTCTCTGGCCCCTGTGTGTCACCTAGCCCCTCCTCCCCCTGGATGTTTAGAAGGCAATCTAACACTGAGCACAAGCAGGACAGAGATGGTGGCAGATTCCTCTAATGCAAAGACAAGAACCTACAAAATATCCCCATAATGAAGAAAAGATTGCCCTAAGCTCTTGGCACTGAGAATGAGACATTAAATTACAGGGAAGTATAGGGGTCCCCACGTGAAGTTGGGGAGAGGGCTTGAAGCTTTCAAGCATTAGCAGATATAAAGAAAAAATACATGTGGAAGGGCCTTGGCCAAAGTGGGATGGTGGAAGAGAAACGCAAGACAGATTCTAGTGCCCCATCCCAACACTCAGAAGATACCCAGGGTCTCCAAAAAATGAGCAGTCAGCCTCAGAGCTCAGAGTTAAAATGAACACAAAGTGCATGGCATTTGCTTTCTTAGAATGCTAAAATGCACTGCATTGGGCTACTGTAACTTCTCTCTAGGAAACATCGGGAAAACACACACACTATAATTTACACACAGCAAAGTTCACAGTGAAACCCAAGAAACGCAACAACTAAAATGCTTAAGCCACAATTTAGGTTGGAGGTTATGGAGGAGCACGCATGGCATTACAGAAAGAGACTGTAGTACAAGGAGGCAGCATTTTGACAACCCTGAGCCCAGGGCCTGGTACATCGTAAGCCCTCAATGCATGCCAGCTCTCTGTCTCTCCTTCACCGTAGGGAGCCTGACTTTCTCAGCCAGCAACCAGTCTATACCAAGTGAAGCAACTGCCTGCTCTGGCAAAGAGGGTTTAGGGCACCTTTTTGTCTTTGCAGGCAGAGTGGAGAGAGGCCATTTTTGGGCTGTTTTGAGAATGCAACAACTGGGATAATTTTTCAGAATGCATTGAAGGACACCCACACCTTTTGGTATTTCAGTGTTGCAATGACCTACACAGAAGCCCATGGGAAAAGAACAGTGCTGAAATCTGTACCTTATAGTGTAAACTTTGAGTAATATCAAGAGGCTAAATTATCTGCATGAGTCACGCTGCAGTACAAATCAGAGAGTGACACCAAAGCAGATTAAAAGACAAGCAGAAGGAAATGATCTGAATAGACACAGAACAGAGACACACTCACCTTTTAGCTCCTCCAGGCTTAAAGATTCATCAGTACTTTGTGGAGAGTTAACACGAGTATCACCCCTGTTTTGCAGTATGCATTGTATCATGTGTCATACACAAATAGCAAATAAATATATGATATATATTTATATTTTATATAGTTTAATATATACTTAAAATATACATTTGAAGGATATCTGAATATAGCATATATAAATTATGCTGGTACAAATTATGTATGGAAACTCATTCCATGGAGTGGTTTCTGTTTGGCCTAACTAATCCCTCTCTACAGAACACCTTGCGGTATTATTAAGCAGTGGTACCTGAGGCCCACTTGAGGACTGAACTCAAGATGTGGATACTCAGAGAAAACAAACAAGGAACACACAGTACAGAATTCTCCTTACCCAGGCCCTGCCTGTCACACCCTCACATAATGCTGGGTGTGACAAAGCATTATGAAACCAAAGGCTTCAGGAAAGCAACACCTGCGCAGAGTCACCTGGCAGCAAGAAGTAATGACGCCTGCTCTTTCTTCCAGTGTATTTTGTCTTAGATTTTTGAGCTGAACAGCAAGGAAGAGGCCCAATGAGGGTAGTCTTCATTCTCTTTTTCTTTTTCTTTTCCTTGTTTATTTTATTTTATTTTTATATTTTTGAGACAGAGTCTCACCCTGTTGCCCAGCCTGGTGTACAATGGCATGCTCTAGGCTCATTGCAACCTCTGCCTCCCGATTTCAAGCGATTCTCCTGCCTCAGCCTCCCAAGTAGCTGGGATTACAGGCACCTGCAATCATGCTCGGCTAATTTTTTTTTTTTTTTTTTTTTTTTTTGAGACGGAGTCTCACTCTATCGCCCAGGTTGGAGTGCAGTGGCGCGATCTCCGCTCACTGCAAGCTCTGCCTCTTGGGTTCATGCCATTCTCCTGCCTCAGCCTCCCGTGTAGCTGGGACTACAGGCGCCCACCACCATGCCCAGCTAATTTTTTTGTATTTTTAGTGCAGACGGGGTTTCACTGTGTTAGCCAGGATGGTCTCGATCTCCTGAGCTCGTGATCCACCCGCCTCAGCCTTCCAAAGTGCTGGGATTACAGGCGTGACCCACCGCGCCCGGCCTCGGCTAATTTTTATATTTTTGTAGAGACGGGGTTTCACCATGTTGGCCAGGCTGGTCTCTAACTCCTGACCTCAGGTGATCCGCCCACCTTGGCCTCCCAAAGTGCTGGAATTACAGGCGTGAGCCACTGCACCTGGCCCATTCTCTTTCTAGGAGCTAATGATTACTGGTGTGTAACCAAAATGCAGAGGACGTTGTGAGATGGAAGAGTTAAGTGACTTGTGAGACAAAGTATGTAAGTGTAGTAAACCAGGAGCACAGTTCACAGTACCTACCTCACGGTGCCAAGGAATCATTTACAGTTTGATAAAATAAAGGCTATCTTTTTCCAGAATGGGTCTGGAACGAAGCTCCATTGAAGCAGCTGACAGACTTACTGTCTTACTAACTCACAGGTTTTCTCACTACATTAATTAGCAGCCCAATAAGCTATCCATTTGGATCCCCTTCAGAAACCATGATTAGAAGCCATCTCCACAAAGCCCTAAGGTCAAGGCCCCATGACCACCCTCCAGGCTTGCCACCCATTGTAGTACTTATGTCCGAGTTGCCTCTCACCCCCACAACCCCAGAATCCCATCATTCCTAATTCTGCTGGAGATCCCGGGCCAGTGACACCACCTCTCACTGTCAGTCCTGCTCTGCAGAGGACAACAGCTTTCTGAGCTTCTCAACATGTCAGTGCTGCCCCTCACCCTTTGTTGAAGGAAATGTCCTCTGTGCCCTCCTGGGTTCTTGAGCTCACATGATAAAACCATCCCAACATTCTCTCTTCCCTAAGCCCTCTAATCCCATCCTCAATACCATGCCATAACAGTTCTGGCAGCTCCAGCTAACTCATTGAAGGCCGTCATTTCAATCAAACTTTGTGGAGCTATCCCAGCAGTGTTCTAGAATTACCACCATCTCCTCTGGCTAGAATGTTGAACTCCAAGTCAAAAGAAAGTGCTCTCACATTAAAAAGTATTTTCCTATACCACTTGATATTTCACTTTACCATCCCATTCCATCATTCAGCCACCCTGCCAGATGGCCTGATATGCTGAAGAACCACCTCTACACATGTTCCCCGAATTCCTACCAATACATATTAACAACTTATTCGGTGTGCACCAGACACAGATGCTCTGCAGCCCAGTTGGACTGTGTTCAGACATGACCCAGATTGGCCTGGAAGGAATGAGAGTAACAGGGCCATATCATTAAGAAGGCCAAGTGTAACCTTCTGGCAAGAAAAGAAAGACTGGCTTGAAGAAGTATATATTGGAATGTGAACAAGAGTAAAGGATGGTAGGTGTGAACAGAGAAAGAGGGAAGAAAATAGAATGATATATTAGTTTGGCTGCCATTAGAGGTGACTGGTGCTCAGTCCCTCTGACACCTTCTGAGGAGACTTAAAAGATGCATCTCAGAACTGTTTGCGAGGGAATAAGAGTGGGAAGCATTCATCCACAGGCTCCTGCTCCCCGCTGGTTAAGGGTGGCCCTGGCCACAGTAAATTTCCTGCACCTGCAGGCTGTATCTGTGCACGTGCAGAGCAAGTTCCCAGGGAAGACTCATCAGGGCAGAAGACAGAGGCACACAAGATGGACCAGAGGCAAGGCACCATCTGATTGCATGTGGGAGATGATGGTTGAAGCTGGAGTGGGCATTGATGGGACAGAGAGGATTCTGAAGTGGTGCATAGGGGTATCCAGTATCATTGCCATGACCTCCTCTTGCATCTTCCAATGGTCCACTCTCATTCTCAGTTTATTCCTCCTTTCTTGAAAGTCTGACACTCGCTTACTTTGAAACCCTTCTTCACTTGGTTTCCAAGTACTGCTCTTTTCTGATGTTTCACCCACCTTCCAGATCTTCCTTCTTACCCTCCTTGGCTAGTTCTTGCTCTTCTCAACCTCTACATGTTTAAGTGCTGTAGGTCTCTATCCTGAGAACTTTTGGTTTTTATCAAGACTCATTTCCCAGTGTTATGGGATCAAATACTATCCATAAACTGCAGAATCTCAATTTTATATCTCTATCCCACACTCCCCCAAACTTCAGATTCAACCATCTGTCTATGCAACACCTCAAACTTGACACATCTACAACAAAACTATTGAGTTCCTTTTCACCACCACTACCACACACACACACACACACACACACACACACACAAATCTATTTTTTCTTCAGTCTCCTCCAGCTGTAAATTACACCACAGTTCACAAAGTTTCACAGGTCAAAATCTCAAGATTGTCTTGGAAGTCTCTCTTTGCTACTCACTCCCCATAATCTTCCAAAATGTGTCTTGAATCTGACCTCTGCGTATCACCTCCACTACCATCCGGTCCAAGCAGCCATCACCTCTCAGGGAGCACAGCAAAAGCCTCCTCACAGCTGGCTCCCAGTTGTCAATCCTCTGTACAGCAGCTGTGGGATCTGGGGAGATATGAGTGGGTTTAGATCATCATCCTGCTCTCAATTCCCCAGCAGCTTCCATCACACTTAGAATAAAACCCACACCCCTTTCAACGGCCAGCAAAGTTATTCATGACCTGCAATGGCCAGTCTTTCCTCAGCATCATGTCATCTCTCTAATGCTCACTCCAATCACCCTGGCCTCCTTGCTGTTTCTGCCTCAGGACATTGGCACTTGCTCTTTCTTCAGTCTGCAATGATTTTTCTTTCATTCTACCTTTTGCTTTCGAGCCGCTGCTTTCTCTTTCTTCATAGCATTTAACATTACCTATGTATATATGTAATGCTTAATATAGGTAACATGTAACTTATTTATTTTTCATAAGATCCATGGGGGGAGGAGGAACACTTTTTATACCACTGTATTCCCAGCACATAAAACAGTAATTGTCACATAGGAAGCACTCAGTTACAAGGTGACCAAAGAATCTATAAATGATTGAAACAAGATGAGAATAGAAACAATATCATCAGAAGGAGGAGCAGCAAAATTTTTTAACAATGTAAAAGATAAATATTTATTCTCAGAGCCAATAAAAAGGTGAAAGGAAACTGGTACAAGTTAGAAATAAAACACTAGAGGAAAAACTGCAAAGAAAAGAAGAGTTCATTTTGAAATATAGATGTTTAAGAATTGAAAAGCTTTTAACATCAGAAAGGAGTAGTAAAATATTCTACATTTCAGCTCAATGTCTAGGAGTGTTTCCAAGGTGTTTATGACTAAGCACTCTGCCTCTTTGAATAATACATTGCAGTTGTGGCATGTTACGGTTGAAAAATGTTTCCATGTGCATTATTTCATTTGACCCTGCAAATGACCTTATTGGATTAATCAGACAAGCCTCCCATCCTCATTACATGCTTATGAAAACAGAGGTTTCTGCAAGTTGAGAACCTAGGCCAAGAGGTCTGGCAGCAGCTGTTAAGAGGCAAAGATGAGATTTGCCAACAAGTTTTTTGACTCCAAAGTCTAGGCACTTACACCATGCTTTGCAATCTCAAAGAGCTATGATGATTTTTTAAAAGTAAACACACTTAAATTTGGTGTCAGAGAAGAATAATTCTTGCTCAATGAAAAGTCTGTCTTTATATAGTACTTTTTAAGATTATCATTTCTGTCAGTATCTACATTTGCCACAAGAGGGCTGACTATGGCTTAATTTTGCCCTTGTCAAAAAGAAGCTCTTTTTACAGCTGACACTTTAAAGTTCTCATCTCAATTTGGAAATTTGCCACTCTCGACGCTCTATATCCCTAGCTAAGTCAGTAATTAATTCAGACAAGCTTATTTTTCAGTCATTCTATTAAACTGTCTTACCATGATTTGGTCTTTTTCTTACGAATGTTTTTTATCTTCTGGTTCCATATTTCAAGCTGAGCAGCTACAAATATATATTTGCATGATATTCACAAAATACATTTTTCCTTAATTAGATGTAAATATATTAAATTATTCATTTTCTATCTTTTCGCAATTCTTTGTACAGAGAGAATATACTGAATTTCTGAGGAAAAGACCAAGGAGCTATAAAAAAGATGCACAGCTGGCCGGGTGTAGTGGCTCACTCCTGTAATCTCAGCACTTTGGGAAGCCGAGGCAGGTGGATCATCTGAGGTCAGAGGTTCAAGACCAGCCTGGCCAATATGGTGAAACCCTGTCTCTACTAAAAATACAAAAATTAGCTGGGTGTGCTGGCACACCCCTGTAATCCCAGCTACTCAGGAGGCTGCAGCACAAGAATCACTTGAACCCAGGAGGCAGAGGTTGCAGTGAGCCAAGTTCACGCCATTGCACTGCAGACTGGGCGACAGAGCAAGACTCAGTCTCAAAAAAAAAAAAAAAAAAAATAGGGCCAGGCATGGTGGCTCATGCCTGTACTCCCAACATTTTGGGAGGCCGAGGTGGGCAGATCACTTGAGGTCAGGAGTTTGAGATCAACCTGGCCAACATGGTGAAACTCTGTCTCTACTAAAAATACAAAAATTAGCCAGGCGTGGTAGTGTGCACCTGTAATCCTAGCTACTGGGGGATTCTAAGGCACAAGAATCACTTGAACCTGGGAGGCAGAGGTTGCAGTGAGTAGAGATCACCTCACTGTACTCCAGCCTGGGCAACAGAACGAGACTCTGTCTCAAAAAAAAAAAAAAGAAAAGAAAAGAAAAAAGAAAAAAAGATGCACAGCCATTCTGGGTATAAGCTATACTCTCACCTTACTCTTTCACTTGAATTTATAATAGAAAGTATTTTTCTTCACTTTAAGGAGAAGACTTGATGAAAGCAATCTTGAATATAGCAAATAGCTATGCAGAGAAAGGTTTTGCATGTTTTCATTCAGGTGGTAACTTATTCAAAATAACATTCCCCTGGTTAGTTTGAAAGATGGACATCCAAACTAAACTCTTACTATGTATAAACTGCCAATTGCTGTGGGCCTGATGGGTCTAGATTCTGATAAGCATCTTAAATGACACATTGAGGAACACTGCTGTTTCATAATGATCATGGTTTTCGGATTTCCAGATTTAACCAAGGGCTGAATCACAAGCAACACAAGCTTCCCTTTCTACTGCCAGCCAGGGCCACCCATCAGTGGACTTTGACCTTGTTTTCAATGACTACCTGTTACCCACCTGATATTGCTGGCTCTCCTTTGTGACTTTTCTGATAGCTGCAAAGAACAAGTAAATTAGATGGAGTGATCCCTGCTTCTCACCGTAGCCAAGATAAGTCATGCCTTCGATTTAGGGCAGATTAAGTAGAGGTTAGCAAACCTTTAGGAACAGATAACTATGATTATGGAAAATTGAGGAATTGTCACCAAATAGCTGAATAGAATTTTGAAAGTCAAATGAGAGAAGAGTCATAGCCTAACTCTGATGGAAGAATATACATAAAAGGACAAAAACAGAAAATCATATATCTATATATATGTGTGTATATATATGTGTGTGTAGATATTTCTGTGTGTATCCACACACACATCACTAAATTATAGAATTCTATAATTTTTACACAGGTTTCAAAATATTTTCTCCTTTGCATGGTATTCTCTCAGATACAAGAACTGCTGAGTATGTGCATCTCTACCCAGAATATTACACAATGGCAATCAATAATTACCAAACACAATTTTTACTCATGTTTACTATGGTCACATTTTAGAGCACTACGGTTTTGAAGTACTGAAGTTATTCAAAGTAAAATCTAAACATTTTAAAGATATGGCATTTTCAAAGGAAAATAAGTTTAACATGATTCAATAACATCGACAATAATGACCATGCTTCATCAATTTTAGAAAAAGCTTTTTTTCACATTGTAATACATCGGAAATTTGCAATTATCTTACCAAAAATGGCACCTTGCAATTAAAATTTGCAACTTTTTGGCTGTTTCTCAGCACTCTCAATGCTGCAAAAGAAATAATGATGTATCTCAGAATTTATGCCTTCTTAAATGTGATGAAATACAGTATTAGAAAAGGCACCAAAAATGTTAGTGATGAGATGAGCTCTTGAAACAGCACCCCGCACCCAGGAGAAAGTAGATGTCTGGTAGATGATATTTGTGTGCAGTTGAATAGGATCTAATTGAAAGTTTAAATTGATCTCTTATTCTGCAACTTACTATCAAGTGGCAATAGTAACTTGGTACTACCACTCGGGTGATCCACTCAGTTGTACCAAGTTAAACAGAAACATGGTTGACTATGGCTGCTGATGGTGAAACAAGGTTTTCCAATGGCTTAGGTTGTACTGTGGCCAGTAAAAATAGGCTTAGTCTGGGTTGACACAGACATGAAGGACTAAAGGAGAAAATATTACCAAGTTACATCTTCTAAGACTGAGTTTCACCTATTTCGACTACCTTTGACCATGTCATGGACTCTTAGGAGAATGAGGAACATTATTCTGTAAGTTTTCCAACCTCAACACTATTGATATTTTGGACTAGATAATCATTTATTGGGAGTGCAGAGATTTCCCTGTTCATTGTAGGATGTTTAGTAGCATCCACGACCTCTACCCACTAGATGCCAGTAGCACCATGTCCCACCCCCACCCCCACCAGCTTTGAAACCAAAAATGTCTCCAGCCATTGCCAAATATCTCTGGAGGGTAAAATCATCTTTGTTGTGAACCACTGCTCTAGGTCTTTTCCCATTCTACAATACTTCCAAAAATTTGAATGAGAAATACAGATGAATATGTGCAAAAAGTATACATAATTCATAAGACCTTCCTTTAAAATAATAGAAGTGAGGCTGGTCATGGTGGCTCACACCTGTAATCCCAGCACTTTGGGAGGCCGAGGCAGGTGGATCATGAGGTCAGGAGATCAAGACCATCCTGGCTAACATGGTGAAACCCCATCTCTACTAAAAACACAAAAAATTAGCCAGGCGTGGTGGCACAGGCCTGTAGTCCCAGCTACTTCGGAGGCTGAGGCAGGAGAATCACTTCAACCTGGGAGGCGGAGGTTGCAGTGAGTCGAGATTGCACCACTGCACTCCAGCCTGGATGACAGAGCGAGACTCCATCTCAAAAAAAAAAAAAAAAAAGATAGAAGTGATCTGAAGCTTTAAAGATAACTTCAAGTGTTGAAGTTACCAAAATTCCAGTAGACACAATACTAAAAAAAAAAAAAATTATAAATAGCATTCACTATCAAACTTTTATCTAGACTATGGTTAAAACTATGAAAAACAAATTGCTATCTATGTGGTCAAAAGGGAATCTGAAAAAGTGAGGGGTTGATTTATTTGGCTGATGGAATTGTGTTTTCCATTATTGTTATTTATGCCATGAGTAAAAATTTCCTGGTTTTGGTTGTCTGATAAAAACTAACAAAGAACAATGTGAAAAGGGGCAAACATGATAAAATGCCACTGGATAATATCTAGCATTTTCTAAGTGATTGCTAATACCAGGCACAGGGCTATATGGCTTTATATGTATTGACCCACTTAATATTTACAACAATCCTTAGAGATAGGCACATTTCCATGAAGAAAATTTGCTTTGCTTAATATTACACAGCTTACAAGTAACGAAGCCCAGAACCAAGTTCTGGAGCATCTGACTTCACATCAATCATTCCTGACCACCTCACTTTACGGAAACTATGCAACCATGGCTGCTGAACCTCTCCTATTTGAATTCTACATCCCAGCTGGACTGGTCTACTCAGAGTTGCTCTCCATGTACCTTGCCTTTCTGTTTCCATTTCTATGCCTTTGCTCCGGCCCTTTTCCCCAGTAGAAAATTTACTCCCCTGTGTTTTTTTCTAAACTTTATCCCTCCTTTGATGTGTAGCTTTAGGTCCATTTCTTCCATAAGAGTCCCTAAGATTATTCCAGCCATAGTGATTTCCCCTCTCTCTGAATGCTTTCTACTGTATGCCGAATTAGTCACTTGTTACAAAAGATTTCCATTTAGAACTCCTGATAACAATAGCTAGTCTGTCTATGGCCCCTTAGTAAAGGGATTTACACACATCATCTCATTTTTTCCTTACCACGAACCTGTTTGTCGTTGTTGTTGTTGTTATTTCAAACAGATAAGGAGCTTAAAGGTCAGATTTTACTGGATTATTCAAGGAGACACCTGATAAATGGCAGACTTGAACTTGAATTTAAGTCTCCTAATTCCAAACCCCATGATCTTCCTAACAAAAACAAAAAACAAACAAAAAAAAGTCTTGTGGCCCAGAAGTGTACAAGTATGTACAAGTCTGCCTCAACAACAATATTACAGTTTTTGTGTTTTAAGTTCTTCCACTTTCCTCACTCTTACCCCAGTACTTGGTAAACACTTAAAATTGTTTACCTATTGGATGTTCTTTGTCTCCTAACCCTCAGAGCTTCGAATAATAATAATAGTATTAACTAATGTTTACTAACCTCTGTGCACAAGGCACTGTTATCAGCAGTGGATTGCAAATGAAGAAACCGAGTATTAGAGAGATTAGGAGATTAGAAAAGTTGTCCTGTGAACTGAAACACCAATCTAGCTATAGTTGGAATTCTAAACTTGGTTGATAATATAAACTCTCAATAAACATTAGCGAATTTGTAACTAATGAGTGGTTCCTTGTCAGATACTACTACCTGTATTCTTTCTCATTTAGTCCTAAATACAACTTTTTTTACTCTCTTATTACTATTACTATTTTATGTATGTAATTACTATTTTATTCCCATTTTAGGAAGAAGAAAATGAGTTTAGAGAGATTAATGAACAAATAGAAGGTTGAAGCAGATTTTCACCCTGCAGCTAACTCCTCACTTTTAACTGTACTTCTCCATGGAAAACTAATAAGCATCTCTTAAGGCTAGTTTTTCCACAAGTCAAATATATATATATTCGTATTCAAGTTTTCAAAAAAGCTCTGCTTTCTCTAATATCACATTTCATGTTGTCATGATGATGGTAGTACTTTAGAAGCAGAGGAGATGGACGAGGACACATGTCAGATTATTTGTTTCTCTTGGATGAAGGCTCCTGAGCACCAGCCCATCAGAGAAAATGCTCAGTTTGGCGTTTCCCTAACAGGGATTGGGGTGGATCCAGGGAGGCCTGCTGTATGATGGAATGAAGTTTTTTTCCCTGAACCAGTTTGCCCACCCTTGCTGCACATGTGACATGAAAAATGCAGGCGCCTCCATCAGGAAAGTATTCTTGGCAGTACTCAGTGGTCTCAGAGTTATTTGGCACACTCTCAGGTAGCTGACTTCCAAACAATAAGTGATCTGGTTTTCAGTAAGGTAATTACCAAGCAAACCCACATGGTCTGGAGACCTACGCAGCGTGTTACAACACATTGAACAAATGGCACACCTGAGCAGACTTATTGTCAGAAAAAAAAAAAAAACTGTTCACTGTAATCACAAGAATATGTCAAAATTATTCTTTTATTTGTGTACAGGCTTAAGCCTCCTACTCTAAAACCACATTTTAAGTATTTGCTCACTCATTTTTAGAGCACTGTGGATCTTGGAAGTAGTTTTTATTGCTGTTGCTGTTGTTGATTTTGGTGAAAAGATATGTATCTATAGATATATAGATATATTTATAATTAGCCAGCAGGACTCAGTTTAGATGATCACAATTTTGTTGGGAATATCCAAAGCATTGTAATCAGGAGCCAGTCGAACATATGTCTTCTTCTCTCCATCAAACCTAATCAGGGTGTTGACCTCGGGCACATCAATGTCACAGAGCTTCTTCACAGCCCGTGTGATCTGGTGCTAGTTGGCTTTAACATCCACATTGAACACAAATGTGTTGTTGTCTTCTGTCTTCTTCGTGGCAGACCCAGTAGTCAGCGAAAACGTGATGACAGCACAGTGGTCAGGCTTGTTTCTTCTGGGGCCACTCCTCCAAGGATATTTGGGCTGCCTCCGGAGTCTCAGGGTCTTGGGCCACCAGAAGATGGGTGACGTGCAGATCTTCTTTTTTTGTGGCTATGGACAGCTTTCAACACTGCCTTCTTGGCCTTCAAAACCTTCGCTTTGGTTTTGGCTTTAGGAGGGGCAGGAGCTTTCTTCTTTGCCTTCAGCACCATCTTGTGAAAAGGGTGTTTTGTTTTTGTGTTTGTTTTTATACCTCTATGTGTAGTTTAGGAACATTCCCACAACAGTGTGATCCAGGTTTACAACTTCCCATCCGGAGAGCACCCCATGCCCAGGGAGATACAAGGCTGGAAATCTTTTGCCTCGTCATCAAGCACTCCTGTTTGGAGAAATTGGGCTGAAATGTCATACCAATCTCTTTATCACAGAGCATTCTTTCAGCTTTTTGACATGGAAATAATAAGAAAGAAAAAATATAGTTATTTCAGAGACTGATGGAGAATGGCTGTTCTTTTTTCATCAGTGATCACAAACCCCTTGACACTGGAGAATTCATTCACCAGTCAGTGACCATACTTGGGAAATTTTCAGAACACTTTGCTGAAGTCAATCAACTTAGAAATGGTATCTAATTCTAGAACCATTGTGCCAACATGGAGAAATTTATTATTCATATATGTGAGTTTCCCAGAAGTAAATTTTAAAGTAATTCTATAGTATAAAATCATACCAAAATTCAACGTGATTTTTTTTTAAAAAAAAGCAATTCTCTCTCTCTCAATGTTTTTCAATTCACTTAGTCATTTCATGCCTCAGTTTCCTCCCATTCATTAATTAACTATATATTCGTTGAGTCTCCTATGTACCAGACATTGTAGTCTAGACTCTGTGGATAGAACACCACAAAAAATGGATGGAAAATATTTTTTCAAGTGGAAAAAAGTATACAACAAACAAATGCATAAGTTAAATATATGGTATATCAGATAGTGATAAATGCTATGAAAAATAAAACAGGAAAGAAAATAGAGAATACCTGGATCGATGGGGCATGGAAGGTGTGCTCTTGCATATGGTATGTGTATTTCCACTAAAAGTCCTGTTGAAATTTGATCCCCAATGTAGTGGTGTTGGGAGGTGGGACGCATTGGGAGGTGTTTGGTTCATTGGGGGTGGATCTTTCATGAATGGCTTTGTGCCCTTCTAGCAGTAGTGAATGAGTTCTTGCTCTGGCAGGACTGGATTAGGTCTTGCAGAAATGGAATATTTCAATTTTCTTTCTGGAATAGATTCATTCGCAAGAGACTGGGTTATTATAAAGCAAGGTTGCTCCTCCTCGTTGGTCTCTCTGCACGCATGAAGAAAAGGGCGGCCCTTTCTTCATTATGTTCTGATCCGACACATGGCCTTGACCAGAAGCCAAGCAGATGCTGGCACCATGCCTCTTGTACTTCCCAGCATGCAGAACCCTGAGGTAAATAAACCTCTTTTTAAAAATGAATTGCCCAGCCTCAAGTATTCTGTTATAGCAACACAAAATGGACTAAAACAGAAGGGGCTGCAACGTTAAAGAGGGCCATCAGAGATTTTTCCTAAGAAGAAGACATTCGGGCAAAATAATAATACAGTGAGGGAATGAGCAGTGTGGATGTCTGAGGGAATGCGTTCCAGGCAGACAGGAAAGGAAATGCAAAGCTCCTGTGGTACAAGGATGTCTGGTACATTCCAGGAATAGCCAGGTGGCCAGTAGAGCTAGAACAGAGTGAGCAAAGGGGAGGAATAGGAGGCCAGATCATATTAGGCCTTTTGGGTTATTCTAAGAACATTAGCTTCAAGCATTAGACTTAACACATTTGTTTTCAGTGGAGTGACATGATCTTACTTGTATTGTAAAAGGATTATGCTCATTTCGGTGTGGAAATTAGACTACAGGAGAGCATAAACCCAAGAGTTGACTCATCAAAGAGCATGAAGTAGGAGACTATTGCAATAATCCAGGCAAAAACCAACTACAGCTTGCATTAAAATAAGACTGATAGATGTTGCTGGATTCCAGATGTATTTCTGAAATAGAGTAAATAGAATTTCATTGGAATTAATGTGACATACGAAAGAAGCCAGAAATAACTTCACAATTTTGTCTTAAAGAACTAGAGGATGGAGTTGGCCTTTGCTAAGTAAGGAGGATAGTGGGAGCAGGAGGTTTCCTAAGCAAAGGTGTGGGGGAGACACCACAGCATCCAGGAGCTCAGATCAGGACACACTGAGTGTAAGCTAGATACCAAAGTGGGGATGTCGAGTAAGGACTTGCTTATATAAATCTGGAGTACAGGGCATATGTCTACCCGGGAACTAGAACCCTGGGAGGTCAGCATGGAGATGGTATTTTAACCCTTGGGACTGGATGAGATCATCACGGGGTGAGCCTCCAAAATTCAATGCCAAAACAATGATGAGGAATGAGAGAGACTGAGGAAGAACTGCCAGGGACCTGGGAATATGAGAGAGAGTGGACAACTCTGTTAAACACCGCTGAGAGGTTCTGTGAGATGAGGACATGCGGTTAACCGCTGGAGTCACGACATTGAGGCCACTGATGACAATGATAAGAGTCTTTTCTTCTAAAGACAATCAGGGGAAAAGAATTGAAACTAAGGGTACAGAGAATCTTTTGGAAGCTTCACTCTGAAGGGCAGCAAGGGAGACTTTCTTTAAACCAACTTTCTTGAAGTATAAGCCATATACAATAAAATTCACCAGTTCTAGCTGTAGTGTTCAATGAGTTTTGACAAATGTATATACCTGTTTAAGCACCACCACAATCAAGATATAGAACATTTGTTTTGTTCGTTTTATTGAGACAGTGTTTGACTCTGTCACCCAGACTGGAGTGCAGTGGTGAAATCATGGCTTACTGCAGCTACGACCTCCCAGGCTCAAGCCATCCCCCTACCTCAGCCTCCTAAGTAGCTGGGACCACGGATGTGCATCACCATGACTGGCTAATTTTGTTTTGTTGTTTGTTTGTTTTTCTAGAGACAGTGTTTCACCATGTTGTCCAGGCTTGTCTCAAACTCCTGGGCTCAAGTGATCTTCCCACCTCAGCCTGACAAAGTATTGGGATTACAGGCGTGAGCCACCATGCCTGACCTAGAACATTTTCATCACCTCAAAAATATCTTTTATGCTCTTTCCAGTTAATCAGCTTCTCACCCCCAGCCCCAGATCCAGGCAGCTGCTGGTCTGCTTTCTGTCACTATAGATTAGATGTGATTTTTAGAGCTTCACATAAATGGAATCATACAGAATATAATCTTTTGTGTCTGGTTTATTTCACTTAGTATGTTTCTGAGCATTATCCACACTGATGTATTTATTAATCAGTACTTCCTTTGTATTGCTGAGTACTATTCCATTGGATGGAGACACCATAGCTTGTTAATCCAGGTACCTGCTGATGAACATTTGAATTGTTTTCCAATTTAAGCTTTTATGAATAAAGCTGCTATAAACATTTGTGGTTAAGTCCTATCCTTTGTGAATATTTGCTTTTTATCAACAGAGAATTTTTGTTTAAGATCAAGGAATTTGGGAGTTACAGTGACAATTGTGGTGATGATGAGATTCTGAATTTGTCACAGTATCTTGGTCCTGCACTGATATGCCTCCTTGAAAAATCAATAAGTATCATTCAGCTATAGTCATTTAATATTCCACTCTAGTGAAATATCATGGGGACACTGTTCTTGCTTTCAAGTGGCATATAGTCTGATGAAGAAAACAAAAGTGGAAATAAATTGGATTGAGGGCATGCTCCTTAATAGGTTGAAGAGTAAACTCAAGGGATTCTTTGCCCAGAGAGATCAAAACTGGTTGCAGATATAAGTTGGCTCAATAAAATGTTTATGTATAATGATTATATGAGGTATATCATGCTAAAGAATAAAAATATCAGTGCTAAAGAAAAGTCGGGCATGCTTATGATGTATTTCTAACCCTGAAGCGTATCATCATTCTGATTATCAACTGCAACCACCATGCTCCTGGGTGCATTATTTGCAAAGCCGGCCGCCCCCTGACTTTAATAACCAACTATCAGCTTATGATTGTAGAAGCTTAGCATGTGTTGCTTCTAGTTCAGCCTGATTTGCCTTTTGCATGATCTGTGATAACTTTTCTAACTTTCTATGCCACCATTTCTCCATTTGTAAAATGTAATTAACAATATCCGAGTGAGATTAATGAAGTATCATGGGATGTATTATACTTCATAAAGGCAAAATAAAGAGTGTTTACTGAGAGTAAAATATTAACATGGGAATGTGAGTTTCCCTGTGTTCCCCAAACTTTGACTATTTATTTGTGTATCTATATATGTCTCTCTCTGTCTCTCTTCGTGTGTGTGTGTGTGTGTGTGTGTGTGTGTGTGTGTGTGTGTATGAAACCCTATTTCTTCTAACCTGCTAGGAATAGGTGGGCCAGATATACTGAGGGAGAGAAAAGCAGTCCTTGACCTCTGGGAGCTGGCCTGGCACTTACAGCTGGGCACAGGTGTGGTTAGGAGCTGGCCTGGCACTTACAGCTGGGCACAGGTGTGGTTAGGAGCTGGCCTAGCACACACTGGTGGGCCATGGTGTCTCCTGCCTCCTGTTGGTCATGAACAATCTCACAGACACAAACATCAGACATGGTCACTCTGAGGCCATCATAAAGTGAGACAAAACAAGACCTCTTCATAATTTTATCTACAAAAAGACAAAAATATAGTTTTTGTGCAATCCATCAAATAGCAAACATCCTGGTCTCTCCTGCTGAATATGATCGACTGCCACTGCCACTTCTTCACAGTTTTATCCTCAATCTAGATTATCTTCCCCATAGATAAGACTTATTCAGACACCTAATCACAGAACTGTCCTCTCTCTGACTCTAGCAGCCATTCTAGAACAAAGTCCTGCTTCTTTAGATCCTCCTCAAAATCATCCATCCAAAGTCCAGATCCTACAATAAGTCATTTTTAACCCCTTCTTATTGATATGTCCCACAGATCTCCATAGTATATGTTTTTCCTCATTGCAGTGAGGAATCAACCCAACTTGTCTAACTATGGCTGTATCCTTGGTGGTCTCTGACTAAAGGGCATTGACAATATATTTGTGCCAGAATTTTCGGTAAGAAAAAGGGAGGCAGGGCTTAAGATGCTACATCTCTCAGAAGTGTTTACACTTTACAAATTACTCATGGAGCTTACGAAACCTTCATGAGTCAAGGAATTGGTTCCCCACTGGCATCATGTAAAGCCCCAAGAAGGGGTGGGGTAGAGGTGGGAATGTTGGGACTGAGCCTACCTACAGAGCTCCTCTACTGATCCCTCTCTTACAATCCCTGCCTTCCCAGTCCCGGTCAATTATAGACACTACCCTGCCCAGGCTCTGAGTCAGCCAGCCCTGGACAGGGCAGGGATTAACACCAGTGTGTGGAGTCTGGAATTCATCTCCCAGTTGTAGGTCTGGTGTCTGATGAGCCCTGAGTACCAGGCTGCAGCCCTGTTCTCTAACCAGACTTCAGCCTTAATTTCCTACTTAGTACTCCAGCCCACTGCTGGGTCTGGAGCTTTGCCTAAAACCATCATATCCCATTTGGCAGGGATTCGACACCTTGCCATGTCTTTGCCCTCATCCGTCCCCTGCGAGGTGGTAGCTTGTTCCCTATATTCCCAGCTGCTGTCAGTGGTACCAATCTACATATATCCTCCAGAGCCATGATGTGGCTGACCTTTCTGGCACTGCACATTGCTCCATTCATTGGGTCTGGAATGGGACCTTTGGCTGAAAAAAAGCCCCCTAACCTGTTTCCATCTGGTACTAGGTTTCTTCAACACTTCCTCTTGGCCAGTGCCAGAATCCCTGGCAGTTTAGCCCACCCAAGTTATAACAGCTCCACTCACTAGACACGATTTATTTATGTGCAACTGAACACCTTCCTTGGCCATCACCCAATACACAAAGTTGCTACAAGAACTAGCCTGCTGAGTCTTCAAGGCTTCCAGACATCATCTCAGATTTAGGAAAGCAACAGGAAATAGGAGGGGGCTGCCTCCCACCACATTGAAGATCACAGAGCAAGAACCACAGCTATTACTCCATGTGCCTAAATCACTTCCCAAAAGCAAATACATGCAACTTCAAAAAAATCCCATCGCATAAAAATACATAAGAACTTAATCAATACTTAAACATTGGGTAGTTACTAGATGTTTAACAAGCTCATAATAAGTACTCAATAAATGTTTGTTCAACTAATAAATAGGTTTGACAACTGGGAATGCTGAGATGTAGCTTCTATTGCTGTTACTCACAGCCACACAGCTAGATACCTTAGGGGTGGAACCGGAACGAAACTCTCTTGGCTCCAATCCAGTAATCTTCGTACTAGAGGAAAAATCTTTATTAAGTTAATATTGATCAACTTATAACAGCACAAACTTCTAAATCAATTTTTTTACTGGGCTTTTATCTCTAAAATTATTGAAGTTTTACCAGTTTGGGGAAGTTAATACTGGCTACTTAAGTACTTAAGCACTTGGTCAAGAAATAGGCTATATGTGTAACTAAATTCTGCGGTAATATTGGGACAGGAACCTGTCCAATACCAAGAATGTATAAACATTTTTATCATGTAAAAGAATATTTAAATATTAATATCACAAAATCTGAACCTTTTTCATGTCCTTGAACCACACAGTAGAAAAGGAGTATACAAAAAAAAAAAAAAAAAAAAAAAGAGCCAAGTAGGGGAAGAGAGAAACAGACACAGAAAGGAGATTGAAAGCCAAAGAAACACCTTTGCAATTCTCCAGAAATTAACTCTGTCCCTCCCACCTCATCACTATAGAAAAGGAAGCTCTAAAGGAAGCCTATGGTTCACTCCACTGCTCTTCTTGAAATAGCATTAGGAGAGATACCTAATGTAAGTGACGAGTTAATGGGTGCGGCACACCAACATGGCACATGTATATACATATGTAACAAACCTGCACGTTGTGCACATGTACCCTAGAACTTAAACTATAATTTAAAAAAAGTATTAAAAAAAAGAAATCTCCAAGGGCTGCTAAAAAAAAATACAATTCCCATTAACGTGCAAACACCAGCTGTGTTGGGCCTAACACTCTTTTACACTTTAATTAAAAGGAACCCCTCTAATCAGATGATTTGATTGCCTTGCTACTTAAAGTGTGGTCCAGGAAGGACCAGTAGCATCAGCAGCACCTGGAAATTTATGAGAAATGCAGTCTGTCCCGCACACCCCACACCCACTGATGCGGAATCTGTGGTTTATCAAGACCCCCAGGTGATTCACATGCACAGTGACGATCAATCAACTGACACTGCTCTCAGCTGTTGTAAAGTGGCAGCCTTGACTGGTACAGACAAAAAATCATTTTGGTTCCCAAAGGTCTTTAAAGAAGGTGTGGGCAGGGAGCCCTTCAGAGCATTGGAGAAGGTGCCAAAGACCAATTTGCCTTCTTAGCTTTTTCCTAAGGATCCAGGGGCCTGCAAAACTCTACCTCCACCAAAATCACCTGAGTATGCAATGGATTGCTAAGGCCTGTGAGGTTCATCTGACTGTGTTGAAATATAGATGATGTACACACAGAACATGTACAAGAATTAATGTAACTGAAACCCCTGTGATTGACTGATCAACTGTAGTGTTGGGCAAGGGACATTATGCAACTCTCCAAGGCACCCAAATTACAGCCAAGGGGCACCCAGGCATAAGGAGAACCTGGTTCTTGTTGTGTTACTGTGAGTGTATGTCAGAAGCTCTGATGAGTATGCTTACACCCTCCACACCACGTAAAAATGCAGAATTGTGCAATTAACTAGAGGATGAGGATTGAAAGATGCTCCTACTCTGAACAATTGAATAAACTATTTGGTGTTTCTTAATCCACTGAAACAAAAATTGCCTAAGCAGTATCTTTTTCAACATAATTACCTATGTTTAAGATTCAAATAAAAACAGTTACTCCAAACTTTACAATATGCCCTTCCTTTCTGCCTCCTCCTCCTCTTGCTTTTCTCTCCTCTTCCTCTTTCTCCTTCTCCTTCAACCTATCTGCTTGTGAGCCTGACTGTCATAATTTTCTGATAGCTTTAATTGTATGTTTTCCCTAAGATGGAGTCTAAACCTCAAGGGTTAACTGCAGTAACGTCTTTCACCTGTGGAGGGGCACTGACGCGCAGCAGAACCGAAGCAGGCTTTGGGCAACCAACCTCCCGCTGGGCAATTTAACCAGAGTCACAATTAGAGACCAAGAGATCTGTTGTTGGGTCTGGTGCGGAGGGAAGAGTGCTCTAATTAAGTTGGGAGCGGCTCAGAAGGAGCAGAAATAGGCAATGATTCCAGAAGAGGGGAGTTCCAGGAAGCAGCCAGGAGGGAGGGGTGGGAACTCTGATTGCATCCTGGAGCGAGCAACTCATAAAACCCCGAACCCTGCCTCCAAGGCTTTGCCCCAAGGAGCTTCTTAAAACAGAGCCAGAATTCACTTCATTTAAAAGAATAGCTCAGCATGTAGCCACTAACTCCCTCTAGCAGAGGAAGCCCCTTGTTTCTCCCTGAAGAATGCAATGAAGGTTGAGCTTCTATCTTGCCAATTACCCCATAATTAGAACAGCTGATGGCATACTGAAGGGGGTGCGTGTGTAAGTGTGCATGCCTGTGTGTTTTGGGAGAGGAAAATCACTCTTCACCCAAAAAGAAAGCTTGAAAGGATGATGCCCATAATTTGTTCATTATCACCAACCCACTCCTTTGTAGGGCAACATGCTTTGAGTTCGGAAGTAAATCTAGATCCAGTCCTATGCATAGGTACCTTTGTAAAGAGGACATGAAGCCAGGTATTTTAGATTGAATTCTGGTTTCTCAAGTAATGTTTAGAAATGAAGAACTCCCTTCCCATTTAACTTCCTTTAACAACAGTCTGTGCCTGCAATGCCAAACTCTCAGTTTTAAATATTTAGTCCTGCTGAACCTGCATTTATTTGTTTTTATTTTTATTTTTATTTTGAGACAGGGGTCTCACTGTGTTGCCCAGGCTCGTCTCAAACTCCTGATCTCAAATGATCCTTCCACCTCAGCCTCCAAGAAGCTGAGACTACAGGCATGAGCCACCACAGCCAGCTAGACCCACATTTTTTAAAAAAAATTATTTATTTTGCTCATCCTTTAGACAATACTTTTTTTTTTAATTTGGTGTGTGTGTGTGTTATTATACTTTAAATTCTGGAATACATGTGCAGAACGTGCAGGTTTGTTACATAGGCATACATGTGCCATGGTGGTTTGCTGCACCTATCAACCCATCATCTAGCTTTTAAGCCCCACATGCATTAGGTATTTATGCCAATGCTCTCCCTCCTCTTGCGCCCCAACCTCTGACAGGCCCTGGTGTGTGATGTTCCCCTCCCTGTGTCCATGAATTCTCCCTGTTACACTCCCACTTATGCGTCAGAACATGTGGTGTTTGGTTTTCTGTTCCTGTGTTAGTTTGCTGAGAATACGTATGTTTATTGCAGCACTGTTTACAATAGCAAAGACTTGGAACCAACCCAAATGCCCATCAGTGATAGACTGGATAAAGAAAATGTGGCACATACACACCATGGAATACTATGCAGCCATAAAAAAGAATGGGTTCATGTCCTTTGCAGGTACATGGATGAAGCTAGACCTACATTTATCAGATAATTGTGAAGGCAGCCGAAGAATCTTGTCCCCATAAACATGCTTTCTCTCCTAGAGATCTCCAGTACCTCATGAGCTATAGAATATACATGATTTCTAATTATATATAAAGCCAGAAAAATATTGAAATGTGATGATATGCTTTTGGAGGGGCATTTAAAATCTTATGAACTCCCAATTGACAAAGGAAAAATGACCCATACTTAAATTTGACTTCTTTCCTAGTGTTTTTTCTAGTCTTTTCCATGGTTTTTTTTTTTCAGGATTTTTGAATAAGACATTTCAGTCTTTGTAATAAAACCATCAACAGTATCTCAATCCAAATTTCTAACAGTTTACATTCTTAGGAATGTGTGCTTTATTAGACTCATAAACAGTAATAATCGTGATTGCTACAATTTCGTGAATGCTGGTTCTATGCTGGAAACTGTACTAGGTGCATTCTATGGTCTATTGCTAATCCTTAATCACCACCCTGTTTGGCAGATGCTATCATTCCCATATTAGAGAGTAAGATAAAGTTAAACAAGGACTAGAGCTATTTCCCTAAGGGGGAGATGAGGCATTAACCATGCCTTTTCGGTTAATTCCACAAGTAAATAATACTAGATACTCAGTGTCATCATCTCTACAGATTTATTGCCTTCCTTCTGTGGACCAACCTCTTTTCTAGATGTTCATAAACATTGGCTTATTTAATCCTTGCAAAAGTCTCAAGAGATGCCTCTAATTCTCACCAGGGTGGGGGTGAGAAAACTGAAAATCAGCGATATGCTCAGAAATGGCAAAGTTAAGAACCTAACACAGATTTTTTTATGTCAATTTCAATGCCTTTCCACTAAAATCCGATTGCATCCCAGACAAACAAAAATAAGAAAGTCATACTCACTTTTGTAATGTGGCAGGAGCAGCCTGTTTACTGCTGTGCCTTCACTGTCAAAAGCATGCCTGAACTTTTCCCAGCAGGCAGCTGAAAGTGTAGCGGAATTATCAAAGGGGTGCCATTAGCAAGAACTCTGTTCGAATCTGCTGCGATGCAATAGCTTAAGGGAGTGGGTTGTTTATCCCTTAAGGGAACTTAAGGGAGTGGGTTGTTTATCCCTTAACACTTGTTTCTCTATCAGCCAAATGGACATTCTTACCTGTCTCCTCATCATCTTTGGAAATTAAACTCCATGAGGGCAGGGACTTTGTTTATCTTGTTCACTCCTCTTTTCTCAAATGTTTAAAACATACAATACACTTAAAATATTTTTGTAGGGAAAAAGAACATGATTCACAGGTTTTGTAAAGATCAGATGAGTTCATATGTATGAATGTTCTGTTTATTCTTTCTCCCTCCCATCTGAGAGATTAACCTTCAAATTAGGTTAGCTTAGTCTTGTAAACTAGATCTGTCTACACATCTAGATATGGATCCTTCTTGACTTCTAAAAAGCCTTATCTTTTAAGTACAGTTGGAGAATGCCTAAAGCTTTGGGATTTTTAAGATTCAGTGAGTGAAAAACAATTACCAAAATACTTTAATTTGCTTTCTAGCCACTTCATCCATATGACTTTGAATCGAACACTTAAAACTATCTGAGGTTCTGAGAGTGGGGATGCTATTACACTCTTAAGGTTATTACAAATATTAGCCTAAAAGTATAAAGAATATTTTTTCTAAATGAAAAATACTTGTCAAAGCATGCTTGTTAATCAAAACTGCTGTCAGTCTAGATTACAAATTCAGATCATTTATCTTAATGATTTGGCAAGAAGTTTTTAAACTTAATAATTGCATTGACAATAATGATGAGAGCTAATACTCACTGAGAACTTCTAAGGGCTGAGTGCTCACTCCAGCACTTTACATGTGTCCATTCATTGAAACCTCACATCTCTCCTGTGAGATGGGTGTCGTACATGGGTAAGCTGAGGCACAGGCAGGCTAAGTAAAAGATACAACCAGAAAGTAGGGTTTGAAGCCAAGCAACTGGATTCAGAGACTGAGCTCTTAACTACTAAACTGTGTGTGTTTCAACTTCATGATTGAGCCATCTCTTTAGATCAGGGTTCTCTACCTTTTCGCAGATGAACTCCTTCATCAGTCTAACAAAACCTATAGGCTGCCTGTCAGAGTAATGCTCATAATGCTTTAAATAAAATACATAGGATTACGAAGAGAATAAATTACTGTGAAAATAGTTATTTAAATGTTTTTAAAACTAAATGTACAACAAGATAACATATTTGCTTCTTTATTACCTGTTAAATAACAAGAACTGGTGTGAGGGTCTGATCATTGCTGTTATTTAGTAGATGAATAGCATATGTAATGACATGAAAATGTCTCATTTCTTTTGGTGTCGAAATCTCAGGTATTGCTAACACTACCGTGGTTTGCAGCTGACGTTCTTGATTGAAGGAAATGCTAAATTTCAGATTTAGAGTAGTGAAAATAAAGATGTAAATTTTTCCCATCCAAATTTCTGGACCACTGGATTCTGTCCTGCTCTTCTTGAGCAGACCTTCAGTTCAGTAGCCTAACTTTAGAACGTGTTTATTGTTTCCAGGTAACAGAAAACTCTCACTGGCATACTTTGAAATAGATGTAGGTTTTCCTTTTGAAATATCATGGTAGTTTTAACTTGGACTTTGTTGAAACATGACAAATTAAAACATGTCAAAGGGCTTATTTTCTATATAGAGTGCAACTCTTTTCTGTTTAGGCTTAACTATCAAAACTAATTTCAACTGTTGCCACATCACTTGAAGTTCATTAATTAGTGAATATATGGAGATATAAACTCAAGCCAGCCTAATCTAAGAACTGTAATTTAGCCTGCTTGTACATTTCTGTGATACTACAGTACAGTTCTCGAAAACAATCTGTCTTTATTCTATACAACCACTAGATGGCACTAATTGTTTGCTAGTCCTCTTTCTGCCCAAAATTCTACTCCCCCCCTCCACCCTCCATTTCCCACCCCCAAATTGAGAAAGGTTTATCTGGCAACTTTATCCACAAAAACTAAGCGTTGACATATCTTTCTGAAATAAATTAAAGCATTTTTTTCATTCCGTTTTTATCTTTTAAAGACCATTACATCATTTTGTTCTTTCTTCGATTCTCCAGGGGGTTTTTCAAGTCCATTAGAACTTCAGCAATTCAAAATGTTTCGCACCAATTAGAACTAGCTTCTTCAAAACATGGTGTGCTTTTCCAGCAAATGCATGATCCATGGGAAGCCTTGCTTCCTATCTGGGATGCCGGCAACAGAAGCATTTTTAGAGCAGCAAAATTATTGTGTTACATGTCTTCCTGTCACAGCAGCTAGATACTTGTCCTCCACTGCTTCAGAGAAATCACATTTATAGGCTGGTGCATCAGTCCTGGGTCATAAATAGGACAAGGGCTGCACTCAATAAAACATTGGACCAACACACTTCTCAGTGATATGGGATTGGTGAGAAGCATTTTTAAAGGAGTAATAAAATGTAACTATGTTTTAAAACTGTCTCTTGAAATAAGCACATTCTTACATTAGCATCTGAAGTAATGTACTAGCAAGAAGCACAAAAAAAGATATATTTCCAGGAGTACTGAAGTCCTACTGTTGTATTTCTTGGTGTAAAACACATACCACTGTGTTAATTTTCATAATTTTGTATATTGCATGTAGTGTCACATACAATGAACCAATGAGTGCAAGCTACTCTATTAGTCATTTGGATCCAGACGAAGGAATCAGATTGAATGGTTGTCATTGAGGAGGTAGTATCCCCATTCTCTCTGCCTCTGATAGAAATCACCATTGGAGCTGTGAGTGACAACCCTACCTCTGAGCGTGGGAAATCTGATTGTTCATTGTAAATATTTACACCTCCATTTACCATCCAAAGCCAAACATGTGTTTAGCTTCCCCCATTCTAAAATTTCATCGCAGAATCGATCAACCTTCAAAAAGGTTTATTATATCTCCTAAAGTTATGATTGTCAAGAATACAAGACTCCTAATGACATGGATTTTTTTTCCAACAAGAACAGGAAAAAAAGCTGGGTTGGTGGGGAGCAGTAAATTCTCAAAGCTCAAGAGGCTATTGTTAATATTTGTACCACTCTATTGATTTGGGGCAGAGATGTATGGGTCCATGCAGGGGAGGGCAGCCAGAGGAAAAGAGTGGGCTGGCATCAGCCAAAACCCAAAAGAGCTTACATGAATGAAATGAGGCTAGATCACAAAAGGAGTTTGTCTTGTCTCCTGGTTTTCCTGTGGCTGTGTTTATCTGCTTACTGTTGGAGGAATATATATATCCACATGGTATTTGAAAAGCCTTGGCTTTTGTGTCTAATATTCCTAGCCAGTGTGTCAAGTCCCAGAGCACCAAAGTTCATGCAGTTCACCATTGGTTGCAGGTGGCGTCCCCAGGATTCTCTAGCATGGCTCTATGGGCTAAGAGAGAGACTCTTTCTCCAGGGCGGGGAGGGGATGAGGGTATCAATTCCAGAATGCACTTGGCACTCACTCACTGTGGTTCTTTGAAACATTCCAAGAGCAGTTTTCCACAGAGTGAAAAGAAAGTAAGAAGCCAACTCAGTCCCTGGAAATGGAGTGTTAGGGAAAAAAATAATGCTTTCCTGTTCTAATACATTTGTCTTCCTAAAAGCTTCTTTTTTGTACTTTTTTCCAAAAAATTATTATCTTTAGATCTAGATACAGGAAAAACATTTTCAAAGATACATTTGGTTAAGTGCTTTTTAAGCATTTGTTTGGAATTAAGTCTGACATTCTCTTTTTCTCAGATTGCCCTACAAATTAGCACAGAATTATTGGCTTTTACCCAGAGAAAAAGAAGTGGAAAATAATAATAATGGTATGAAAGTATGGACCAGAACTCTGAATCCTGAAAGAGTTTACTTATTTTCCAAGAGAAGGGGTAGGGTGTAGGCAATAGATTTCGTTTGTGTGTGTGTGTGTGTGTGTGTGTGTGCGTGTGTGTGTGTGTGTGTGTGTGTGTTTTATACATGCCATGTAAGAATTATTTCATATTTCGGCCGGGCACGGTGGCTCAAGCCTGTAATCCCAGCACTTTGGGAGGCCGAGGCGGGCAGATCATAAGGTCAGGAGATCGAGACCATCCTGGTTAACACGGTGAAACCCCGTCCCTACTAAAAATACAAAAAAGTTAGCCGGGTGTGGTGGCGGGCGCCTGTAGTCCCAGCTACTCGGGGAGGCTAAGGCAGGAGAATGGCGTGAACCCGGGAGGCGGAGCTTGCAGTGAACCGAGATCGCGCCACTGCACTCCAGCCTGGGCTACAGAGCAAGACTCCATCTCAAAAAAAGAAAAAAAGAATTATTTCATATTTCAAAAACTTTGTTTCTTTGGAAAATCAACCTTGTTGGAGGTAGACGCACCTTTTCCCAATACTTTTGAACATGCCCACTAGTCTTTTCTTTTTCTGGACTTTTTCATCTGGCCTGCTTATATAATTAGACTACAAATCAATCAGTACAGCTCTTGATTTTCTGCAATCTTTAGCTTCAGGCTCTATGATGATATAATGATCTCACCACATTCTGCTTAAGCCAGACAATTGGATCTGCCATTTACCTTAGTGTGCCAGGAGGTGAACATGTACTACATTTCAGGAAAAACAGACCGATTTGTTCAGGTGTGAGCAGTGGTTTCTTAACCGCCAAAGCATTCCAGTTCAACAAGATGTTCCAGGAAAATATAATTTTGGAACCAGTTGGTTCAGCTCTAGGTAGGAGAGGCTGCTTAATTACTCTCAGGTGGTCTCCAGCAAGAACAGTGTCTCAGCTTCACAGCAACCAAAACCTGCCTGCAGATAGGCAGGCCTTACCCATAAACCTTCAAGGATAAGAGATGGAAAGTGAACTGGGCCAGGTCTACTTCACGACAGCAGTTACTGGAAAGTGCCAGAACTAAATCATGGGCAGAGAGGGAAGGAGGCACTAGGTGGAGGGCATGGTAAAACAGAACCTGATGTCTCAGATTCCCCAAGATCTTAATCAGAGTCACTCTGTGCTGTTTTACTGTCTGCATTCCTACCTTTCTCCAGCCACTTCCCATTACTTTATCTCCCACTTGAAAAGGTTTCGTTTTTTCATAATCTGAAGCAGTTCTACGGATGAATCCAGTCCAGTTTTTTGAGCTGCGGGTCAGGTATGTCCTGAAACCACTTTCTCCCTCATTCTACTTCACGCAAACGTAAACAACGCAAAGGGCTGCAGGAGAGAGACACCCCGGGGAAACTAATCTTGTGACAAATTTGCTTTTCTTAGTTGTTTTCCAAAAACTTAAATTCCAAAGTTTTCACTGAGCTACATTCTATTAAAAAAACAATTCTTTCCCAGCCGTGTAACTGAAGTACATCCTACCCTGGAAAAAGATCAAGGACTATTAACGGCTAAAGAAGATAATTTCAGTGCTTTGACTTAACAGACAAGAGGCCATCTTCCTGTAGGGCACAGAGGGAAACCTAGTTTATGCAGGTTTATTTGTTCATATGATGGCAAAAGAGAGAAACCATCTCAATTTACAAGCTAAGACAACTTAACATAGAGATCATGAAAAAAACACAGTTTGGGAAACGGTGGGAAAGAAGTTAAAATCTATGAGCAGAAAAAAAAAATGAGTTGTAGCCAATGGCCAGGGTTTTTCATTAAGCTAAATCATAACCAAACATTAATAGGGATCAGAGCTAGATCCAAATATTAAATATATCAGTAATGATAACCAGTGGTATATTAATGACATGTCATTAATGTAAGAGGCAGTGGAGAAAAATGCTTATAATATAATGTGATCTTAAAAGCAGAATGCATCTTTGGCTAGAGTCACAGAGTGAAGAAAAAGAAAAATTAATTTTAAAAAAGCAGAATGCAATTTAAAGACTACAAAATGACATATACAATATTACTTTGACAATCGTAAAAGATTAATATGAATAAAGACAAAATGGAATATGCAAAAATAGTAATAGTTGTTACGTAGACAACAGAATTAAATATTTTTTCTTCTTTCCAATATTGTCAATTTACTTCACATTTTTAAAAGATTAACTTCCAAATCAAAGAAAAAAAGGAACCAAGAAGATTGTGCAAATCGGAAATGGAAGTCACTGCCTTATCAGAAAAATGCCATAATCAAAACAGTGTATCTTCGTGGAAGGCCCAGCTGCAAAAACACAAATCTAACCTCAAGACTATCAGCTTATTCAGGTAAAGTCACTGATCAATTTGGGCCAAAGCATGAGGCACTGGTTTTAGTTACTCAACTTGAAAACCATCCCCAGGTTATAGGGAAATGAGAAAAGGGACGCTTAGGCTCCTGAAGAAAGACTTGAAAAGTTAAATATGTTTCGTCTGGAAAAAAAAGACTGAGAGGTGATCTCATTTCAGTGTTTGGATACCTGCAGCAGATATTCCAGGCCCAAGGATGTGACCTGTCCTACTCACTCAGAAGCAATAGGAAACTGCAGAAGGAAAGGGTTACATTAGAAAGATTTCCCCTCAAAGATAATTACATGTTTATTCCAGTTTTAGTCTAAGTGACAGGATTACAGTTCCTTCCCCATCTGTAATCCAGGGAGAATAATGCTTGCTGCCTAAGTTTTAATGGATATAACATCTGTAAAATACTTTGAGCTCTTCAGATGAAAGATGTCACGTGAGTGCAAGGAATTATTGTTATTATTTTTGTCTCCTGCCTTCCCTATTGGTATAAGTTTCTTTGTGACATTTACAGGACCCTCCAGTCAGCCAGCTGCTCTGTAACATATCATCTCAGTGATATTTTAAATCCTTCACGTGGTTCTGATTGTACCCAGAACAAGAGCAGCTTAATTGTTAATTGTTTGTCTTGAAGGATGTAGAAGTAGTCACAGCACCCGTTCAGGGTTAGGGGGTCAAGGTTTTTCCTAACATCCACTTCAGGGCTTATGTGCTGGCCTCATAGCGGTGGCACGGTTGATGGATCTTGTCTTTCTATTCATTTCCTTTGAACAACTGTCTGACGGCAGAGCATTGAACATATAGCCCTCCTCCACAATTTCTGTTTTTTAAGAGTCTGCATTCAGCTTCAACTAACATCTAGGGAGTGCCTCTTCAGTGTGTGCCTGGCACTGTTCGCACACCTTCGACATGCACTATCTTGTTGTTTTTTTAAAAATAACTGTTTTCAGCCAGATGCAGTAGCTCATGCCTGTAATTCCAGCACTGTGGGAGGCTGAGGCAGAAGGATCACTTAAGCCCAGGAGTTGGAGACCAGCCTGGGCAACATAGTGAGACCCTGTCATCACACACACACACACACACACACACACAGAGTAAAATAATTTTTTTCCCTACTAAGTAGCAACATGTCCATATTACTTAAAAAATTTGGAAAAGGCAGGAAACTTTAAAGAAGTAAAAAAAAATAAATGAATAAAAACCTGTATTCCAGTAATCAGAAACAATTGCTGTAGACATTTTGGTGTATATATTCTTAGTTTCCCTTTCTGTGTGTGCACACCTATGCATGTTCTTTTTACCCACTTGCTGTTATTTCATAAACTTTCCCATATTTTTAAATTTTCTTCACAAACATGAGTGGTCAGGGTGGCCTAATATTCCATCCTGCGGAGGAGCAGTGAATTGTTACGCTTTACCTCACCTAATTTTCAAAATATCTGCATTTCAAATGAATAAAATAATCAATGGATTCTTCGTCTAAGACATTTTATTTTGGATCTTTTACCAAGTCTTTGGTCCTGAAAACAACCCTGTAAGATAGAAATTATTTTACAGATAAAGAAGTAGACCCATAGGGATGAAGTCTCAGTTAGGGTTAGTAGACCCAGAGGGTCTACTTCTCAGTTAGTCTCAGTTAGGGTTAGAATTAGGGTTAGAATTAGGGTTAGGGTTAGGGTTAGGTTTGTTCCTGGTTCAAACAATCAGAAAACTAAAGAACACAATCTAGGCCCAATGACCAACCCAGGCCTTCCCTGTCATATCATATCAGTAAACAACATGAAACATTGGACTCCTGGATTGTTTTATAGGTTTCCACATAAATTGTTCTTCTCAAATTGTGGAAGTCAAAAAATAGTCCTTCGTAATTTGCAGGGTTTTTGAGAATGATGGCATTTTGTCATCTCCTAAACACCTGCATTCATGCAATATGTTTACACCCCTTCGTGCTTACCAAGCACTTTCACAGCCTCCTCTTTTATCATCTGATACTTATATTTTCCTTATGAGCCAAGCAGGAAATATTGTCCCTATTTTACTTAGTGATAAAAGTGAGGCTCATAGATAGACAGTGACTTACTGATTTATTTCTCACTTTCCAGCACCTTGATGACTATCAATTTTGTTAATCTTTTCTTTTCCATTGCAATAATTTTCTGGCTCTTCTATCTAGAAGTATCTCCATCTCATTTCCTCCTCCAAATTTTTGCAAATTTTCTAGTTATAGTGCTGAACAGAAAAGTAATTTTTCTTACTGTAAACTCTACAGATCTCTGTAAAAAGGGACACTGATGACCAGTAATGTTGAGACCCCTCTATGTGCCAGACACTGTGGCAAGGCTTGGTACATATTATCTCATTTAATTCTCCTAACAGCTCTTAGAAGTAGATTCTGTTATTTTACATTTTGTTTCACAAATGAAACTAATGAAGCTTAAAAGGACAATTAACTTGCTTAGGAAACAGAAATTTGGGACTCAAACAGGGGCCATCTAATCCTTACCTGTGAACTATCATGCTCTACTCCTCCATAAGATCTTGCTCCTAAAGCACATTTTATCAAATGTACTTAGCCTCATGTAAGAAGATTCTCCCCATTTTCAAAAGAATCTAAGGCAGGCCTGAACTTATAACAAAGAGGCTTTGTTAATTGCGAATGTTCATGTGTGCCCGAAATTCCTATGTTGAAACCTAATCCCCAGTTTGATGGTATTAGCAGGTGTAGCCTTTGGGAGGTGATTAGGTCTTGAGAGTGAAGCCCTTATGAATTGGATTAGTGTTGTTAAGAAGGGCTATAGAGACCAGAGTTCATCCCTTCTGCCATATGCAGACAAAGCAAAAAGGTGCCATCTATGAACCAGGAAATGGGCCCAAGCCAGAGAGTCAATCCACCAGCACCTTGATCTTGGACTTCCCAGCCTCCAGAACTGTGAGAAATAAATTTCTGTTGTTTATAAACCACTCAGTTTACAGTGCTTCATTATAGCAGTCCAAATGGACTAAGACACTCATAGAACCATGTGCCTTTATTACAAAAACACACATTTAATCAATAATTTCCTTTTTGCAAGTCAAAGGCTTATCTAATAAAATTATATCACCACCCAGAAGAAATTTGACCAAGGAGCAGTTAAATAATGGACAAATCTGGATTATTGTGTATTGGCAAGCTCTGTTATAGCATGTGCACAATTCTTTCTCCCTTACTTCACTCCAGCCTCCCAGTTTCAATCTGGCTATATCTATAATATTAGAGACAGACAGACAGACAGATAGATAGATAGACAGATGATAGATAGGTAGATAGATAGATAGATAGATAGATAGATAGATAGACAATATTGACAGCTACACATTCTCATAGTTTGTTTTAGACCAATTCAGAAATCGCTGGATTTCTGGAACACGCTGCAATGAAGTACAGAAGTGGCTGGGATATGTTTAAACATGGATAGCTAAGAAATACAAGAATATGACAAGGCACGGTGGCTCACGCCTGTGATTCCAGCACTTTGGGGGCCCAAGGCAGTCGGATTATTTGAGGCCAGGAGTTCAAGACCAGAGTGGCCAACGTGGAGAAACCCTGTCTCTACTAAAAATACAAAAAATTATCTGGGCGTGGTGGTGCATACCTGTAGTCCCAGCTACTTGACTTGGGAGGCTAAGGCATGAGAATTGCTCCACCAGGGAGATGGAGGTTGCAGAGAGCTGAGATGGTGCCTCTGTGCTCCATCCTGGATGAGAGAGTGAGACTCTGTCTCAAAGAAAAAAAAAAAAAAGAAATTTTTTTACAAATAAAAGTTCTTATATTCTTAATTTACAAATAAAAGTTCTCTAGTTCCTGGCTACTGATGTAACAACTGGTATGAAACTTTAGTCAAAGTTCCCATGTTAGTTAAACAGAACCATATGAACAAACAACTGGAAGAATTAGAAGAATAACTGAATAATGAAACTAATGATCACATAAGGTAATTGTAACCCAATTTGAATTCCATCTTTACAAGAAGAAATAACTCTCATACCTCTTTCCTTTTCCTCTGTGCTAACCCACGCTGATTTCATTTCTTAACCCTATGTGCCTGCATGATTTGAAACCACCTTCCACCAATTTCTCTGATCCAGACCTAGCTGTACTCCAAATCACCCTAAGTATCAGCATCTTTTCAACCATTCTAAAGCTCAATTAAATCTTTACTTACCTCCTCGTTGCTAACCTTTCGCCTGCCAATTCATACTTTTTTTTTTTTTTTTTGAGATGGAGTCTTCCTCTGTCACCCAGTCTGGAGTGCAGTGGCCCAATCTCGGCTCACTGCAACCTCTGCCTCCTGGGTTCAAGCGATTCTTCTGCCTCAGCCTCCCGAGTAGCTGGGACTGTAGGCACACGCCACCACATGCAGCTAATTTTTGTATTTTTAGTAGAGACAGGGTTCACCTGTCTCTACTAAAAATGATCAGGCTAGTCTCACACTCCTGACCTCGTGATCCCCCTGCCTCAGCCTCCCAAAGTGCTGGGATTGCAGGTGTGAGCCACCGCGCCCAGCCCCAATTCATACTTTTATATGTCTATAGAATTATCTTCCCCAAACACAAAGCTGATCCTGTCACTCTCCAGGTTTAAAGTGTCCAATGCTTCCCCACTTTATATATGCTGGAAGCCAAATGTCACTTCAGCAATGAAGTACAGAAGTGTCTGGGACATGTTTAAACATGGATAGCTAAGAAATACAAGAATATGACCAGGCACAGTGGCTCACGCCTGTAATCCCAGCACTTTGGGAGGCCAAGGGGGGCAGATCACTTGAGGCCAGGAGTTTGAGACCAGCCTGGCCAACATGAAGAAACCCCATTTCTACTAAAAATAGAGTAATATTTCTCTAGACTCTTCTCAAGCCCCCTCCCCTCTGCGTCTCCCAGTCTGCATGAACTCTACTCTCCAGTCTACAAAACTTACAAGGAGAAAGAGGAGATGGGAAGCAAGAACACCAACAGTTACTGAGCATCTCTCAAATACTGGAGGCCCCACTGACCATTAAGGGTCTCATCCTGCTTGATGGGCTTTGAGGCAAGAGGGCTGAAACAGACGTGCTACCTGTAGAGGCTGCAGATGAGGAGCAGTTCAGCACAGTGACAGCCAGTGATCATGGGAAGGACTGACAGGCTAGGAGGCAAAAGAAGCAGTGTGACTTGCAGGCAGCAACACAAGAGCTCATAGCAGGAACTGATGGCTGGGAGCAGCATGGAACATGCTGCACTGCTCCCTTCCCGGCCCCCCAACTCCTTACACAGCCAGGCCTCAGAATCGCTGTCCTCATGCTGCTTGTTCCCCATTGTCACCTGTTAGCCATTACTTTTCCATTCTTACACAAAATCCTTTCTTAGCTGCAGTTTATCCCATCTTTCTATTCTATCCTCTGCACCTTCCTCCTGGAAGCCGTAAGGAATCTCCCTTTGAGAACTTTGGAAACTGAGTCTAATCCAGTCTTCTGTCTTCATCCTGTTGTCATCATGGATGACCTCAACACCCACCTTGACAATATGTTTGACATACTCTGCTCAAAATCTCCATAATTACAGCAATCTTTTACCACTCATTAGCCACCCACTCCCCTGGCCATTCTCAAGGCATTGTCATTGCCCAGAACAGTCTCACTCTGGGCATATTTAACTCCAGTATACCCATCCTTGACCTCTCCTGACCTCATGGCTTTCAGTGAGTATTCCAGTTCTCAGTCCCTCCCTGTCATTTCATTCCTTTATGCTTTCATAGGGACATACTTTCCTATCCAACCCAGACCCCATGGATTCTCATTTTCATTCAGCCCATTCACTCCTCCCTTTCAGCAGGTGTTCATGTCTCCAACTTCAGAGAGGAAAAATGATGAGGCTTTTCGACACTTATTCCCTCTGCTCCTAACCTCTACCTAAAAATCCATATCTACATAACCCTCCACTTCCCTTTTCCCAGGCTGAAAGGGGAGGTGTTCCTACTCACGAGCAAGGCTAATTCCTTCACCCTAGTTCTGAATGCTTCCTTTATGTCCTTGTGCCATTAGTTATTCTTTCTTGCCCTTGCATGTTTAATCTCTCCTTTTCCTCTGATTCCTTCCTTACCAGACTGTCAGTAGAATCAAGTGTCTCACTTTTAAAACCAAAAATTCACTTTTGCTTCCCTCTGACTATCTTCTAATCCTCTCTCCTTCTATTTTCAGGTAGTTTCTTAGAAGAAATAATCTAAATTCTAGCCCAGTGCTTCTGAAACTTTGTGCATGAATCTGAGGATCACGTTCAATGAGATTTGATTGATCTCATAATCAATGAAATTATGACTCAGTAGATTTAGGGTGAGACATGAGAGTCTGAACTTCCAACATGCTCCCAGTTGAGGTCAATGCAAAGTGTTTTTAGGCAATCCACTTCTTCAACTCACATTTATTCTTCAACCCACTACAATCTCATTTCTGCCTCATGCCCTCCATACCCTGGCAACTTTGCCAACGACTTCCTATTTGTCCAATCTAATGGATAGGTGTCAAACTTTATGACATTTTGGGAGCATATCCAGCTTGCTCTTCCCTTTCTGAAACTCTTACCTTGACTTCCGTGACACTATTCGATCGTGGTATTTTTCCTCTGTCTCTGATCATTCATTCTTAGGCTGCATAGTTGGGTCCTCTTCTGTCTTAGTCTACTAGGGCTGCCATAACAAAATACCATACAATGGGTAGCTTAAACAACAAAAAGTGATTAAGGTCCAGCAGGATTCGTTTCTGGTAAGAGCTCTCTTCCTGGTTTGCAGGTGGTCGCCTTCTTATTATGTCCTCATATGGCCCTTCCTTGATGCGTGCCCATGGAAAGAGGGAGATCTCTCTCTCTCTCCCCCCACCATCTTATACAGCCACCAATCCTGTAATATTAGAACCCTACCTCTATTATCTCATTTAACATTTTTTACTTCCTAGAAGCCCTGTCTCCAAATACAGCCACATTGGGGATTAGGTCTTCAACATATGAATTTTGGGGGAATACAATTCAGCCCATAGCATGTTCCTTTGCTCTAGCTTCAAAACTTTACATCCTCCAGGGTTCTGTCCTACTCCTACCCTTCTCATTCCTTGTGCCTTTTCTGTCTAACCTTATTCACATTCCTGGCTTTAGCTACCAACTGTGTGCCAGTGAGAGTTAAATTTTTATCACAAGCCTAGTTGTGTGTATCCAAACACCTACTGGTTCACTGTGAAGGAAGAAGGGTTCTTTTAAAAAGAAGAAAGAAAGAAAAACATCCATGGGATATTTCTACATGAATGACCCTCAGGAATCTCAAACTCAATAAAACCTGCTTTTCCTCTTCTTTCTTCATCTCTATAATCCATCAATCACAACAGACAGAATCTGGAACCCATCACAGCAAGCCCAGTGTTCCTGTCCACTCCCACTCCTCTGCACTCAAGTCATTCAAGTTCCTTTATACCACTCTGCTTTTAGAACTCAGGGACTTCCAATCAAGAAAGCACAGTGATTAAGGATGTAGACTACCTGGGTTTGAATTCCAGTTCTACTCCACCACTTGTTAATGATGTGATCTAAGGTCATATACTCATTGTACCTTAGCTTTCCCATCAGTAAGATGAAGGTTATAAGTATGCTACCTACATCATTGTCTTGTTATGAGGAGTAAATTAAGTAATCCATGTAAAGCTCTTAGCTGAGCACATAATAAACACTTTATTAACATTGGGTAATATTGCAGTTGTTTGCTCACTCTTTTCTCTTTTTTTAAAGTATGCTTTTCCTCTCTTTTCTCTCCAGAAAACCTACTCATCTTTCAAAATCCAGCTCAAGAAAAATGTTCCCAAACTGATGGTATATAGTGAGGTTTGTAGAACTTGGTAAATTTACTAAAAAAATCTTTGAATCATACACTTGAAATGGATGAATTATATGATTATAAAAATGTGCCTTAAATAAGTTATATTTTAAAATTAGCTCAAGGGTCACTTCCAACACAAATTATTTTTGGCTAGCCTCCATAAATTAATGATCACTTTTTTATTGACTATGCCCAGTACCTACTTCTATCAAAGTTCCTATACTACTTTTGGACATTTATTTTTTTAACATGTCTGTCCCTCTTTTCTAAATGTTGACATTTTTTAGAGTAGGGATGATGTATTATGTCTTTGTATAATATCTCTATGTCCCAGCACAGTTAAATAAATGAGGGAATGAATGAATGCCAATTTCTACAGAAAGAAATATTTCTTAGCCATCCAGAAACTCTCCTACATAGTAACAAAGTATTTGGGAGGAGCTTATGATATCAGATATTCTTCTGTTGGAGACTCAAAGACAATGATATTTTGGGACTCCTATGAAGCACTCATTCATTTACTTATTCATTCATTCAATAAAACCATATTATCACATCTTAGTAGCTATTAGGAAATTAAATCCAATATGGTTCCTGTCTTATGAGCTTACAGTGTACTAAAAACATCTTTTAAATATCTTGAAGATTTTGGGAGACAATATACATCCCCAATATACTGTGAAATCCTTAAGAAACAAAACTGAGTCTTATATTTATCCTTTTCATTCTTACTTCATCTATCCCAAACCCTGGTTTTTTGAGATAAAGAGCACAAGTTTCGTCTTTGTTTTGTTTTGCTTTGTTTTTGTTTTGTCTTGTTTTGTTTTTTGAGAAGGAGTCTCACTCTGTCAGTGGTGGAGTGCAGTGGTGCGATCTCTGCTCACCGCAACCTCCGCCTCCTGGGTTCAAGGGATTCTTCTGCCTCAGCCTCCTGAGTAGTTGGGACTACAGGCACCCACCACCACACCCAGCTAATTTTTGTGTTTTTAGTAGAGACAGGATTTCACCGTGTTAGCCAGGATGGTCTTGGTCTCCTGACCTCATGATCCACCCACCTCAGCCTCCCAAAGTGCTGGGATTACAGGCGTGAGCCACTGTGCCTGGCCAAGTTTTTTTTTTTTTTTTTAAATAAAATCTTTCGCCTTTATTATTTAACTTATAAATACTTTAGTATTATCTCCTATCAATAAAGATGTTTTTGTTTTATTATAAGCATAAAAGCATTATTACACCCCCCAAAATAAATTATTTTTAACAGCATCTAATACCCAGTTGTTAACTTTTCTCCATTTAAAAAATGTTTATTTAGTTTATTTGCTGAAATAGTGGTCCAAATAAGGTTCATACCTTTCATTTGATTGATGTTAGTCTCTTAAGTCTCCTTAAGTGAGGAACTGTTGTTCCTCACTATTTTCCTCCATGTTATTTATTTGTTGAAGAAACAGCATTATGTTTCCTGTAGAATTTCCCACATTCTGTGTTTGGCTGATTATATCCTTGTAATGTTGTTTAACCTGCTCTCTTTACCTTGAATTTTCTATAAACTCATGATTACAGCTAGATTACGTCCAGAACTATGAAGGGTTTGAGTTTTTATCCTACTTGCAAGCTAAAAGTCAGCCTGCCTCCATTTCATGGATGCTGGCAGAAGACACAAGACTCCTGGGTCAGAGAAAAAGGATAGTTATTACTCACAGCAATAACAGTAGCCAGATTATCAGCATTTATACTGGTTCCTCAGCCCCAGTTCCCAAAGGGTGACACAAAGAGGAAATTTTACAAGCCCCTTGGGTGATTCTAATAGGCAGCCAGGTTTAAGAACCACTGACTTAGAAGCTTCATTGGAGTCAGTAACATCTAGATGCCCCTTTCTCTATTCTTACACTTTCAATACCTAATAGTGTTCCTGGCACCAAGTGGGTTCTCAATAAATACTGATAGCTAAATTTACTGAGTATCTATTACATATTCAAAACATCACTTAATCCTCCCAACAATCCTTTAAGTTAGGTACAAGTGTCATTGTTCCCCTTTTATATTTAAGGTAACGAGTCACAGAGTGGCTAACTTACCCAAAATCAAGAAAGTGGGAAAACCATAAATAAAATTCAAGCTCCAGTGCACATGATCTTATCCACTACATTATAAGACTATACAGCACTGTAAAAAGAATGAATGAATTTCCTTGTTTCCTTGAGCAATGCTTTGTTGTATTAAATATGCCCACACATAGGAGATATGATACCTGTTTCTCTTCCTTGATTGTTAGACCTGAAAAGACCATAGTCTATTCCAATCTTTTTATATTTTGTACAAATAAAGAAGTTAAAGTCAAAAGCGACATGAAACAAAATGACATGCCCAAGTTACACAGCTAATTAGTGGCAGAGAGAGAGAGCTAGAACACAAGTAGCAAAGTGCGACACACAGATGAGAACTTGGTAAGTACTTTGATGCTGATGATGAAGTGTTGGGAAACAAATAAGTTTTTCCTGTTTCCTCTGTAAAAAAAGCATTTCAATTTAGCTAAAAAACACATGCTGGAGTTCAGAGAAAGAAAAATGTTTTCAGTGCCAATGACTGCTGACTCAATGCACTTTTCCCTCTTCTCCTCAGAGGTGGTCAGTGTGTGAAGGAAAGGCCTTGGGCATCAGTCTTGGGGAAGACCACACTACAGGCCTCAGTCATTTGGTCAGTCTCTCTGGTCTGAAATGGGAGGAAGTAACTAGAACTCAAGAGGACAGCATTTAGTCACCACCATCTGCCCTCTGAGTGTCCACAGTGGGAAGCCAGATGCCTTCTCTTTCATGTATTCAAATATAAAACATGTCTACTTCATATTTACAGCTAGTGTTCGAGAGAATCACAGGGCATAGCCCATTTTTGAAGAGAATATTTTTTAAAAAACACCTATGCTGGCCGGGCACAGTGGCTCAAACCTCTAATTCCAGCACTTCGGGAGGTTGAGGCTGGTGGACCATAAGGTCAGGAGTTCAAGACCAGTCTGACCAACATAGTGAAACCCCATCTCCACTAAAAATACAAAAAATTAGCCGAGTATGGTGGTGTGCACTTTTAATCTCAGCTACTTGGGAGGCTGAGGCAAGAGAATCACGTGAACCCAGAAGGCGGAGGTTGCAGTGAGCCGAGATCGTGCCATTGCTGCACTCCAGCCCAGGAGACAGTGACAGACTCCGTCTCAAAAAAAAAAGAAAAAGAAAAAGAAAAAAGAAAAAAGAAAACACCTATACTGGCTTTGTATTTTGGCCACCTTCTATTTTCTTTGTTACTTTCCCCACCTCTATTACCTACAATCACCTGTTGCACGAGGCAGATTTCATTTCCTGAAGGAATGTGACTTAAAAATAAACTCTCAATTTGACTCATTCGGTCACTGAAATCTTTTGTTTTGAGCAGCTTAACATGCCAAGCCCTGTGTCAGATGGAGGATATCCCAAGAATGAACAATGATATGGTAACTCCCTTCATGAGGTTATAGTTAGGAAGGCATTAGTCAAATACACACACAAATATATAATTGTAAATCATAGTGCTGTGAAAGCAAAAAAGGGCAAGATGAGCTAGCTGAATTGAGGAAATCTAATGCACATTGAAGTCTAAGAAAAGACTTCTCTGACATTTGTCCTAACACCAACATTAGTGATCTGAGCCAGAGCTGCTTCAATAGAATGATGAGGACAGAAATATTTGAGAGCCTTCTATGTGCAAAGCATTGAATTAGGTTGTCCATGAATAACAAGAAATCACGGAAATTAGGAGATAATAGATAAATAATAATAAAGCGAGAGTAAGGTGAAAATGGAGTATGACATTCCGTTTCTATGGCATTGGATTATTTAGGGTGAAGCGACTAGACATTAGGTTTGGCCTGGGGCAATCATTCAACCTGTACACATTGTACCAAGCTCTGTGATTCGTATTCAAGGGTAGATTTAAAGGGCCAAGTGGCCTGGGTCATCTACCCAGTCCTCATGAAGGCCTTCTCAGGTCAACAGCTACCCTAAGAAGACTACATTGTATGACTGACCCCAACCAATCCTGGAGAAACTGGTAGAAACTAATGTGGATGCCAATTCTGTGTAAAATCCAGTGGCACCGTGTAATTTCATCATATCATTCACCACAGGAAAATAATAACAAAACAGTTCCCTATAAAGTGCTGATTTGCAATACTAGGAAAGCATGTAACCTGAAATATTAAATTGCAATTATTAAATAACTAAGTTCATTCAGCCACAGACATTAATTGATGTCACTACTCCAAAGCATACAACATGATTAAATTGGCCATGGCTGGCTAATGTCCTATTTTGAAATGTCTTCACAAGCGGATTTTGTAAAGACAGATCAGGCAGATACTGTCATGGACTTTTAATGATTAGTCTGTCTAGGACCCTTCCTCTTTTCTGCAAACAGCACCTATCTTATTTTGGGAACTCTTTCTCCCCACTCCCTTATTTTTCAGTTCCAATAATTAGGTTCAAAGGGCTGCTGCCCTCTTCTTTCATGAATCCCCTCCCTGGCCACAGTGACTGTCTCTAAGATGGGTCTGTGACCCAAGCAGGGCCACATCCAGTTCTTCACCTTCCTAGTCATGGTCATTTGTCCAAGAATGGGCAGGTAATCTACAATAAGGCCATCTGATGGTCCTTAGATTGCTGAGAGAAAAATCTCTTCCATGTGGATGGCAAAGCTGATAAGATATGATTCCAGGAGCTGCTGGCAGCAGCCGCAGTCCTAGCTTCATAGAGAAAGCTGGTTTACTGAGAGAAGTGAAGATGGGACATGGGGTTCTGAAAGCATTCAGGTCCAAGTTCCAGTATCAGATTCCCTGGAGCGTCCCTGGTCCCTATATGCCTGAGGCTTGTGGTTCAGCTGTTCCTCCAATTCTGCAACTCTTCCACTCAGTCAATATTCACTCACAAATTCCCCCATTTCACTTGATTTGGAGTTGAATTTCTGCCTCTGGGAACCAATGAAGGTCTGACAAAAAGCATGATCCATCATGTGTTAGGATGCCTGAGATCACCTTATCCAAGGTGCTATGCTCTTTTCTACTCATGTAAATATAAATAACTTAGCACACCACTCCTGCCCTTCCCAGCTACACAATAGAAGTGAGATAGCGATCTCTCCTCTGAATCACTGGGAAATCTTGGAGAGATTTCTTTAACGGAAAAATGCAACAAAGCAGAACACTCTAGGGCACAATAGAGAACAAGTAAATTGCTCTAGGAGATAAAACAAGTCTCCTGACATCAGGAGAGGAGTCCTTTAATTTGCATCATAAAGGATGAGTAAAAGTTTGGTTTGCAAGGCAGAGAGCAATCTAGATGGAGGAAAACAAACTTGTAAAAGCTTAAAAGTATGTTTATGGAATTGCAAGAAAGTACATGTGATTCACTTATTTTTATAAACTATTTTCCTTCTTTGGGTAGAGAAGTCAGGATTTTTTTTAATTGATGAGACAGCCTGCATTATAATAAGCATCAGAAATAGCAACAGTTATTTGCTGGGTTCCTTGATTTTCCAAAGCTATTCTACATAAAAACAACATAATGAATTTGATTTGGTTCAAACCGGAAAGGATTTGTCTCAAGGCACTATGTTCTTACCTAAGTTGATAAAAATGTAAATAAGAGCCTTGTGCAGGGAAACTCCCTCTTATAAAATGATCAGATCTCATGATACTTATTCACTATCATGAGAATAGCACGGGAAAGACCCACCCCCCCACTCATGATTCAATTATCTCCCACTGGGTCCCTCCCACAACACGTGGGAATTATGAGAGCTACAATTCAAGATGAGATTTGGGTGGGGACAAGCCAAACCATATCAGGTGGTACTTGAAATGCTGCTAAGATTTCCTTAAGCAAAGATAAATTAGAATAGAAACTCTCAAACTGTGGTCTGGGGTCCCATGGGGGTCCCTGTGACCCTTTCAGTGGAAATATGAGTTAAAATTATTTTCAAATAAATACCAAGAATTGTGTGCTTTTCTTCCCTCATTGTCTTCATTGTATAGTTGGAACATCTGCATAACTCAGGGAACCAATATTTTTGAAATGACCATTGCATGATGTTACAAACTTATGCATGGGTAAAGGAATCCTTCAGATTGCAAGAGATATCAATGGATTTTGATACAACAAAGGATAAAAGGCTTATTGAAATGATTTCAAATTTCACAGAACAATAACTTTTAAGAAACTACCACTTACGGAGTTTTGGTGTGGTATCAAAGAATTTACAATTATCTGAAAAGGCTGTTAAGAAAACCATCCCTTTTCCAACTGTATTTAAATGAAAGATTGAATTTTCTCCATATGCTTCAACAAAAACAATATATCCCAGTGAACTAGGAAGCTGGATTCACCATCCTCTATTAAGACAGAAGTTAAAGAGATTTATAAAAATGTAAAACAATGGTCATCTTCCCACTATTTTTTTTTATTTTAGAAAATTTAGTTATTTTCACAAAAAAAAATGTTACGTGTGTTAACATGTGTTATGTGTTGAATCATGTGCTCCCAAAAGATGTTGAAGTACTAAGCACCAGTACCTATGAAGATGATCTTATTTGAAAGTAGGTTCTTTACAAATGATTAAGTGAAGATGAAGTCATTAGCATGGGTCCTGATTCAATATGATTCCTGTCTTTGTAAAAAGGAGAAATTTGGACACAGACACAGACATGGGGGAATGCCATCTACAAGCCAAGAAACACCTAAGACTGCCAGAAGCTGAGAGAGAGAACTGGAACAGATTCTCCCTCATGGGCCTCAGGAAGGTCCTCCCTCAGGCCCTCTTGCCGGCACTTTGAATTCAAACCTGTCGCCTTCAGAACTGGGAGACAATAAATGTCTTGTTTAAGCCAGACAGTGTGTGATACTTTGTTACAGCAACCCCAGAAAACAAATAAAACGTGTAATTCGTTTATTATTTTTAATCAATGTATTAAAATATATTTAATTTATCCACTTTAATTTCTAATATGACAAATACTAACAGATTTAAGGCACATAAAGAAAAGCTCTTTGGGTCCTTAATAATTGATAAGAGTAAAAAAGGGTCCTGAAACCCAAAAGTTTAAGGACCACAGGATTAGCAGGTTCCTAGTAAAGGGACAAGAGGAACCGAGGCGGTGGTTCCCAAATACATCCCCTAACAGCTACATCAGACTCCCAGGCTTGCTCCATACCCATTGAATCAGAATTGCCAGAGTTTTGTTCCAGGAAATTATACTTCTAAAAAGCTCTCCAGCTAATTCCTATATGCAACCTAATGCTTGGAGGCAGAAGCACCCACAATGAGTTGACAAGTATTTCAGTCAACTCCTTTGGTTTGCAGGAATAGCGATGTACTCAAGTAAGCTCCAGTAATAGGGGAGTCGATTGCAAAGATATACTTGACACCACTGGCATGTCTTGTGGGATCAGTTATCCCACAAAACAGGTGTTGTAATAGATCCCCCCTCAGAAAGAAGTGGGAGATCACAGCAGGAGTTTGTGGTTCTTCACTCTGCGTTCTGCCATCAGTATGACTAAGCTTTATGACTACAGGACTCTATACATGCCCTAGTCAGCTTCCCTCTGTCCCTCCTCCAAATAGCTGCTTCTCCATGCTTGTGGCTGCACATGGCTTTGGATTACGATGCTTCAAATTCACCTCCAGGCAATTTTCCGTTTCTGCTTTATTGCCAACTGTCAGGTTCCTCTTTCTTAATTTCAGTCCTAGAGATGGAAAATCTGATTGGTCCAATTTGTCTCCTAGAGCCAGGTCATGCTCAAATTTGCTGGACAGCCTATGGCTTTGCTGTCTTGGAGTCAGATGCCCATATCTGGTTTATAGTCTGTGAACACGGGGCCTAGATAAACAAGGTGTACGACATAAGAGCCAATACCACAGGCACTGCAGACAGGACATTTTTCCTTTAGACAGGGCTGTGGGCAAAAGAGGCATTGCAATTAGCATCTTCAGAAAATTTTTGGTTTTGCTCTTGTGATTTCAAAAAAATTTTTTATTTCAATTTTTTATTAGGATATCTGATTTGATAAGCTCAATTTTTTTTGACATAAGCATGCCCATAGCTAAACTGATGAATTAGATGATGATTATAATGGTGTGGGTGATGAGACTTAAAGACCCCAGAAATATAACCTATGTATTTCTCTCTGACCCTCTATTTTATCCATATTCACCTGCTAAGTAACGTAATTCTAGTTTTTTTTTATTCTTTCTTCATATTCATTCCTTACTACCCAGCCCCCTGTCTTCTTCTTCCTCCTCCTCCTCCCTAGTTCTACCTGCCTTGTGGTTTTAGATGGAAAAAAGAAATGAAGCTCAAAGCATTTTCTAATTCCATTAGTTTTACATTACAGTTCAATCTGATTCTTGAACAATTTTATGTAATAGCTGTGTCCTCTGCAATTTTAAAGAAGGAAAAACATGCAAATATTAAATTCTTTATCATACATTTAACAACCACTGAGTATTTCAATTATTTGAGTTGCCACTTTACAGCAAGCTGTAATTGTTGAGACAGGGCAGATACCCTTTCTTTGTGTATTGATACCCATGGATTTTGGCGTGAGAGAGTATAGTTTTTTGGGCGGTAAATTATTTGTGTGCATGTGTGTATCATTGCATAATTTTTTCTGTGTGTTTGTGTGTATATGTTTGTAGTTTTCTTGGTATGTATGTGTCTTTCAATTGAATAGAATTGCACTGTTTTCTTCTGTTGTACTGTATATTTTTCATTTGTTGCTCTGAATTAAAATAAGACAGTTTCTATTTTGACTAAATTGGTGGATTGCTCAAAAAAAAACCAGAAACATCTCCAAGGTTTTGTTGAATCTAATTAGTTATATGCAACTTATAGTACATCTGATTCTTATTATACGCTTTTGTGTTTTCTCCAGTAAATCAGTTGAAACTAAGTGGCTGTGGCATTTGACCTACATAATAGTGAAGGTGTAGATTTAAATTTGCATGCTGTATTGTTCTCTATCCTTTATATGTTAAAGTTCCTCTTAGGACACTTCTAAAAAATTAATGCACATTTTTGTATGCATGATGCCATACAACAATGTAGCACATCAGCTCCTCTTTAGGGAATAATGTTGATTCAAGTTCATCTTAATCAACTCATACTTCCAACACAACTGATTCATTTATTTGTAACGGAAACTATTGGCTCACAAAACTCAAAGTTGAGGAAAGTGGAAAACTTCAGGAGCAGTTTGATCAAGGCCTCAGCCCCATTTTTCTGCAGTTGTCAAGACTCTGCCTCCTTTATTTGCTGGCTCTGTCTTCAGGTTATCTTTCTTCATTGTAGCAAAATGGCCACTATACATCCAGCCTCAGGTTAAATCACATCACCCAGAAGTGAGAACTTATGTCTTCCCACCATTGAACAAAAGTCACCAGCTTCTCCCTTAATGTACTCATTCTAATTGTGTGCCCATTTCTGAAATAATCACTGTGGCCAGAAAATTATATGCTTTGATTAGCTTAGTCCTGGTTGGATTAGATTAAAACTGGCTTCCTCTTTCACGGTAGCAAAATGACTGCAGCAATTACTATGACTATAGCAATTCCGGCCTCACATTCATATATCACATTATTTAGAAGAGACAGCACTTCTAATTTGGCAATGATTCTACAAAAGACCTGTGCTTCCCTCTATTGGTCACCTGCCCACCTATGAACCACTCACCATAGCAGCCAGTGGGGCAGAACTACTCTGGGGTCAATTCCTTTGGGGTCCACATAGGAAGCTATTGCTAGGGATGAATGCTACTCAAACCAAATGCAATTATGGAATGGGGAAGAGGAGAGATGGGTGTCAGGGAGGGAGCCAACAAACAATACCCTCTGCACTGATGGCCACCACAGTTAATTTACAAATCTCAGAAGTGGACGACACCTTCTTCCTTCTCCCTCCTCTATTCCAAATCTATCTCTCCCAAAGATGCATGCTTCCTTGAAGAACACAGACTTCCCACATGTACAGGATTTTTTTTCGATCAAACATACCTGACTTTATTCAAGTTGAGTTTACTGTAAAGAAACTTGCTAGAGAAACATCAGTACAAAACCATTTACTCTACTTTTTTCCTAAGTCTAATAATTGTTTATAGGTCATTAGACAGTCCAAGACACAATTTCTCACACATCCAATTCTCTTGAATTTTTCTTGCTGTTTTTCAAATATTTGCTTTCTACCTATGTATAGCTCAATTTCAAAATTTTTATTCATGTCTAAAATGTGGGTCTTGCTAAGCATATCATAACACCTTAAAAACATTTCACAATCAGGCAGTGCTCCAGCAGCCGTATTTTTTAAATCAAGCTTGTGAATTCTCTAAGAAGTCCAAGAACAACTGTGAATGGCTTTCTTGAGCACTCTTGCAGGTGCACAGGAAAGAGTCCTAGCCAGCGGTCTGGGAGGTGCCAGATAGCAGGACACAAATTCAGTCTCCAACTAAACAGACATTCACCTGGAGAACCTGTTATCAGAAATGGCCTGGATAAAGCCTTCTTCACCTATACAACCAGCAAAGCTATTTCTCTAGTGATTTTGTCTCGCCTTTACTTTCCAGGGACTGAAAAGCTTCGCTAGAAACACAAGAAAAAGGAAACTCATTCTTCCAAACTGATTTATGAGAAAATGCAAAGCTTTTGGAAATGTTTCCCAATTTCCCATATCATCATGACTGTTAGAAATGTTAAAACACTGGAAAAACAAATGAGATTTTTGCAAATACTATACTCCTATTTCCAAAATGGTTCCAACTTAATAATAAAAGGTTAGACTTTTTTAGATCAACTTAAAATGTTATAGACAAGGTCTCTCCTAGAGACCCTCATTAGCTGTCATTTTTCCATAGGGGTCAAGAAAAACATCACAATATTACTAAAGTTAAGTGATGCATGGGGAAGTTTTTTACCCCTAAAAGCCAAATGCTCACAACCAAAAGTCAATGCATATGATAAGCGATGGTGTAAGAGTTTGACAATAGAACAACCAGATGGCCATCCAAGCACACGTTCCCCACTGGGACGGTCTCAGTTCTCTTTCCATTCAGTTTTTACATCCACAGCTCCTCACACACCTGGTATAATATCTCTTTCTGTGTTTGTTTTGAAAGCTAAAATTTTGTTTTTTGTATGCTGCGTTTCCTGGACAGCATGAGTGTGGTATGATACGTAATTGAAAGTTTTTTACTAAGCCCTAGTATTGCACAGATGGGTAAGAAGCAGAAACTGATTACTGAAAAACGGCAGCCCAAAGGACATACGTTTATGCACTTAAATATTTCTGAAAATTGAAGTTGGGTCATTATTCCCATTTCCATTTTCAGTGGAGGTGATTAAATCATTCCATCCTGATGATTGCTATGTTGCTGGTAAACTTTCCTAGTGTCATTGTTTTTTGTCTAAATTAATTCTGAAAGGCTAATCTAGTTTCTACTTGTAAAAAGTATCTGGAAGTTTCTTTAAGTCTCATAAAACATTCCTGAGAGTGAAAAATTTAGGTGCATAAGATGTTATAGATCTCCAAACTAAAAGACACTATCCATTATCAAGGAGTGAGGCAATCAATGCTTCTCTCAAGAGTTCCAAAAAAAAAAAGTGGGAGTGGGGGAAAGAAAGGCAGGAATCAGATACTGGGAGATCAAAACAGCTTTACTGCTTACAGAGGAAAAGGAGGAGGAGGAGGAGGAGGAAGAAGCAAAAGTAGATGAGAAGCTGTGGCTTTGAAGTTATCAATGAATGTGTTCATATTTCACCTTTGAATTTAACAGGCTTGTCCATGTGTCTTGTTGCCAAAACTAGGCAAGTGCAGACCTCCTGGGCAGCAGTAGTTCAAATGCACTGTCTCTGCAGATCAGTAGGAAAACGGAGAGAGCGAGCGAGCCATGCCGTGCATGTTCTTCCTCCCAAACGAACCCGTCAGATAGTCCTTCATTTTCTGGAGAGGAGTGAAAGCAGATCACTGAGCAAGGGGAGTCCTCCTTGAACTGATGCCCTCTACATCACAGATCCATGAGGCAGTGAGAAAAGAGGCTTCCATTCTAACACCTGCAAGCTCCAGGTCATTAAAAAAAGGTTTCCTTTTTCCAAAACCTGAATATAACAAAAATGTCACCAAGTGAGAAATTTCCAATAAAATATAATTTTGAAGACAGAAAAAAACCCCTCGAGGAGCAGTAAAACAAAATCTCAAAACAACCAAAGAACTCAGAGAATTCCTTGATCCCCTCTAGAAAATGACATAAACTGTCATCTAACCTCACACCTGGATATCTAACCCATTGTCTCAGACAAGAGGGTCATGAAATTGACTCTGGAGAGCAGAGCTGGCCAGAGATATTGATGCTGGTTCTCCTTCTCACTCTCTGAGGATGTAAATAAACACAAATTTAGGTGTTGAGAAAGTGGTAGACATGGCAACAATCAGGAGGATGTGGAGGGAGTAACAGATTAAAGCAGGGAGCCCTTACATTTCAGGCAAAGAAGTCCTTCCCTCTACATGGCTAATTAGACTAAGCTGGCTTTTTGGAAAGGCTGAGACTAAGAAAAGGAAACTTCGGTTTGAGTAGAAGAACAGACCAACCTTGATGACAATTAATGCTCAGAGATTAAAATCCTATTTTCCTCCAACAGGAACTTAGTCATAAGGCCATGTGGCCCCAGTTGGAAGGAAACGGGATAAGTAAACCAGCCCTCCATCCCACTGAGAGCTAGAAGAATGGGCTATCCAAAAACTACAAGGAGATCAACATTTCCTATTCTCTTAAATTGCCATGAGGCTTAAAAGTGCCAGGAGGGGAAATAGTGAAACAATAATCTGGTGTTTTTGGTTTCTGATTCAAAAGATGTGCTATTGAATAATGAAACATAAAACATTTGCCAAAATCGACTTTCTTAATTATTTTCTATTTCCTTGGCCTTTAAACCATTTAAAGGAACAATCACTTGAAAAATAATTGTGGCGTAAAGAATGTGAGATCACAAAACTTTCAGAGCTCAGAAGTTCCAGTCAGAGAAGAAAACTGAGGTCTTAATCTGGCTTTCCTAATTTCCTGCAACTCCTTAATACAGAGTCTAGCTGGTACCCAAGTCTCCTCCCCGCCACAGCAATGCTCTTTCTGCTGCACTACTTCAGAAGAGCACCCACATGCTCATCTTTATGAAGGCACACCCTCCTTGAGGCCTTTGGTGTGAAAGCCCAATTGTTTACAAGCATCGTTTGCAAAGGATATCCAGAATATCCAAAGCAGAAAGCCACACACTGACCACTGCCACATGCCCCATGAAGAAAAAGGTGCGAATAATGACATTGATTTAGTTAACTGACTTTTTAGTCACTTCTTTTCCTGAAAAATTTGTTTTGAGCTATTGAGTTTTCTCTGATGTGGGATACAAGGCAATGAGACCAATTTCTGGAAGCCATACATGAAAGGCTACATCAAGACTTCTTTGGCCTGCTTTACATTTACAAAGGGTCTAAAGAAAGTCATAACAGGTGGACTTTATTGCCATTTTCAGAAGCAGCATTTTAGACGCAGCGTGCCAAGTCTCACAGTTTCACATCCCATAAATATGCATACATTCATGTTTATGATTTCCCTGCATGAATCAGAGATTATGCTATTCTGAAGCACATAAAATTTCATGTGAATTTTATTTTTTGTGTCTTGAAAGATATCATTTATTGATGGTACATTTCTCATCTGATAGCTGCAATGGAATTTATTTAGCATTTAACAATGTCATTATAACAGACTCCTTAAGACTATTATATTTCACATGGGCCATAAATCAGAAAACTAGACTTTAGAAGAGCTGTCCAAACAATTGAGCCAGTATCGAATAAAACTCTACATTTCCCATCTTTATTAATTTTGATCCTTCTGGCTGGCATGTTAAAAACTTGGGAGAATACTTCAAAGTAAAAAATGTCAGTTGTCTACTTTTTTTTGTTTCGTTTTGTTTTTTTCTGAGACAGAGTCACTCTCTCACACAGGCTGGAGTGCAGTGGCACGATCTCAGCTCAGTGCAACCTCTGCCTCCTGGGTTCAAGCAATTCTCCTTGCCTCAGCCTCCTGAGTAGCTAGGATTACAGGCATGCGCCACCACACCCGGCTAATTTTTGAATTTTTAGTAGAGAAGGGGTTTCACTTTTCAAACTCTTAATACATCCTCTCAGTTCCATGTACTAAGTGCATATCAAATGCACAGCATTCAACATTTCCTGTGAACAAAACAGAAATATGTCTACAGGAGGCTGAAGAAACATCCCTGAGGTTTCTATTATGTTGGTGCCATTACTTTGGCAAAAACCGCAACTACATTTGCACCAATCTAATAATTGCAAAACAGCCAAAGAACTTGGAGAAGTCCTTGATGTTCTTTATAAAACAACGACTCTGAAGAGGGAGTCATCAATTTATAAAATATATTACCCCACACTATTATTTCTCAGGCTGTTCTTTAAGAAACAAAAGATTTCCATGATTAATTATTTTGATACATGCTGTGTTACAGAAAGTTAGAGTGTTTTTTTATTGCTAAACTTCCTAGAAATGTGTGTTCATGCACGTGTGTGTGTGTTTGTGTGTGTGTGCCCTGTATCTTCAAAAATGAGAAAATTGTTTGTGATTCCCAAAATTATCTAAAAATTTCATTCCTATTCCATCTTTGGTTTTGGAGCAACATTAATCATTTCCATAAAAACTCCATATGGAAAAACAGATATTTAAAAATTAATCTTAGAGTTCATTTTCATGTTTTGAAACTATGACTCCCAGCTGGATTGTGAAGTCTGGAGGAACCGTTACATCCCCGTGGCTCTGGTGAGCTCCCAGCCCCATCCATTCCCTCCACTCTTCCCCTTGCTCATTCAACTCAGCGCCCCCCAGGCACACAAAACCCACTCCTGGCTTGGGCCTTTGCACTTCTACTCAGGTAATTTAAACCTTCCTCCCAAAGACAGTCACATGACTCCTCTTTTTTTTTTTTTTTTTTTTTTGAGACGGAGTCTCGCTCTGTCGCCCAGGCCGGACTGCGGACTGCAGTGGCGCAATCTCGGCTCACTGCAAGCTTCGCTTCCCGGGTTCACGCCATTCTCCTGCCTCAGCCTCCCGAGTAGCTGGGACTACAGGCGCCCGCCACTGCGCCCGGCTAATTTTTTGTATTTTTAGTAGAGACAGGGTTTCACCTTGTTAGCCAGGATGGTCTCGGTCTCCTGACCTCATGATCCACCCGCCTCGGCCTCCCAAAGTGCTGGGATTACAGGCGTGAGCCACCGCGCCCGGCCATGACTCCTCTTTTCAACCAAAGCTCTACTGAAATAACTCCCTCTATTGTTCTTTTATTTTTTTTCCCCTTACCTTGTTTTATTTTTCTTCATAGCACATAACACTACCTGACATTATAACCATCTGATATGGTTTGGCTGTGTCCCCACCCAAATCTCATCTTGAATTATAGTTCCTATAATCCCCACGTGTCATGGGAGGTACCTGTTGGGAGGTAATTAAATCATTGGGGTGGGTTTTTCCCCATACAGTTCTCATGATAGTGAATAAGTCTCACAAGATCTGATAGTTTTATAAAGGGGAGTTCCCCAGCACATGCTCTCTTGCCTGCTGCCATTTCAGACGTACTTTTGCCCCTCCTTCACCTTCTGCCATGATTGTGAGGCCTCCCCAGCCATGTGGAACTGTGAGTCAATTAAACCTCTTTCCTTTATAAATTACCCAGTCTCAGGTATGTCTTTATTAGCAGAGCAAGAACAGAATAATACACCATCTATCCATGTATGTGTTGCTTGTCTCTATCTTTACATTCATTCCAATAAATTATATGCTCCATGAGCTCAGAGACTATGCATTTTTTTCACTAGGGCATTCCTGCTACCTACCTGGAAAGATAATATATAATATGTAAATATATATATATATATTATATGTACATATAAATATTTATTGAAAGACTAAATCAAATAATTTTGCAACAAAAAGAGGAATCCAGAGAATCCAGATTTTTGACTCTTTCACAATCAGTTCCACTGAAGGAGCTTCCGACTAGGGTCTCCCTAGCCCCACCTCACAGATATATATTAAATTTTTAAATTAAACTTGAGATGAGTCTTTAAAAACATAATGGGGAAAAAGCACATTGGCAGGCCATGCCTGTATCCCACTAGCTGAGTGTGAAAGAGAGGAGGTCTTTTGGAACGCCTTCTATGCCAACCAGATGACTGGAATTGATTACGTGTATCTAAGTCTCACCTCCTTTGTTTTTAGACAGATGCTGATAGTAACCCAATGGAGCACTGATAAAGAGGACCAAGATGGGTATTGAGAAAACTGTATTCTTTCCACTAACTTTTCACTAACTTGAACAAATAATTTAAACTCCCTGGCCCTCCTTTTTCATTGTTCAAATACTAACTAGGTCCACAGGAAGCAGCTTGGAAGAATTCTCCTTTACAAATATGTTAATATCACTAGTCATAATTAATTATTAATGTTATCTATGCTAAAGTATATTTAAAAGATGTTGGGTTAAGGAGCTAACAAGTTGTTGTTGCAGAACGTCTCAGAGCCTTTAACATGTTGACAAATATTATGCCTTCTAAAATGAGGGATATAGTAAGCAGAGTTTTCCAAATTTCCTTAACCAAGGAAGACATTTAATGTCTCCTAAAATATTCCTCCATGAAACACCAGTTTAGGAAACACTTGAAATGACCTCTGATACCACTTAATACATTGACATAACCTGACCGTGACACCGTCACCCAAACAACAATCTTGATGCTACTGGAAAGAAAAGTAACAAACAAAGGAGGTTTAAAAATATTACTGTCCCTTGGCTGGGCACAGTGGCTCACGCCTGTAATCCCAGCACTTAGGGAGGCCAAGGCGGGTGGATCACGAGGTCAGGAGATCGAGACCATCCTGGCTAACATGGTGAAACCCCGTCTCTACTAAAAATATAAAAAATTAGCCAGGCGTGGTGGCGGGCGCCTGTAGTCCCAGCTACTCACGAGGTTGAGGGAAGAGAATGGCGTGAACCCTGGAGGTGGAGCTGGCAGTGAGCCAAGATCTTGCCACTGCACTCCAGCCGGGGTGGCAGAGCGAGACTCCATCTCAAAATAAAATAAAATAAAAATATATATATATGCATATATATACATATATAAAACTGTCCCTTAAAATTTAACAAGAAGAAAAAAAATAACTCTGTAAAAGCTGAGTTTGAATCGACATTTTACCAAAGAAGATATACAAATGGCTAATAAGCAAGTGAAATGATGCTCAACATCATTAGTTATTAGGGAAATGTAAATGAAAACCACAATGAGATACTAAGATATACCCATTGAAATGTCTATAATCAAAAAGACTAACAATACTGAGTGTTGGTGAAGATATGGAAAAACTCAAACACTCATACATTGCTGGTACAAATGATACAGCTATTTTGAAACACAGGCAAGTTCTTAAAAAGTTAAACATACACTTACCATATGACCCAGCAATTTTATTACTAGGTATTTACTTAAGAAAAATGAAAACGTATATCCATAGAAATACTTTCATGCAAATTTTCTTAGCAGCATTATTTTATAATAGCTAAAACCTGAGATCAATCACATGCCTATCAATTAGTGAAAGGATTAAAAGTGTGGTATATCCATACAATAAAAAGGAACAAACTATTGATTCATGCAATATAGATTAACCTTAAAACGTTATGCTAAGTAAAAAAAAGAGGCACAAAAAAACTAAATGTAGTAAAGTTTCATTTATATGACATTTCTAGAAAAGGCACAGTTATAGAGACACAAGGCAGATCCGTGGTTAACTTAGACTGGAGTTGCAGGGGAGTCAAATACAAATGGGAACATGGGTACTTTATGGGGTCATAGAAATGCTCTAATACTGGATTGTGACGATGCACACTGTATAACTTAAGTCATTGAACTGTGTGCTTACAATGTGTGCATAGCATGTAAAATGTACTTCAATAAAGCTGTTTCAAAAGAACAGTTCATAGATGTCCATATGTGAGGATGGAGCCAGAAATATGATGGAGAATGTCAACGAAGGGCTTGTGTATTATTCTCAAATGAGACCATTTCTCCTACAGACTTGAATGTGTGCATACAATACACACACACACACACACACACACACACCCCCTGGTGTGACTTACCTGATTAAAACAAGTATTTATTAGTGCTGATGACATCAGGACAGAAATGCTGCTCAGGGACAAATGTGCAAAAACAATAATGTCACTTTCTGTAAACAAACTGTGTGTGTGTGCGTGTATGTGTGCATGTGTGTGTGTATGTGTGTCTTCTAAAAATACGTTTGTGTGGTCATTATGATATCTCATCTGGATCCCTGCAATTGTCTCCCAACCCTTCTCCCTGATGTTAATCTTGCCTCTCACAGAGCAGCCAGAATGGTCTTGTACAAACATAACCCAGATTCCTATCTCTCCCTTCCTCTCTCAATCTGTGTGTGCATGTGTGTGTGTGTGTGTGTGTCTTTCTGTCTCTCTCGCTCTGTCTCTCTGTCTCTCTCTCTCTGTCTCTCTCTCTCCCTCAATAAACTGATAAAGCTAAAGGGAGCCACCAAAGGCTCACAGCTTAGGCTTAATACCAGTCTGATTTATTGTGTTCATAATCTGGGTCAGAAATCTATTCTCAGGAAGTAACATTTAAGCTGAGATCAAAGTAATAAGAAGGATCCAGTTACCAAGGTCCAGAAGAAAAGCATTCTGAGCTGAGGGAAGAGTGAGTGCAGAGACCCTGAGGCAGGAACAAGCTTAGATGTCAGAGGGACAGAAAAGAGACCAAACCAGTGCAGCTGGAACATAAAGGACCAAGGAAACCACGGGAGTTGAAATTGAAGGGGGAGGAGGGGACTAGACCAAGCTGGGCCTCATAGGCCTTGGTACAGTGTTTGGATTTTATTCCAAATGCAATGAGAAGCCAGTGGAAGGGAGAGATAGGATCTGGGTTGTGTTTTCACAAAACCACTTTGGCTGCTCTGTGGGAGGCAAGAGTGACATCAGGGAGAAGGATTGGGAGACCATTGCAGAAGTCCAGATGAGATATCATAGTGACCACATGCACATGTTTTTAGAGTCATATGATGGTAAAGAGCAAGGATTACGGCATCCAAAAGATGAAAGTTCACCTTCCACCTCTGCCACTTCCCATCCAAATGGCTTTGAAGAACTTACTAAACCTCTATGAGCCCCACTTTTCTCATTTATCAAAAAGGAATAATGTTACTATTTATTTCATATGATTATTACAATGACTCATTGCAATGATACGTACAAAGCACTTGGCAATATATTAAGTGCCTGACAAATGATAGTGATTATGTCACTTTAAAATTCATTCCACCAGTTGTGCCATTGATGCTGTTGAGGCCCTGCCCCATGCCACCTTGAAGCCCCTGAGTCCATCAGCAGTTGTCAGGGAGAGCTGCTAGCACAGTCAATGTCCAATCTTAAGCAGCAGCACCTCTGTTCTTTGCCTGAGGATTTCTCTGGCATCATAAGGACTTACTCATCTGTGAACAGTAGTTATCTGCTCAGCCAGAGGCAACCATCAACTGAGGGAGGACGGCAGCCAGTGGATAAATTTCCCGGGCTCTCTCTCCATCCTCTGGAAGCACATTTCTTAAGTGTGTTATCAGGCAGTTTCTTGGTTGAGCCTCAGCTGCTCACAGGGTAACCCACTCACTGACTTGCCTTTCACTGGGTTCCCTCCCTTCCCTATCACTTTCTCCATTTCCTTACATCCACTTCTTAGGATCACCTCCCAAACAGACCATAACCAAGCCCTTGTCTCATAGTCTGCTCTGTGGGAATCCCAAACTAGGGCAAGTTAGCTGTGTGTGCTTAGGCCATCTCACCAGATTCTCTTATCTGGAAACTGGGGTACTTGGGTAGATAACTTCCATAATTCTAAAGGCAGCCTACTTATTTTTGTTTACATTTCTACCCAACACATGATAAGTGTGATTTACACTTTTATAATTCAGTCATTTAAACACTTAAATCTGGATACACTTTTTTCCCTTTGTATAAAGAGTGAATGGATTCTGCACATTTTACAATAGGAAATGACATGCTGTTTGGTTTCTGTGATAACAGGACAGGATATCATAAACTGGACGTAAAAGTTCAGAATGCCTGTGGAAATAAGGATAGGTTAAACTCGCTCAAGTATTAAGAATGTGGCAGATTGTATTTTCTAAAGATGGTCATGACAATATCTATCATCTCCCACCCATGTTTTGGCACTGGGACCTCGCCATGTCCCAGCAGTAGGCAGAATCTTGTTCCTTCCCTTGGAGTTGGTGCGGGTCCTGTCACTGCTTTGTCTGATAGACATGATGGAAGTAATATTGCCCCAGTTCTCAGTGAGGCATTAACTAGCTTGGCAGGGTTCACTTCCTGTCTTTTGGAAGACAGGTAGAGGAGAAGGGTGACTTCCCTGAGACTTCCATGCTGTGTGAAGCCCAAATCCCGTGGAGAGGCCATGGAGAGGGAGAATGGCAGCAGAATGAGTGAAGAAATCATCCTGGATGTGGATCCTGCAGACCCTCCAGCCCCAGCCATTACTAGATGGAGCAGAGAGAGACTACCAAGTGAGCCCTCTATGAATTTCTGCCCCACAAAAGCATGAACAAAATAAGTGGCTGTTTTAAACCTCTAAGTGTTGGTGTAGTTTATTGCACAACCGTATGAATGGAAATGAAGAATATTAAAGCAATAACTGAAAACTAAGAATTTGAAAATTCATAGAATGTTGTTTCCTAGGGTAAGACTGACTTCAGAAAAAAAAGGCATAGACATGATTTCAGAAAATGTGATGAAAGTCCTTTTGGGGAAATAGAAACAATGAAAGCAGAATCCTATTTGAAGTCTCACTTTTTTCATTAGCTGCAGTGTAATGGAAAACAGCCACCCTGAATATCCAATTTCCCCCAATACTTTAATTCTTTTCTTAGACTGAAAGTTTTAACAATCCACCGCTTACTACAAGTTAAAAAAATACATAATGATTTTTAAAGCTTTTCTTATTTCTGGACAGCAGATTTTGAAGGTGAAGCTTTAATCACATGCTAGTCTTATAATCACTGCTGGTTTTCGACTGAAGTATTACAAATTGGGCTTTAGTTCAATTTAAGCTGCATGGGCCAAATCCTACCCTTGGTTATTATAAGCAATTCCCATTGAAATCATTAGTAGTTGTACATGTGTAACAAGGAGATAATTTGGCCACATGTGCTTTAGTCTCCATGTGTATCAAGCATAGGCACAGAGGCTGGGCTACACACGGAAAACATCTTGTGCTATTTGGAATAAGTTATCTTTTTGCTATAATGAGTTCATGTCAACATGATGAAAAGAAAATGCAAATGTAAGGAGAAGCAGCACTTCCTCCCATAGCTTTCCATGTCCTGGTGGCTCCTGGCAGTGCTGACTCTATAAGCAGTTGCCCCTCCTATTGGTAACAATGGATAGGATCCTCCTCGCCGCCTCCCTGAAGCCCTCCTGGGAGACCTTGCTCCATTTACAACTGGCCGGAGGGCACTGCCTCCTTGTCAGTTCTTGTTTCCAATTCTTCCAGGGTCAACTATCTTCCCTGGCAAAGGGTTCACTTTTGATCAAACAAATGTTCAATACACCTGCAGCCCAAACCACTGGCCGGAGAACCTTTTCACAGAAAGTCCTGGGGGATATTCACTTTGCTCATTCAATGGTTAGTAAACCTTTCTAAGCATCTTAAACAGTGGTTCTCAGTGTTTGGCCTACTTCACAATCACTGGCAGTGCTTATTAAAAGACAGAGTGCTGGGCCCCAGCCCTAGAGTTTCTGATACAGTAGGATGGGAAAGATGGCCTGAGAATTTGCATATTTAACAAGCCCCCAAGTGATGCCACTGCTGCTGATTCAGAAACCACACTGTGAAAACCATGGATCTAGAATTCAGGTGACACCACAGACATAGTGTCATGGAAGATATGGTCATGAATGTACACAGCTTAGCCTTTAGTGGAGGGGGCATAAAGGCAAATCAACAATTGTGAGATGGTTGGATGAGTGCAATCACAGAGAAAAATATAGGCTTCCTGATGATCCAGGAGCTGATTTAGATAAAGGAGGAGACAGTGTGTAATATCTAGTGATTAAATAAACCAACTATAATCAGCATTTGTTGTTTCTGTGTCATTTTTTCCTCCTGGTATCAAAAGAATTGTTTTCCTTTTTGGAATTGACTGTCCCTGGTTTAATGAAATCTTGTCAACATCTGTTGTCAATCACATGGTCCCACTGCTCTGTGACTGGGTGAGCATGTGACCCAGGCTGCCCAATTTGAGTTCTTTTCTTGGGATTGACAATAACACTGGGAAAGAAAGTCTTTCTCTTTCTGAGATCTCCAGCAATAAGGATGATGTATGCCTGGAGCTTCTGCTGACCATCTTTGCCATCATGTGCATAGAGCCAGGCTGAGAATGAAACAGTGGCTAATTGTATTTTGCAAATATGTCTCTCATCCCACATGCTCTTCTTTGATATGCCACCTATAAAGATATGGGGCCTATGTTCCCTTCCCTTGAATCTAGGAAATGAAGTAGTGACACTGTGTGATTCTGAGACTAGAACATAAATGGCAACTCAGGTTTACCTGGTTTTTTGGGGAATGCTTGCTCACAAAACCCAGCCACCATGCTGTGAGGAAGCCCAAGCAGCCACATAGAGCAGGAACAGGTGAATGTTCTGTCCGACAGCTTCTGCTGAAGTCCAAGTGATCCACGAGCAGCAACCGTCATTCCTGTGCGCACATGAGCCTTCAGATTATTCCAGCCCCCAGTCACCATGTACATTTCGAGCTTTTCCAGGTGAGGCTTCAGACATTGTGTAGCAAAGTAAAACTAATCACACTGTGCCTTCTCTGAGTTCCTGACTCACAGAAAACCATGAATGTAGTGGAAAGTTTAGCATGGTTCCTTATGTTGCAACAGTAACTAGACATAAACCAGAAATAAGCAGAACTGAGAGATGGGAAAGAATGACAGTGACAGAGAAGGAGAGAGAGTGACAGCCATGACAGCTTCATTTGAATCCCCTCGTTTAAGCCTTGCCTGAAGATGGATCTATCTCACTTCAGGCATCCCAGTCACATGAACTAATAAATTCCTATTTTTGCCTAAATTATTTTGAATATGAATTTCTGTCACTTCCAGTCTAAACAATCGAAGTACAACAAACTTTAAATATCAGGCAGACAAGGGACGTAAAGGAAGAGGAAAGAGACATAAAACGTAAGACTACCTTAATACCCAATGCCTCTCAGGATGCTGTTAAGGAGACTGTAAATGTAATTAAAAATTTCTCAGAAATCACTCAAACAGAAGAAAAATAAATATTAGAATCAGGAAAACATCAGGTATGGGTGAACATCTAAACCGGCACATCTAGACATGTGCCTGGCCCCTGTACCAGAATGCCTGGTTTCTTATCTCAGACCCACTTTTCATGCCCAAGTCACATTACATAGAGCATTTTGTACCTCAGTCAAACTGTTGAATAAGCAATAATACAAAAGATAGAGGTGCTGAGAAAGAGCTACAGAAAATCTGGGAAAAAAATGTTTGCAAATTAAAAAGGAGTAGAACAAGAAAATTATTGATTGAATGGATTTAAAAGTAGGATTTTGACAAGTTTTAAAATATTTTTTAAATTTTGAAGAGTAATTACTTCCCATTGAGTAATCTGTCTCACTTATTTCACTTCCTTCAAGGACTTTCTGAACCTTACAAAAAAAAAATTGTAGTTTTTTTCTGCTGAGTGCGATTATTCATCCTAAGCATATCAACTATGAAAAATTATTCCCAAATAAGAAAAAGGAAGCATTTTAATTTATTGGAGGTTTCAGAGTATCATTATATCATTCTACAGGTGCCCTGAGAAACAGGCAAGGAAATGATTTTTAAAGTTTACAAATAAAGATAGAAGATTTACAATGATTCTTTTCACTGTTTTATTGAAAACATAAAGTTAAGTCAATCTTCTTAAACATTCTATGTTAATTATCGTGATTAGTCAAAGAAAAAATGCTCTGTTACACAGTGAATCAGGCTTAGGGGTGGACATGGTTCTCTGCAAGTATGCGGTAATCGAAAAAATACTAAACTTGAAGCCATGGTACTTTCACTCAATATTGTTTTGGACAACATGTCAATAGATACATACTTGAAGCCATAGTGACTCCACTCAATAAATATATTGCTTTGCTTAATGTCTGAGGCAAAATGTCTTCATCAACAAAGTTCCTCATCCCATTCATACAGATGCTACGAGTCTCAAAACAACTAATGTGAATGTTCTTTCACTAAATTTTACACATTGTGAAGGGCTATTCAAGTTACACAAACAAACTCATACATGTTTAGATTAGATGACCTTAATATTTCCCTTGTCTGTGTAACTGCTAACCTTCATCAAAGGGAGAAGTGCTTTAAGGAAAATATTACACAGCTTCACATACCCACAGATCACCCCTAACATAATCCTAACATAAGCACCTGGCAGCATTTGCTTCATGGAGTCCTAACAGCATGGGAAGCACCTGGCCTGGGGTTGGTAAGCGTTGGGACACCTCGTGGGAATATTATTACATGCTAAGAGGACCCAGCAATAGACAATGTAAGCCAGTCACACCTGCAAACTGTAGATCTGATTGGAAATCTCTCTTTAAGACAAAATACACACAAGTAGTTAGTACAAATGATGTGATGGAACAATTAGTGGAAGTTAATTAATTGGGCAAGCAGGATCAATATGGAGGTTTCTCCCACAGCAGGTTTGCCTTAGGTAGTTAATAAAGGGACATTCTTTTTTTTTAATTTTATTATTATTATACTTTAAGTTTTAGGGTACATGTGCACAATGTGCAGGTTTGTTACATATGTATACATGTATCATGTTGGTGTGCTGCACCCATTAACTCGTCATTTAGTGTTAGGTATATCTCCTAATGCTATCCCTCCCCACTCCCCCCACCCCACAACAGTCCCCGGTGTGTGATGTTCCCCTTCCTGTGTCCATGTGTTCTCATTGTTCAATTCCCACCTGTGAGTAAGAACATGCAGTGTTTGGTTTTTTGTCCTTGCGATAGTTTGCTGAGAATGAAGCTTTCCAGTTTCATCCATGTCCCTACAAAGGACATGAACTCATAATTTTTTATGGCTGCATAGTATTCCATGGTGTATATGTGCCACATTTTCTTAATCCAGTCTATTGTTGTTGGACATTTAGGTTGGTTCCAAGTCTTTGTAATTGTGAATAGTGCCGCTGTAAACATACGTGTGCATGTGTCTTTATAGCAGCATGATTTATAATCCTTTGGGTATATACCCAGTAATGGGATGGCTGAGTCAAATGGTATTTCTAGTTCCAGATCTCTGAGGAATCACTACACTGACTTCCACAATGGTTGAACTAGTTTACAGTCAATAAAGGGACATTCTAAGTAGCATTACCGAAGAGCTGGTGTCTCAGCAGCTGGCTGCAGAAGAAAGAACAGGAAGTGAGCTGGGAGCACTGGCTGCTTTCCCTTCTTTGAAACTCACAACCAAGAAGCAGTAAGATGTTTCCAAATCCTGACAATCACAACAAGACCTGACTCGCCATGATGGCAATGACATGTCTCATTCACTCTGCAGGTCTGTGACAGCTTTACTGTGCTGCTTTGCTCCTCTGGAGCCACCCAAGGACAGGGTGTATATGACAAAATACCTAGGGGACAAAAGTCAAAATGACTATTCCCCAAAAAGAGATTTCTAAAAATTAATTAAATCACTGCCTTAACTCCCCACTTACCTTTCTCAGAATAGCTACAGCACAGAGTACCATTATTTAAGCAACCAAGACATTTCATAGTATTATTAGCCGCAATAAAACTTCCAAATCTCACACAACCCATCTGTTATGGGCTGAACTATGTCCCCAAAATATTCATTTGCCGAAGTCCTAATGCCCAGTATTTCAGAATGTGACAATATATGTTGATAGGGTTTCTAAAAAGGTAATTAAGCTAAAACGAGCTCCTTCCTCAGGGTGGGATCTGATCCAATATACCTGGTGTCCTTACGAGGAGAATGGGGTGGTGGGAGAGTTATGCGAAGACACAGAAAGAAGACATCCATCTACACACCAAGGAGAGAGGCCTCAGAAGAAACCAGCCCTGCCAACACCTGGACCTCAGACTTCCAGCCTCCGGATCTGTGAAATTTAAAAAAAAGAAAAAAAAATCCTGTTGTTTCAGCCACCCAGTCGATGGCATTTTATTGTGGCAGCCCTAACAAACTATCCATTTGCATTTAGCCAACCATGATCTAATGGTGCAGGTCTTTTACATTTCTAGAGTTAGAAATCCTGTGTTATCCCATAGCAAATATATCTGAGAGCCTGACCCAGTTTCTGTGCCCACATAGACGTGAGTTAGGTGTTTTTTATTATCATCAAGTTAATATGCTCAAGATAGAAACCAATTATGCTCTTCTACCCCACATCTCACTCCACCATCACCTTTCTTCTTGTTTTCAGCTTGAAAATTATTTTCTGGTGTCCTTTCCAAACAATTAAACTCTGTTTCCCTCTGCTAATTATTTCTTTGTGATCAAAGACTCAAGTAAATTCAAATAAACTCTAAGTACATCAGTATCCATTAAATTTTCTCTAACTGAAAAGATCTTTAAGATGAAGTTCAGTTCCATCTCTTTAGTCTAACACCTGCAAACTAAAACTTAGATTAAACATTGTGCATAAACTATCGAACTACGTAAACTAAGCACATTGCTTCCATTCTGATCCTCAACTTCTTGTTCTATTTGTCCTCAATAGTCAAAGAGTTGAGAAAAAAATGTCTTTCCTCCATTCCTCCAGAGGAGAGAAATTAATTTTCCAGTCATATAAGTGGACACAAGTTTATGGCTTTCTGATTTATGAGTCACAGATCAGAAAACAGACTAAAGATGTTATAAAGTTATTATTATAGCTGTTGTTTAGATGTCTAGAAAATGGCATTTAATTTTGTCATTCATCTACTTCCAGCAGGGAAAATCATAAATTATATTTATAATAAAATGATATTTACCTCAGTAGAGTTTATTAGACTGTCATTCAACAAATTTTGATCAGAAATTGCAATTAAATTACCTCCGATTGCAGTCAAGGGCAAGTAACATTTTCTCAGATTTCAGTATCCTGGTGGCAGGTGTCTTCAACTCTTGACTATTCCATGGGTGTTAATGATGAACTAGATTAAATTATTGGTAACAGTTCTAAATTTGTTTTATCTTTCCTTGTTGAAGTAAAATCATCAACATATTTTTGTACTCAAATATGAAGCCCTGTGTCTCCTTGCTTACTTTATGGAATGTGGTATTTGTTATTAGCATGTTGTATTTTAAATACTTTGTTCAGCCTTTAGAATATTACAAAGAAAAGGGATGCCTATAACCCATTAAATAATCCATTTCTAGAAACATCACCATTGCATCAAAGAAATTTGCTACATTTGTTTGGATAAGTTCTAACTACAATGCAGTCATCTTTTCTGACAAGAAGTCAGAAAGCATTGATAGTTATAAGCATTGATAGTTATAAAACAAAAGCAGACAGTGAGAAGTCTACGGTGTACTAAGGGAATAATTTTTTCTTTGTGTGTTTTTGTTTATTACTGACCATGGAATAAACGATTCAATCTTTCTCCACACTGTTGCAGAGTTAATACATACTTATTCTCAGAAAGATAAATCTGTACCTTGTTTAGCTCTAGGTTTAATATATCTGTTGAGAATTAAAAATGTGTTGGCACTCTTTGGGGAGAAACAAAGAAAGAGTGTTTACCGTGACATTTAGCTTCATATTTCCTTTTGCCAGTTGCCAACCAGGTCATTCTCTTACTGCATCGCCTGGCTAGGATTGAAAGTTTTGTATAAGTACCCCTTGCCTAAGTTAACAGCTCTTACCCTTCCTTTTTTCCCAGCATTTTTTTTAATGCATATCAATCAAGATTCTTCTTGTCACTGGCTGCTTTCTGGCAGGAGCTACTGCCATATGGTTCCACTTCAATTTGTAAAGGGTAGTTTGAAAGTTCATAAAGTCCTGAAGTCTTCAGAAAGAAAAAGAAGTTGTTAGAATTTTTACTACTATCTTGCACAGCAGCTGCCTCAGTTGAGGAAATTTGTGACTGCAATAGCTTCTACTGTGTTGAAAGGAACCCATAAATGGGTCTTAACTTTACATGATGCCAGACATAGCAGCAATCAAAATTGTGGTAGTCTGTTATCAATACAGCAAGTGTATCACCAAAATTATATCTAAGTTGAAGATAAGCCATTATCTTCATGACCTTAGGAAAATCACTGTTCCTCCATAAACCTCTATGTTTTAATTTCTTTAAAGTTAATTTCCAGCACAGGATGCTAAAATTCTAAGACCTATAGGAGAATTTTAAATTTCTTCATATAAACATCAACTGTGGTATTTTAATTCTGGAATCTATCTTCTTTTTACTTGGAAGGTAGGAGGTGCAAGTAGATCTGATCAAAATTAGTCACTGCCTGGGAACAAAGAAAGGGCCAGATGTGTAGCAGGGTCTGCCCTGCCAGAGCTCTTAAACTGAGAATTTATAACCAAAGGCAATCCTTAGAATGGCTCAATGCACATAGCATATGCATAAGGATATAACCAAAATTTACCAAGCATTCAAATTAAGCATATACAACTCATTACAAATCTCTTATACAACCATATGTACAAATAAACTATGTATACGTGAGTTTCATCTAGATTAACCATACTTCCCCCAACTCGGAATTAGAAACAGAGTTGATACAGGTCTTTGTTCAGTTCCCAGCTAAGCTCACAGGAGTCTAGCTCAGTTGAATGTCAGGTTCAGTCACCGCACACTTTATACTTAAGACACAAGCAAAATGTTTCTTTCATCAAGCCATATAACAAATATGTGAGTAAAAAGAATTACAAACAGCAATATAGTGAACATGACCTATCATTCATAAAAATGTTTGGCATTTGAGACATGCACAATACTTATATTTGGAAAACACGGAAAATTCTCATAAACCCAAATTACAGAATCATTTAGAACGGCCTGAACTTTGGTGGGCTACAGCTAAAGCTTTGCATTTTGTAACACCCTTTCTAACTCTGGCTTTCCTTTCAATGCTTTCTATATTCTTCAGTTCTCATCCACAATGGAAAATGCTATTTAATTCCTTTTCAGGAAACCAAGATGTTGCCATTGGTATAAAAAGCTTATCAAAAAAGATAATTTATCCAGGAAATAAATTTTTGGTTACAAGCATTTCCTAATTTTTGGGAACAGTGCCTTCTAATCAGTTATTATTAGAATATTACCAGTTATTATTGAATATTAGGAATTAGTATAACCTGTGCTGGGGGCACAGCTCACCTTGGAAGTCACCTGCAGCTTGCTAGGTACTTCCTGAACATACTAGTGGCTTCTTACCCCAAACACTTGTGTCCTTCTGGGAGAGAGCTTTATCTGATCAAAGGAGAGTACACAAGGCAGGCTAGATATGTCCAGTTAACACCTACTTAGTGCAAACCTCAAACCATGAAGAATGGTTGGTAGATAACTACCACAACCTTCACATCTCATTACCTGAATGATCTGCAGTCTCTCAGAGGGACCCCCAAGGATTGAATCTCTTTCCCACAGTAGTACCCCAATCATGAACACACTCTTTTTTTTGAATTTCCTCTCTTCCCTGGCTCCCTTCCTAACTCCCTCCCTGTGCTTCCTGAAATCATCTTCCTAATTAACTTTTTGTGCCCAAATACTTGTTTCTGATCTGCCTTGGGGGTAACTCAAGATAAGCAAAGATAAGCCTCTAATTGATTATGAACTTATTGAAAGTCAATCTGAGAGACAGAAGGAAAAGAAAAGATCTGTTCTAGAAATCCAGCTGCTGAATCAAGACAGGTGAAACTGACCATTGGCGGTAAATGTTTAGGAATGAGCCTGGTCAAGAACACAGATGACAGCACCAATAAGTGAAAGAGATGGACCTTCCTATCACTTAGTCAGGTGATTGAGGACCAAGACTGAGAGATTAGAAGTAATTGTGGGAGAAGATGGATCAACTAACTGTTAAGAGGGCCAGTTCTGAGCAGATGGCCCAGGCAGAACAATGCTGGAGGCAGGAGCTAATTGAGGCTGATGAATTAACAGACAGGCTTTAAGTCTACATGTCAGAAACTAAAGATACTTCCAAGTAATTACAGTGGAGACTCTGCTGAAAATGGAGCCATGAAACTGATTTCCCCCAGGAAGTCAAGTTGCACCAGAGAAACTTCGTGTCTCATTTTGCTTTTGTCAACAAGATGAAGCCCAGGTTCATGAGTATCTCCCTACTCAATAGGGCATGTTACTTCCAGGCCTGAGTAGACCAAGAATCTAGGTCTTCTGATTTACTGAGTCAAGCATGCTGTTAACTTACCTGAACACCTGGTGCTTTAAAATGAAAACACACACACACACACACACACACCAGTCATATCTTAGGTACCTAGGCACATATCAGATGATTGAATGAAATTAGATAAATTAAAATAATAAAATAAAATTAAAAAGTACAAGACCACAAGTCTTCTTTTTCAAATCTACTTGTTCACATTTTTAAAATTTAGTTTTTGCGCTGAAAAACTATTTTTACGTTTCTGTTATTGTTCAGTTTAAAAGCTAATAAAATAAAGATCCTAATTCCACAAGGGTGGAATCAACACATCAACTCTGCCGATTACATCATGGGTTTATTCCATCTTCCCAAGGCTTGCATTCTTTCTATTGAGTTTGATGTGCCAGGACCCAAAATTGGGAATTGCATCAAGACAAATATTTTTAAAATAAAGTAAGTATTGTTGGTTTCAAATATGATTGTCTCAAATATAAACAACTACACAAATTTGAAACATGTTGGATGAAATGGTAGAAGGAAAACAGAGGAAGAGCCGAAGTAAAAATAGAAGTGATATACATGAGGGCATAGTGTACGAAGCAGAGGGTTTATTCTAGAATTATATGAAGCCAGTGAAAAAGAGATCATTTGGAACATAGTATTGTGCAATTCTAGTCAATGTAAGAGGCAATCAAAATGTTTCAAGGGGGCTGAAATGTTTGAAACATGAGGACAAGTATTGGCCCATTCAATACCTTAGAGAAAAGAAAACTATGGGAAAATTTTTTTCTGAGAGTATATGCCTGAGCCAAATTCTTCACTCACATACTTATACATGGGACCTAATTCTGCACTTGGATATTTGTGGCAACTCTGCATTCTGCAGTCTTGGTGCTTGTGTGAAACAGGAGTTAAGCATATGGCAAACTTCAGCTTTCATGGAAATGTAGCTTCTGTTAGCATTAAACCGCTCATTAGTATGCAGTGGAACTTTTTAAAAGGAAAACAACAATAGCGACTATAAGCCATTTGTAAGCTATTTTAAAAGTTGGAATTCAAAATAAGATGAACAACATAAACCGAATATGGACAGGATTCCCCCAACAATCCATTTATCAAGTCTTTCTAGTAGAGCAGATAATATAGGCAGCCCAGTTTAACCTAAGAAAGTATAAATCCAGCTTAGCCTCCTGTGATACATTTCTGAGAGGCACACCAGAGACACATGGGAAGAGACCTAATGACTCATGATTTTATAACATCAGCCATCTTGCAGGGGGAGGGAGTTTCTGTCTGGGTAGGTGGTGTTCTCAGCCTCCCTGCACCTCCCAGGTAGCAAATGCTCTCCAACCATTAGGAAAACAGCTTGCTCTTCTGCTGCAAATCATGGTTCTTCCTTATGTTTACATGGCTGCATTCTTCAAACTACAGTACAGGAAAACAAGCTCTAGCTTTAATATTCAAAAGGCTTTGCAAAGAAAGGAAATCATTTCCATGAACAAAATGGCACTGTGTTTTCAATATTCCAACTTCTTAAATGGGTGGATGCGGTGTTTCAGGCTACTGCACACCCATAATCTCCTTCCTCTTCTTCATGTGTTTTGGTGTACTTGACATTAACCTATAAAAACACATGTATCTGCTTGTGGGAGTTCCTTGGATCTTCCAGGCCTGTTCTTCCTTGGCAAAAATTTGATTTGACAACTATGGAGTATGCACAAGTGCTGAGCGGAAAAGCTTAGAAGAGAAAAGCAATTAGCTTTAGCCCAAGTTCATTTGGGGTTGTATGGGACATAGTTATAAAAGACAAGATGGGAGGGAAACAACACTCACTGGAGCCTGTCGGGGGAGCTGGGAGGAGAGCATAGGAAAAAGAGTTAGTGCATGCTGGGTTTAATACCCAGGTGAAGGGTTGATAGGTGCAGCAAACCACCGTGGCACATCTTTACCTATGTAACAAACCTGCACATCCTGCATATGTACCCCAGCACTTAAAAGAAAAAAAAAATTAAATAATTGTTTTAAAAAAGACAAGATGTTAAAAAGGGAGAAATCCACCCCTAAACTTAAAATAAAAGTTAAAAAAAATTAAAAATATATAAATAAAAAAGGAGAGAGAAGCCAGTGGACTTACAATGAGAGCTAAGGAAACAATTGAAATAGATTAAGGATCGAGGTCTTCACTTATCTTTGTTTTTTTATTTGTTTGTTGGTTTTTAACAACAAATCATAAGAACATGGGACATGATGTCATTTAACAGAAAAAAACCCCATACAGAGTGCAGCATAGGAATCACTTTATTTGGCTGAGACATTGCCTGACTGTACAAGGACAGAATTGCAATCAGAACAGAATTCCAGCTCACTTGAGATGCTTGCAGGAGAGTAGACAGGGAAAGATAATTGCCTGTTGGAGGACAGTAAATAGCACCCCCTTAATTTCAGAAACTAAAGAAGGAAAGCATATATACTAAGAATACGGTCAACAAAGCCCCATAGCCAGGGGAAAAAAACTACTGAAGGAGTGCTAAGCTGCTACACAAGCCACAGCAAAGCTAGATTATTTACTCAAGAGAAAGAGCTGAAGAAGGTACACAGAAACAGCAGTGGGAACAAAGAAACTCAGTCATTTAACATGCCAAGAGAAATAAGTGGTAGCAACAACATTTTAAAACTCTAATTTACGGGGCAAAGAAGAAAATGATTAGTCTCAGCCAAGGAAAATAATAGCTTCCCATATCTTTAGCGAACGAATTTTTGCATTCTTAAATACATGTCTGTGGTCTGTGATTCCCAAGTCATTTTGTGAGCATGAAAACTGACCTCCTTAAACTTCTCACTAAGCCATTTTTCTCCCACTGAAATGTGGATGAGGTATTTACTATCCTGACCCAGCAGGTGCTCTCCATAACACAAGAACATCATCATTTACTGTGAGAAACTTAAAAGTCTCTGAGAGCTCAGTGGGCATTTTCCTTATTGCAAATAAGCCTCTCCTGTAGATTCCTAGGAGGGGAAAAAGCATAAGAAAGGGAGTGAATGTTTGTCTGTTCTTTGACCTTAATCATAACAGATGAAAACCTGGAAATAAAATGAGAGCCCCAAAGGGTATATTTCAATATTGCCTAAAGAGTTTCATTTCAGCTACTAATATTTAAAAAGGACTCTGCAAATTTGATTAAATGTTAGCAAGTTTCAATGCTGGATGGTGGAAACACAGATGTTTATGTAAATTATTATTTTTCTTATTTTTCTAAATACTTAAATTTCTTTAAAGAAAAATTTAAAAAATATAAAGTGAGATTAGTAAGAGATGGTACGGTGCTAAGTTTAACAAAAGCATGTTTGTGTTGCATATTATCTAGAATTACAAAATGTAGACAAGAAAGGCATCAAATTTCAGACTTACCTGTTGTGTAATACCAGAGTGTTCCAATCCTAGCTGCAAATTACCATCACGTCGGGCAGTTTTTACAAAATACTGGTCTTGTTTAAGGCTCACCCCTGGCCAATTAAAAGTGACAGTTGATAAGTACAGGTCCCAGGCATCTGTGTTTTGTAGAAGCTTCTCTGATGGTTCCAGTGTTTATGTCCAAGACGTACCTCTTGAAATATTGTTCTCTGCTAACATGGCATAAAATCAGAGGACAGGTGTCAACAGAAAGAGCACTGGAGCATAAACCAGGAGACCCAAAGTTCTAGACCCAATTTTATTACAAACTGAGCAACTTTACACAATCCATTTAACCTTTTTAGAATCCACTTTTCTTTTCTGGAAAATGAAAGCAATGTAGTAAACAAATTTTTAAAAGTCGGTTGTTGTTTCCAAAATTTTATTAAAAATGAAAAGAAGGAAACAACTCAGCATGGGTGAATTAACAAGCAGTTTTTTCTACAAGTAGCATTTTCAGTAGAATAATAGAGTATGCACTCCTAATTGCAGTTAACTTATATTTGGCTTGCTTCATTTATCAAAGATTCCTACACGTGGCTAATGCAGGAGGATCCTTTTAAACTCACTGTTGAAAGAGGGGATTCCATCTCTTTATTATCATGAACCAGTGGGTTACATCAGCCATGGATAAAGATGCCCAGCTGTGCTTAGCGGAATTGCTTGCCCTCTGTTAGATAAAGACGGATCTTGCATTTTCAAATGAAAATAGTACAGGGAGAGCCATATAAAAGGGATACTTTTATAAAGTAGTTACTGTCCCAGCAAATGATCTTAGGGAAACACTAAGGCCTTTGGATTTAGCCTTTGACAAACCACCTCCTCCACCTCCCTCACCTCCCAACCTTCTTTCTCCACCCTAAATCTGCATGGAAATGACCAGCTCATCCATATGTGCCCCGTGTGTACCTTAAAATCACGCGGGTAAAGCAGCCTGTGGCAAATTGGTCAGCTGCATTGGATAAAAAGGAAAATGCTCTAATTCACTCATTTTTTAAAAGAAGACTAGATGTCATAAGAGGAGCTGTTCTGTGGGTGATTAACTCAAAGGAAAAATATCACCTGAAGATATAAATATATATATATGTATATATAAATCAAATTATAGTGTCCTGTGACATAATTTGGACAAATGAATTGGCAGCAAGGGGTTGACAAAGAGCAAGAGGGGCCCTGAGAACTAGAACTAGACAATGGAGGTAGGAGAAGGCACACGGCCAGGCCAACAACATGGTTTCTGAAGTAGATGATTGTAGATAACCAGTCTACTACCAAACCCAGCTGGGATCGGAAATAATTATTCCTTCAGTTCTGCAAAATCAAAGAAAGACTCTTGTTCTCCTAGTCCTAGAGAACTGGGAAGAGCATCACAAACAAGATTTGGGCACAAGGAAATGTAACAGGAACTCAGATGCATGTCCCAGAACTACCTAGTAGGACTCAAAAATACAACAGAGAGCATCCCCACTACAAGCCCAGCATCGCAAAGGTAGAGCAGAACTAGCAGCAAGAATGACCACTTGCTGATTCACTTGGGTACAACCACAAAGTTGCCCTCTGACTAACACAAGTACTGGAGCCTAGGACTAAGCTGGCAGTTTTGGCTAAGAAGCCTTTCCCACAGAAATAGGAAAATAGCAGGGCAGCCAACCAACCAGGATAGTACAAAACCCTACTTACACCTTTAGTGATTTTTCCTGTTTTGAGAACAAGGCAGAAAAATTTAAATTGAGTCAATATATGGCAGAAGTAACTATCATTTCATGCTGTAAGAGTGTGTCATTTAACGGATATTGAACCAAAGTAATATATTTAGAGAACATAAAAAAGCCAAAGGATTAGAAGGAATGAAAGATACAGAAAGCCACAGGAAAAGAGACAATACTGGAGGAAAAAGAGAAAGAGCAGGAAAGAGAGGGGCCAACAAGTCCCATTTATGCAATTCACGTCCCTGAGACACGACTCTCCCACTTCACAATTTGCTCCTCTGACTTCTGTTTTAATGCCTTTCTTTCTACCTTCCTTGCTGAATGAATAAAACAAGATCTCTTTGGTATAGACCTACTGGAATTTCTCTCCTTGTTAAACCTTTTCCACTACATTGCCAGTCAGGAATTCCCATCTATATCTCTAAAACTTGTTTCTACCCTTTAGGGCCACTGGTCCTTCTCCTTCACCCCTCCCCTGCTCCCTCCAGCCAGTTGTAACCCTTTAATCTATTTGGCTACTGCAGGATTTATGCATCCCCTAGGCTTTTTCCAGCTTCAGGGCTCCTAGAAGGTCTAAGCTCATCTTTGCAGCCCTGACAGTGGCCACTGCTCTATCACAGCCACCTTGAAAGATGTCTCTGCTGCTGACAATGCACCCCACTCTTTGGAGAAAGGGTTGTGGGAATGCCTGTAACTCAAACAAGATATAGGAAGGACACTTCCTCTACCTACCACTTAAAAACAGCCTGCTGCCAACTGTGCATTTCCATCACTCAGTTACATAGGACACATTTTGCAGTACATTTCTGCCTTTCACATTGGTAAGGACTGCAACCATTCTGGCTTTGAGAGAGCAAAGTCATGTTGCTTTCAACAGTAAGATTTGTTGTGGAAACTCTGCTTAAGCTCTCAACGAAAGGTGAAAAAGAGACGGAGCAAGGACTCTTCTACCCCAACCAGATGCAACCTCTCCTCAGCTATCACTGTAAGGATGTATATGTAAACCTGATGGGAGTTGAGGGTGGATGGTTCTTCTGTGACACCTGTTCTTTATAATAGCTTACATAGCCTTTCTCTTTGGTTCAGCACCCTAGCATGTCTCACCAATTCTTTCATCAACCCCAGAATCAATTACAGAAAGATAATTGAATCTCCATATTTCTTTATTATTTACATCGATGTTAACATAATGTAGTGACTTTTAGTAGTAAGAAATGTTGTATGATGGTAGTTGGAACACATTTAAACTTTTTACATTAATTCCTTTTTTTTTTTTTTTTTTTGAGGTGGAGTCTCTGTTGCCCAGGCTGGAGTGCAGTGGCGCAATCTCAGCTCACTGCAACCTCTGCCTCCCAGATTCAAGCAATTCTCCTGCCTCAGCCTCCCGAGTAGCTGGGATTACAGGCACTCACCACCATGGCCAGGTAATTTTTGTATTTTTAGTAGAAACAGGGTTTCACCATGTTAGCCAGGCTGGTCTCGAACTCCTGACCTCAGGTGATCTGCTCGCCTTGACCTCCCAAAGTGCTGGGATTACATGCGTGAGCCACTGAGCCTGGTCTATATTAATTCTTATGGGAAGAAAATCCAAGTGCATAAGTCTACTCACTATAAGCTATATTTTCCTGGAATGTGAACTGGGGGTATGACAAAGACCCCTTCACCCTGAATAATGGTGCTGTCCTTCCTTTCTGCTTCTCTGTGAACAAGCCATTCTTCCTCAAGAGAACTCTGTGAAAATTTCCTCAAGTCTAGATGGCATCTTTCCTGACCGCTGCTTAGTAAAGATTAAGCATGTTAACCTTTAAGCTCAAGTCTTTTCTCCCCAGAACGGAGGAGTACTCTTTCATAGAAGAGAAGAAGCATCCCTTCCTTACCAAAGGAAGTCTTGGGCATCAGCATGCCCAAGAGCAGGTGAGTATTTTCATTGTGCATCTCCCTGGTTGTTTACCTCTAGAACTTTATCTTACAAAAATGAAATAAAATTGGCATTTCCAAGGACACTTCATTTTAGAAAAAATGAAGAGTCCAGATAGAATTGAACTGCCTTTAAATTCAGTTTTAAATTTCTTAGCTCTAAAAACTTTCTAGCATTTCATAAGATTCAGAAGACATACAGAAAAAAATTAAAACATCAGAAAAATAAATATGTATGTGTGTGTAGGTATGTACATAAATAGAGAGTACAAAGATAAATGATAAACAGAGACAGACAAGATTTCTAATCATATACATAGGCCTTTAACAAATCAATAAGAAAAGAATGAATAGCCCAATAGAAAAATGAGCAAATACTATCAGTGGGTAGTTCACAGAAAACGAAATACAAAGAGCTAATAAATAAATGAAAAGATGCTCAGTTTTACACATAATTAAATGCATGCAAATCAGAACAATGAGATTATTTTGCTTTTTCAATTATATAATAATTTGTTTTAAATATTGAAAAGTTTAATTAAAATGTGATGTGTCTAAATGGTGTTGCAGAAGCAGGTTTTTTCATTGACTGTTGAACATGTAAAATGGAAGCAACATTTTTGGAAGCTAATTTGGCAAAATCATTCAAAATTTTAAATATACAATTATTTTGCCCAACAAATACAATGGATATGGTCTTCTAAATAGGCAGATGTATATACAACAAAAACTAGAAACATTATTAATTCATATCAAGAAATTATGATACCTCCATATAGTAGACTATTGTACAGCTGTTAAAGAGACGAACTAAATTTTGTATGTTGTTTTGGAACAATCTTCTAGATTGGGGAGAGAAAAGCAAGGCATGAGAGATATTTATTTTATAATCCCATTTGTGGAAATGAAGAAAAGAATAAGTATAGAGAAAAATATAGATACATACATAGATATAATTATAGATATTCACATGTGTTTTCATAAGCCTTTTCTGCAAGGATAGGCAAGAAACAGTTAAAGTTACAGGGCTCTTTCCACTTAAGCCACTGGATTTTCCTTTTGCATCTGGCAAGTTTTGAGTAAAGGAAGTTTTCCCTGACTTTTCTAGTTGAGTTTGTCATTCCGTGAGCCCAGAGATGCTTAGAGGTTTGCTAGAAATTCTCCCCACACTTTTGTCATTTCTGCTTATTGCCCAGAAAAAAACCACTGTAATTTACTCAAGGTGATTTCTGATGGTCCCTTTATGAGGCTCATTTACATTGATTGTGACCAACTCTTCATAGGCCACAAAAAGCCCATATATCAGTGTCATCCACTAAGCCTCAGACACTGCAGCAGCTACTGTTGTAGTGAGGGTGGGGGAAAATGTCTCCGGTGACTTAGAATTTGACAGCACAGAAGAGGTAGCGGTATGACCAGCCATCACGGAAATGACCTTGTCAGGCCTGTACAGGGGCACAGAAGCATAAGAAGGGCCTGTCACTAGATGTGATTACTCTCTAGCATAAATCACTTTTAAATCCCAGCCTCTGAGAGTAGGGGCTAAAGGTAGACAGGCCAGAGAAGCTCCATTTCATGAACATTTCAAAACTCTTTCTACAAATGTGAGTTATTTCCTTTGTCCTAACTGGTTAGCCATTTTTCATTCATTGCTTTCTGCCCCATTCCATTTTCCTCACCTCACGATCCTACTTTTTATTGTAGGATGAGTGCTCTTTCTTTTGTCTATATCAGTAGATGAAGGCTCACTGGTATGTGGATGACTTTAATGAATTTCCAGTTATAGTACTTGATGCAGTTGCTGTGGTCGTTTTCTTGGAAAAGTAGGTTATATTGTATTACGTCATTTTTTCAGCCCTGGACTCTGTTAATTTTCCATTCAGTGGTGTGGGAAAACAAATGAGTTGTAATATGCATTTTAATTTATGCCATATATAAATACTCATAGATAAAGGATTCTCCGAACTGGAATGGTGATGACTAAGCCAGATGTTTTTAAAGGAGGATTGTTTTCCAAAGAGTTTACAGAGAAACATTCCTGAAAAGACTGAGGATTTTGCACAGCATTAATTTCATTGCACAAAGTTATTTTGGGTACACATTGTCAACAGATCCCAGTGGCTAGTTTATTTCAAATGCAGAGTTAGCATACTTCTCATACTAGGAAATAATGCCAAGAGAAATCATAACCAAGCTCATGGCCTCCAGTCTTGGTACCCAGGACTTGAAGAAGTCAAATTAGAATGCAAATGCAGCATGGTAGGGTTGAACACACATGATTTTAGAAGTCTGGAATTCCAGGCTATAGTCTCAACTTTTCCCATAACTACTGGTGAGACCATGCACGACCCAGTTAAACACTCCAGGCCTCATCTAGACAATAAAAGAAATGGGCTTGATGACCTTGGAGTTGCCTCCCAGCCATCCAGTTTTGTGAAGGTGGGCAGGGTTGTGTTTACTAAAACACCACTTTCCAATCAGAAAGCTGTCATTTCCTCCTCAGGCAGTTAAATTCATTTTACCTGAAAGTCAGTTTCAAGGTTAGTTTTTGTGCATAGAAACAGTACACCTAACTGTTTCAAACATCTCCTACTACAGCAGGATCTCAGACTGATCTCCACCTTAAATGTGCAGAGAATAACATTCCCGTTTTTCTCTGATTGGTTTTCATTATGAATTTTCATCAATCTGGTTTGTGAAGACATTTTATTTTAGTTTGATCCAATAAGTTCAGTCTGATTCAGTCATTTAAACATTCTCTTCAGGTAACTCTTCAGCCTCCTTCAGGTATAGCATGAATCCTGGTGTGATTTTGTCCCCTTCCCAGAATCTCTCTAAAATAATTGTTGCAGAATGACTGAGCTGAGCTGTTTTCTGAAGTTGTGGCTGCTGAGATGCAACTGGTACTACTGGCTTTTTAGTTGGCACACTGGCGCACACCATGGGATCCACAGTCCTGACCACTTCCCCAACATGTCATAGTCCAGGGACAGTCCCACTTAGCTGATGCCAGGGCTCTGGCCATCCTCTGGCTACTCAGCACTTTGCATCCCCTTACCACACACCCTCTGGTCCTTCCCATGGATTCTACCGGCCAACACCCTGGGACTGTGAAAGTGGATCTTTCAAGAAAGATGCGCTAGACCCATTAGTCTCAGGCTCTTTCCATATGTAACTGGGTACTTCCAAAGTCCATCTCATTTAAGGGTAAGCCCCAAGTGGGGGTCTTTGAGGAAGAGCATGTGATTGGCTGAGACCTTTGGGATCTGTCCTACTCCTCTACCTCTGAGTTCCTTCTCACTATAATTCTCAAGGTCCAGAGAGGTGGGCTTCCAGTTTTCTACTTCCTCTAAGCCTCCCTCAGGTGCGGACACCATAGGCAGGGCAGAAAAGGTGGTATTTGCCCTGAACTATGGAAAAACCTCAGTACTGGGTCTATGATCCATCTGAGTCCTCCAAGCTTGTTCCTGGTATATTAACAGCAGTTAAAATAATCTAGACAATCCTTTCTCTCCAGACTAAGTCTTGGATTTCGAGATTATTGGCCTGCTGAAAAATCTAATTTGTGTCTTTGTCTTCACATTCCTCTGTAGCAATCCTAATCCTTCCCAAGGCAAATAAATGTGCATGTCCGGAAGAGTAGGGAAAGTGCAAGAAAAGGAAATGCAAAGGAGAGAAGCACATTAACATATTTCACAAAATGTATTCTCTATTATATTAACAATACGTTGTGTGGTAGTAAAGAGAGAGACGAGAGGAAAAGGAAATAAGAAAAGCAAGGAAAGATCAAATAACATAGTTTACTTTTAACATATTGGGGTAAAGTCAACCCAGCCTTCACTGATAGATCTGGGAGTATCTCTCACTCTCCCATTTGTCTTCTCTTGTGGTCTGGCAGTAATATACATACATGTGAAACCATTAACTTGTTTCAACAACAAGAAAACAAACAACCCAATAAAAAAATGGACCAAACGCCTTAATGGAAGCCTCACCAAAGAAGATAGAGTGGGCAAATAAGCATATGAAGATATGCTCCACATCATACGCCATCAGGGAAATGCAAATTAAAACAACGAGACGCCACTATGTCTCTGGGAGAATGGTTAAAATCTGGAACGTTGAAAACACTGAATGCTGGCAAGAACATGGAGCAACAACAACTCTCATTCATTGCTGGTGGGAAAGCAAAATGATACATCCACTTTGAAAGTTTGATAGTGTCATATACAACGAAACATACTTTTAACATATGATCCAGCACCATGCTCCTAAGCCAAGAGGGTTGAAAATATGTCCACAAAAATACTTGCACATGAATTTTTATAGCAATTTTACTCACGATTGCCAAAACTTGGAAGCAACGAACATGTCCTTCAGGAGGTAATGGATACTTAAACTGTGGTACATCCAGACAAGGGAACATGATTCAGTGCTAAAAAGAAATGAGCTATCAAGCTATGAGAAGACATGGAGGAAACTTAAATGCATATTACTAAGTGAAAGAAGCCCATCTGTAAAGGCTCCATACTGTATAATTTCAATGATATGACATTCTGGAAAAGGCAGAACTATTGAGACAGTAAAAAGATGAAGTGGTTCCCAGGGGTTGGAGGAAGGGATGGATGAATAGACAGGGCACAAATGATTTTTAGGGCAGTGAAAACACTCTGTATCATACTACAGTATCATGATGGATAACTGTCATTCTACATTTGTCCTAACCCATAGAACGTGCAACACCAAGAGGGAACCCCGGGGTAAATTATGAACTTTGAATGATAATGATGTGTCCTTGTAACAAATGTACAACTCTGGTGGAGGATGTTGATAATGGGGGAGGCTATGCATGTGTCAGGGCAGGGGACGTATGGGAAATCTCCATATCTTATGCTCAATTTTTCTGTTAACCTAAAACTGTTCTAAAAATATAAAGTCTTTAAAAAAATTTTTAAGTATAAACGTTAATTTGTGACAAAAGATCACACCGCACTTTACCGGTCTAAACAACATCCATTTTTTGAAACTCTGCCTATCATCATCTTGGCCTAGTTTCAGGGGAGCTAATAATTTTAATGTAATTGATTGAAATATGCATACAGAAAAGTGCCCAAAGAAGTGTACAAGTCAATCAATTTTCACAAAGTGGACACACTTATGTAAGAAGCAACCACATCAAGAAGCAGAATCTTAACAGCACCCTTAGAAGTCTCCAATGCTGTCTTTCACTCACTACATGTCCCCCCAACCCACCATCGTAACTTCCAGCTTGACTTTTACCACCACCAGTTATTTTATTTTTACTTGTTTGTAAGCTTTATATACACATAGTCATATGCCCTATGTACTCATGTGTCTGTTCTTCTATTAGACATTGAGAGAGTCATCTGTGTTATTTCATATAGTTATAGTTCATTAATTCTCATTGCTATAAATTATCCCATTGTATGAATTTATTTATTTATTCATTCCACTGTAGGTGGACACTTGTTTTTTTTTTTCCATTTTGCTGCTATAGAAATCTTGGTACATGTCTTTTGATAAGCCTATGTTGGGTTTATGCCTAGAAACAGAATTGCAAGGACACAGGTGACATATATTTAGCTTAAACAGATTCTGCAAATAGTTTTCTGAAGTGATTATGCAAATATGCACACTTACCAGCAGTACATGAAAGTTCCAGATAATCCATATTCTCAGCCACACTGGATAGTGTCTGCCTTTTTTGTTTTAGCCATTCTAGTAGGTATGTAGTGGTATTCCACTGTGATTTTAATTTGCATTCAGGGAAATACTGTGTATACCTGTTTGCACACATACATGCGTGTGTGTTTGCATCAAGTGCTTTGGAACAAAAACAAATGAATGTTTAGGTCCCAGCTCTGGGTCTTATTGTGTGAAGTTCATCAGGTTTCATTTTTCTTATTTATTAAATGAGATAGTGCTTGAAAATACAATGCCCAGCATAGCTAGCCATCTTAATTTATATCAAGTTATCCATATACATAACTCATACGTAGATAGAGAGCTAGCTGAAGGATGAATAGGTAGATAAATAGGTAGATAGATAGATAGGTAGGCAGATAGATAGATAGATAGATAGATAGATAGATAGATAGATAGATAGATTGATTCAGTTTGCTTGGGCTGCTGTAACAAAAATACTATAGACCCATTGCCTATAAACAACAGAAATTTATTTCTCCCAGTTCTGGAAGCTGGGAAGTCCAAGATCAAGGTGTTAGCAGACTTAGTGTTTGGCGAGGGTCCATTTCCTGGTTCATAGATGCCACCTCTCTGCTGCATCATCACATGGTAGAAGTTACTAGCTAGCTCTCTGGAGTCTTTTTTGTAAGGGAACTAATCCCATTCATGAGGGGTCTGCCCTCATGACCTAATCATGAACGAATATCTTGGTACCCTCCTCAGGGAACAGGATCATCTCAAACAGCACCCATGTTAGGATAGAGTGCAAAGTGACCCCCAAGGAACCACGAGAAGTGACAGCATAGAACAGCCTGAGGACATATTGTGTCCTCAAACTCAATATCATTCTTGGCAAGCACTGAACGGGCATCTGAAGATCTGGGAGTGACCAGTTCTGCTGTTTACCACCAGCTGATGAAAACGGGGAACTCATGTGACTCTTTTTTTATTTTTCTTGAAAGCGAGTCTCGCTCTATTGTCCAGGCTGACAACTGCAGGGGTGCGATCTCAGCTCACCACAACATCCAGCTGCTAGGTTCAAGCGATACTCCTGCCTCAGCCTCCTGAGCAGCTGGGACTACAGGCATGCACCATCATGCCTGGGTAATTTTTGTATTTTTAGTAGAGACAGGGTTTTACTATGTTGGCTAGACTGGTCTCGAACTCCTGACCTCATGATCTGCCTGCCTCGGTCTCCCAAAGTGCTGGGATCACAGGCATGAGCCACTGCGCCCGGCTCTCATGTGACTCTTATCAGTTCATCTGCTCAGTTGAAAATGAGGATCTAATGGCTGCTGTACTCATTTTTGAGGATCAAATCAGAAAATAATCTTGAAACTACCCGCCATTATGCCTTACTCAGTATTTATAGGGATTGAATGAAGAAGTGAATGACAAGAATCAGGAAATCAAATATAAAAATTCCAAGTGATACAAAAATATAGGTCTTTTGATATATTTGTGTGAAAGAAAACTTTATTAATAGCTAGTACCCTTTCTTGGCTCCCAGTTCCTACTGCCAAAGTTTTCTCCACCATCTGTTCTTGAAAGGAAAAGAAGCCGCCATGTTTCCTCCTCAAGGATGTGGGTCGGACGCTAGCTACATCTCACCATATCAAACATCCCAACCAAAGAGCTAAATACTGCTGCCTTTTTGTTCCAAAAATTCATATATTTGACATCTTATAGACAAAACGCTTGACTATTTGTCTGAAGTTATTGGTTTGAGGTTTTTGCTTTTGTTTTTGTTTTCTGTTTTGTTTTTTTTTTTAGACAGGGCCTCGCTCTGTTGCCCAGGCTGGAGTGCAGTGGCACAATCTTGGCTCACTGCACCCTCCACCTCCCGAGTTCAAGTAATTCTCCCACATCAGCCTCCCAGGTAGCTGGGATTACAGTCATGTGCCACTATGCTCGGCAAATTTTTGCATTTATACCAGAGACAGGGTTTCACCATGTTGGCCAGGCTGGTCTCGAACTCCTGACCGTAAGTTATCTGCCTGCCTCGGCCTCTCAAGTGCTGAGATTGCAGGCGTGAGCCACAGAGCCCGGCCGAAGTTATTGGTTTTCACGTGGCTACTCAGCATTCTGAAATAGGCAGTAAGTACAGATTTGTTCCCTAACATTCAGGTGTAACCACGTTGCAACTTTTTGTGATTTGTGAGAGAGTAGAGATTCCATGGACTGCACTCATCTCTCTGGGTCAAATTTAGCTGCAGTGACATTTTCTGGGTTTGCCAAGGCTAAGGCACTTGGTGTTCTGTCCCTCAGCATTTATGAGGCCTCACCAAAGATGAGGTCTCTGTGGCTCATGCCTGTAATCTCAGCACTTTGGGAGGCCGAGGCAGGCAGATAACTTGTGGTCAGGAGTTCGAGACCACCAAAGATGCTGCTACTTCCCAGATCACACTGTTGAACCATGACTCAGCTCCCTACCTTTAGGGTAGGCACCCTCTTCTTCTCTGCCCTTTGGGTCCTGCCCCCTCATTGGAACATTCCCAAATGGAAATCTTCATTCTCTCTTGGAGCCAAAAAATTCCTTCCATCTGACTAAGCCCTGACTCTTTTCTTGATGTCAAAAAGGGAGGAAAATACCTCTCTTATATTAAAAATAAGCCGATAGCAAAAAACAAGAGTGCTCATTTTTCCATCAGATAATCCTTTTCCATGTGCATAGCTTTGCTTATTACATCACAGCTCTGCTTCTTCCCTAATGGTGATAGTGAACTGGGTGGGACAGATGCTGATGTTTGCAGAAAAGAACTAAGTCATGGAAAGCAAAATGAACTGAGAGGCAGTTTGTATTTATCCAACTTATTTACCCAATTTACTTAGTCATGAAGTACAAAATATGGCTCTCGGTTGCAACAGACTGTGGTCATCTTAAGCAAAAAATACCATCACTGAAAGGACATTAGGCAGGGCACGGTGGCTCATGCCTGTAATCCTAGTACTTTGGGAGGTTGAGGTGGGCAGATCACCTAAGATCAGGTGTTCAAGACCCACCTGGCCAACATGGTGAAACCCTGTTTCTACTAAGAATACAAAAACTAGCCAGGCGTGGTGGTATATGTCTGTAATCCCAGATACTTGGGAGGCTGAGGCAGGAGAATCACTTGAACCCGGGAAGCAGAGGTTGCGGTGAACTGAGGTTGCACCACTACACTCCAGCCTGGGTGATAGAGTGAGACCCTGTCTCAAAAACAGACAGGAAGAAAGAAAGAAAGAAAGAAAGAAAGAAAGAAAGAAAGAAAGAAAGAAGGAAGGAAGGAAGGAAGGAAGGAAGGAAGGAAGGAAGGAAGGAAAGAAAGAAAGAAAGAAGGAAGGAAGGAAGGAAAGAAAGAAAGAAAGAAAGAAAGAAAGAAAGAAAGAGAAAGAAAGAAAGAAAGAAGGAAAGAAAGAAAGGAAGAAAGAAAGAGAAAGAAAGAAAGAGAAAGAAAAAGAAAGAAAGAAAGAAAGAAAGAAAGAAAGAAAAGAAAAGAAAGGAAGGAAGGAAGGAAGGAAGGAAGGAAGGAAGGAAATCAAAGATGCAAAATCATCAAAAGGCCAGAAGACCCAACTTAGACAATTGAAAAAACAAACACACAAAAAACAAGGATACAGATAGATAGATAGATGATAGATAGATAGATAGATAGATAGATAGATAGATGATATAGATATAGATATAGATATAGATATAGATATAGATATAGATATAGATATAGATATAGATATCTATATCTCCATAGGGAAAGATTTTTCCCAAATGGTGATGAGGGGGTCAATGTAAAAGAAAAGGTTAAGTAATGAACAAAAGTCTATTATAGATACTCACCAATTTTTGATCTTTAGTGGGTCTTTTCTTGGTCTCAGTTCATCATCTGCAAATAAGAGGATTGAACTAAATCATATATAAGATCCTCTCCATCCCTAAAAGACTCTATTACCTGCTGTCTCACTTCTTCCTCTGACAGTTGTATCTCTAAGCCAGCATTAAAGAGCTTATAAATGGGTAGCATCTAACCAGAGGTGAAAACACAAATGTTGAATGGGATAAGCTCATCATAAGGAAAAAAGGTCTGACATTTCATTGTTGTGTCTCTCTGTTTATCTGTATATTCTCAAGAACCACCATTTATTTTATTTAATCACAAGGGAAAATGCCCCATTTCCTACCTCTTTTCTGCTGGGTTTCTTTCATTTATTTTTTTAATTTATATTTACTTATTTATTCTTAGAGATGGGATCTCACTCTGCTGCCCGGGCTAGTCTCAAACACTTGGGCCCAAGTGATCCTCCTGCCTCAGCCTCCTGAGTAGCTGGGACTACAGATGTGTGTCACTGCTCTCAGCTCAGATGGGTTTCTTGAAACTACTTTTGCTCCTGTCTGTCCTTGAGACTCAAAACATTTGTTTCTCTGGAACTAAGAAATCTTACTGAAAACCTTGCTCTAAATCCTCCTCTTTGTGGCCTATGCACTTGAATCATCTGTCTAACCAAATGCAGAAAGCTCATGATTCGTTTATTAAACTAAAATTTAGTTGTTCCCAGTTGTCCACGTACTTTCCCCTTTAAAGAGCTAAATTGTTTAAAATCAATCATTTTAGCTATTTTAGATTTTTATTCTCTTAAGCATGCCTTGTTGTGTTTTGTTTTTAATTCCTGTTTTATTCTGGGTAGAAATTGCTTCCTCACCACTCTCCTAACAACTACCAATAATTAAAAATTACCAATTTTGATCGTTTCTGTCCATTCTTTTAGCAAGAGCATCAGATAATTCTCCATATTTATCTTTTTCCTGCATAGCCCTCTTCAGCTTCCCTATCATTTTGATTTAGAAAACAGGACAATAGCTCTGTAATGACAGTGTTCCCTCTCTCAGATCTTTACACAGCTCTCCTTGTTTTCTCCACTATGTTATGCACTTACTATTTTTGTTAAGTCCTACATTCTTTTTCAGGATGACAGCAGTTCTTTGAGCTTTAATTATGGTGTCTTAAAAAATTCTTCTGCTGCTTTCATGCTTGTAAATTTTATACTTCCTCTTATTGCATCTTATTCACCAGATTTCCTAATTCCCCAAAATTTACTTTCTTGAAATCTGATGCCTTTGTATAGCTGTATTGTTCAAACGTACATCTTATGATTTTCACTGTGAGTCATCTGTGGACATGGAAACCCTTTTGCCTACCTGTCTGCTATTTTCAATGATGATGTTTTCATTTCCCCTCCACCCCACTGCAGAAAAAAAATTGTGTTATTATCTCTTTCTTGCGATTTAGAATTTGTAAAGGTAATCAAAATTATAACATATCATTAAATCAAAATTTTTTATTTATAATCAAAATGCTATAATAATTCTCATCCTTCCATTAATCCCTCAATAGAGTAAATACCTTTATTAGAAGGATCAAGCCATCACTACCTAGCACAATGCCAAACTTTGTTTTTGACAATCAGGAATCCATTTCTTAGTGAGACACATCTGGTCTAGAAAGAAGAAAATATTGTCTGTGATCTCACCATGAGAATCAATTGAAAAGAATTAGGGAGAAGGTTAGAGTTCCAGACAAGTTGAAAATATGCACATTAAATGCACAAGGATCTATCTTTTTAAAATAATAAGTTACAAAAAAATACAGATTTTGAACATGGAAGAATAAAGGTTGAAACCACTTCCTAGAACAAACTTAGTTCTTGGAATTCTTTTGGCTCAAATGTACAGTTATTATTGTAAAAGTCATCATGTGCTGCAACCCTGTACGAACTTCAAAGTAAAGTTTCAACAAAGACGATTGCTCTTAGACATGAGAAAGAATATCTCGATGGAGACAAAGCAAATAACATGAATTCTGGTTGATTTGAGTAGAAAGAGAACTAGTAATTGAGAAAAAGGGTTTAACCAAAAAGATTTGAGTTCATTTGATTAAAAGTATTTTGTAAAGTCTCATGTAAGCATCCTTGAATATTAGAGTTTCTGAGGTTTATCCATCACTACTCATTTTCCAATTAACTGTACATCCTAATACCCCCTGATCCTAGTTCAATAGCTTCAGGAACTGATAATTTTGCTTCTTTTCAGAAGACATTTAAAGCTGAAGCCTTAGGATTGTGATTATTATCATTTTGTGGGTTTGAGTTTGCAATCCTAATACTTCAGATACCTTTTATTTCTTCTGGGGCATCACTTTGGCATCAGGTAGTTTCCATCAGGTAGATTTGGGTGCAACACTGCAGATCTACTAGCTGAGGTTTTCTTTTTTTTTTTAATTTTTTTATTTTACTTTAAGCTCCTGGATACACGTGCAGAATGTGCAGGTTTGCTACATAAGTATACATGTGCCATGGTAGTTTGCTGCACCTATCAACCCATCATCTAGGTTTTAAGCCCCGTATGCATTAGCTATTTGTCCTAATGCTCTCCATCCCCTTGCACCCATCCCCTGACAGGCTCCAGTGTGTGATATTCCCCTCCATGTTCCATGTGTTCTCATTGTTCAACTCCCACTTCTGAGTGAGAACATGCAGTGTTTGGTTTCCTGTTCCTGTGTTAGTTTGCTGAGAATGATGGTTTCCAGCTTCATGCATGTCCCTGCAAAGGACATGAACTCATTTTTTTTATGGCTGCATAGTATTCCATGGTATATATGTGCCACATTTTCTTTATCCAGTCTATCATTGACGGGCATTTGGGTTGGTTCCAAGTCTTTGTACTAGCTGAGTTTTTCTTAAAAACTGATCATTCAATCTCGTAATAGTTCAGTTAATTTATCCCTTTACTAAAAGTTATAAGCATACATGTGAAATAACTGCTGCATTTGCATACACATGTTTAAAATGTTATCTATACTATTTATCAATGAAAATGAAAAAAACTACGAAAGATACAACGTGAATAAATCTTAAAAAAAATAATGTTCAATCAGATGAACAAGAAATGAGGAATGTTCTATTTAAAAGAGAGGGGAATGTATTCATTACAGAAGTCAATATCACATAAAAAAGCAGGAATGGATGAGGAAATATTCCAGATTAAAATAAGCTAAAGAAACATGACAACTAAATCCAACTGACCCTGAATTGGATCCTATATCAGAGGGGAGCCCTTCACTTGAAGAGGGGAAATTTTATAAAGGGTTATTAGGTTAATTAACAAAATTAACAAAATTAAATTATGGACATAGATTGAATTGGATCAACGTAAATTGATGAGGTTGATAACCATACCGTAGTTATAAAAAAGAATACCCCTATTCCTAAGAAATACACACAAAAGTATTTATGGATGAAGTGCTATGCTGTATGCAACTTATTTTCATTTAGTTCTGAAAAACTATGTACATATGGGGAGAGAAAGCACACACATGATAAAAACAGTGGGGTAATATGTTAATAATGGGTAAATCTGGGTGAAAGAAGAAGGGGTGTTCTTTGTGTATGTTTATTTTTGTAATATTTTTGCTTTAATAAATATTAAATATTTAAAAGGTATGCTACTCGTACACTTATTACAGCATTCATTTCCTTGCTTTTCTTTACAGTTTTATGACCTAATTATGTATGCTCAAAGAATATAGTTTAATTGCCTGGTTTTGAACTTTTTGTATAAATGGAATCACACAGAGTGTGTTCTGTTGAGTATGGCTTATTTTGATCAGTCTTTTATTATTTAAAAACTACTTAGAAACAAAATTTTTAAAATTTCTATATGTTTATTTGTAATATTTATTTTAATAAGTATTAAATATTTAATAAGTATAAAGTAAAAATATTACAAATAAACATATACAAATTTTTAAAAATTCATTTCTAAATAATTTTTAAATAATAAAAGATTGATCAAAATAAGCCAGACTCAACAGAACACATTCTGTGTGATTCCATTTATGCGAAGTTCAAAACCAGGCAAAATTAAATGATATTCTTTGAGCATACATAATTAGGTAGTAAAACTGTAAAGAAAAGCAAGGAAATGAATGCTGTAATAGGTGTGTGAGTAGTGTAGTCTTATAATAGGATATCATAATATGACAGTGGTTACCTCTAGCAGGGAGGGGAGATTACAAAAGGGAGGGGCATGCTTAGAAATTTGGAGTGCAAGCAACATTCTATTTTGCATTCTAGGTAAAGATTACACAGATATTTGTTTTACAATTATTAAGCTAAACATTAATATTTTATGAGCTTCTTAGTATGTGTGTTTCTAAAGACAGAATAGAAGAAAGAGGGAAGAAGGAATGGATGGAGGAAGGAAGGAAGGAAGGAAGGAAGGAAGGAAGGAAGGAAGGAAGGAAGAGAGGAAGGGAGGCAGGGAGGGAGGGAGGGAGGGAAGGAAGATGCCAACCTACAATATACAACCTGCCTTTATAGTCTTACGGACAAGTGTAGTAGTAGCAGTAGTCCTTGTCAAGATAAGAAACTGCCAGTGAATCTTATTTTAGAGCAGAAGCCCATTATTGCTCCCAGCTTTTTGACTTAGTGCAAGCCAGAACTTTAGAGCTGTCATACATCAGTTATCACTGGAGATGGTCCAGTTGACTATGGAAACAGGTAACTGACAGGAGCAAAATCAGTAAGGTCCAACTACAGACCTGAAGAAAGTCCAGGGTAAGAAGTAGCCAATGATATCAAAAGGATGAGACAAGAAACCAATAATAACCAAAGCCTCTTCTCCCGAGGTGTGCAGCTTGACATCAACTTGAAGGAGTGTTGTGTGGTTGGATGAGGCTGTCAACACATCCAGGAGGCTGTGTCCACCTCTCCAGCTGCAGCTCCACTGCCTCTCCCTGATCTGCAGGCCCTGACCAGGTGACATGCTGCCAAACGGGGAGAGGGCGGTCCTCTTTTCTGATGCGTTTAATGTGTGCTGTCCTCCCCGACTAAGCCTCCTGAACTACTGTGCATCTTCGAGGTCTCAGCTCAAAGTTCGGTCCTTGTAGAAGCCTCCTCTAACTCCTTAATCTAAATCAAATCCTCTTATGATGCCCTCTTATGGCAGTCCATCTTTTCCTTCACAGTATTTATCATAGTTTGTAACTGTATAATTATTTGTGGGACTATTTACTTTTCCACCATCCTGGAGTTCCTGACTGCCATATAATACCTATTTGATGACAGTTTTCCCAGTTTCTAACACAGTGTCTGAAACACCATACTCATGTATATTTGTAGGCTCCTGAATGAACAAATGAATGACTCATTTGTCAATCAGCCTCTCTTACATATTTCTACTCTCTCCCAAAATAGTAGTAAGATGACCAAGTAATTGCTTAAATAACATCATTACAAACCCCTTCACTAGCCATAGTGGATTTTCAATAGCATTGGTAGATTCAAGTGAGATCATGTTTGCAAAAGCACTTCATATATGAATGTCAGGTTTTTTTTTTCCGATTGTTTCAAGTTCCATACTGGAGACAGACTCATTTTTTCCTTCACTTGGTAATGCCTCCCATGGGGTCGAACACATGCTGGGTGTACAATTCATCTTTGTAGGATAAATGAAAATTTAGTTTCTTAAAATAACTACTTTTCTAAGGAATGTTTTAACACATATGTGAACAAAAAAAAGAAATTAAATAGAGAAAGTGAGGTAGGGAAAATATCTGAGCAAAACTTAACTTGCTGTTTCCCCTTAAGAGTCACCAAAGAAAACCCATCTTCAGCTCTTAAATGCTGAAAGGATTTAAGAGGAAAGGATTTAGAGGAAATAGAAAGGACAGTAGGAGATAAATGGTCTAGAGTTTAGAGACCTAGATTTTACCGATGACTGGGTTAACTTTCACCTAGCCTTCCAAGCCTTGATTAATTGCGGTCACCAGAGTTTATTTCTCCAGTTCATATTTTGCTCTTGGAAAGTTCTACTGTAAGCTCAATAACTTCTTTAAAAGTTGTTGAAATTTGAGATTAAAATAGTGTAACCAATAACTTGTTTTACTTTTTTAAAAAGTTTAAAGGTCTGAGCCCCTCCTACCTGTAATCCCAGCACTTTGGGAGGCCGAGGCAGGCGGATCACCTGAGGTCAGGAGTTCAAGACCAGCCTGGCCAACATGGTAAAATCTTGTCTCTACTGAAAATACAAAAATTAGCTGGGCGTGGTGGCAGGCACCTGTAGTCCCAGCTACTCGAGAGGCTGAGGCAGGAGAATAGCTTGAACTTGGGAGGTGGAGGTTGCAGTAAGCCGAGATCCCGCCATTGCACTCCAGCCTTGGAGACAGAGTGAGACTCTGTCTCAAAAAAAAAAAAAAAAAAAAAAAGTTTAAAGGTAAGAACTGTTGATTTACTGTTTGAAGGGGAGATCTTTCTCCACAGGAAGTCTGGGCTTGTTCTTCAATATAAAAGATTTTTTTCCTGTGGAAAGATTTCTCACGATTTTACAGATTTGAATATAGATTTGTCACTGGCGCAAACCGATGAGTGTAGTTAACTTATAATTTAGGCATGAGTCCTGTCACATTGATAGGTGCAATATAAAGGGATTCAACAATAAAATAACAGCACATAGAATAAACTGGACAGTTTCTGAAAACCACCATCTGAGCAGCTCTGCATACAGAGCTAATTGAAGAAGGGAGTTCCAACGCATCAAGTGAAGACTTATATTTTAATTTGTGCAAATGCATATAGAAACCATGAAATTAATCTGTTCTGCATTGGGTGGTACCCAAATCCATAAATTCTAAGTAATACATGGCTAATATTTCTTTAAATTATACACACACAACAGTTGGATGACAGGTGTTCTGCTTACTGACTAGTTTTGGAAATATTTCGTCTTCCATTTAAAGTAATAATTATGGACTTTTCTCAAGACACAAACTTTCCTACAAGGAAGAAAGACATATTTGTTCTGGTCCTAAAAACACCCCCATGTGCAGGCAAGGCAAACAGCAGAGTGCTGGTTAACACGGACATCCAATCTTACTGCACTGCTGTCCTCAGTTTCCTTGATGCCCATTGATTAGGGCTCTAGAAACCCACACATTTTACACTGGAATGGTGCTCGTGAGTACACTTAATGAAATCTTGAAAAGCAGTTTAGAAACACACCCCATTCATGTTTCTATCTGTTACTTGCGTATTTTCAATGTGGAGCACTCAGGAGGTTGATAAGGAAACTGGCTAAAAAGATGTGATTCAGAATCTAAAATGAGAAAGGAAAAAGTAAAGGTTTTGCCAAGAAATCATGTGTCTACAATTGCTTGTCTGTCCTAGGCAGGGTTTGGACTATTCTTCCTCACTGACACCATCCCCCTACCACACCCATTTCAAACTTCAGAATACAGGGGACCGAATCCCATTACTGCCTTAAAGGAATTGAGCCCCAGAAAGTTTGCAGGTATAAAGATTTGGTCCAAGTGTCCTCCTTCTGCAAGCCTAATTATTTTAACAGACATCCCTTTAACATCTATTATTTGTAAAGCTTTGGGCTATACCTGAGGCTTGAAAAATAGGCACCATGTGGTTGTGTAGTTAGGTCCTTGACCACTGCTGGTTCACAAACCTAATTTAAAGCCTGTTTTTAGAAATGAAAGAAGTTATCTGATTTGAATCATTTAAGAGATATTAGCAAGATGCAATGTGAAAGATCAAAAATGTGGATTTAAAAGGTCATACTTAGAGAATAGAAATGATAGCTTCCTAAGGGACTTTGGAAATGCAGTAGCCTCTCATTAAAAACATCTAGGGGCCGGGTGCGGTGGCTCATGCCTATAATCCCAACACTTTGGGAGGCCGAGGCAGGTAGATCACTTGAGGTTGGGAGTTTGAGACCAGCCTGACCAACATGGAGAAACCCCATCTCTACTAAAAATACAAAAATTAGCCAGGCGTAGTGGCACATGCCTGTAATCTCAGCTACTCAGGAGGCTGAGGCAGGAGAATCGCTTGAACCTGGGAGGTGGAGGTTACGGTGAACCGAGATCGTGCCATTGCCCTCCAGCCTGGGCAAAAAGAGCAAAAATCCATCTCAAAAAAAAAAAATCTTGGGATATCAAAGATTCAGGTGCACTGTGGATCCAACTTTGCCCCTGAGGATACCATCTTTATATGGTGATTGCCTCCAACTAACACAGGGCCATTAATCTTGCCTCCCAACTCCACTGTTTTAAAGGTGGTTCCTAAGGAGCATAGTACTTTAAAGAAGCAGTATGTCTAATTGACATCAACACCCTGGAATAGCATTTTCAGCTCCACGCCTAACATTCTGCATTATCATAAAAACTTGCTTAATTTCTCACTGTCTCAGTTTTCCAATGGATAAACTGAATATATTAATAACCACTTTTTCTCTCCAGTGTCTGTAAAGCCAGTTGTAAACTCTTTTAGCAAGACTCCTTAATAAATCAATTGAGGCAACTTCTGATTTTAGTCATATTTTTAAAACATATAGGCCAGGTATGGTGGCTCACACCTGTAATCTCAGCACTTTGGGAGACTGAGGTAGGAGGATCACTTGAGGCCAAGAGTTCAAGACCAGCCTGGGCAATGTAGTGAGACTCCAACTCTGTAAAAAATTTAAAATGACCAGATGTGCTGGCATGCACCTGGAGTTCCAGCTACTCAGGAGGCTAAGGCTGAGGACTGCTTGAGCCTGAGAGTCTGAGGCTGCAGTCAGCTATGATCATGCCACAGAGCAATCATCTATTGCCTGGGTGACAGAGCAAGGCCCTGTCTCAAAAATAATAATAATAATAATAAATAAATAAACACATGATCCATTTATCAGGTAATAGTAATAATAGCTTAATATTAATCCTTTAATAAGGTAAGCAGTAAACTAGGTGCTTTTAAAGCACCTATCATCTAATTTAATCCTCACAATTGTTGTTGTTAAAAGTAGGTTAATTACTATCAACTTTTAACATATGAGGAACATGACATTCTTAAGTTACTTTCCTAAGACCATGCAACTAATTGCAGTGTAGACTGAATCCAAACCCAAGCCTATAGGACTCAAATGATAGAGTTATTTCTACTATACAATTATTATTAAGAGATTCTAATAAAATTATAGTTTACAAAACACTTCCATAAAATTTCTGAAGGATAAAATTACTGGTTTATCTATCTGGCTTAACCATGTAAAATCAACAATTGAAAATAATAAAGTTGGTAGTATAATTGGCACAGCAGCTAAGGCCATATAGTCAGTATTTACAAAACACAAAAAAAATTGTTAAAGCTGACTAAGCTTATCAAAGAAGTCAATTCATTAAGGCAAATTAGACAGTTCCATTAAAAAAGTCAAATTTTATGCTTTTTGTTTTAAATGTTGCAAATCAAAAACAGAAGTTTAATTTTTCATTTCATTTCTATATGGATAGAGAGAGAATACACTCACAATCAGAGATCAGATCTTTTGTTTTTCTTAAAGGTAGTGTTGTAATGTAATGTGGGGGAGGGGCAAAGGTCTGAGGACTATTTTTAGCATTTCAAAGACTATAACATATCAGATATGTCTCACAGATAAGGCAGTACAGTCTAACTAAATAATCATATTCCTAAGCTTTTTGCCAGAATTGCTTCAACTCAATGTAATAGTACCAATGATCTCATCCTGATTAGAAAGACTGATCGAGAGAGCTGCATGTGTCTTTGATTAATAAAAGTGTTTTTAAAAATATAATGATTGCTGTATTAGTCTGTTTTCACACTGCTGATAAAGACATACCTAAGACTGGGCAATTTATAAAAGAAAGAGGTTTATTAGACTTATAGCTTCACATGGCTGGGGAGGCCTCACTGTCATGTGGAAGACAAGGGGGAGCGTGTCACATCTTACATGGATAGCAGCAGGCAAAGAGAGGCCTTGTGCAGAGAAACTCCCGTTTTTAAAACCATCAGGTCTTGTGAGACCCATTCACTATCATGAGAACAGCACAGGAAAGACCTGCCCCCATAATTCAATCATCTCCCTCCAGGCCCCTCCCATAACATGTGGGAATTATGGGAGCTACAAGATGAGATTTCAGTGGGGACACAGAGCCAAACCATATCAATTGTTTAATGTCATAAATGTATCTGTGCCAGGATGTTTATGCTTATTGCAGTATTGCTCTTATGGTATAAAAGCAGGAAGAAAAGAAACTAAATGCTCATCAATAAAGGAATAACTATGTAAATTATAGTTAATTCATACAAGAGAATACCATACAACTATTAAAAGGACAGGACGGATGTACTTCGAGATGTCTAACAAACAGGCCACAGAACAACATGTACTACATGGATACTGCGTGTTTTATGCACACAGTAGGATAAGATAATATGGATACAGACACGTATGTACATGAATGAAGACATTCATTTCTGCTATGTAACTTTTAAGTACACCAATAGAAAAAGAAATGGAAACAGAAAAAGTGAAATGATAATGGCAGTTACTGCCAGGAAGGAGAAGAGATGGGGACAGGTAAACAGGGTCTTTTACTTTTTCTCTAAACTTTTCTGTGGTTTGAATTTAGACAATGAGCATTGATTGTTTTGCAACTTTTAAAATTCCTTAATAAGTGTAAAGGAGATTTTGTCTGCCAAACTTTTTCAAACGTGGACTCAATATGGAAACAAAAAGAAAACTGGTCCTTGATGATGGCCTCGGTAACCTGCTTGTGTAGATACAACCTTCCAGTGTACATAGAAAACACACACATCCTCTCTACCTGGGAGTAATCAGCTCTTGAAGACTTTATAAGGAGAGCTCTGTTTCTCATTGCCAGAATTCTGCACCACGCAATGACTCTCTTCTGCAGTCTTGAAAATACTGCAAGCTGGTAGCAACACAGTGTAAACAACTTGGAGGACCAACATGAAGACGCTTCAGAACCCTGGCACCTTCCTGAGACTTGGAAGGAGTCCTGCTCCTAATTGGAAACAGGCCGTGCCTGGAAGGGAAGCTGCTGTGTAAGTCTACCCCGTGAGGAACTGAACCAGCCATGCCATTCCCACTAAAGGAACACGGACCAGGGCCTGCTCCGTCAGCTGTGGCACCAAGCAGCTTGTTGTCTGTCCAGCTCCACTCTCTGGCACAGCAGCCCAGCCCATAGTATGAACAGAGAAACCCATAATCTATGATTTGGTGTGTGCCGGGAGTACCCAAAAAGCTCTACTAAACATTGACGGTCTCCTAAAAGATGAAACCTGGTCTTGATAAGGCCTTGTAAAAATACACTTCGTGGGATATTCCAACATGACTATTTCAGACTGAGTTCAATGTAAGGCTCAACTGCATATTCAGTATCAGGAGTGAAGAGAGAGGCTTGGAAGAGCCTCTTCTCTCACCTGCTGCACACTCAATCCAAGTCTTTTATTCCAAGTCTTAGTTTCATGGAATAACCTGACCAGCCACGTATTTTTATGTGCTCTTTCAGCCTAAGCTTTGCCAAGAACTAGACAAGCACAGATCTATGCCAGTGTCAAAGCAGTCAGTGGGAGGGGTAAAAACACATCAAGTAAAGGACATGGACAAGGGGAAATTGAGGCAAAATGCCTTGGCAGTTTTGCTGAGCTCTTCCTTCCCTTCTGGTGAGGATGCTATGGGATAAGATGTGCCTTGGGTCTATCTTTCCCTTCTCTGATAAAGCAGAGATGTTGAGACCAAAAGAGGTAGGTATTGGAGGGAGCAGGTGAGTGTCTGTGTGTGTGTTGGTTGCCGGGGGTGGTTAAAGAAGCCAAACATGCCAAGATCAACCCAACCCTATGTGATGAGAGCAGGAAAAGATACCAGGTAAGGGGATGTCTTCTGGGTGACAGGGAGAAAACTGAGAAACAAAATGACACAAGAAAGAAACTAATAAGGAGGGACTGAACATCTCAAAAGGCACAAACAAACGGACATACCTGTTTCTTCTTTGCTCTCAGATAGTGGGGTCTTTTCAGCATCTTAAATTTTATATACAATGAAAGAGCCTTTTGAAAAGCTTTGATCAAAAATGGAAGGCACAAATTTAAGCAGCCTTTGCTTTTTCTTTGGAAAGCACTAAGCTGAGATCATGAATAGCCAGCATCTGTCCACTGAGAGCAGGTGCTTTCGCGTTGGATGGTGGGGAGTGGTGGAGCAGAGAACAGGCTTCTGGGTGCTCCGTGGAAGCATCCATCCCCGGTGGCTTTTTCCTCCCTGGCTCTGACACCTGAGGCTCTGAACATCAGACTTGGTTGCCCCCACCAAATGTAGCTTACAGCAGCACGTGCTCCCCATAAGGATCCATCCTTGTTTACTGTCACCTGTCACCTACCTAGAGTTCAGAGTTGATCACCCTCTCACTGAACCCAAAGCCCACTCTCATCCATGCCTGGGATCCCCTTTCTGCTCACCTAGGGTTTCACTACCAGGGACTCTGTAGCTGGCTTCCAAAGCATAGCTCTCGCTCTGAATGTGTCTGAAAACTCACGTAATACAATCAAGTGTCCTGAAAAAAAAAAACATGCATATCATCTTGAGTCAGAAAACATAGGTTTAGTTCTACCACTTACAGATTATCATCACACTGAAAGACAAGTTTGGTGTCAACAGAGGGTTTGTCTTGAACACTTCCACATCCTGGATGCCTAGAGACGTGCTACCTAAAACTGTGACCAATGTGCAGCTGTACTCAACACTTGAATAGTGGCTCCTCTCAGTTGGGGTGTGCTGTAACCTTTGAAACTGGATTCCAAACATGTAGAAAGAAAAGAATCTGATAGATCTCATTGATAATTTTTATCTTGACAACTTGTTGAAATCATATTTTCAATATACCAGAAAAAATAAAATATTGTTTAAATTAATTTTACCTGTTTCTCTTTCTTTTTAAAATACGGCCACTAGAAAATTTAAAACAACCGAGGATGGTGACACACTCCTATAGTTCCAGCAACTTGGGAGGCTGAGGCAGGAGGCCAGGAGTTTGAGGCAATAGCGTGCTATGCTCACACTGTAAATAGCCACTGCCCTCCAGCCAAGGCAATATAGGGACACCCTGTCTCTAAGATAAATTAAATTAATTAAAAATTTAAAATCATTTATGTGCCTGCATGCTATTTCTATTGGGCAGTGTTAGCCTAGACTTTTGCCAGGTACACTATCGGAGACCAATACTTATTACATGAATAAATGTATACACACAATATAAATACTGTAGCTGCTTGGACCCAGTGTTTAAACTTGCTAAATCTCTTTGTATTTTTACTCTTGGATATGAGAATAAAAATATTGATCCCACCAGATTTGTTGTGAGGACTAATTGAGATAATGCTGCCCAAAGGTTAAAATATTACCCAATGATAGGTTATTTTTATATTTTTATTTAAAGCTTGTTGAATGCTTAAAGAATGAGAATACAGTGTAATTGAATAGTTCCCTAATTATTGACATTCTTATCATCAGAACATGTAAGCATTGAGTACAACTACTTTAAAAAGAGACAAGATTAATACTCTAAAACCACATTCATTATTCGTCTCATACACTCAGAAAGCAGACTTCAGCAGAAAATAAAAGATATGCCAAAATTACAGTGGAATAGATTTATTTGACAGCTTAGTGAAAATGTAAATACACAATTGTTTTGCATTTTAGATTTAGGCCTTGGTAGGCTGTTTCTCATTTGGGGTAATTAACCGTTTGGTTTACTAAAGTATATTTTACATTTTCCAAGTAGGAAAATGGCTTCGAATAGAATAATAAGGTGGGATAGTGAATGAAAAAATTGTCAAATTAGGAAGATGCAAACCAACATAAGAAAATCACGGTGTTTCTGACTTACGCATCCCTGAACATCTGCCGGCAGTAACCATATTCTCAACTCTAATACAATTGAAATATACAACTTAAAGGGGAAAGCAGAACAAAAATCCTGGGTTTCTTCCTTATCACAGATCAGGTTACTCAACTATTAGTGCTTACGCTGGTTAAAAATTCACCTACTTTGAAATGCAGTGACTATCATATAAATTTAAGGGGAAAGTGGCTATTGATGTTTTATGCTCCAAATTTAATCAAATGAAATGCATTCTTAAGCACTGACACATTCATGCTTTCTTAAAATGTGCCTTTTCATAGGAAGTCTGGGTTTTGTTGTCGAGATAGAAATCTTCATTCTTTTTCCACTCTCAGTCTTTACATATTTATAATATACTAAAGCAGTGGTTCTCCACCCGGGCTGATTTTGTGCCCCAGAGGACATTTGGCAATGTCTGGAGACATTTTTTGTTGTTGTTGTCACATGGAGGAAGGGATCTATAGAGTCCTGTGGGTAGAGGCTAGGGATGCTACTAAACATTCTGCAAGGTACAGGACAGCCCCCAATAACAAAGAATTATTCATCCCAAAAGGTCAATACTACCACTTTTGAGAAACACTTTCCTAAAATAAATGCCTATAAAATGTTTCAGGAGGGTTTTTTTTAAGTGCTTTGTGCTATACACAGCAGATGGAAGAAAGTTGGACATACACTTAATGACCTAAGATGTCCATAAATGTATGATTACAGGGATAGGGCAGCATAAATATTTCCCTTGCAGTGAATAAGATAGCTCATTATAGAAAAACTTAGGGATAAGCCATGAAATCAGTCTCTAAGAATTGATCAGGGGAAAGAACAATGCTGGCCACCTGTTTAATATAACTGAAACAAAGTTTATACCAATAAAGCACTCCTTGGCACACTTTATCCAACATTTATCAACTCATTGAGCCCCTGGTATCTAAGAGGGCTGACTAGAAATTTTGGAGGATGTAAAAGTAGGAAATTCCATTGTTACCCACCAGCAAACTTACTATAGACTTAAGATAGCCCTTCAAAAAATATCTCTGGAATTAAAATCTAGGAGGCATTACACCACAGAAAATAAGAATCCCAGCTTTGGAATCATCAAAAGACAAACCTAGATTTGAATTAAGGCCTGCCCTGGGAAGAGTCTCTTAATTTGAGTCTCAGATTTCTCATCTGTAAAATGGGGATGAAAATACCCACTCAGTGGGGTACTTGTGAAGATTATGTGCGATGGTGTACGTAAATTGTCTAGCAAGGTGCTTACGCCACAGCAGTTACTCAATAAATGCCAATTGCCTTGCTTCTTAAAGTCCCTAATGGTGTTTTCTTCTTTACACCTAAGTAATCATGGTGAGGTGAAATGAAATGGAAGACGTTTTGGGAGATATTATGGAAACGTCAACTTTTTAAGAAAAAGCTAACTCAAAGCAAGTGAACAAACAAACCCTTAACTCCAAAGGACTACTATGAAATAAAAAAGTGATAGAAATATTTGGAAACCTGGTTACAATACTGCTTACAAATGTTAGAAGAAGCCGAAGTCTGTTAATGATGGAATATTCCCAGTTGAAAAGTACACTACTCAAGAACACAGTATGACTTATACTATTCCAATAAAATAAGACAGGACCTAGAATTTGAAAAAGAACTTGATATCTATACCTAAATAGAAATCAAGAGCTGTTTGTGAATGTCCTCAGATCAAAATTCATTTATAAAAATCTTAATTTTTTGTATTGCACATATTTAAATATTTTCCACAGAAATCCTATTGATTTCTTTGGTGCTGTCATCAACAACAAATGTCTGTAGTTCTCAATATTTTTCAAGTATTTTCATATCTCTATTTTAAGTTTTTGTCACCATTCTATAAGATAAATAGAGCAGGTCTTAATATTCCTATTTTGTTGAGGAGCATATGGAGACTGTGAGATTAAGTAATTTGGGGCACTTTCCCACAAATTCATGGCAAAATTGGCTCTAAGTCCCTAACACTCTCTCCAGTCTTCCTTCCATATAATAGCTCTTTCTTGTCATATACGTAGTTCTATTTAACAAGTAATTTTGAGCATTTAGTCAAGAAAGATAAGTAACCCACAGCCTGCCTCAAACACCTACAACCCAGTATGCACATAATTATAACATGGGAGTGTTACATGATATAAAAAGTGTAAAAAAATGCTCTGTGAATGGAAAGAAAGGGGAGACATCTCAGGCAGGCAGGAAAGTAGAAGGTAGTATTCCAAGTAGACGCTGATGTGTAAATGGTATTTTGACAGAAGATACAGAGAAGAGGGATCTGCAGGAGAAAAAGAGAACAGAATACTTGGTGGCACTTGCAGGAATCAGAGAGGAAGAATTTGGCTGGAGTACGGGGTGCCATATATCCATTGGAAGTGGGAGATTAATTTGGAAAGTTAAATTGATGCCACATTGTAGAAGCAAGTGCATGCTTGGGTGAGGAGTGTGTATTTAATTCTGTAAATACTGTGGAAACTTCATAGAATGAGGGAGATCAGTTTGGATTTCTACAACACCTCCCAGTGGGACAGCCCTGCCTCTGTGTCCCATTGAGTTCTGAGTACAGCTCTTTATATACTGGTCATGCATGCCAGTTTCTAAGATACTCAAGAATAAAGGTTGTATCTTAATTATCTTTAAATTTCTGTGGCAAAATTACTCTGCAAATCACACGCTAAGCACCCCACAAAGCCTTTCAGAAAAAAACAAGTAAATATGAATGAATGAATGAATGAATGAATGACCAAGCTAAAGAAGTGAGCATGGAAAGGAAGGGAATAAATATATAAAATAATGTGGAAAGAAACCAGCACTGATTGGTCCACATCGACTCAATAGGAAGCAGTGGAAATGAAAAGAGTAGACATGACTTTGAGCCCTGGTTTTGGGGCAACTGAGAGAATGGTGGATACCAAAAACAGGGAAGTTAGAAGATAAAGCTGATTTAGGGAAGGAGATGATGAAGGTAGAGAGAACATCAACAGAGAGTTTCATACAGTTAGTTGAGAATCCCCACCTGCGTATCTGTATTTTGGTGTAAATGTAACCTGGATTGAACGCTTTAGCAAGGTGTGTTGAATATTCTCTCAGTGAAGGAAATGTGTGGTCATTTTAAAATTGTACTTTGGTAAAAGCCGGAGGTTTTAAAAATCTTGATAATTAACTACCTGTGAAAATAGTGGCACCTTGAGAAGAACACTAGAGGTCAGGAAGACAGCTCAGAAAATGAGCATAATTCATGTTTGCACAATCCCAGCACAACACTTAAACAGTGCAGAGACTGGCAGAAGGAACCTGCCCTTAAATAGCCGTGCTGTATGCAATGAGTGCCATACAAGAGGCATAACCACACGGTAGTCAGCACAGCACCTGAAACACACTCAGAGACATTTTTGAGTGCTTGAATGAATGAGGGAATAAATTAGTATATGGGTGGCCAGACGCGGTAGCTCACATCTGTAATCCCAGTACTTTGGGAGACCGAGGCAGGTGGATCACCTGAGGTCAGGAGTTCGAGACCAGTCTGGCCAGCATGGTGAAACTCCATCTCTACTAAAAAATACAAAAAAAAAAAAAAAAAAAAGCCAGGTCTGGTCGTGGACACCTGTAATCCCAGCTACTCAGGAGGCTGAGGCAAGAGAATCGCTTGAACCCAGGAGGCAGAGGTTGCAGTGAGCCAAGATCGCACCATTGCACTCTAGCCTGAGCGACAAGAGAAAAACTCCGTCTCAATAAATAAATAAATAAATATTGACTCAACAAAACATATAGGATGCAAAATTATCTGTTTTGTGCATTTGATGTATTCCATATTAATCATATTTCTTAAAATATGTCTAGACAATTGAGATGGGTATAGGAGAAGTGTTCCTTCCCAAGTATTTTGAGATATCTTACATTAATATGACAGAATTGAGCAACCTCCTTTTCCTCTTAAAGAACTAGGTAACAGGCGAACTTGGCAAAAACAAAGTAAAGAATGGGTAGGTAATTTCTTACACAACATCACTGTACCTAGAGCAAACAAGCCCCACAACCATCACATGTACACACACACACACATTTAAACAAAAGTCAAGTGCTTTGAGTCCAAGGTTGCTAAGCAGAAGGCAGAGCCAAGGCTGAAGCCAACACAAGAAACCATGGCAGTCCTTAATGAGGAGTAGCAAAGCAGAGAGAAAGGATGTGATGCTAGAGGAATTCCCAAGCCACTGGGGGCACCCATCACAATTGCTAATGGGGCTCCTAGCCACTTGGATGGGCCTACCAGGTACATGCAAATGAACCAAAGGAGAATAAATAGAATTTTCCTGATACAAAGTAAGACATTCGTAGAGGACATTACAGGCAAATGCATAGCGTTTTCATCTTTGTAAAAGACCATCTGCAGTTTTACACCAAAATTTCTTTTCTTAATTTGTCTTCTATTATAGAAACATGTACTTAGAGATTTTTGAACTTTTCATCATATAATACACTCCAACATGCTTTCATGATGATGCATTGGTTTAAAAAGGTTCCAGTAAGAGTCAAAACAATCAAAACATATAGAATGCAATTTAGCATTAATGTTTCTGATTTTGTAGAAATTTTAATTTCATTGGATGAGGTGCATATAAATGGTGCTTCTATAATTAAGGATTCAAATAACAGAACATATACTTGTAAGTTCGTATATTATTATATATATATAACTAGGATCTCAACTCAATTTTCCTTGAATTGTATACCATTAGACATGAAATATAGCTCTATTGCATTCTGTTTTTATTTTTTAATTTTTATGAATACATAGTAGGTATATATATATACATATATTTCTGAGGTACATGAGACATTTTGATATAGGCATTCAATGTGTAATAATCACATCAGAGTAATTGGGGTGGGGGGTATCCTCTGCAGCATTCTTGCCTGATGGCCAATCTTATTATGGTTAAGAAGCTGACACTTCAACTGCCTAGCAGATATACAGCCTCAACAGAAACTATGAAGCAAGAAAACTAAGGAAGACATGAGCTGTTTAATGTTAAGATGATATTTTCACATTACAGGAAATTTGTGTATGTTATTTGGGCTTTATGAATACAGATATTGAAGAAGTGTAGGAACAAGGGGAGGAGACAAAAAGGTACATTATGGAGGAATATTTAAAAATGGGAATTGGGGATTTTTAAAAAGTACTTTGGACTTCAGATGATAATGATCTAATACTAAAATGTCCACCCTGGCAATAACATTTGGAGCAAGCTCTATTGCAACCAGTTTGAAGGAAATGATCGAATTAGAATTTCATTAAATCAGAATATCTAGAAGTCAATGATTTCTAATCTGGAAATTAAAATCTAATCTAATCTGGATATAAAATCTAGAGTCAGAAAATTAATCTAACCAGATACTCCTGGGGCTTCTGTTCTTCTTTTTATTGTGAAAGAGAAGACAGCTGATCCCTAAGCTCCATTCCATGAGTCCACAGTGCTGCCCATGTCAACCACAGGGGGAAATGTCTGCCCTACGGCTAAGTGGTTGTCTGACCTAAAGAAAGGTCTTTTGTTCCATGAAAGAGGCGGCTTATCCTCACCATTTGATTTCTTAACATTTAGAATGTTCATTACGGGTCTAATCAAGGATGCACTAGCTGTCATAACATCTTAATTGCTGTAGATAATCATCAAGAGCTTAAAGGCACGGATGTGCATGCGAAACATTTGCTGGGGTCCTGGTTCCCAGGCAAGAACAAGGCCACAGCTGTCTCACTGGAGTTTAAGTTTTATATTTAAGGGAATATGCTATTACCAAATCAGATCTGATGAATTAACTTTCATAATAAAAGTTATCCTTTTGTAGTAACACAGAGCAAATGCTTAATCAAACCAAATGCTGGAGACAGAGAGAATCTTACTCAAATTAAAGTGAGTGTGTGTGTGTGTGTGTGTGTGTGTGTGTGTGTGTGTGATGGAGGGAGGGAGGGGTGGAGAGGGGCAAATGTGTTTATGCCTTTATGGTATAAGATGAGGAAAAAAAACTTTTCAAGACCAATCATTACTTTTACTATCTTTCTCGTTATTACTGGTTTTCAGCAATTTCATTGATATGTGCTTTTTCTTCATGTTTCTTGTGCTTGGAATTTGTTGATCTTTTTATATCTGTGAATTTATAGTTTTCATTACACTTGAAAACTTTCCAGCCATTGTTTCTTCAAATAAAATTGCTTGCCGCTCTCATCCAGTATCTTTTCACATGGGCACTGCAATTAGATATACGTTTATCCATTTGAAATTGTCCCAAAGTTCTGCCTTTCTTTTTTTGTCTTATTTCTTTCTGCATTTCATTGTAAATCATTTCTATTGCTATGTTTTCAATTCATTAATTTATTTTTCCTCTAATGTTAATTTATGGTTAATCCCATCTAGTATATTTTTCATCTCAGACACTGTGGTTTTTATCTCTAGTCATCTGATTTGGGTTATTTGTATTTTTTCCACTTCTCTACATGTTCAGTATTTCTTCCATTTTCTTGAACATCTGGAATACAATAATAATATCTGTTTTAATGTCCTTATTTAATAATTCCATCATTGGTGTCATTTCTGAGTCAGCTTTTATTGATTGATTCTTTCCTCTTCATTACTGTATTTGCCTGCTTTTTTGCATGCCTGATAATTTTTTACTGGATGCCAGAAATTTTAGACTTGACCTTGCATGTTGGATATTTTTAATTCCTATAAATATTATTGACTTTCATTCTGTTGAACTACTTGAAAATGGTTTATGTCTTTCAAATCTTGCTTTTAAGTTTAGTGAGGCAGAATCAGAGCAGGTTTATTGTAGCTTTTACTCTCTCTGGTACTGAGGCAAGACCCTTCTTGGTTCTCCAACTGATAGTCCATTAATTATAATAAAACTTTCCACACTGGCTATTGGGAACAGCCATTATTCCTGGTCTTGTGTGACCTTCGGGCACTGTTCCCTCTATCCTGTTGCGTGGTTCTTTCCCCAGCCTGGAGTAATTTCCTCATATGTATGTGCCGATTACTGCTCAACTGAATATTCAGGGAGACATTCTGCAGACTTCTGGTGTTCTCTCTCCGTACAGCTCTCTGCTTTTTGGTATTTCACCTTGCTGACTCTAGCTGCCTTGTCTTGCCCAGACTGTCTCCTCAACTCAAAAACCGTGTGCATCTTTCTGTGTTCCCTTCTTTGTGCTGTAGTCACAAAACTTCCTTTTAAGTATGATCACTTCATTTTCCAGTTTTTTTATTGTTACAGGTGGGAGAATAAACCCCACCCCATCTTGACTGGAAGTAGAAGTCCTCAAGTCCAATCACTACTAACACTACTGATAATTTATACAGCAACAGATATCAAGGCATAATACAAAATTTGGGGGTGACATTTATAAGAAAAAAGAGAAATAAAAATAAACTTTTAAAGCCTACTGAAAAACTTAAATCTCCCAAGAGAAATTTCATTATCAAAAACTGACAACACTTTATGGTTAAAAAAAAAATCTTCTTATGTGAGTTAACAAATCTCTCTATTGTTTGAGCTATTTTGACTTGGTTCCATATGTTACGTGAAGCTGAGAGCATTCCTACTAATATGCTAAGTGGTGAACTGGTGTTTTTCATGCATTCTTTACCTTTCATCAAGAATTCTATGAGACAGATATTATTGCCATTTTTCAGAAAGGACATACAGCTTTAAAAAAGGTCAGTAACTTGTACAAGTTCATGAAATTAGAAGTACTGGTTTTAGGATTCAAACTCATTATGTTGGACTACAGAGCCCAGACATGTCCATATGATAAACCATGTAATAGAATCTTTTTCAAATGATGACTCTGTCATCATGGGATCATTGAAAGTTATTTTATTGCCTCCATTTTATCTGTGGCTTCAGTGAGAATCAATGTATTTTTCTTTTCTCTCCAGTCCTCAGACAGAGTCCTTCAAGGCAAAATTCCTGCCTCCTGGTACTCAGCAATGTGTTTTATCATAAACATTACCTAAACACTAAGGTGGGACACACGTTTCCTACTCTGAGGGAGTGCTTTCTAACAATAAGATGATCACAAAGAAATGAAGGGACTGTCTTAGGAAGTAATTTCCTGTCACAGACGTTTTTTGCTTCTTATTTTTTGAGACAGAGTTTTGCTCTTGTTGCCCAGGCTGGAGTGCAGTGTCGCAATCTCGGCTTACTGTGACTTCTGCCTCCTGGGTTCAAGCGATTCTCCTGCCTCAGCCTCCTGAGTGACTGGGATTACAGGCTCCCACCAACCACACCCAGCTAATTTTTGTATTTTTAGTGGAGATGGGGTTTCACCATGTTGGCCAGGCTGACCAGTCTCAAACTCCTGACCTCAGGTGATCCACCCACCTCGGCCTCCTAAAGTACTGGGATTACAGGCGTGAGCCAATGCTCCCAGCCCATAGAGGTTTTAACATAGACTGAGGATGGCTGTATAGTGAAGATGTGGCATTAATTTAACAGGTAGCTCGGCAAAATAATCCATTCTTAATCAACAATAATAAGGTTTCATGGAACTCGCAGGCTTTCTATGGAATAATTTATCTGTATCCATTCTATTTGTCAACTTTCCATTTCACTTCATCTCTCAAAAGATTGAAAGGATAAATGAGGAAAAAACCCAAATAACTTCTAGCTTCTCTAGGGAAAGATTTCACAGTGTGCAGTGTAAATATTGGCATTTTATAGCCTGTCGTTTATTTCAATCTGCAAATACTAAGTTTCTGCTCTGTGTAAACCACTTTGCTAGGCATTTTCTAAACAAAAAGAAAAGGATAATACATATCCCTTTCCCCTGAAGAATTTTCAACAACTTACTTGATCAAACACATGCACATAGGATGTTAAGCAAAATATAAGGCAAATCAAGTCATGATATTTGACAAAATAAAATTATGGGTAAAACTTAATGGGGGTAAATGTTAGTGGGTCTGGGTCTTTAAAAAGGAGATACAACCTTCTTGTACTTTTAAATAACCTCAAGTCAAACAAATAAACCATTTGCCAGTTGTTGTTGTTTTTTGTTGTTGCTGTTTTATTTTTAACCTCTTTGTAGTGAAAACCCATGTGGTAAATACTACTCACTGGCTAAAATAACCAAGATATTAGACAAAATCTTGACCAAAGGCAAATATGTGAAACTATACATTTATGGCCATGACCTTGCATTGTACATTTACATCAGGGCTTTCTAACCTACGTTCTTCAGATTCCATGAAGTTGAATAGAAAAAAATTATATCTTCAATTTCACTAATCTTATCTGAAATGTAGCATTTCTTTCAACAAACCACAGTATTACTAGCAGTTTCTATCACATTGCCAGGAATAAAAATTACAGACACTTTCATATCACATTATAACTTTGCAGATATTTCAATGTATCATTTATGCTCATCCTACTTCAAAAAGGAGTCAATATCAAGCCTCCTGTTCATTCTTGCCTTTTATAGCATTAATAAAGACACAAATATTACTACATCACAAACTTGGTATTTCTTTAAATATTGTGATCAACATTCATTTCCATATGATTGATTTTCTTTATAAGCCTGTGTTTTGTTTTATTAGAAACGTTAGCCAGACTACCAAAGGGTCCATGGCATGAAAAAGCTTAAGGACCTCTCATTCAGTCACATTCACCTTCTGCTTGAATTTTGGTGAATATTTTGCTATTGGCAGCAGATATTCATTACTGCTCTATGTTTCAAGGTTTGCTCCACATTTGACTTTTGGATTTTCAATAATTGAAAAGTTGGATACATTAGAGATTATTAGTGTTAAACAGAACAGAATTTTTAAATTAATTTTTAAAATTTGTCCCTCACATATGCTTTGGGCATTTTTATCTCTATTCAGTAAATGAAAGGAAACCACTCACAAGTCTCTCTCTATGACAGCAGTGTCCAGGTATGATGCATGAAGTCTTGGATCTGGAATGTATTTTATGGATTTCAGAAGTCTCTACCCTGGAAATGAGCCTCTTCCTGCCATAGGAGAAGTACAATCTTTTTCTTTCTTTTTTACCTTAAACTTCCTGAGAACAATTTAACCTCAATGAACTCAGTTCTTAACATTCAGATGCTTGCTCTTTGAAAAATCTGTATCTCTTTTGTACACAAGTTAATTCATATTACATAAACACCTTTTAAATCATATATGTAAAACTTTTTGTCAAAACATACAAATTCACATTACTTCTGATGACTGTTTGCTCCAAAATAAAATGTAGGGTGCATTTTGTTTCAAAGAAATAAACATCAAAAGATGACTGTTGGCCATTTAAACTGAGATGGCCAGTTTATTTTGCTCTCTTCATGATGTTATCTAGTATTTAGGTGAAGATTAATAAAAATTAAATATAAGAGAGCATATTACAAAGAGATGGCTGTTACGCTGTTTTATTTTATGTCACTTTGAGAAAATAATTTTAAGATGTCACATTTCAGAAAGAGTTTTGTATGTGTGGAGTGTTTTAAATTTATGAATTTCTTAAAACACTCCCATTACAAATAGCTTCTGGGCATATGTACACATTGGATAAATAAAAACAAGAAACTGGCCACAAACAGCAGCCCCATGGGAAGTCTTGGTCCAACCATGACATTCTCGGCCAGAACCTCGTCTACAGCCTGCTAATTCCCATGGAATTCCAAGTCAGAATTTAACCATTTCTGCGTATGTTGATTTGCTCCCATAGCCATCTGAAAACATGTTTCTTAGGGAATAATTAGGACAATGGGGGTTACCCAACAAAACTTATCTCTATCTTTTTTTATTTCCATGTGACAAGTTCATATGAATCTCAACATAGACAAACAGTGCTATTTCGAGTACTTAACTCTAAAATTAATGAGGGTGGTTTAGGCCCCAAGGAAATTTCACAGATGATGTGTTCTTGAAACAGTTGTTCCCATGAGACTCATTTTCATCACTCACACAGTTTTCTATCTATAATTAGATGACATTATTTCATTTTCAAAGTCTCACGTTGTAACTCTATTTACAGGTTTTTTGGTCACATGTCTCTTCATAGGAGATCCAGTATGAAAATTAGGATGAGTCAGATGATGTGAGTTTTCAAGATGCATTAATAATACCACTTTGGGTATCTTCTTCAAGCTTTCAAACACAAATATACCAAAAAAAAAAAAAAAGAGTCAATTTCCATTTTTAAGCCCTACAGAATCTACTAGAGAGATTATGATTATGAGATTGATTTTCGGATTTGGTGCTCCATCTGAAAATGAAAAACAAGGTTTGTCTTGAAATCAGTTTGCCTTGAAATCACTTGGGCCTGCATAAAGGTGTGTCTCACATTGGATTAAGGAAGATGGTGACACCTGATATGCTAATGACTCACAAGCAGTAATGGAAGGTGCAGAGTGAGTGGAGCTTCAAGGCTGCAGTAATTCACGCTCACTTAATTTATCTGGAATGTGGCTATGGTTATTACCATGAAATTCTCCAAAGATGAGTAATTTCCACAATGAGATTCTTAAAGCTTACTGACAATTCCACATTTTGAGTAGGTAAGGAAAACAGACTTAAGAATCCTTTTTTTTTTTTTCAAAACAAGAACTTAACTATTTATATTTGGGAAAATTGGAATGAATGGCAGATTTTTGAGAGAGAAAAAGGAAAATCTTTTTCATGGGACTCTTATAGCATTAAAAATGATCCTCATAAAAGGTCTTGCTCAGAAATTGGAAACAATTCTTCACATTTGAATTTGGAATATCCAACTAAACATGTTCTGAGGTAGAGATTCTCAGATAAAATACGTCTTTCATAATGCCCTTCTGAACACTATCATCCAGCTTGATTATTGCTTCCCTCCAGGTTGATGAAACCACCATTTGGGGCCGGGCACGGTGGCCGACACCTGTAATCCCAGCACTTTGGGAGGCTGAGGCAGGCAGATCATCTGAAATCAGGAGTTTGACACCAGCCTGGCCAACATGGTGAAACCCCATCTCTATTAAAAATACAAAATTAGGCCAGGGGCAGTAGCTCACGCCTGTAATCCCAGTACTTTGGGAGGCCGAGGCGGATTGATCATTTCAGGTGAGGAGTTCGAGACCAGCCTAGCCAACATAGTGAAACACTGTCTCTACTAAAAATACAAAAACTAGCTGGGCGTTGTGGCAGGCACCAGTAATCCCAGCTACTAGGGAGGCTAAGTCAGGAGAATTGCTTGAACCAAGGAGGCGGAGATTGCAGTGAGCTGAGATCGCGCCATTGTGCTCCAGCCTGGGTGACAAGAGTGAAACTTTGTCAAAACAAACAAACAAACAAACAAACACCATTTGATTCACACAACAAATTAAGAGTGAATTTTAGTTTTCCTGTGTAATGAAGATACTAACTATATAACCAGGCTAATTTTGAAATACTTTCTAAGAAAAATTAAATGATTTGGTTTTATAAATATACAAAAATTCAAGTTAAAACATCAGCCCTAATATGATCTGTGTACTCTGTGTAAGATGTGGCATATGCAACTTGGCCCAAATGCAGGAAAAATCCTGAAGGACAATTCAAAACAATGGATTCAAGAAGACATACTGTTAGAAAAACATGAATTTGCAAATCAACTTTAAAAATTACTGTATTATCCCCTCAAATTTTTAAAGTAATCTCATAAATCAATTGTAAACATTCCAAAAGAACAAGCCCTGGAAAGAAATAGATCAGAATTAACATTTCAGTATGACTTTGAACAAATTACTTAACTTTTCCAAGCTTCATTTGGCTGCAAAATAGAACTAGTTAAATACCTATCTCATGGGGTTGTGTGAGAATTAAATAAGCAAATGTCTATAAAGTACTTAGCAAGACTCCTAGCACTCAATAGCACATAAGCACTCAGTAAAGGATACCTGTAATTATAACAGTACGTGACACTTTACTACTATTTGATTCAAGGTAGCTTACAAATATACATGAAATACAACACAATAAAATAAAGACACAAGTAAATTGGCAGAGAGGAAAAACAAGGGTAGGAAAAATAACATGAGGCCAGTAAAGAGGTAAATACACAAAACCTGTACTGCTCCTGCAGTCCTCCAACAAATATTTACTGAGTGCCTACTATGTGCTCATTTCTGTACTGTGGAACCCTGCAGTGAACAAGATACATGATCCTGCATTTGTGGAATATCTGTCCTGTATCTGGTAAAGATGAGAGACATAACTATAATTGGTATTAAGGCATTTTCACATTTTTAGCCCATTTCTTAATATTTCTTTTCTTTTTCTTTTTCTTTTTCTTTTTTTTTTAGATGGAGTCTCACTGTGTCACCCAGGCTGGAGGATTACAGGTACACATCACCATACGCGGCTAATTTTTGTATTTTTTTGTAGAGATGGGGTTTCACCATGTTGGCCAGGCTGGCCTCAAACTGCTGGCCTCATGTGATGCACCTGCCTTGGCCTCCCAAAGTGCTGGGATTATAGGCAGGAGTACCACACTTGGCCAATATTTATTTTCAAATCACACGTATATCAATATAAATTATTAGGACAGATTTTCTTCCTTGGGCAATTTATAAAAAATCTGCAACACTGTAAGAAATGCAGAAGACAGTTCTTCCTCTATCAACATGCTTAGGATGATGGGAGTACAGATACACACAGAACTCACGCAGAGTGAGTGTAGAATGCTTTGTACTATGTATCTCAGCCTGGCCTCATGGACCCCGGTATGGACCCAGAGGGTGAGGGTTGGATGTCCTGCATCTGTCTGTCCTGACACTGTGAGCACTGTCACCAGTTATCCACTGAAGGTCCCATCTAGATAGTGGTGATACATGAGGATGTTTCAAGTGATTACCAGGATAGAGGAAGACAATTTTGGACATTCTACTTATATTTTATAATAATAATAATAATAAAATAAATTATGCTTTACTAATATTTAATGTGTGGGTGGATGCTAGTGACCTCACTCAGCCTGCATGTCACATCAAGTGTGACCTGGCATGTGGGGTAACCTGAGAGAGGAACAGAAGCTCCTACCAGTGGGCTCAACAGCAGCCCCTGCCCTCCTCTACTTACTGCATTCATGCAGAGTATATTAGGAAATTCTGCAGTTTACATATGCCAGACTGAAAAGTTGTCGAGTTTGTATTAGTCCTTTCTTGTACTGCTATAAACAAATAGCTGAGACTGGGTAATTTATAAAGAAAAGAGGATTAGTTGGCCGACGGTTTCACAGGCTCTGCAGAAAGCATGATGCTGGTATTTGCTCAGCTTCTTGGGAGACCTCAGGGAACTTGTACTCATGGATAAAGGCATTGCCTTAAGCAACCACGTCTTGTGAGAACTCACTATACAGTACCAAGGGAGGATGGTGTTAACCATGAGAACCTCGCCCCCATGATCCAACCACGTCCCACCATGCCCTTCCTCCAACACTTGGGATTACAATTCAACATGAGATTTGGGTGAGGACACAGATTCAAGCCAAATCAGAGTTTATATTATCTGGTTTTAACTGAATGTGTAACAAAATGGACTAGTGACTTAAAAAGAGTCTGGCAAGGAAAACATGCATGAAAGATAATAAAAATAACAAAAGTACAAGTTAACAATTTTTCTAAAAAAATTGTCAGGGAAATCCAAATTAAAACCACAATGAGATACCACCTTACTCCTGCAAAAAAATGGCCATTATTAAACATCAAACACAATAGATATTGCTGTGGATGTGGGGAAAAGAGAACGCTTTTACTCTGCTGGTGGGAATGTAAATTAGTACAACCTCTATAGAAAACAGTATGAAGATATTTTAAAGAGCTAAATATAGAACCCCCACGTGATCCAGCAATTCCACTCCTGGGTATCTACCTAAATGAAAAGAAGTCACTACATGAAGAAGACACTTGCACATGTATGTTTATAGCAGCATAATTTGCAATTGCAAAGATGTGGAACCAACCTAAGTGCCCATCGATTAACGAGTGTATAACAAAAATGTGGTATATGTACACCATGGAATATTACTCAGCCATTAAAAGGAAGGAAATAATGCCTCTTGCAGCAACTCGGATGGAGCTGGGGGCCATTATTCTAAGTGAAGTAACTTATGACTCAAAAACCAAAAACCATATGTTCTCACTTATAAGTGGAGGTAAGCTATGAGTACACAAAGGCATACAGAGTAATATAATGAACTTTAGAGACTCAGAAGGGGGAGGTTGGGAGGGGTCTAGGGATATATAACTACATATTAGGTATAATGTATGCTACTCAGGTGATGGGTGCACTAAAATCTCAGAATTCACCGCTATATAATTCATCCATGTAACGAAAAGCTCCTTGTACCCCCAAATGCCATTGAAATAAAAATTTAAACAAAAATAAAAATAAAATTCATTCAGACCCAACCAAAAAATAAATTAAGAGGCAGAGCTGAGACTTCTTTTTTCCCCAAAACAAGCTTATATTATTACAAAATAGAAGTAGAATGTCCAAAATTGTTACATCAGTAAAAACAACGACAATACAATCAGGTCTGACAAAAGGATGACCAACCAAATTAAACATTATCAAAACTCTCTGAAATTTGGGTTTTTGTCCACTTTAACAAATAATGACCTCACCCAAAGCATGTGGTGTACTTTAAGATATTATTTAATGGTAGAGTTCAGTCATCATGATTAGCAAGACATTTAAAACCTAAGCCTCAAGAACATAAAATCAAAGCTGTGATTTTTTTTTTCAAGCAATGTTTAAAGTCATGTAATAGGGCTTTACAAAATTTTTCTGAAACGGAGTGGAAATTGTCTTGAAGTCATTTTGGAGATCCCTTGCATAATAACGAAACAAAAAAATCTTTGGCACAATTTCAAGCTAAGATTACAGAGATATAATCGCACTTGAAACTCATACCCCACCTCTCTTAGAGCTATTGCAATAAAGAAGTGAAAGCCAGAAGTGCACAAAGTTCCTCAAGATGCCATTGAATTGTTTGCTTTTCAAAAAAAAAAAAAAAAAACCAGCACTTTTGTAGAGAAAATGGCATCATTCTTTGTCATCAGATGAGAGTAGTCATGAAGAGCAGAGGTTCCCTGGTTGTCCCTTGATTAAGTTACTAAGGTAACTTACTTAATTTAAAAAATCAAGTACTTTTTAAAGTATCTCCACTTAATAATGAGTTGCATGTTTTTCTTTTATTACAGCACGTGTTCTAAATTTGCCATCATTTTTTGTCATAAGTATCTCTCAATTGCATGCTGTCTAGCAGATCTAAATCTATATATCTGTATCTATTTAAATTTCCCCTGTTCCTTCAAAGTAAAGGTGATAATTCAACAATAACTTAGAAAAGATACTGCTTTTAGAGAGTAATACAAGATATAAATTGCAAGCATTAGAAAACAAGATTAGACAGGCAAGATAAAGAAATAAAGGATATTCAATTAGGGAAAGAGGAAGTTAAATTGTCCCTGTTTGCAGATGACATGATTGTATATTTGGAAAACCCCATTGTCTCAGCCCAAAATCTCCTTAAGCTGATAAGCAACTTCAGCAAAGTCTCAGGATATAAAATCAATGTGCAAAAATCACAAGCATTCCTTCACACCAATAACAGACAAACAGAGAGCCAAATCATGAGTGAACTCCCATTCACAATTGCTTCAAAGAGAATAAAATACCTAGGAATCCAACTTACAAGGGATGTGAAGGACCTCTTCAAGGAGAACTACAAACCACTGCTCAAGGAAATAAAAGAGGATACAAACAAATGGAAGAACATTCCATGCTCATGGATAGGAAGAATCAATATTGTGAAAATGGCCATACTGCCCAAGGTAATTTATAGATTCAATGCCATCCCCATCAAGCTACCAATGCATTTCTTCACAGAATTGGAAAAAACTACTTTAGAGTTCATATGGAACCAAACAAGAGCCTGCATTGCCAAGACAATCCTAAGCAAAAAGAACAAAGCTGGAGGCATCACGCTACCTGACTTCAAGCTATACTACAAGCCTACGGTAACCAAAACAGCATGGTACTGGTACCAAAACAGAGATATAGAACAATGGAACAGAATAGAGCCCTTGGAAATAATACCACACATCTACAGCCATCTGATCTTTGACAAACCTGAGAAAAACATGAAATGGGGAAAGGATTCCCTATTTAATAAATGGTGCTGGGAAAACTGGCTAGCCATATGTAGAAAGCTGAAACTGGATCCCTTCCTTACACCTTATAGAAAAATCAATTCAAGATGGATTAAAGATTTAAACGTTAGACCTAAAACCATAAAAACCCTAGAAGAAAACCTAGGCATTACCATTCAGGACATAGGCGTGGGCAAGGACTTCATGTCCAAAACACCAAAAGCAATGGCAACCAAAGCCAAAATTGACAAATGGGATCTAATTAAACTAAAGAGCTTCTGCACAGCAAAAGAAACTACCATCAGAGTGAACAGGCAACCTACAAAATGGGAGAAAATTTTCGCAACCTACTCATCTGACAAAGGGCTAATATCCAGAATCTACAATGAACTCAAACAAATTTACAAGAAAAAAACAAACAACCCCATCAAAAAGTGGGCGAAGGACATGAACAGACACTTCTCAAAAGAAGACATTTATGCAGCCAAAAAATACATGAAAAAATGCTCATCATCACTGGCCATCAGAGAAATGCAAATCAAAACCACTATGAGATATCATCTCACACCAGTTAGAATGGCAATCATTAAAAAGTCAGGAAACAACAGGTGCTGGAGAGGATGTGGAGAAATAGGAACACTTTGACACTGTTGGTGGGACTGTAAACTAGTTCAACCATTGTGGAAGTCAGTGTGGCGATTCCTCAGGGATCTAGAACTAGAAATACCATTTGACCCAGCCATCCTATTACTGGGCATATACCCAAAGAATTATAAATCATGCTGCTATAAAGACACATGCACATGTATGTTTATTGCGGCACTATTCACAATAGCAAAGACTTGGAACCAACCCAAATGTCAATCAGTGATAGACTGGATTAAGAAAATGTGGCACATATACACCATGGAATACTATGCAGCCATAAAAAAGGATGAGTTCATGTCCTTTGTAGGGTCATGGATGAAGCTGGAAACCATCATTCTCAGCAAACTATCACAAGGACAGAAAACCAAACACCACATGTTCTCACTCATAGGTGGGAATTGAACAATGAGAACACTTGCACACAGGAAGGGGAAATCATACACTGGGGCCTGTCGTGGGGTTGGGGGAGGGTGGAGGGATAGCATTAGGAGATATACCTAATGTAAATGAAGAGTTAATGGGTGCAGCACACCAACATGACATGTATATACATATGTAACAAACCTGCACGTTGTGCACATGTACCATAGAACTTAAAGTATAATAATAATAAAAAATAAAATAAAATAAAAACAAAAAAAGACAACAAGATTAGAAATATTTTCATTGCTACATGACTTACAGAAGGAAAAGCTGTATGTCACTACAGAAATTCAGATTTATGCAGTCAAATCTAGAAAAAACTTTCTAATCTGTTTTGAAATCTTCCAAATGAAGAGTTTCAATTTTTTTTAACCAATCAGTTAAAAATATTTAAAAATCAGCATATTCTGATTAATTAAAAATAAAACTAAATGACCTCCAAGAATATGAAAACTTACCAGCCAAATTCTGGTAAAAAATATTACATGATTGATGGATGACATTTAAAAATGAGTACTATAGCTTAGAAAGCACAGTCCTAGATACACGTCTTTCATTTGAATCTACGCATATTTGTTTTTGTTTTTTTGTTTTTTTTTTTTTTATTATACTTTAAGTTTTAGGGTACATGTGCACATTGTGCAGGTTAGTTACATATGTATACATGTGCCATGCTGGTGCGCTGCACCCACTAACTCGTCATCTAGCATTAGGTATATCTCCCAATGCTATCCCTCCCCCCTCCCCCGACCCCACCACAGTCCCCAGAGTGTGATATTCCCCTTCCTGTGTCCATGTGATCTCATTGTTCAATTCCCACCTATGAGTGAGAATATGCGGTGTTTGGTTTTTTGTTCTTGCGATAGTTTACTGAGAATGATGGTTTCCAATTTCATCCATGTCCCTACAAAGGACATGAACTCATCATTTTTTATGGCTGCATAGTATTCCATGGTGTATATGTGCCACATTTTCTTAATCCAGTCTATCATTGTTGGACATTTGGGTTGGTTCCAAGTCTTTGCTATTGTGAATAATGCCGCAATAAACATACGTGTGCATGTGTCTTTATAGCAGCATGATTTATAGTCCTTTGGGTATATACCCAGTAATGGGATGGCTGGGTCAAATGGTATTTCTAGTTCTAGATCCCTGAGGAATCACCACACTGACTTCCACAATGGTTGAACTAGTTTACAGTCCCACCAACAGTGTCAAAGTGTTCCTATTTCTCCACATCCTCTCCAGCACCTGTTGTTTCCTGACTTTTTAATGATTGCCATTCTAACTGGTGTGAGATGATATCTCATAGTGGTTTTGATTTGCATTTCTCTGATGGCCAGTGATGATGAGCATTTTTTCATGTATTTTTTGGCTGCATAAATGTCTTCTTTTGAGAAGTGTCTGTTCATGTCCTTCACCCACTTTTTGATGGGGTTGTTTGTTTTTTTCTTGTAAATTTGTTTGAGTTCATTGTAGATTCTGGATATTAGCCCTTTGTCAGATGAGTAGGTTGCGAAAATGTTCTCCCATTTTGTAGGTTGCCTGTTCACTCTGATGGTAGTTTCTTTTGCTGTGCAGAAGCTCTTTAGTTTAATTAGATCCCATTTGTCAATTTTGGCTTTGGTTGCCATTGCTTTTGGTGTTTTGGACATGAAGTCCTTGCCCACGCCTATGTCCTGAATGGTAATGCCTAGGTTTTCTTCTAGGGTTTTTATGGTTTTAGGTCTAACGTTTAAATCTTTAATCCATCTTGAATTGATTTTTCTATAAGGTGTAAGGAAGGGATCCAGTTTCAGCTTTCTACATATGGCTAGCCAGTTTTCCCAGCACCATTTATTAAATAGGGAATCCTTTCCCCATTGCTTGTTTTTCTCAGGTTTGTCAAAGATCAGATAGTTGTAGGTATGTGGCGTTATTTCTGAGGGCTCTGTTCTGTTCCATTGATCTATATCTCTGTTTTGGTACCAGTACCATGCTGTTTTGGTTACTGTAGACTTGTAGTATAGTTTGAAGTCAGGTAGTGTGATGCCTCCAGCTTTGTTCTTTTGGCTTAGGATTGACTTGGCGATGCGGGCTCTTTTTTGGTTCCATATGAACTTTAAAGTAGTTTTTTCCAATTCTGTGAAGAAAGTCATTGGTAGCTTGATGGGGATGGCATTGAATCTGTAAATTACCTTGGGCAGTATGGCCATTTTCATGACATTGATTCTTCCTACCCATGAGCATGGAATGTTCTTCCATTTGTTTGTGTCCTCTTTTATTTCCTTGAGCAGTGGTTTGTAGTTCTCCTTGAAGAGGTCCTTCACATCCCTTGTAAGTTGGATTCCTAGGTATTTTATTCTCTTTGAAGCAATTGTGAATGGGAGTTCACTCATGATTTGGCTCTCTGTTTGTCTGTTGTTGGTGTATAAGAATGCTTGTGATTTTTGTACATTGATTTTGTATCCTGAGACTATGCTGAAGTTGCTTATCAGCTTAAGGAGATTTTGGGCTGAGACGATGGGCTTTTCTAGATAAACAATCATGTCGTCTGCAAACAGGGACAATTTGACTTCCTCTTTTCCTAATTGAATACCCTTTATTTCCTTCTCCTGCCTGATTGCCCTGGCCAGAACTTCCAACACTATGTTGAATAGGAGCAGTGAGAGAGGGCATCCCTGTCTTGTGCCAGTTTTCAAAGGGAATGCTTCCAGTTTTTGCCCATTCAGTATGATATTGGCTGTGGGTTTGTCATAGATAGCTCTTATTATTTTGAAATACGTCCCATCAATACCTAATTTATTGAGAGTTTTTAGCATGAAGGGTTGTTGAATTTTGTCAAAGGCTTTTTCTGCATCTATTGAGATAATCATGTGGTTTTTGTCTTTGGCTCTGTTTATATGCTGGATTACATTTATTGATTTGCGTATATTGAACCAGCCTTGCATCCCAGAGATGAAGCCCACTTGATCATGGTGGATAAGCTTTTTGATGTGCTGCTGGATTCGGTTTGCCAGTATTTTATTGAGGATTTTTGCATCAATGTTCATCAAGGATATTGGTCTAAAATTCTCTTTTTTGGTTGTGTCTCTACCCGGCTTTGGTATCAGAATGATGCTGGCCTCATAAAATGAGTTAGGGAGGATTCCCTCTTTTTCTATTGATTGGAATAGTTTCAGAAGGAATGGTACCAGTTCCTCCTTGTACCTCTGGTAGAATTCGGCTGTGAATCCATCTGGTCCTGGACTCTTTTTGGTTGGTAAACTATTGATTATTGCCACAATTTCAGCTCCTGTTATTGGTCTATTCAGAGATTCAACTTCTTCCTGGTTTAGTCTTGGGAGAGTGTATGTGTCGAGGAATTTATCCATTTCTTCTAGATTTTCTAGTTTATTTGCGTAGAGGTGTTTGTAGTATTCTCTGATGGTAGTTTGTATGTCTGTGGGATCGGTGGTGATATCCCCTTTATCATTTTTTATTGTGTCTATTTGATTCTTCTCTCTTTTTTTCTTTATTAGTCTTGCTAGTGGTCTATCAATTTTGTTGATGCTTTCAAAAAAACAGCTCCTGGATTCATTGATTTTTTGAAGTGTTTTTTGTGTCTCTATTTCCTTCAGTTCTGCTCTGATTTTAGTTATTTCTTGCCTTCTGCTAGCTTTTGAATGTGTTTGCTCTTGCTTTTCTAGTACTTTTAATTGTGATGTTAGGGTGTCAATTTTGGATCTTTCCTGCTTTCTCTTGTGGGCATTTAGTGCTATACATTTCCCTCTACACACTGCTTTGAATGCGTCCCAGAGATTCTGGTATGCTGTGTCTTTGTTCTCGTTGGTTTCAAAGAACATCTTTATTTCTGCCTTCATTTCGTTATGTACCCAGTAGTCATTTAGGAGCAGGTTGTTCAGTTTCCATGTAGTTGAGCAGCTTTGAGTGAGATTCTTAATCCTGAGTTCTAGTTTGATTGCACTGTGGTCTGAGAGATAGTTTGTTATAATTTCTGTTCTTTTACATTTGCTGAGGAGAGCTTTACTTCCAAGTATGTGGTCAGTTTTGGAATAGGTGTGGTGTGGTGCTGAAAAAAATGTATATTCTGTTGATTTGGGGTGGAGAGTTCTGTAGATGTCTATTAGGTCCACTTGGTGCAGAGCTGAGTTCAATTCCTGGGTATCCTTGTTGACTTTCTGTCTCGTTGATCTGTCTAATGTTGACAGTGGGGTGTTAAAGTCTCCTATTATTAATGTGTGGGAGTCTAAGTCTCTTTGTAGGTCACTCAGGACTTGCTTTATGAATCTGGGTGCTCCTGTATTGGGTGCATATATATTTAGGATAGTTAGCTCCTCTTGTTGAATTGATCCCTTTACCATTATGTAATGGCCTTCTTTGTCTCTTTTGATCTTTGTTGGTTTAAAGTCTGTTTTATCAGAGACTAGGATTGCAACCCCTGCCTTTTTTTGTTTTCCATTTGCTTGGTAGATCTTCCTCCATCCTTTTATTTTGAGCCTATGTGTGTCTCTGCACGTGAGATGGGTTTCCTGAATACAGCACACTGATGGGTCTTGACTCTTTATCCAACTTGCCAGTCTGTGTCTTTTAATTGGAGAATTTAGTCCATTTACATTTAAAGTTAATATTGTTATGTGTGAATTTGATCCTGTCATTATGATGTTAGCTGGTGATTTTGCTCGTTAGTTGATGCAGTTTCTTCCTAGTCTCGATGGTCTTCACATTTTGGCATGATTTTGCAGCGGCTGGTACCGGTTGTTCCTTTCCATGTTTAGCGCTTCCTTCAGGAGCTCTTTTAGGGCAGGCCTGGTGGTGACAAAATCTCTCAGCATTTGCTTGTCTGTAAAGGATTTTATTTCTCCTTCACTTATGAAGCTTAGTTTGGCTGGATATGAAATTCTGGGTTGAAAATTCTTTTCTTTAAGAATGTTGAATATTGGCCCCCACTCTCTTCTGGCTTGTAGGGTTTCTGCCGAGAGATCCACTGTTAGTCTGATGGGCTTCCCTTTGAGGGTAACCCGACCTTTCTCTCTGGCTGCCCTTAACATTTTTTCCTTCATTTCAACTTTGGTGAATCTGACAATTATGTGTCTTGGAGTTGCTCTTCTCGAGGAGTATCTTTGTGGCGTTCTCTGTATTTCCTGAATCTGAACGTTGGCCTGCCTTGCTAGATTGGGGAAGTTCTCCTGGATAATATCCTGCAGAGTGTTTTCCAACTTGGTTCCATTCTCCGCATCACTTTCAGGTACACCAATCAGACGTAGATTTGGTCTTTTCACATAGTCCCATATTTCTTGGAGGCTTTGCTCATTTCTTTTTATTCTTTTGTCTCTAAACTTCCCTTCTCGCTTCATTTCATTCGTTTCATCTTCCATTGCTGATACCCTTTCTTCCAGTTGATCGCATCGGCTCCTGAGGCTTCTGCATTCATCACGTAGTTCTCGAGCCTTGGTTTTCAGCTCCATCAGCTCCTTTAAGCACTTCTCTGTATTGGTTATTCTAGTTATACATTCTTCTAAATTTTTTTCAAAGTTTTCAACTTCTTTGCCTTTGGTTTGAATGTCCTCCCGTAGCTCAGAGTAATTTGATCGTCTGAAACCTTCTTCTCTCAGCTCGTCAAAGTCATTCTCCATCCAGCTTTGTTCCGTTGCTGGTGAGGAACTGCGTTCCTTTGGAGGAGGAGAGGCGCTCTGCGTTTTAGAGTTTCCAGTTTTTCTGTTCTGTTTTTTCCCCATCTTTGTGGTTTTATCTACTTTTGGTCTTTGATGATGGTGATGTACAGATGGGTTTTCGGTGTGGATGTCCTTTCTGTTTGTTAGTTTTCCTTCTAACAGACAGGACCCTCAGCTGCAGGTCTGTTGGAATACCCTGCTGTGTGAGGTGTCAGTGTGCCCCTGCTGGGGGGTGCCTCCCAGTTAGGCTGCTCGGGGGTCAGGGGTCAGGGACCCACTTGAGGAGGCAGTCTGCCCGTTCTCAGATCTCCAGCTGCGTGCTGGGAGAACCACTGCTCTCTTCAAAGCTGTCAGACAGGGACATTTAAGTCTGCAGAGGTTACTGCTGTCTTTTTGTTTGTCTGTGCCCTGCCCCCAGAGGTGGAGCCTACAGAGGCAGGCAGGCCTCTTTGAGCTGTGGTGGGCTCCACCCAGTTCGAGCTTCCCAGCTGCTTTGTTTACCTAAGCAAGCCTGGGCTATGGCAGGCGCCCCTCCCCCAGCCTCGCTGCCGCCTTGCAGTTTGATCTCAGACTGCTGTGCTAGCAATCAGCAAGACTCCGTGGGCGTAGGACCCTCCGAGCCAGGTGTGGGATATAGTCTTGTGGTGCGCCGTTTTTAAAGCCGGTCTGAAAAGCGCAATATTCGGGTGGGAGTGACCCGATTTTCTAGGTGCCTCCGTCACCCCTTTCTTTGACTCGGAAAGGGAACTCCCTGACCCCTTGCGCTTCCCAGGTGAGGCAATGCCTCGCCCTGCTTCGGCTCGTGCACGTTGCGCACACCCACTGGCCTGCGCCCACTGTCTGGCACTCCCTAGTGAGATGAACCCGGTACCTCAGATGGAAATGCAGAAATCACCTGTCTTCTGCGTCGCTCACACTGGGAGCTGTAGACCGGAGCTGTTCCTATTCGGCCATCTTGGCTCCTCCTCTATCTACACATCTTTGAAAGGTACCTCTTTCATCTATGAAACCCATTACAACCAAGTATCAAAATAAACTGAACTATGAGACAGACCTTCAAATAATGGCTTCATGATATATTTAACCCATATTTTTGAAATAATAGAATGTGTCTGATCACACTACTCTTATCCAAATATAATTAGTAATAACTATACAAATAATATTTTAGTAAGAGAAAAATAGTGTGTGTAATTAATGAATAAAATAGATTGTTAATATTTATAAAATATTACTTCTTGTTCTTGAGAGCATCTTAAAATGTTGAACTCCCATTCTTACATGTATTTTACAATGCACAGAATGTTTGTATATATTTAAAAATTAGATCAGATAGGCCGGGCGAGGTGGCTCACGCTTGTAATCCCAGCACTTTGGGAGGCCGAGGAGGGCAGATCATGAGGTCAGTAGATCGGGACCATCCTGGCTAACACAGTGAAACCCCATTTCTACTAAAAATACAAAAAATTAGTCGGGCGTGGTGGCGGGCACCTGCAGTCCCAGCTACTCGGGAGGCTGAGGCAGGAGAATGGCGTGAACCTGGGAGGTGGAGCTTGCAGTGAGCCGAGATCGTGCCACTCACTCCAGCCTGGGCGACAGAGCGAGACTCCATCTCAAAATAAATAAATAAATAAATAAATAAATAAATAAATAAATAAATAAATAAATAAATTTAGATCAGATCTATAATTTACAAATAAATAAGTGTTAGAGATAAGTTCACAAACATGTACTAATGGGAGTTTCAGGTTAAAAAGAAACATGGGGTGGTGTGCATAACACTGCTTCACATGACTGTTTCTTAAAATGTGGTCCATGAATTACCTGCCTCTGGGTTACTGAGGGTGCTTGTTAAAAAATAGAAATTCCTGAATTTCACCCCGGAACTACTAACTCAGAATCTCTCGAGGTGCCATTCAAGGTTTTGCATTTTTAATAAGCTCTCCTGGTGATTTTGTTTGTTTGTTTGTTTGTTTTTTGGAGTCTTGCTCTGTCGCCCAGGCTGGAGTGCAGTGGTGCGATCTCGGCTCACTGCAAGCTCCGCCTCCCGGGTTCACGCCATTCTCCTGCCTCAGCCTCCCGAGTAGCTGGGACTACAGGCGCCGGCCACCACGCCCAGCTAATTTTTTGTATTTTTAGGAGAGACGGGGTTTCACCATGTTAGCCAGGATGGTCTCAACTCCTGACTTCATGATCCGCCCACCTCAGCCTCCCAAAGTGCTGGGACTACAGGCGTGAGCCACGGTTCCCGGTCCTCTCCTGGTGATTCTTAAGCATGCTGCGGTTTGCAAACCAAGGCCTCTACTCCAGAAAATTATGCCAGAATCAAAGCCATGATACACTCCATGCTCCCAGAGACTATATATTGAGTGTAAAGGATCCATTCCCTCCTGAGTTGACAATGATAAGCCTATTAACCCATTCTCAGACTTCATAAGCAAAATAATTATTGGGGAAACTGGCATCTTTGTGTCAAGGAAAAAGAGAACACATTACCTTTTAGTGTTTGTTAGAGGAAAGAATTGAGTTTCTTAGGAATTTTTAACTGTTCTAGGACTTTTCATCCTTAAAGTTCATTGATGTATAGATATTAACTTCTTTTACCGCACAAATCCCTATGGCATGGTCAGGGGGCAAGATTACAAAATTCTGAATATAAAACTAAATAAAGAATAAAACGGGAAATAAAGGTCCATGTTTAAATAGGCATTTTAAAAATAAGTGCTAGTCTATCTCCAAGTCAAATTACATGGGGAAAAAGTGTCTTTTATATCAAAATTTCTGAGAACTTGTAAATACTTGTTTTTACCCATTTTAACGATAAAGAATACTTTGCTTCAATAATACAAAGCCAAGCATAGCAACTCCAGTGCTTCCTGAGTCCCTCCCTGGCCTTTTAACCACAAAGTCATACGCTCTTTGGATCTTACCTTACAACTTGAAGGACCATCTCAGCTTTCCTCGTCAAGTAAAGGCTTTCTACATTTTCTTAGTCCTGTTCTGTGTCATCTGCCTGTCAAGAAAGCAGTTGCTTGTTTGATTGTTAATTGCCCCTGTTTTTTTATTATAGAATGCATTCAAATTTTGGTAAGCAACATGTTCTTTTTGTAATTAGATATAGTGGTTAAAATATCTTCCAATTCACCATGCCATTTCCCTTTAATCAGCATACCAGCCAGGCTTTAAGATGATGTTGGAACCATATCTATATTGTTACCACAGCAGGACTGCTCAAAGAAAATTGTGTTACAAATACACTTTGCAATTGAAATGAAATTCGGAGGTAGGAGTGCTTTTATTTTACAGTCCTGAAATGTGTAAATGAAATGAAAGTAAAATGTGGATATTTCAATCATTTGTATCATCAAGATTCAAAGATTTTCTGTGGATCTTAGGGTATCTATGGCTACAGTTACCTAGTGATGCCGTTTGGAGTGCCTATAAGAGGATGTATCAGTCAGAGTTCTCCACGACTTTCTCTGTAAGGCAGACAGGCTGAAAACTGAGGCAGGAGCTGATGCAATGGCCTGGAGGCAGAATTTCTTCTCCAGGAAACCTCAGTTTTTGTTCTTAGGCCTTGAATTGATGAGGCAAAGTCCACCCACATTATCAAGTGTGATTGCCTTTACTTAAAGTCAACTGATCGTAGATGTTTACCACATCTAGAAAATACCTTTGTACTAATTCCAAGGTTAATGTTTGATTAAATTATGGGTATTGTAGCCTAGTCAAGTTGACACCAAAATCTAAGCATCACAGAAGACAAGAATGTTTTAAACACTTCCTCTTTAAATCCTCTTGGAGGGAAGTTGTATTAGCTCCATTTTATAGACAAGGAAATTGATGATTAGAAAGGCTAAATGATTTGCCCAAGATCAACCAGGAAATAAGGTCAGCCAAGCCCCTCCAAATCCAAAGCACAGGCCATTTCCTGGAGCATAACACAACCTGTGCAACCCTCCCTCTCCTCTACCAATTCGGAAGCTATGTAGAAACAGGGCTCGATCATCCTGCCTCCTGCGTTTATCTTCTGGTGAGCTTGCCCCATGTGACCCTCTTTACCTTCTCTTAGAACCAACTCATTTATGACTGATGGATCAACTCCAGACAAGCCAGAATATAAGGGATCATTTGGTGGCAGGGAATAAAAGAGGTCTGCAGCCAGACCCCAGAAGTTCAAAGCCAGGTTTTGCCATTGACTTTGTGTGTGTTCTTGGGCAAGTAACATAATCTTTCTAAAAAAAAAAAGCATAATGTTAAGCACCTGACTGCTGGAGCACAGACTGCCTGGGTTAAATCCCAGCTCTGCCTCTTACCAGCTGTACAACTCTGGACAGCTCCTTATCTCTCTGTGCCTCATCTGTAAAATAAGGACAATAGCACCAACCATAGTAGGGAAGTAGTTAAATGAGACAATTCATGTAGTCACTTACAGACAAGTTTTGCACAAAATAAGTGCCCAATTATTATTATTTATGATTCTACCTTCATTTCCTATCTGTCAAATAAGGATAAAAACAGGATGTGAAGGATTTACTGTGGAAACAACTTATGATGGTTAGTGCAGAGTGCTTTGCCTAGTGCGCGCTGCACTGGTAGACATCCAGTATATGTTAGCTGTCAAAGGCGAGTTCATCAATGTGGGAGTTGTCACCCTTCCTCTTCATTTTATCTCAGCACCTGGAATGTGGTAGGCAATTTAAATAATGAGAAAAGCACTTCATATTACCTGCAACCAAAGCCATGCCTAGCAGAATGGCATGTCAGGACTGGTCCACTCACTGAAAAAGAAAGGACACTGGAATCTATTGCCATGGGCATATGCAGAGAGTTCCACATTTCCTAATTAAAAAAAAATGAAATTGAAGATTGACTACTACTTTACATCATACATACACATTTTTGAATGTATACATTTCTCTACTGTTGTTAGCCTCGGGCTGTAGAAATAAATCCAGACCTAGCACTCAATGAGTGGTATCCAGGATGGGCTCTTTTAGTATACAGTCCATGGGCCAACCTGTTTGTGTATGGTCCGTCCACTAAGAATGACCTTTAACGATGAGCATTTGCAATTGATTTAATGATGTGGAATGCTGACATTGAACCCCAATTAAGTAAAACATCACAGCCCCCTACAAAGAAAATTCTACTCTTCTCATTAGTAGACCTGCATTACAATTATTGTACACAATGATGTACAAATTTTGTCAATAATTCTAATTATATTGTCAATAATTTCTAATTTTGTCAATACAATGTGGAAAATATTTTTCTCTTTTGTTATATAAGTACCTACATAATATTCTCAGTATTGCCTCTTGTCAGCAAAACCTAAAATATATTCACTTTCGAGATCTTTACAGAGCAAAAGTGTGCTGTTCCCTGTCTTAAGAGTATCTAGCTTGTGACTTTTCATTTCCAGCAGCTGAATACTATGAACTAACTACTAGCTCTTCACTGCTGAACACATTTGCTTTGCAGAGGGAGAGTATATTGTATCTCAGAACACTTCCTAAACCACAGGAGAAAACACCGTTCTGTGTCTTGGCAGTTTTAAACTAAGAAAATTTTGTGCATCCAGTTCCTGTCCCACACTTAGCCGTGAAATAGAGTTATAAAACCATGTGATCAGAAACATTACATAGTGTTTTCTGGTCATAAAAACAGGGTCATCTTTTGCCTAAATGGACCCATTCTTTGGGAGGAAGTTACCTCATATCACATGATTAAAACTTGACTTCTAAGAACCACTGCTAAAGCTCTGGAGGCTACAATCTAATTTATTTCATTTCTTCATTTTTTTAAATGACATCTTCCCCCCAAGAGCTCTTAAAAGTACACACTACCTTAGTTTCCTGTTGGAGTAGGACATTTTTGGCTCTTGACATCTTACAATTTCAACTAGATTCAAACATTAAAAGTCTATTAAAGAAAATATGAACTGATTTTCTATTAGGTAAGACAGTTCTTGCCCAACAGCAGGGAAGTCAAAACTGTGGATTTATGAAGGCTATAGGGAAATAAATTACAGAAACAATACCCTTTATCCAAATCTTTATGATTCAAACAAGGTTCTCGCTCAACATTTGAAAATTAAGATCTGGATCAAAAGGAAACAAACCCAAAAAAAAATAGAAAAGCACAACTAAAATAAGATAGAAATTTTCAGCAATCTTCAGTGAAAAGGTATATAAGTGTGTGTGTATATATATGTATATATATATACGTATATATGTGTATATATGTATATATGTGTATATATATATGTGTGTGTGTATATATATATGAAACAAGAATGCAGAAATGCACAAAGAGAAAGACAAGACCATATAGACTTTGCTTGTGTATTATCTCAAGAAACCCGGTAGGAAAATGGGGTCAGATGCTTACTGAAACACCCTGTGCTGTCAGATCCACAGAACATCAGAGAACATCACAAACACTGTCGTCCCAAAATAGAAGCTCTTCACTTACAGAAGTCATAGGTCGTGACCTCCTGGGTTTTGGCCTCCTTCTGTATCACCCATTTCTAAAATTACCCTCAGCCGTCTGCCTGCAGGCTCCATGCTGGGAAAGGACACAAAGGGGTTTTGACAATTCTTTAAAAGTAGAAAAACGAAAGAAGCAATGCATTTGCCTGTTTCTTTCTTTTTTGCCAATTTGGATAGGAAACATTAGATTCCTTACATAGCAAGTCATAAATATGTTATTAATATATCTAAGTATTAAAACGGTTTTGGGGACTGAGATTGTTTCAAGCATTCCATACAATATTTCTTTAAAAAGGCAAATATGTATCATTTCTCATCACACAAGTTTAAAATACATGTTTGAACTAATAATAGAAACTATCAAAAGATGTTCGATAGTGCTTTTTTCTTCAGAAGTCATTCTGAAGATCCATCTAGCTCCATCACTTCTATAATAGGTTTTAATAAAGAGGGGGAAAAAAAAACAAAAGAAGCCACAGAACCAGAAATATTAAAAAGTGAAATCGACTTTGAGAAATTAATTAGTTCCTCACTCAGCTGCACCTGCTGCCTCCACACTTACCCCATTCCACAACCCAAAGAATATCTTCAATTTTAAGCTTCATCGTATGAGACACCACAAATTTCCAAAACAAGCAATTGTCTCTTTAAGAAAATTTGACTTTCAAATGACCTTCACATATAAATAGCCACTTCCTGCCCCTTTTAATTTTGCACCCATAGGTACCAGGGTTAGTCCTCTTATGCCTTCTTAAGGAAGCCCTCTGTCCCCCAACTCCCCCACCTCCCACTCTTATAAGACTCAGATCCCAAACCCCACTTCCAGCCACAAATGTACCAATTCTCATAGGAGTATTTTTCTAGTAGGAGCCACTGGAATCTATAAACTCTATTTTTGGTGGCCAAACCTCTGCCCCACCCCTTCCCCAAACCTGTACCTAACTACTCATCCATCCCTCAATCTGTCTAAAAAGACCCTAAATGCAATGGGAAAAACACTGAAATTAAAAGACATGTATTTATAAATATACAAATATATAAATATGCAATATATCCACATTGCAAATGTACATGTACATACAGGTATACCTGCATGTCTGTGTGTGTATTACATGCACATGGAATGTATAGATATGTGTGAGTAGGGAAGGAAAATAACTGACACACGGATCCAGATAGGGAGAGTGGCAGGCATGGCTGGTGGCTGTATTAGTCCGTTCTCAAATTACTATAAAGAAATATCTGAGACTGGGTAATTTATAAAGAAAAGAGATTTAAGTGGCTCATAGTTCCATAGGCTATATTGGAAGCATGATGCTGGCATCTGGAGAGACCTCAGGAAACTTTCAGTCATGGTGGAAGGCAAAGGGGAAGCAGGCACGTCTTCCATGGTGGGAGCAGAAGGAGTACGGTTGAGGGGAAGGTGCTGCACACTGTTAAACAACCAGATCTCATGAGAACTCACTATCACAAGAACAGTGCCAATGAGGATGGTGTTAAACCATTCATGAGAACTCCGTCCCCATGATCCAATCACCTCCCACCAGGCCCCACCTCCAACATGGGATTACAAGTCTACATGAGATTTGGGTGGGGACACAGATCCAACTATATCAGTGGTCCACGTAGGTTTCTGTCACTGAACTGGTGCTCCCATCCCCTAGTTTAAGTGGTTGCTAATAGCTGAAAGTTGTATCCTCCTGGTAATTATCCCTGGCCAGAGGAGATGCACTATACAAAATATGCCTGGTCATTAGCGTCTTGAACAAAAGTCCTGCTCCCTTTCCTCAAGGTGGGACAGCACTTGGTATTTTTCACACTATGGAGTTTTGTATTGGACCAGATGGAGCCCAGACTTCAGTGAAAGCCACATTTTCCTGGCTTCTGTCTTACTCTGCTGCTCTCACTCCCTTATGGTTTTTGCTTGAGAACAAGCATTGCCTCAATAAATCACTTGCTCAAGAATTTCTGTCTCAGGCTTGGTATATAAGGAACCCAGTCTAAGCCAGGCAGCAACATATTAAGTAATCAAATACAAAAGCGGAAGAAAGAATTTAAGAGCTCAAGCATGCCAAGTCTTCTGTTTTGTTGAGCGTTTGTTGAAAAACATTTCAACTAGAGAAGAATCACACAATGAAATGTATTCCTGCTGTTGTTCCCAAGAGGGAATAGGACCTAGGGTAGAATTGTAGAGGAAACACAAGCAACAGATTGGGGACAAGGCTGGTATCATGTCATGCTTGGTTTCAAAAAACAGAAACCTACCCAGGCTGGCTCAAGTTCATAGAAAGAGGGTAGGGGCAATGAAAATACAGATTTTATGGAATTCATGGAAAGACTGAATAACCAGCCTGAAGAAGAATATAGAAGAGAAGAGCACCAGGACCTCAGCAGGACTTTCTGGCTCTGTCCTCTCATACGCCACCAGATTCTTTTCTTTTCTCCTGAAATAATAGCTGACTCACATGTTTGAAGTCTCAAGTAAAATTTCTCAGACACAGTACTGGAAAAATGACCAAAGCGGTAGCAGCAGGTTTTGGGTCTTCCTGAGTCCCTACACAAAAACTAAGCAACTAGTGAACAAAACCCAAAGCCCATGGACAAAATTTACAATAAAACTAAGTGACAAGAATGAATGACTAAACAAATTGTGGTGCATTCATAAAATGGAATATTACCCAGTGATAAGAAGAAATGATGTACAAATACATGCTACAAAGTGGACGAAAATTGAAAACACTAGGTTAAGTGAAAGAAGCCAGACCCAAAATGTCGTATAATTTATGATTTCTTGTATATGAAGTGTGCAAAATAGATAAATCCATAGACGCAGAAGGCCAATTGGTGGTTGCCAGAGGCTGGGGTCAAAGGGAAAAAGGGAAGAACTTCTTTAACGAGTACAGAGTTTTTTTTTGGAGTGATGAAATATCCAGAAGCAGATAGAGGGGGTAGTTGTACAATACTGTGAGTGGCTAAATGACACTGAGTTGTGATTAATTTTATGTTATGTAAATTTCACCTCAACTGAAAGAAAAACTAAGTTCACAGGTAGTCCAATAAACCCCATAATATAAGTAGAAATGGGCTAAATCTCCAACAGCACCTAGAACTGTGTGTTATTGGCATCTGCATGGATGAAAGCAAAATGCAGCAAGAGGACATTTGATGAAGCTGAGAAGAGGAAAATCCCAGAAGAGTAGATAAATACTTCCTGGAAAGGATAGATGGTCCATTTGAAATCAATAGCTGGACAGTCATGCTTCCTCCAGCAATCAGTACGGGCAAGGGGTTGCCCAAGAATTTCTGAAGAGCTAGCTGGGCAGTGTAGACCCCTGTGAAATCTCAGAAATGATCTACCACGCTATCTTCAAAAACAGAGCCCCACATTGAAGAGAAACTGCTAGGAGAATAACCATTATTAGACAGAACAGGGAGAACAGAAATAAGGAAAAGAGAAGGTGCAGATAAAAGCGCAGGGTGGGGCGGGGGGTGGGGATAGCCCGGCAATCTCAGAAACGGAGCTGCCATTTTATGTAACGTGAAAAAGTAAAGGAGAGGCAGTTTTGTGAAGCTGAAAGATTCTCAGAACCCAGTTTTTCTCTAAAATGTCAGGAAAACTAAATTTACACAAAAAATGAGTAACTAAAAGCAGTAAGGTCAAATCCCATTCAAAAGTGCAAAAAAAGAACGAAGAGCAATGACATCCAGCAGGATGGAAAGTCTATGCCCAAAAAACAGATCAAAACAAAACAAGACAAGAAAGGCCGGCATAAATCAGCATTAGGAAAACTCAAAAGGTACGTGACGGAATTGAAGAAAGAGTTAAAAATAAAGGGGAAAAATTGTTTGAGAAATGAAGACTGAATTAGACAAACACAAGAGTCAGTAAATACAACGAATAATGTTTTAAGAGAAATAGAAAGTTAAAAAAAGAGAATTTTTTTAAATCAGATAAATGAAGTAAGAGATAAAAATAGTTTGAGAGAATATGACAAATATTGAAGATAGACAAAGAAAATTCAACTGACAAATAAGGAAAGTCCCTGAAGAAGAAAACCAAAATAAGAGAATAAAACAAATAAATATTTAAAAGTATAATTATAGAAAACTTTCCTGAAATAAAAAAAAAGTGTGTATAATTCTCAGCAGCATGAGAATATTGAACCAGAACAACCAACACCAAAATATATTCTAGTAAAATTACTGGACTTTTAAGAGAAAGAAGAAATTTGAGGGACACCTAGGCAAATGAACACATACCTTAGAAAGAAAATTAAATTGGCTTCAGAGTTTTTCACAGTGACATTTACGGAAGGAGAAAATTGACCCACATATTTAATGTTCCCAAAGAAAGAAACTGTGAGCTAAGGATTTTACATCCTACAGAGCTTATTTTCCAAGAATAAAGGGTACAGAAAAGTCATTACCAACAACTGAGGAAATATTGTTCCCATAAACCCCACCCCCCCTCCACAAGGACTCTGCTAAAATCAAGCTTGAGACAATGAAAATGACGAGAAAGACATCAACATAAGGACTGCTGGTGAGCACTAAGCATGTGATAACTCACAGCAGGCATACTAAGTGAGCATTAGAAAGGAGAAAATCTAATATGCAAATGGCTCTATGACCAGACAATTACGATATAGTACAACCAGAAAAATGTGGGAGAGTGAGGACTGCATTACTAAATAACAATAATAATAAATAATAATAAACAATAAATAACAATAGCAGTAACTGTTTTTAGTAATCGGAAGTGGTGAAAGTATTATTAGTCTTGTTATTCTGAGATCATTGCATGAGTAATGTGGAATAAAGTAAATGAGTTTTTTTTGGGATTTTAATTCTATCATTCCCTGTGGCCTTGAGAAATAAGATTCTTAGTGAAAAAGACAGGAAATATAGTCTTGAGAAATAGGATTCTTAGTGAAAAAGACAGGAAATAAAGATTTAATATAGGAGAGGTTAAGTGAAAAGCAATTCCTAAATTTGAGTTGGATATTTCTGTATGAATTCACAAGATTGTTGATATACATATGTGTGCACGTGCAAGTATATATTATTATATATCATATTTTTGAATACATATATATTTATTTCATACATTTATTTACAAGTATATTGTATATATGGATTATATATAGTATTTTTAAATACATGCACATATATATTTATTTCAAATATTTATTTTATGTATGTATGTGTATATATGCAATTTGTGTATGTATGTTAAAAAAATAAACACACATATGTATTTATTTCACATACTTATTTTTCTTCTTTGGCTCTCACCACTTAAAAGATCTAGAAACAATGACCCAACCCAAGATCAATGAGGGTCCCTAAAACCCAGATTATGGTCTTGAAATACCATTTTACACTAAAAGAAACCTTTTAGTTTCTTTATGAAACTGTGGGAAGTTCCATAAAGAAAAGAGAAATGGCTTATTCCTGGCCCTAGGCAAGAAACATATAAAATAAACCAAGGACCTCTTGATGTACCGGAGAGTGGGGGAGCTATAAGAGACTGTTAGGACCACAGCAAAAAAATAAAAAATAAAAAATCAGGAGCCCATCCAAAGAGTATCTCACTTGCAAAGACAAGCCAACTTGAACTCCAATAAAAATAAGAATTGTGATAAATGAAAATCTATCAAATATGTCTAAATCACGAGATTATAATGTTTAAAAATCATATTAAAAACTGCTCATCTGAGGAGGACAGGAATCCAGTTCATTGTCTCAAAAAACTGAGTAAATAAAAGGAAAGAATCATATATTTGTCTTGTGTTTTCTACATGAACTACACCACTAGGTAAATGAGGACAAGCATCTCTTTATAAAATTATCCCAGCTAATAAGTAAAAACAAAATAATAAAATTAGAATAGCATCACTTTTTAACCCCCAGTGAATTAATACAACTGGGCACTGAGTATCAATATCTCTGATCAATATCAAAAAGCATCAATATCAAAAAGCAAAATAAACATTATAGGCCATCTTATCCATGAAACATCACCACCTGTGGTCTTTTCAAGGGAACGGAACTGGAGTCTCATCCATTCCCTGTATCCAGCTGCTAATTTGCAGGAAAGACAGAGGGCAGAGAAGCATGCTGACGTGCACCAGGAGTTTGCAATCAGCAAAATCCAGATAGAGGGAAACTCTACAGGTCAAATCGGCTAGAATCTTCAAAAGATAAGTTGTAAGGAAAGGAAATGGTTGGGGGGTTTCCTAAAAACAGATTCTGAGACAGAGATTTGTGCGCAGAAGGTTTATTGGGGAATAAACTATAGAACGACATTTGTAAGAAAGTGAGTGGAGCAATAAGATTGGGCAGAGGGAGGCTGACCTACCATGTAGGTGTAACAAAGACACAGCACTGGAAGGGTGGCTTTTCACAGTTACTCGAATTGACAGAAGAGAGACAAACCAAGTTAGGCTTTGCCTAGACTAGTCAGCAGATGCAGGCTATCCCCAGGAAACCGGCCTAGAAGCCCCCCGTTTTTTGCCATCTTTCCTCAGCATGTCCACTTACTTCATCAAAGCAGCAAGGACAGTTTCCAGAGGAACTCTGCTGGCAAGGCAGGGTCTTATAGAATGTAATGTAATCATGGATGACGTTCCCCTGCCTTTGCTATGTTCTATTAGTGAGAAGCAAGTCATAAGTCCTGCCCACACTCAAAAGGAGAGCATTATATGAAGGCATGAATACGAGGAGGCAGGGCTCATAGAGGACATCCTAAGAGTGTCCCCACGGTCCCCCTGACAGATGGTGATGGGCACTGGAGGGCGCACCACAATATCATCTATAAAGCGCCACCTGTAGATTACAAGATACTCCTAGGTCTAAGAGACTTCTATGATTTTTTTTAAGTGGGTACGACTAAACCATAGGGCCTACGGGTGCACAGTTTAATGATAAGAAAGAAGCTTGAGGAAGTGATCAATATAAAAGTTGGGATAATTATTGGGACGGGGTACCTGAAGGGGCTTCAGAGTTGGTGGGAAAAGTTATACTTCTTATCCAAGGGAATGGTTATAAAGGTGTTTGCCTTATAATAATTCATGAAGCAAAGCCTTTGTTTTGCATTCCTTTTGATATCTGTATTTTATTTTAAAGCAAAAAAAAAAATCCAGAATAAGAATACAATTGGTTCAGTTGAGACAATTGTCCAGCCTCTTTTTTTTAATTTTCAAATTTTATGACTATATAGTAGGTGAACATATTTATGGGATACATGAGATACTTTGATACAAGCATGAAATGCGTAATAATCACATCCTGGTAAATGGGGTATCCATCATCTCAAGCATTTACTTTGTATTAAAAACAATCCTATCATACTCTTTTAGTTATTTTTAAATGGGTCCTATTCATTCTAACTACTTTTTGCACACATTTATCATCCCCAATTTCCCTCCACCTCCCTCACTACCCTTCCCAGGCTCTGGTAACCATGCTTCTACTCTCTGTCTCCGTGAGTTCAATTGTTTTAATTTTTAGCTCCCACAAATAAGTGAGAACATGCAACATTTATCTTTCTGTGCCTGGCTTATTTCACTTAACATGATGACCTCCAATGCTATCCATGTTGTTGCAAATGACGGGATCTAATTCTCTTTCTGGCTGAATAGTACTCCATTGTGTATACACACCACACTTTATTCATTCATCTGTTGATAGACACTTACGTTGCTTCTAAATCTTGACTGTTGTGAACAGTGCTGCAACAGATGTGGGAATGCAGATATGCTGCCCAGACTCTTAAATCACCTGGTTGCTAGAGATCATAACAACATTCTTTGTTAAAAACATGGCCTCTCTTTTTAGCAGGGCTACGCCAGGTGAGCAGTTTCAATAAAGGATGAGGGAGCAGGATAGAATGAGAGTTGAAAACAGTACTGGCTAATGCTAGGACTTCCAATTTAGAAACTTTGTTCATTTATGGTAATCTAGGTCAAAAAGCATGAATTTCTGGAGCTGGGGCCAAGTTGGGGGCCCAGGTGGCAGTGAGTGATGGGAGAAAATGTGCAGTCACCTCATGTCAGTGCCCACTGGGGAGGGGTCTGGGAAGAAGGATGGGTGCCTGGTGGGTACTTTTCCACCTTTTATTTCCAGATTTTGTTTTTAATCTAAACTTACAGGTTTGTATTATACAAGGACAGCCAATAAAGGAAGACTATAACGGTGAAAAAACAAAACAAAACAAAACAAAAAACCATGCATTTCCTCTTACCCAAGCAGCCACGTAGGTACAGAATAAAGCTGTGTCAAAATTTTTGGCACCATGGAAATAATAGCAGATAACATCAGTGAGAATGTTTTTTGGCAACAAAACCAAATTCAAACTGGCTTAAGCACAAAGGAATTTTAATCTCTTACATAGCAGAAAGTCCAAAGCTGAATCAAACTTCAGGGTTGGTTAATTCAGCAGACCACGGGGTCAAGAGGAACCAAGTTCTTTCTTTTCTCTTCTGCCCACATCAGATGCCTGATAAAGTTGGGTGGAAATGGCTGAATTAGCACCGAACACCATATCATGAGACAAGGGCAGGGGGAAGAAGATAAAGAGTCTGTCTCTTCTTTTGCCTTTTTTCTGAGGGGACAGGCAAAACTTTTCCAAGAAACAGTTTGCAGATTCTTCCTCAAGTCACGTGCTTATTTTTAAACAAATCGCCATTTAGGGAAATGTGATTCCTCTTAGTGAATTACACCCACTCCTAGAGCAGGAGGGAGGGGAATTCAACCTCTATTAAGTCACACAGCTAGCTGCGCAGGGTTGACTAAATACCTGAGTAATATCAAAGTTCTATTAGAATGGAAAAAGAAGGGAATGGACACTGAGGAAGCCATCAAGGATTATTATTATTATTTTGTTTGTTTGTTTGTTTGTTTGAGCAGCAGCAAGATTTAGTGTGAAGAGCGAAAGAGAACAAAGCTTCCACAGCGTGGAAGGGGACCCGAGCGGTTTGCCCAAGGCCATCGAGGATTTAACTAACAATGCAACCAGCACCATACACCACATAGATTATAGTCCATTAGGGGACTTTTCTCCTCGAAATTTCAATGATTGAATATAGAATTTTGTGGTTTTCTTACATACAGAAACTAGAAGTCTAAAAGGAAAAAGAAGATAGGAAAATGTATTAGTCCATTTTCATGCTGCTGATAAAGACATACCCAAGAGTGGGCACTTTACAAAAGAAGGAGGTTCAATTGGACTTACAATTCCACAAGGTGGGGAAGCCTCACAATCATGGCTGAAGGCAATGAGGAGCAGGTCACCTCTTACGTGGATGGCAGCAAGCAAAGAGAGAGCTTGTGCAAAAAAAACTCCCATTTTTTAAAACCATCAGATCTCATGATACTCATTCACTATCACAAGAACAGTGCAGGAAAGACCTGCCCCCATAAGTCAATCACCTCCGACTGGGATCCTCCCATAACACGTGGGAGTTGTGGGAGTTACAATTCAAAATGAGATTTGGGTGAGGACACAGCCAAACCATATCAGAAAGTATAGTGCAGCAAATGTGCTGATATTCTTCTTGTTTGTTTATTCCCAATAGACTCCTAATATGGTTGAATGTTAAGCATAGCAGACATTTAAAAAATTAAAGTTTGCTAGTTCTCTAAGGCCCCTGCTCACATAGACTTCCTTCATGCACAGTTGGGTCAGTTGATCCCTAACCCCTCTCACTCCCATCTTCTTCTATAAATGCATTCCTGTCTCAGCCCCTGGGAGATATCAGCCCCAGGAAGTCAGGGAGAATTTAAAAACCATAATACAAAAGCCCAAGTTACATTAAAGTTAAGCAAAACCGAATCTTTAATTGTGGACAGAATTGATCCACAGAGGAATGGCTGAGCAGAACTGCAATTGATTGTTCTCAGGCTGCACACAATCTGCAGCCCTTGGTCTAAGACACTATCATTTCTCCTCTGGACCATTTCAGTGGCTCCCTAAGTGACCTCCCTGACTTCACTCTTGCTTTCCTAAGTGATATGGCTTGTCTGTGTCCCCACCCAAATCTCATTTTGAATTGTAGTTCCCATAATCCCAATGTGTCATGGGAGGGACCTGGTGGGAGGTAACTGAATCATGGGGGCAGTTACCCTCATGCTGTTCTCATGATAGTGAGTGAGCTCTCAAGATATCTGATGGTTTTTTATAAGAGGCTTTTCCCCTCTTTGCTTATTCTTGTCCTTCCTGCCATCATGTGAAGAAGGATGTGTTTGCTTCCCTTTCTGCCATGATTGTAAGTTCCCTGAGGCCTCCCAAGCCATGCTGAACTGAGTACACTGAACCTCTTTTCTTGATAAGTTACCTGGTATGTCTTTATTAGCAGCATGAGAATGGACTAATACACTAAGTGTTTATTCTTCACACAACAGCCAGAGCAATTTTTTAAAAATTAAAAATAAAAATATTCTAGTTCCTTCATGCTTAGAATAAAAGTCAATATTTGGACTGGCCAAGAAAGCTTTGCATCATCTGGACCCGTCCAGTTCTCTCAGACTCATATCCTGTGGTTTCCTCCTCCTTCTCTCCTCCTCAGCTGCCCTTATTCTCCAATATGCCAAACTCTTCCCTTTTGCATTCATTGCCTTCAGGCTTTCCGGTCCCTTTGCCTAGGATCTTCTCTTCCCAGATCATTGCATAGCTAACTTTTTGTCATTTGGGTCTACTCAAATATCACCCAGACACATGGAACATGGAATCTAACCACCTTATCTAAAACAGCACTCCCAACCCTAACCTCTTGTCCTACTTTACCTTTCTTATCATGACAACTTGACCTGGCATTTATTTCTTGTCTGTCTCCTTCACTAGAATTTAAGCTCCTTGAGGGTAAGTGTGGTGTATTTTTAGCACATATCTAGATCTCCAGCTTCTAGAATAGTGTCTGTCACATAGTAAACAATTAATGAATGTATAGGACAGTAGTGAAAGCTGACCATAAAATAATAACTTATTTATTAATTAATAATGTTTGCAGTACAATGTTCACTAATATTGATAATGTTGTTATCATCTTATTACCCCTCAGGAGTGCCACTAAAACATTTGATATTCAAAACAAGCACAAAGGGTGTCTAAATTGGTCTACAATCTCAAAAATATTGAGATTAGTCTGTTTTGGCTGTTACAACAAAACCATAGTTATGGCTGTCATAACAAAATACCATGGGTGGCTTACAAACAACAAACATTTATTTCTCAAAGTTCAGGAGTCTGGGAAGTCCAAGATCAAGGCATTGGTAGATTCTGTGTCTGGTGAGGACTCACTACCTGGATCTTAGACAGCCATCTTCTTGTGTCATTGAGAGGGATCTCTCTGAGGTATCTTTTCCCATTCATGAGAGCTCTGCCCTTATGGCCTAAACACCTCCTAAAGGCCCCACTTACTAATACCATCACTTTAGGGATTTAGATTTCAATGTATTAATTTAGAGGGGACATAAACAGTCAGTCCATTGCAATCATTGACCAAAAAAGTTAGACAATCCGACATATTGTAAATAAATTCACATTAAATATACTATGCATTTGCATTAGCTTAATAGGTATTTAAAATATACTATTTTTACATTCATGAAAATCACCAATGGAATTACATGACTATTAATAACCACTGATGAAAATCAGAGAAACACTTCTGTTGTAAGATTTACAAATGTTTCCAAATCATAGAAAGAAAAAAATGTTAGCCTTCAATTCATAGTTTTCCTGTCAAAGGATATAAAACAGCACGGTAATTATATTCTGCAGATGTTATGTTAATAATTTTTCCATTGCATATAAATTCAGTCTGGGGGGAGATAAAGTAGGGAATTGATATATTTTTCCATATTCAGTGGGATTAATACACAAAGAAGTTTAAAACGTGTTCTGCTATACTGCAGATACTCTCAGAGCTAATTCCCAAAGAAAGTAAAAACTGATGGCCTTTGTAGCCTGATAATATCATAAGTGACAAATTCCTGTGAACGATTTACATTCTTGATTTTAACTGCTTTTCTTCTTTTCCTGCCTATAACTTAAAAGAGCACAATCAAAAAAAAATCCATTACTGATGCTGCAGGATAAATTAGTTGCATGTTAATACTAACTCAGTCTTCTCCAACTTATAAAATAAAGGAAGAGAAGTTATTATAAGTCATGCTGGTCCTTATGAGGTCTCTTGCAAATAAATCAGTTTTCTAGAAAGTTCATCTTTTTTCTTTTGCTTCAGACATCACCTACGTTTAGGCAATAATTTTGCCTTTTCAAGCTGTACATAGCTGAATAAGGTGTCTTCATATCCCTGAGATAAGTGCTTTCTATAAGTATTCAGCACAGTATCCTCGTTTAAGTATTCAAAGAATACTTTTGTCTTCCAAGTAATACTTCTCCGCCATGGACAGGTCACATTCTTGTTTCAGTACTTACTCTCATTTAATTCCCTTTAAAGATCTTTCTTTGAAATGGCTTTCTTGGAGCAAAAATAACCCTAAAAGACAGTTAATGCCAGGAAAACAACATGACAAAGAAAATGAAGAAATAGGCATTGTCATATGGTTTGGATTTTGGATTTTTTTTCTTCTGTAGCATTTTTTACTTATTTTTCCAGTTTTCTTTCCAGCAGTTTTCAAACACTCAGAGATGAATCTAGTTTTCTTGATTTATGCTGTAGCTTTTCTCAAGAATAAAAAAGGGTGACTTTATCTTGAGACCCTTCTTTGTAAGGCAGAGTCTTTCCTACTTATGGAATTCTAACTACTTGATAATGAACAAGGGTTGGCCCTAAAACTCTAAGTACCCCAAGAAGAAAATTCATTTCTAAAACTGAAACTAACATACAACTGAAGACTGAATACACCTTTAAACGTTCATTGCAACTTTAAGTAAATCAAGTGCTAATATTGGGGAGACATGCAGGCTTGACTTCACATGTTTTTCCAGGAAAAATTAAGAAGTTTAAAAGGACGGATTAGTATATATTTTCACACAAATCTAAATCATAACTCTCATTTCATACATTTGCTCTTAGAAAAATAAGAGATAGAAAAAGTATATTTTAGAATCTTCAGGAGAGATTCAAAATTTAACATTTTCATATTAATTCTCAAACAAGACCACGTTCTAACGTTACCCCCAAGAAAAGAAAACCCTTTCATAAATTTCTCAGAAAATAAAGTCCTTAACTCTCCCAGGCAAGTGGACAGCATGAATTTTTGTTGTTGTTGCTGTTGTTGTTGTTTTTTAGTTTGTTCTAAATCAGGTTCCCTTGTTTGATATCAGGCACCTGGGCTCCTGTGGCTCCTAACTTCCTATTGGGTTTTACCAGTAAAGTCATTCTAAGGTAAATTGTTGTTTTACAAAGTAGTGAAACCCTATCTCAGCTACAAACATGCTGAAATACACACAAACTCTCCATCTCTAAGCAAACGACAATCCCAGCTGTTTCTGCCTGTGATCCCAATCCTAGTGGCCAAGCACGCCTCCTTTGAAGTGGAGAGCACCTCTGCCGACCTGCATTTTGCTAACTTTGCACTGTTTCTCTAAGCCTGACCCCTGAACTGATTGTCTGATGACTAATTCACATGCTAAGAGCAAGGTATATCAGTATCACTGACCTGCCTGCATTTGTCATTAAGGGTTTGTAGTAAAAAGAAAGATGAAAGAGAAAGGTGTAATATTAGACCATCAGCCAAACATATTATGAGTGTGTTTTGAAAATGTGACTTATAAGAGAAATGGGCAACTCATTTTAAATAATTCTTTCAAGCAGTTATGTAGAAGGCATATATATAGCGCTATATCAAAGAAATATATACATTTTTATTTATAACTTCCTTAAGTTTTATTTTTCTTTTTCAAACTAGTAGCTAATGTTAGAAGTCTACCTTATACACGAACAACATGACTGCTATATGTTTCAAAATCATATAAAAATAATATAAAGATTAATTCTTAAGCAGTGCGTGCATCTCAAACTAACCTGTCCTCCCACCACTATGACCATCACCAAAGTTGCCTAACAGAAATCGTAAAAAAGCTGGTATAGAGATGCTTCTGATTGAAAAAGCCAAGTAGCTTGTTAACTCAATTGCCACATTTTGTGAGTTGCTAAGATAACATTCTATCTTAAATGTATATGATATGCAGAAGACAAAAAAAATCTTTTTTTACTTCTCATTACAGGAAATAATTTCATTGTGTCATTTTGTCCACAAAATTTGTGTTCTATTAATGCTGTGAAAGATAGTCTGTTGAAACATCTTGGCAAACGCTGCAATGAAATTCTTTAAAGAAATTGTGAGGGGTCTAAATGTGGATAATGGGTCTTTGAACAGACTCTGAAGACCCATTTCCATAGACTGGACCAATTCTTTTAGAGTGATACATAATAAGAAGTCAAATAAAAGGGGAGGGGCAAAATGAGAAGATTAAAAAGAGTAAAAGATTAAAAGAGGGAAAGAATATAAGGAAAATTCAAAAGCGGAAAAGATCAAAAAGGGGATTAGCCATGTTACTTGTTGTTTTTCAGAAATTAAAAAAGTATGGTGGATAAGGAATTTGTTTCCTTTTGGCCCAAGAAAAATGCCAATTATGGTAGCTAAACTGCCCGGATCACATATCAGCATGCTTTGGAAATGTGAGAAATGGATGGGAAATATAAACACAAAGCAATAGCGTACAGTTATGTTATGAATTAAGCCAGAAAAATATCAAGATTTAGTCACTGAATAAGCTGCCAAGGTTAATTTTCCCTGATAAACTTGAGCAAGATCAGAAAAGAAGCGATAGCACTATAGTCTCATGTTTTATATAACACCCCCACTGCTTTCTAGAATCAAATTCTTCATTTTCTCAGGGAAAAATAAAAAAAAAAGCAGGCTAAGAGAACATAGTCAACAATAATAAATTCGTGACATTCCCTTTCATTTCTTGATTTTTATTTGATCAGTGCCCTGGGTTCTGAGTTTAGATCTCTGGCATAGTAAAATCAGAGCCAACTCTGCCATGTAGAGTCATTTAATGATGTTCTTTCTTTTTTAATTATACCATTTGGATACCAGAAATAATCACTTAAATTCACTTTGGGTTATAGAAAGTGTTTCAGGTTGTATATATTAATCAACTTGATAAAACTAATTTTATACATCTTAAGGTAGAATATACACTTTACCATTAAATATGTGTGTTTGTCAAACTGTTTTGTCTATTTTATCCTTGGTTGATTTATGGCATTTTGTCTTCATATTTTTTTCCGGTCCACATGTTTTCTTCTGGGTTTGGCTTTTTGTTGCCACTGTTGTTGCCTTCACTCCAGTTAATCTAAAACTAAACTCTTTCTTAATCACAGGTTTCTTTTAATTTTCAAATATCTATGGCTTGAAAAATAATAAAATCAATGAATTTGAAACTGTAAAAGATAAGGCAGAGAAGCAGTCAATCATGAAAGAGGAGATAGAAAGAAAAATTGAAAAGTTGTTAATTACATTAATGTCAAATGAATTCTGGTAGAAATTAGATTCAAATTCTAAATTTGAGTGAGATTATATTTAAAAATTGTCTACACCATTTAGGTACTCTAGTAATATATTTAATATACTCTTTGTCAAACATCCAGGGGTATGGAGACCACCAATGCCATTTAATGGGACTTTGAATAGCATTTAATAGCATCTCATTCTGCCACTTCTTTTATGAACTATGTAACATTTTTTCTAAATCCAGGTGCTTTTAGTTTCATTCAGATTTCTCTTAAAGGAACATAGTACACAACAGAATCCAGAAAAGCACATGAATTTTATCTTAATTGCCTCCTTTGTCAGCAGTCAAAAAGAGCAGGCTGTCAGCTTCTGAGGTTGGGTCACTATAAACAAACAACTTAGGTCAGGAGCCACAATAGATACTTCCCCTCCTGCTGTCTCCATCCTGTGTGCACTTTGGTGGAATGGGTAGTGGTGGGAGCCAACACGGCTCAACGCTAAGGGGAAAAGGATGGTAAGCTACTGACCAGGGCGGGGAGTCAACTGAAAAAAGAGTTACTTGCCCCAGCAACCCCACTTCTGGGAATCTATCCTATGGAACTAAAAGCACCAAGGTGGAAGGAGATATTTTATATATATATATAGTTTATTGCAGTATATTTACATTTACTCACTAGCAAATGGTGTAATGAATTATGACAGACCCACCCTCTGCAATATTGTTAAGCAGGCTATTTATGATCTACTGATAGCAAAAAAATAAAGTTTTTATGAGCATAAGGAGTAAGTGGAAGGATACAATTAACACTGGGAGACTAGAGAGAGATAGGCAGACTCATAACTTTCTTTATATGCCTCTTTTCGATTTAGTCACAAGTAGTATAGAATCAATTTGTACACATACACATATATATGTGTGTGTGTGTATATATATATATATAAATTATGTAAAGTATATTATATATGTAAAAAAAGGACTGTAAGGAGATAATATATAAGTTTTGTCCCCTATCCATTTTTTCTTTTTTTGGAATCCTTTGTTCTAGAATGTAATTTTTTGAACCAACCCTTAGGGTATCTGAAAATGATGAAGAGGAATAGGGAGAGGGTTTCCAAGTTGGCAAAGGAAACTGAAGTTGCAGAATATCTAGAGAATTAATGTTTCGGGAAGAAAAAACTCAGAATGCAAAAGCACTGAGGTAGAGGGTGTCTGGAGTGTTCAGAAATAGCAAGGAAGTCAGTGAGGTTAGAGCTGGGTGAAAGGAACGATTAGAACAAAACAGGTTATAAAAGGACCCAGGGGCCAAATCATCCAAAATATTTTCAATTTTTTTAAACTGCAATTCAAAGTAAGAAAAATACTTTAGCATCATAAACAAGTCATCCCTACATACACATGTACACACACACACACACACACACAAACACACAGATCATAAACCACAGTTTGAGAAACAATAAATTTTATTCTAAGTTTGAGAAAACATCACCGGAAGCAGAAGAGTTATAAGATTTGACTGGCGTTTAGAAGAATCACTCTGGCTGCTGTGTGGAAATAGACTAAAAGTAGGGTGGCAAGAGAGAAAACAAAGATTCCGTTTGGGGGATATTGAGACAGCGGGCTAGCTAAAAGAGTGGTGGCTAGACTAGAATGTCAGCAGTGGAAACAATGAAAGGTGATTGGATTTAGCATGTATTTTTCATACAAAGCCACCAGAGCATACGGATAATTTAGATGTGTCATGTGAGAGAAGAAGTATCAGTAATGTCTCCTACAGGGGTATGATCAACTGGGCGAACGGTGATGCCATTTACTTAAAAGAACAGCAACATAGTAACAGCAAATTGTAGCAAAGAGGGAATAAAGAGGTCTACTTGCCTTTCAGACACCCACTTGGAGAAGTTGAGTGGGTCCGTTTGAAGTTAGAATGGCCATGTGGCTTGCTTTGGTCAACGAAGTATGAGCAAAAGTAAAGTGTGTCACTCTGGTGGAGATGTAAATTTGGATGATGTCACTATCTATGTGGCCAGCAAGTAAAGTCACAGAACAAACAGAAAGCTTTTAGGGCAGGATTTTTAAACTGTGAATCTTGGCCCTTTTAATCAGTCCTGAAATGCATGTACGGGTCATGGCAGGCATTCTTTGAATGAAATGAAATGGATAGGATAGGATGGGATGGGATGGAATAGAATAGAATAGAATAGAATAGAATAGAATAGAATAGAATAGAATAGAATAGAATAGAATAGAATAGAATAGAATAGAATAGGAATAGAATAGAACAGAATAGAACAAGAATAGATCAAAGGACACCACATGCACACTTAGCAAGAACTACACCCTTGTCCAAAAAAAAAACCATGCAACCAATTATTTGATCTTCTATTCACCTACATCTCATTTGACTTTCCAGTAGGTGATGGTTTACCATAACAGGATGGTTCATGTTGTATACATTTTCAGTTAAGACATAGGAATTGAATATAAATAGATAGAGAAAAATCCCTGGGTCACAACCTAAAGCTAGTCCTCCCTTCACTATCCCTTTTCTACCTTGTTCTCTTTCTTTAGATGAGTTTATAAGCCATCTGGGATACATAATACTACAAGGACCAAAAGGCCCATCCATGACCACTCAACCCATGGTTATTTTTGCATGTACTCAAGAATCTTGATGACGGTGTCATTTTTGTGTGTTTACATCCATACCTCCAGTCATATTTGTGTGCCTCCATTATTTGAAATCATAAAATTAATAAACCCAAATTTTCTTTCTCTTCTTTAAAATTCAGGTTTTATATATGAGATAGGAAAAAGAATGAAAGAATCTCCATGACTTCCATACATTTGAGTGGTTGCTAACTGTTATCTCCTATTATAATAAGATTCATATGAACAAGCACTTACATTCAAGTTAAATGACTTGAAATACTCAATCGACAACAAATATTTATGGAACAGCCATTAGGCTGCAGGAAAATTATCTCAGTTGTTTCTCATGACAACTTTTGGTGGGATAAATTAATGTCTCTATTTTATAGTTGAGAAAACCAAGACTTGTGCAGTTTAATGAGTTGCCTATTCAGCTAATCAGTGGGACTTGGGATTGCAAACCAGATCTTTTTGGAGTCAAGCCAAGCTGGTTCTTGTTACACTATTATCACAACAGCTTCCTCTAAGTGTGCTGTTGGCATTGTTTGTCAAAGGAAGAGATTGTAAGCACCCTACTTCATTGTCAAAAAGGGAGTGGTTAAGTCAATTATGGTACATTTAATCAATTAAACACTAATGCAAGAACAAGAACTATTTGATATGATATAGAAAGGTCTCCAACATATGCTATGCAGAAATAAAATGACAAAATAAGCCAACGATCAAAAAAGACAGAATAGTGTTTATTGAACATTCTTATTTCAGTAGCAAAAAAAGGTTATATACATATATCTACATACACACCACATATGCTTATACATGAAGAGAAAATTTTAAGTATGATATATGAGAGCCTGCTAACAGTGGCTGCCAATGGTGAGAAGGACTTGAGGGTCTAAGGTAAGAAATAACATTACTGGCCAGGCATGGTGGCTCACACCTGTAATCCCAGCACTGAGAGGCCAAGGCAGGTGCATCATTTGAGGCCAGGAGTTCAAGACCAGCCTGGCCTACATGGTGAAACCCCATCTCTACTAAAAATACAAAAAAAAAAAAAAATTAGCCTGGCATAGTGGTGTGTACTTGTAGTCCCAGCTACTCGGGAGGCTGAGGCAGAAGAATCACTTAAGCCCAGGAGGCGGTGTAGTGAGCTGAGATCACGTCATTGCACTCCAGCCTGGGTGACAGAGTGAGACTCTGTCTCAAAAAAAAAAAAAAAAAAAAAAAAAAAAGAAAGAAAGAGAGAGAGAGAAGAAAAAGAAAGAAAGAAAGAAGAAAAGAAAAGAAAAGAACTTTTTACTTTTCATTGTTTCCTATGTGTGCTTCTAACCTGTGTGGTAGTCATGAGTGGCAGTTCAAATAATTTCAAATCTCTTCCCTGGCACATGGCAAGAATGCACTCCTCCCACCCTTTTTGAGGTTAGACTGTGTGGCTTGTTTTGGTCAATAAAATGTGAGCAGATGTGAAATGTGTCATGTGTGGGTCAAAGTTTTAGGTATCAATGTCCAACTCACCACATTCCCTTCTTTTGTCCCAACCACAGTGAAAGCATGTGTAGAGATAAAGCTTTCATCAGCTGGGGTCCCTGAGTGACTATGATGAGCAAAGCTCCGCTGCCAACTCATATCAGACACATAGAATGAGAAATAATTCATGTTGTAAATAATCCTTAGTGAAGCCACTAACATTTGGAGTTGTTTGTTTTGGCAGCATCACCCAGCCTATCCTGCCTGATAGAACATTACAAACCCAAGCCTGTAGTTCCAGTGCTTTTGGAGGTGAAGTGGGAGGATCATTTGAGGCCAGGAGTTAAAGACCAGCCTGGGCAACACAGCAAGATCCCATATCTACAAAACATTTAAAAAATTAGCGAGCATGGTGGCACGTGCCTGTAGTCCTAGCTACTTGGGAGGCTGAAGTAGAAGGATTGCTTGAGCCTGGGAATTTGAGGCTGCACTGAACCAAGATTGTGCCACTGTCCTTCAACTTGGTGACAGAGAGAGAACTTGCCTCTCTCTCTCTCTCTCTCTTTCTCTCTCTCTCTCCCTCTCTCTCTCTCTCTCTCTCTCTCTCTCTCTCTCTATATATATATATATATATATATATATATATATTAGCTGGACATGGTGGCACACATCTGTAGCCCTAGGTACTCGAGAGGCTGAGGCAGGAGGATCACTTGAGCCCAAGAGTTCAAGGCTCCAGTGAGCCATGATCCTGCCACTGCATTCCAGCCTGGACAACAAAGTGAGACCCTGTCTCCAAAAAGATTTTTAAACAAAGAAATGCTAGGGAGTGCAAAGGAAATACAAATCTACAATTACATTGTAACATTTTCATACTTTTAAATGTTAAGGAAAAACATATGTTTTAAAATAATATATCAGTTTATTTACTTATTAAGCAAATATTTATTGAGGACCAAATATGTCCCAAGCACTACAGGCACAGGGGAAATACCATTAAAAAAAAACAAACAGGCCGGGCGCGGTGGCTCACGCCTGTAATCCCAGCACTTTGGGAGGCCGAGGCGGGTGGATCACGAGGTCAGGAGATTGAGACCATCCTGGCTAACACGATGAAACCCCATCTCTGCTAAAAATACAAAAAATTTGCCGGGCGTGGTGGCGGGCGCCTGTAGTCCCAGCTACTCTGTAGAGCCGAGATTGCGCCACTGCACTCCAGCCTGGGTGAGAGAGCGAGACTCTGTCTCAAAAAAAAAAAAGATAAACAAGAGCCCCACTCTCACAGTTAACACAAATTAATAAGTAAGATGATATCAGGTAACGATGCAAGCTCTGATGGAAATAAAGTTCCATGATATTATCAGAAAGGACTGGGTGAGTAGTTGGTCAGAGAGGTTTCTGGGAATAAATGGCTTAAGCTGATGGTTGCAATTACAATACAGTGGACCCTTGAACAACATGGGTTTGAACTGCATGGGTCCACTTATCTGTGGATTTTTTTCAACCAAATGCAAATCAAAAATACAGTATTGCAGGATGGGAAGCCCACATATAGGAAAGGCCAACTTTTCCAATGCAAGGGCTTGAGTTTGCATGGATATACTTGGGGGCTGAAGGGGGGCGTATACCGAGGGACAACTGTGGTTATAAAACCACAAAGAAGTTTGTTTAAACTTTTCCATAGTCTCCAAATTTTCTCAAGTAGGTCTATGTTTCATTTTAAATCAGAATAACACCATAAAATAAATAAATAAGAGTGGGTAAAATGGTGGGGGTAATAAAGTCCTCAGCTAGAAAACCCAGGCGGCCCAGCCTTCATCTGGAAGGTGAAGGACCATATTCAGTTACACCTGCAGATGGAACCGATAGAGTCATAAGTGGATACAGAAACAAACGTTGGCACCTCTCTAAGTGGAGGAGGCCACAAATGGGAAATTTATCCCATAAGACATCAATCAGGATGGCAGTAAAAGGGGTGAAATGTGTACACACGTAAAAACAATTGAAAACATATTTGCCTAATTATACAGACAAGGATATCAAGATGAGTGCTGAAAGGGGATGAAAAACTAGGAGATATGGAATCTCTGTTCTAATGGAACCCAACTCCAAGGCTGGCAATATGGCCCCAGGGACAAACACCGCCAACTACAAAAACATTAAAGAGTTAATAAAGCTTGTGAAGTGTTCCCAAAGAAAGGAGAATCTGAAGGAAGCCACAATTCTGCTTTTATCAGCAATTACTCTCATATTTTTGTATCAAGCTAACTTTGTTAAATCATTCTGCAAAGGTCAAGTGGGATGTGTCTTTTCTGGACTATTTTCATATTTCATGACACAGACTAAATAACTGCATAGTATACACTGTATTTCCAAAGACTGGAAGACATTTACACCCAAATGCTATTTCCTTTGGTGTGATATTAGTCACTTAGACAATGGGGTTTTATATGACGCTGTGTACGTACCGTCTCTCAGCCAGTTCCTTCTTAGGTGCCTGAAAATTTTCCAGTTACCAGCTGTCAGAAGTCCATTTTAACTGTTTCTCATTAAAATAAGACACCAGTTTCAATTCATCTTGAAAGCAACAGGGCATGATATCCTCAGGTTGCCATAGTCAACATGTTTCTTGAGCGAAATAATTTATTCAAAAGGCATGAAATCCATTTAGCTCCTAGGATAGTAACTTTTGAGCTGTCAAAGTTCTGTTAGTCAATATGCCTTCTTTTTCCTCATATTAGGGCAAAGTTGGAGACACTGAATAGTTGACCAATGCAAAAGAGGACCCCAATAGTTAAATTGTTATTATATCACTGTTATAATTTTGAAAGTGGCAATGAAACAACAGAGCACCGTATTTATGCAGTATCTTTTACTCAGAAATTATGACACTTTCTGCAAATACTATCTCATCTTCCTTTCAGCATCCCTAACGAGTGGGCACTATCAGATGTTATTATCCCCAGTGCAAAGAGGCAAAGAAAACAAAACGTTTTTGGTGGATGTGTTTGGACTGTGGCTCTTTAATTTTTTTTTAGTCTTTCTACTCTTCCGTATTTTTCAGTTTTTCTTTAATTAGTTATTATTTTTACAATGAAAATAGAATTTTAACATTTTGAAGCAAATACTAACAGATACATCTCATCCCATCGCATACTACCTAAAACATGGATTTAATGTCTTTTCTCTGCCTTATTGTCAGCAACCCATTGGCCTCTATGCCACACATGCTTCCTCATTAAGGAGCAGAGTGTCATACCCTTTATACCCACGAAGGAAGAAAAGACAATAACATCTTAGAAAGGTCACTATATGTGCCAGAACTGTTCTAAGACACATAAACTTAACCCAGTTAATCTCACCAACCTATGAGCTAAATATTCCTTAACTTTCACTTGGTAGATCTGAAAATGGCAGCTCAGAGAAGCTACATCTCAATGGTATAAGTCAGCCAATAATAAGAGATCAAATCAGGATCCAAACTCATGTCTGACTGAGTCTAAAACCAACATGCTTTCCAGTCCTAAACACGCAGCTCAAGTCTCTTCTTGCTACTTTCTTAGTGTTTCCAATTCTGCCTCCCTTCAATGTGTCTTCCATCAAGGATGGAAATGAGATAATATCCCTCTTCTGCTTGAAAGCCTTCAGACAAGCTCCCACTGCATATAGAATCAAATCTAAGCTCATCACTGTGGCCAGCCTCATCATATGCCACATTGCACCACCCCACCCCATTCAACCCCTGCACACCTGACGCAAGCACCTAATTTCAGTACCTCAAACAGGCAAAGCTCTTTCTCAAATCTGGGCCATCACACACACTGTTCCCTCTGTCTAGAAAACCTCTCTATTTTCTTCCCAGGGCTTAATTTCAGGACCTTCACTGACCAGTCGGCCTAAGTAGGTCCTGCTATTTTCTCCTCATCCTATTCTTTTCCTTTTAACACTAAGCATAATTTCAAATTAGATGTTCATGTTTTTATTAATTTATATCTATCTTCCCCACATGAGCTTCAGAAGCTGAGAATCAAGTCCGTTTGTTGACCAAAACAACAAAGACACTAAAACAATTCCTGGCTGGTAGAAGATTTTCAAGAAGTATTTACCACATAAATGAATGAAAGAGTTAGATCTCAAGTCTCACTGACTCCCAGTTCACATTCTCATTGTTAACATGATTTTTTAGTGTTCATTCAAAAGGTCATTTGTCCTGCCTGGGTCCAACTCTGCCATCAATTAGTATTTGCCTTGCTTTCATCTTCAAGAGTGAGTTAATAGTATTACTGAAACACCATTCTTCTTTCTTTCTCCATCATTTTCATGAATTCCACGGGGTTCATCTGAGCTAAGCATATGGCTGCCATGTACCTAAAAAAACTGGGTCTCTTTTAGCAAAGAAGAAGATAGGAATGGCCACTTGGGTGGTCAAAAAAATAAACCACTTCTTGCTGTGGACCATAGACCTGTGCCTGCAAAAATCCACTCACAGTTTCTCCCTAAAACTACAGATTTCTGGCTGGGCGCCGTGGCTCATGCCTGTAATCCCAGCACTTTGGGAGGCCAAGATGGGCAGATCACGAGGTCAGGAAATCGAGACCTTCCTGGCTAACATGGTGAAATCCCATCTCTACTAAAAATACAAAAAAAAATTAGCCGGGTGTGGTGGCAGATGCCTGTAGTCCCAGCTACTCAGGGAGACTGAGGCAGGAGAATGGTGTGAACCCAGGAGGCGGAGCTTGCAGTGAGCCAAGATCGCCCCACTGCACTCCAGCCTGGGCAACGGAGCAAGACTCTGTCTCAAAAAAAAAAAAAACAAAAAAACACAGATTTCTGTAAAATTCAAACAAACAAACAAAACTAGAAAAGTCTTTCTACCACAGATTTTGATACTCCTAGTAACTGCTCCTCCAGAACTCTTATGTCACTCTTAAGAATCAGTCTTGCTATGGAGATATTCCTCAGTGTACAAATACAAGGGAGTTGGGGAGGCTGGAAACCACTGCCTTGAACTGACTCTTACTGCACTTTCTCTGAGCTTTAGATACATACCTGTTTTCATGACTTAAGTTGCAGTGATAAATAAGCTACCATCAGTAAACACTCTTTGGAGTAGAGATAAGCTTATTTTTTTCCTTGTTTGTAGCTTTAGTCCCATTATTTTTGTAACTCTCTGTGATAAAAGAGAGATTTAAAAACCATGACCACCTATGGTGTAAAAAAGAAACTATGGATATATCTTCTTAATAAATTATGTTCATATGAAATAGATATTTTGTGGCTCACACCTGTAATCCCAGTACTTTGGGATGCCGAGGCGGGCAGATTACTTGAGGTCAGGAGTTCGAGACCAGCCTGGCCAACATGGCGAAACTCTGTCTCTACTAAAAATGCAAAAATTAACCGGGCATAGTGGCAGGAGCCTGTAACCCCAGCTACTTGGAGGGCTGAGGCAGGAGAATCATTTGAACCTGGGAGGTGGAGGTTGCAGTGAGCTGAAATCATGCTATTGCACTCCATCCTGGGTGACAGAGGGAGACTCCATCTCAAAATAAATAAATAAATAAAGCTATTTTGTAACTTCTTCACTCATGGTCATTAAAAATAATCCCTTCATTATTTTTGTAAACTGGATAGATTAATGTGTAAGTTTAAAAGCTCAGGAACACATTTTATAATCTGCATTTTATGATTAAGGTGATCAAATAATAATATTAATAGCTAACATTTATTGATTGTTCACCATAGTCCAAACAAATGCAAGATTTCATTTAATCTTCACTAGTGTATGATAAAGAAATCATCATCATTTTTCTTTCTTTACAGAACTGGAAATTAGACAATTTAGATAACTTATTCAAACTCACACAGCTAGCAAAACATTTTAAAATTGCTAATCCAGAATTTTAAAAACTAATCCTATCATTCCCTCAAAGTCTTTGCTCTTTAGCACTAGGCTGCACAGCCTTGAGAATATCACGTTCAAAGCAATATGACATTGTTAAAGACATGGAAGGTAGAGAGGGGAGGAGTTGTCTCAGAAGAATGTCTCTTGTACATGGCATCCTATCAAGCCGAGCAGCTTGGGGTTCATTAATGGATCTGTGGAATCCTTAGGCAGAGATGAGGCCATCTCTTCTCTGGCCATGCAGTAGTTTCCATCTCATGTATTGTCACAAGCACCAAAATGCATCTCTCCAAAATGATGTTTTCAACAACATATTTTAGATTGTTTAGATTGTGTTTCTGGCTGCTTCAAAAGCCTTGTCTAGCAGCTTTACATGGACTTAGGAGGAATCCCTTACAATATCCCACAAGGTCCTACAAGACCCAGTTTCTGCCATTCTCTCTGGTGGCATTTCAATCATTTACTCCTTGCTTGCTGTGCTGGACATTGCCCAGAAATAATCAATCTAGTCTTCAGTCTCAGTCCTTAAGCCTGAGCCATGAGGTTCAACTGCAGAAAATCACTCCCTCCACACCTGGGTGTTCAAGGCTGTGCCACCATCCTTCCCTGTGTCCCAAGACAATGCCTTCAAGCAATGATTTTATTTATTTAGTGATTTATTTATTTATACTTTTATTTTAGATACAGGGAGTACATTTGTAGGTTTGTTACATGGGTATTGCACACCTAGGCAGTGAGCATAGTACCAAATAGGTAGTGTTTCAACCCACACCCATCTCCCTCTCTCTCCGCTCTAGTAGTCCACAGTGTCTATTTCCCCTGTTTATGTCCATATGTACTCCATGTTTAGTTCTCACTTGTAAATGAGAACAAGAGGCATTTGGTTTTCTGTTCCTGTGTTAACTCACTTAGGATTATGGCCCCCAGCACCATCAATGTTACTGCAAAAGACACAATTTCATTTTTTAGAGCTGTGTAGTATTCCATGGTATGTATCTACCACATTTTCTTTATCCAGTTCACCATTGATGAACACCTAGGTTGACTCCATGTCTTTGCTATTGTGAATAGTGCTATGATGAACATATGAGTGAATGTGTGTTTTTAGTATAATGATCAATTTTGGGGGTTGGGGTATATATACTTAGTAATGAGATTGATGGGTCAAATGGTAGTTCTTTTTTAAGTTCTTTGAGAAATCTCCAAACTGCTTTCCACAGTGACTGAACTAATTTTCATTCCCACCAAAAGTGCACAAGTATTCCCTTTTCTCCACAGCCTCACCAGCATCTGTTGTTTTTTTTTTTTTTTGACTTTTTAATAACAGCCATTCTGACTCTTGTGAGATAGTATTTCATTGTGTTTTTGATTTACATTTTGATGTAAATGATGCTGAGAATTTTTTCACATGTTTGTTGCCTGCTTGTGTGTCTTCTTTTGAGATGCCTGTTTATGGTCTTTGTCATTTTTTAATGGTTTTTTGTTTGTTTGTTTGTTTTTGCTTGTTGATCTAAATTCCTTATAGATTCTGGATATTAGACTTTTGTCAGATGTATAGTTTGCAAATGTTTTTCTCCCATTCTGTAGGTTGTCTGTTTACTCTGTTAATAGTTTCTTTTACAGTGCAGAAGCTCTTTAGTTTAATTAGGCTCCACTGTCAATTTTTGTTTTTGTTGCAATTGCACTTAGCCAAAAATTATTTGTCAAAGTTGATGTTGAGAAGGATATTTCCTAGGTTTTCTTCTAGGATTTTTATAGTTTGAGGTCTTTCATTTAAATCTTTAATCCATCTTGAGTTAATTTGTGCATGTGGTGAAAGGTAAGGATCTAGTTTTATTCTCCTGTCTATAAGCAGCCATCTTAAATGCTACTCCACCCCCACTCCATCACCATTACCCCCATAAACACCTGCTCTCAACTTTAGAAAAAATAGAGGCAGCAGAAATGAACTCCCTCAACTTCAAGCTTTCCTCTTCCACCTGCAAATGTGTCTGCATTCTTTCCCACTTCCTTTGTTTAAGTAGAAAATATTTAAAAGACTCATGTATTCCTGGATAAAGCCAGTCCTTCTGTATGTGCACTGCATCCTGTTCATTTCCTTCCTGCTTTGCAAGGACTTGCTTGCTTCCATCCATCGGCCCCCTTTCTTATAACACCTCTGTTAGTCCTCTGGGGCTGCCATAACAAAAGTACCACAAACTGGGTAGTTTATGAAAACAGAAATCTTACTCTCACAGATCTGGAGGCTGGAAGCCTGAAATCAAGTGTCTGCAGCGTTGATTTCTTCTGGGTGCTCTGGAAGAATCTGCTCCATGCCTCTCTCCCATCCTCTGGTGGTGGCTGACAGTCCTCTCACCCTTGGCTTGCAGCTGCAGCCCTTCACTCTCACCCTCTGTCCTTGCATGACATTTTCCCCTCATGTGTCTGTGTCACTTCTCTTTTTATAAAGACACTAGTCATATTGGATTAAGGGCCCATCATACTCCACTATGACCTCATCCTCATTTACATTTTAATTATAGCATATCCACAAAGACCTAATTACCAAATAAAGTCACATTCACTGGTATCAAGGATTAAGACCTGAACATACATTTTTTGGGGTTGCAAAATACAAAACACAATAATTTCCCATGCTATCAACCTATTCCCCTCAGCCCACGAACGTGGTTAAAGCTCTCCAATCTTATGAAAAAAAATACCCTGTTTCCCGAGCCATCTATGACTTTTAAACAAATATCTTTGGCCAGACATCACTTCATAACTTCAGATTTATGTATCCAGCCACCTATTAGACAACTCCCCTTGGAGGTCTTAGGGTCACTTTACCACCTGTAGGTCATGCACAAAAAGAAGGCATTACCTTCTTCATGCCTACTCCTCCTCCTGTATTCCCTGTCTTGAGGAGTAGAATCACTGCCAGCCCATCACCCAGGAGAGAATCCTGGAAATTACCCTAGATTCCTCTCTGTGCTAACCTTGCACAAACATCTGTCAACAAGACCTATCAGCAGTTTACCTCTAAATACCTCCCAAATCCCTTCCCCTGCTCCACGGTGCTGCTCTGAGCCCTTTTCATCTTTCCTTAAACTACTGCGATAGCTTCTTAAATTAGAATCCCTGCCTTCAGTCAATCCCATTCAAACTGTTCTCCACAATGATTTTAGATACCACATCAAAGACAACTGTGTCCTGTAGACCAGTAAGAACAATGCTCACTTAGAAGCTTTGACACTTACTATATGATTGTTGTTTTTGTAAACTACTGTAAGGTTTAGGAGGAAAAAATCCAAGAAGAGTATGAAGGTCTGCCTTTGGGGCAGCAGGACAGGAAAAGAGCTAGTCAGATTTCATCTTACCGGGCATCAAAGCTTGCCTGTTGCTTTAGGAGAGTACTTAAACTCTCTAAGCATGAGATGATATCACCACATTGTTGAGTTGCTGTGAGTATTTTTGGATAATATATAAAGTCCCTTTCATAATGCTGGAGAGGCCATACTTGTAAAAGCTCAGTAAAATACAACTATTATAATTATAGAGTTATTTTTAAATTGGCAATCTAAGTTGTCGGTCTTCTACTTAGAGCTCTTCAGTGGAATCTTTTCTTCTTTAGAATAAGATACAAATGTGTCAACTAAATACAGCACAAAGCATTGTGTCACTGGGTCCTGGCTACCTTTCCAAGCCCATCTTTCCTTGCTTCTCCATGATCTCACCCAAAGGCAGTTCTCAAAGTATGTTAAGCTCTTGCCATGAAAAACTCATTTCCCCTCAACCCAATCAAGTCAAGCTTCTACTCCTGGATATTTTTCTTTTCACCTTTCAGACCCAAACCAGTGTCCCCTCTTCCAAACCTTCCTGGATCACACTACCCAGGTCTGGCTCAGGAGACCCTCCTCTTTGTCCAACCCTCTTCAGGTGAGGTATCTACTTACTCACGTCTTCCTAATTCTGCTATGCACTCCTTGAAGCAAAAAAAGACCCACTCATGGACAACCCATTATGGGACTCTAAAGGTTTACATTTAATTAGAAACCTGAGGTATTGAAACTCCAGGAAGAAGCCATTTACCTTACAGGGCTAAAATTGGTGCATGAACCTGCAAAGCAGTGGACAGGGCTGAGGAATGACTAGCTATCAATGATAGATGGTTAAGTTCTCCAACTATCTCCATCAGACCACTTCCACCATCATTCTATCATATAGACAACTGGTGTTATATTTATCAACAAGATTCAAATGCAGCTTAGACATCCCTTTCTCCCATCATCATTGCTTCCCTTCACCCCCATCTGCTCTTACACAGTTGAGCTGGAGCTGTCAACACTGTGAGGATTGAGCAACCATAGCCAGTAGGCAATCTTTTAAAAACTGGCTCAGTATTATATTCATATTATATTAGCAGAGTAAGCAATGATCCACAATGCCTTATAAAACGTAGAAAGCCAGTTTCTCTTACAAGCTTAAATAATGTGAATGGGGGTCTAGAGGTCTAATAGTAACAGTAAGCAAGTATTTAAGAATTCACTGAGGGCATATTCTAACTGAAACATGGTGTTGTGGAGAGATTACTAAATGAAAAAGTAGGAAGCCTGAATTGCATTCCTGATTCCACCATTACTAGCTGAGTCGGAAATATTAGACAATCATTTGACTTTTCTGTTGCTTAATATTCTTGCTGTAAACTGAGAATTGTATTCATGTGCTGCCTTCTTGATGAAGATATTGGGAAGAGCAATGTAATGTATGTGAAAATTCCTTGAAATTTAAGGTGTTATACAGACCATCACAGATACATAATACTACTCCTCAAACTCTTTGATATTCACAATTACATAAAAAGTCTACAAATATAGAAATAGATACAGAGATATTTTCTTACTATCAATGTTCAAGTTGACTTTTTCTTTTTAATATTAAATTTGAGAGTAAAAACAAAAGAAAAAGGAAAATAAGTTAGGTGAGATAAGAAGATAAAACAAAATAAAACAAACCCCCCAAAAAAGTACTTGAATTTTGCAAAAAAAAAAAAAAAAAAAGAAAAGAAAAGAAAACCAGACTTAAGAAATTTAGTTTTTATTAATATTCCCTTTATTGCACACTGTAAGCAGAGAATAGGTCTGAACAAAAAGAAGAAATTGAGCACATAAAAAGTCCTATACTTTAAATTAAATCACACATGTTACTAGAATTTTAGAATTTTAGACACATGGAGAAATGAGACAGTTATGTAGTAATTGACATTAATAATAATTTTTTTTTCTAAAAATTTTTTGTGGCCAGGTGCAGTGGCTCATGCCTGTAATCCCAGCATTTTGAGAGGCCAAGGGGGGTGGATCACTTAAAGTCAGGAGTTCAAGACCAGCCTGGCCAACATTGTGAAACCCCGTCTCTACTAAAAACACAAAAATTAGCCATGAGTGGTGACAGGAGCCTGTAGTCCAGCTACTCGGGAGGCTAACACAGGAGAATCACTTGAACCTAGGAGGCAGAGGTTGCAGTGAGCCGAGATCATGGCACTGCACAATCTGGGAGAAGAGCAAGACTTCGTCTCAAAAAAAAAGAAAAACTGGTTTGTTTGTTGTTGTTGTTGTTTAATTTACTGTACTTGAACGGTCATGAAAAGGTATACTTAGTATACTCATAGGTTTACTTGGCTAAAGGCTGGAAGAGAATATATAAAACTGAAAATGTCTTTCGTATTGGTAGAATAACATACTGTTAAGCTTTCTCTAAAATTGGACTGTTGTCTTTATTTTTTAATTGGAATGAAATTGAATTGATAGAACTTTTTTTAAGAAAAGAAATGTTACTACTATCGAACATATATAGTAACTTCAGCTGCCAACTAAAGAAGTGTTGCCAAACACAAATTTCTATGTCCTTTCAAAAACAAATACATGCCCTCTGAATTATAATTGCCATATAACTTTGTTCATTCATAAGTAGTTCTTCTTGTGATCTTGAAGACTTGACTTTATTAAGTACTCTTATTATTGTCAGAATAATCATATTGACATCATAATATTCTTGGCAAGTTCTTTATTTCCAGTATAAAAATTAACTAAACTTTAGCTTTTATCATATAATCATACAAACTATATTTTAAGTTTATCCATATATTAGAGCTTCTTGAATGTAGGAATCATGATTTGTTTTGTCTATCTCCCAAACACCTGGGATGTAGAGTAAATGCAGTGAATTCTATAACATCCTAAATGCCTTCTGTATTTTCTTCTCCAATTGTAATGGACCATCTCTTTTACATTATCAGAAAACCACAAAGACTAAAACACACAATTACAGAATTTTAGTATTTAAATCAATTGCAGCTGAAAACAAGTAAATCTGTTATGTTTAAGGTGTAAAGAACTATTCATGTGCTGCATAATAATCAAGCATACATGGTAAGCAACAATTTAATTCCATTCAATAAGCATGTCAGACAGGTTGACAGTGAACAACACAAAGTTGGAAATGCAAGAATGACCAAGACACTGTCCTTATCTTCCAAAAACTTAAACTATGGAGGAAATAGACAAATCTAAAACAGTTATGAAACTGTTCCTATGGGTAAGTCTGGTGTTCCAGATCTCCTGGTATGGTGACTAAAAAGGACCATTCTCCCTTTCCTTTTCATATCCAGCTTCTTGTAGTGCAAAGAGCCATACTGCTTACTGATAAGAAGTACAGCGTTTGAACAGGTTCCTCTCCTCCAAACACTTCTGGGAATTCCTGAGAAAAGATTGTATCTTTCCTAAATCTCACTCTGTCATCTCAGTCAACCAGCTAACTTTGAATGGCTGCTGCACACAATGCTGCTTGCCCTCTGGAGATTAGCCTTCCTCCAGCAGCGTCCGTATGCATTGCATCATCTCTCCCCAACTTGGGCATGGATCCTTCCCTGAATTCCTTAGGATGATGGCTAAGGCTGTCTAAGCCTTTTTAAAGGGTTGGGTATAACTGAAAGGGACTGTGTTATAGTTCATTCAGGCTGATAAAACAGACTACCATAAACTGGGAGGCTTATGAACCACAGAAGTTTATTTATCACAGTTCTGGAGGCTGGGAAGTCTCAGATCAAGGCGCTGGCAGATTTAGTGTCTAAGGAGAGCCTGTTTCCTGTTTCATAGATGGCACCTTCTCACTGTGTCCTCAGATGGCAGAGAAGAGGAAGCTAACTCTCTTGGGACTCTTATTGGTAAGGACACTAATCCCATGCATGAGGGCTTCACCTTACCGACCTCATCTAATCCTAATTATCTTCCAAAAACCCCACCTTATAATACCATTACCCTGGGGATTAGGATTTCAACATAAAAATTTGGGGGCAGGGTGGGGAGGGGACGCAAACATTCAGGCCATAGCAGACTGCAAAACAGAAAACTCAAGCCTAGGCATAAGCTGCAGACTCTCCCAGATCCTTCTCTGTCTTTCTCTACCTGGCTCTCTCTCTGCAGGGGATTGGTGTATGGAGCACACGCTTGACTCCTGTGCCCTCTGGTTCTAACTGGGTTCAGTCAATGGAAGCCCCAGCAGGAGTTGGGAGACGAGAAGAAAATTAGACCAGGACATTTGTCCCCTGGATCCCTCCCTTTGAGGTTTCCTCTGGATGTCTGCATCCCTTCCTCAGAGGTCACTGTCAGAACCACTTGTGCTACACGGCTCTTTATTTCCAGGTTTCAGTAAGCTCACCCTCCCCACTCCTTAGCTGTCCAACTATCCTCAGGTTTCTACATCATCCTTTGTGATTTCCCTCCACCACTTCACATTTGTAAATAGTCTCTTATTAGAAATGCTTCTCTAAATTTCCAATTCAAGTGTGGCGGCTGTTTTCTGTTGGGATCCTGACTCAGCCGTGATTGCCAGAGAGGACAGCAGCTCTCCCAGACCCACATTCCTCTGCTCGAGTCCTCAGCCTGCCCCTGTGTTTCTGGGAGTAGTTTCCTTCCCTTGAGCAGGCCTCTACTCTTCCAAGCCAGAAAGAAGGAGTTGGTTTCCTACAACTAAATATAATCTGCAAACATAAAACTCTACCTACGAGCTTTGACATGCTCATACAAAGCTGCTTAGCTTCTCATCATCTCTATGTGCATCTACGTGTAGTACACCCTCCATCTCAGAGTCAGATATTTGCTTTCCCTTTACACAATCATCAAGAGACCCACTAGCGTGCTTGCAAAGGGGAAAAGTGCCCCAAAGAAGAATTTAAACTTGGAGCTCAAAATAGAAGAGAAAAAAACCGCAGTTTTTCTCATTTTGACCCAACAAAGTTGAGCAAAGAGATCTTGGGGCCTGTCCTCCGCAAAGCCCCAGTTATACACAACTGGATAATTAGTAAGAATGGATCATCCCAGTAAGCCTGGAACAATCTGTAGAAGTATTGAGGAACATTGCAGCTTCCCAGGCAAATGCCAGGGACAAGCATGGAGCAGCTTCGAGACCTCCAATAAAGAGCTGTCCACCTATAAAAATGCAACTGGGCCACTAACAGTGAGCATTACCCCCCTACCAAACTTTGGGGGTCAGCTTAGGAAGAGGATAATGATAGCAGACATATGTTCCTTCACCCATGAGTTAGTTTCTTTCTTTCTTTTTTTTTTTTTTTTTTTTGAGATGGATTCTCACTCTGTCACCCAGGCTGGAGTGCAGTGGTGAGATCTCGGCTCACCTCAACCTCTGCCTCCTGGGTTCAAGCGATTCTCCTGCCTCAGGCTCCCGAGTAGTTGGGATTACAGTGCCCGCCACCATGCCCAGCTACTTTTTGTACTTTTTTAGTAGAAACAAGGTTTCACCATGTTGGCCAGGCTGGTCTTGATTTCCTGACCTCAAGTGATCTGCCTGCCTCAGCCTCCCAAAGTGCTGGGATTACAGGCTCACCCATGAGTTTCTTAACTGGCCCTTGAGATTGAGACTCTCTCAATCTGTTTTTAGGAAAGAAAAAATTGCCCCACTGCGCCTCATCTCAGACCTTCTGGACCCTATCAACCAGGATTTCTCAGAAGGCTCTGCCTGCGGACCCTTCTGATTAGAGAATCAGTGGGGGCCAGCCACTGTCTGATCTCCTGGCTCCTTTAATCCGATAACCTAAGAGCTGGCATCATGTAAAAGTGAATTGGCATGCCCTTTGCCACTGCATCTACCCAATAAATTTCCACTTATCCTTAGAGATTCAGCCCCAGGCCCACTTCCTCTGAAAAGTGCTCCTACGTCAGACACGTTGGTTCTTATACTAACTTTTGCTTACATGTTATTTGTGTTCCAACTCTTTCCTGAGTTATCCAGCTCATTCCTCTGCCCTGGGGTCTTTCAACAGCAGGAACTGTGTTTTATTCACCGTTAGAGTTCCACTGCTCCTACTTGCACAATAGGAGCTTGGTTAGTATCCAATGCATTAAGCAATTAATTAGGAAATAACAATCACTGCCCATTTCCCTCAACTCTGCAAGCAGTGAAAAGAGTCAGGGTTTGTGGGGATTATTTTTGAGAGTCGGGAGCTCTATGTATGTTCAGCGGCATGGAGTGGGGGATGCCAGACAAGCAGAATGGAAAGGCAGTTAGGTTTTCAGCTCCATGCTTTACACTCTCCCAAACGCCACAGAAGCACATGAGCCTGGGGAAAAAGATGTCGCCACGCCTCTTGGGGAAGAGCTCAAGCATTCCTCATTTTTGCATGGTGGGGCTTTGTAGGCCTCCAGCTGGGAAAACGATGGGATCATAACACAACAGCAACCAACTTGGCATGACTCTTCCTCCTAACTCCACCCCTCTTCCTCATGCACCATGGCCAGAACTCCTGCCTTTCTATGTCTCACCGTCTGGCTTGAGAGGGGGTAGTGAGGTTTGTTGGAAGATAAGGCTAAGCTGTGTCCATATTTCCTATCTCAGGTGTGCTGTGGTAAACAGCCCTGACTACTGCTTCAAGCCCCAGAAAACTTACCTAGTCAGGTGTGGCCACGGTTGCAATGCAGCCAGAGGCTTCTCCCGGAGCTCCTGCTTTGCCAACTTTCCTGGCATTTGTCTTTGTGGATTCTGAGTTCAGTAGTCTCAATGGTCTCTCTCTCTCTCTCTCTCTTTGTTTTTAATGTGCAGATTACTAAACAGCCAGGGCTAATAGTCACTTTTCTAAGCAATAAACCAACTGGCTATTTCCCTTTTCTGTTCTAATCCTCCCAGTGGTGAATCCCACACATCACCACCTTGTATCCTCTGCTACAGTCAAAATCATCAGAAATATGGCTTTTGAGTGACTTGTTAGGCCAGCTGCCTCTCACTCCTTCCCTAAGACTTCATACCAATCTAACCTGGTGGCAATCTGTGCACCTTTGGTCATGCAAATGTCTCCCTGCTCAGAAGATCATGTAGGGACAGTATAAGAAAATCACTTTTCATCTATTTATTTATTCATTTATTCAACAGGCATGTATTGAGTACCTGTAATGGATCAGACATGGTGCTAGGCACTTGGGACACCATGGTCAGCAATTCCAAAGGGGGATCTATGGAATAAAGAGAACTAACTCATATCACAGCCATCTGGTGAGAAGTCCTATACACAGCTCTGTTTTCTTCCTTTTCTCTCATACGTCATCTACCACTGACTTCCAGCTCCATGAGCACTTTTCTGAGGCTGAGGCTTGCCATGTGGAACTTTTTGCACAAATACTGCCACTCGTCACTTACTGTGCCCACCATGTTTGACACCGGCTTTCCTTATCCATGAATGACTTAACACCAAGACTCATTCACTCAGAATGGTTGAGGCTCAGGTAAATAGATTTCCTTTTTATAGATACTTTGGTTCTGGTCCTGTGTATTAATTTTAACTCTTAATTATGTAGTTTTCAGATAGATTCTTCCATGCCATATTCAGATAAAAGGCATTAATGAATCCATCTCCTTCTCCATTTAAGACTTCCTAAACTTATAGCCATGAGCCAGTGATCTTGTCTCTTACTCTGGTTCTATATGCCAGCACTAATGAAGATCCCTTCTAACCTAGGATGTTTCCCAAGCATCCAAGTGTGTATGAAAACACATTTCCAGACTGGGCTAAATCAAAAGCATAAAACAATATGCTTGTTTCTGTCACAGATGTGAAATGTATGATATCTATTCCTAGAAAAATTGCTGCCAAGGAATGGCTCAGCAGCTGACAATGGTACATCCACAATTTAATAATTTGAGTTTTAATTTTCAGCTCTTACTTTTAATTTTTCAAATGAAATCAAATAACTACATGGGCAAGGGGGAACCCCCCACATACAATCAGGTTCAAGTTCTGTTGAATGTCAAAGGGTCAAAGTTCTTAGGGCTGCTTGTCCCAGCAAATGAGGGTAGGAACTCTGACTGAAAGAAATCAGGTCACATTTCCCCAGAAATTGATTAGATATTTTAAGAGTCTGGAGAAAAAAGATCTACAGGGACTTTCAACATGAGAAGTAACAGCAGAGAAGTAGATTTCAAAGACATGCAGAAATAAGAAAAGGACACAAAGAAGTATATCAAAATAAGATATAAGCCATTCATGACAAGTTCTGATATCAGGAGACAGAAAGGAAAACTGATCATGTAAAATGAGTTTCTCTTGTGTAATCTGAATCCTGGCAGCATTCCTCTCATGTATTGGGAGTGAATGATTTTTTTAAATGCCTGTTTGCAACTTGAGTTTGGCATGAGGATAGACTGATATAATTAAGTGGGTAAAACAAACAGGTTCTGCCACATGGTTGCATAGAAGTCAAAGCCTTCTTTTGCCATTTCTGGCTATATGTAATGTTGGCCCAACTGCTTAACAGCTTTGGCCTCAGTCCATTCATCTATAAGTTTGGGTGAATAACACCCACCTTACGGGACATTGTGAGGATTAAACAAGACAATAAAAGTAAATGTGCTGTAAAGATTAACTTCCTTTCCTCTTAAATTATTTTTGGAAAAATTGTCAGAAGAAGAGCAACACATTTGATCAGAAAGATAAGTGTGTGAGCTAAAAAAAAAAAAATAAAGCATTTTACAACTTTGGAAAATGTTACCCACTGCATTTCAAGTTTTTGATATTGTTAAACTATGAACTCACGTGCATTCAATCAGCTGACCAGTCAACTTTCCTGTGATGTGGAATGTCCCACAGCAACAATCCCCAGTATGGCAGCTTCTGGCCTCGTGTGACTATCGCACACTTGAAATGTGGCTAGTGCAACTTAGGAACTAATTTTGTCATTTTATGTACTTTTGTTTCTTTAAATTTAAATAGGGATACATGGCTAGTAGCTTCTGAATTGGACAGCACCCTTTTAGATCTTCCTGACTGTAAGGTTCTCTCACACCAGTCTTGAGGAAGCAGAAGAGCATGAGTTTAAACACCTTGGGCACTGAGATTGTACTAGGTTCAAATCCTAGCTCTGCCACTGAGTGATTCATGTAAGTTCCTTGAGCCTCAGTTTTCTCATCTGTACAAAAGGAATGGTAGTGACATCACTTGCTGCATGTGACATGTGGAGAGTAATAAATAAGTTAATACAAGTAAGAGCTTCAAAAGGTATTATGATTATTCCTTCTAAAATAACAGTCCTCACACTTTATTGAAACTATGCATTTACTTCTCTGCCTTCTCTACTAGGCTACAAGCACCGCTATAACACAAGTGCCAATCACCATGCCTGGCACATTTGGACTCTCATTAAATACATTCAGGAAGAAGGGAAGGAGGGAGGGAGAGGAGAAAGGATCAGGAGAGGGAGGGAAGGAGAAGGAAGAAAGGAAGAATGAATGAAGTACGCAGTAATACCTTTCATGAAGAATAAAGTAGGCTGCTAAAATAAAATAAATAAAATATGAGAGTTTTAAATAAAAATTTCCGTGGAGATGACTTAGAGATGAAGATGGAACCGGGTACTCCAGGGAAAACATATCTCTAAGTGACAGTAAAGGGACTGGATAACTCTGAGAGAACCAAAGAAAGATGAAGGAAGCTAAACTGAAGGGTTTTTCTAGATGCTACACTGATAAAAACATAAACTTCAATCCTTAAAAGTGTGTTCAACCAAGCTTCTTCAAGAGAATACAACTGTGGGTTGTGTAACCTTATTTGTCGACAGAATACTCTCATAGAAAGGGTCCACCAGAAGTGAAGTTCATGTACATTGGGCTCCCCATTGCCAAGTTTTCATTTATACTACATTCACCAGTTCCCCCAAAAAAGCAGTAGTGGGCAAGTTTTCATAACTGTTTATTCATTATAAATAGTAAATATTTACTGCACTTTTTACATGAAAGACATTTTTACAACACATTGTTGTTGGTTGAGGCTGCAACACAAAGATAGTACTTCTCTTGTTCCATCACCCTCTAAGACCAATGCATGAACTAAATTCGGTACTATGTCTAGTCTCACTAACTCGCTACGTCATAGTTCTTAACTCTAAAAGGAATGTATTTGTGCCTACCTCATTCGTGGTTCCAAGAATAGAAAGAAATAAATAACACTGCCTTCCACCTTCTTGTTCCTCTCAACATCTCAAAAAGCAAATTTATTGACATTCTAAAATGTCACCACACAAACGTATGTAAACCTCAGTTCCTATAATCTTTTAATATTGGATATCATTGTATAATTTAAAAGTACATGAGAGCCATGTGAACACTTCTGTTCTTGCCCTGCCTTTCATAGAAAAGAGAAGAATGTAAACGTAATCAGTTTAAAAGCATAATTATCTGATCTGGTCTCTAATCAAAGGAGCAACCCGGGTGTTGGTTGTCCAGCAAATGGCAAACATCACTGCACTCTATCACTATGAATTATGGGCTGTGAAAATAAAAGCACCTGCAAAAATATACTTCTGATTTTGCTTATATCGCCTTGGGCATTGCCAAAGCATCCATGAGGTACACAGTATTGCACACTGATAAGCAGATATGTGAATGCATGTCACTTTCTCTCCACCGTGCCCTTCCTCCAACCCAGGTGGGCTACCAAATAAATGTGAACTGGAAAAACGTCACACACCTCTCCCCACACAGGAAAGGGAAACAAGTCCTTCTTCCTGGTAGCCCATATCCTGTTAGCAAGACATGTCCGGGCCATTTATTGACAACTAGATTACAAATGAGGATACAGTAACAAATAATTTATTTAGGAGGTCCTTTACAGCTAGTCTAGCTTCCTAAAAATGGTTGCATTTATCTTTATTTCAATTTCCAGTGTGTAAGAGTCAAGGATTCCTCCATTCTTGCTTCATGAAATGAGCAGTTTTAAAGTTGTAGAAGTATCAGCATCGAACATCGACATGTTATACTTTAGGGTATTCTATTATATTTTAGAACAGTCTGCTTGCCCAAACCAGTCTGGGTAAATCTCAATACACACACACACACACACACGCACGCACGCACACAAGCAAATGGAATGTTCTAGCTCCTCGATGATCAGCACTAAAGAATTGGGATGTTTTGATATGTAACCATGTGAAACCATTGCCTTAAAATGTTGCATTTGTCTTTTATTGCTCCAGGTCTTCCTCTTCTCCACTGCTTTTGTCGAACGTGTTCAAAAGGATTTGAAACCAACTATTGGAGGAAGAAAATCAATCACTCTCCTTTGTCTCCTATTGGGACCACTGCCCCACCCCCCCCAACAAAAGGGTAATTTTTTTTTGTTTTCAGAGCAGATTCTTCATATCTAGGCTGCGAAGACCAGAAACAGGGCCAGTTTTAGCTCCAAGTGGACAGTTCACTTACGCGATATCTGGCTTGAGATAATGAAAGGCACCTGTAAGGAAACACACGCAGCTTTTTAGGTCATGCTGGGACAATTCACAGTCAGGGGCAAGATCAGCTACAGGCTGACAATGTCATATTTAATACCGTGCTATCAAAGGCTTGAGACTAATATTTTTATTCCTGAGACAAGTTTGACACAACTTTGTGTCCCTGGGATTATCCCCCATATGATCCTGGAGCTGACCTCATTAAGAACATGTGTTTCTAATGTCAGGGATTATTTCATTTTGGCCAACCCTTGTGTTTTACCTAGTGGCAATCAGGTTTCACGTCTCAACAATTAATAACCGCAAGATGTTGTTGACATCAGTTAAGAAAATAATTACACAAGGAAGCCCCTGCTGGAACAGTCAGCTGGCTTTGCAAAAAAAAAAAAAAATTGATACCGGCATGTGTGGCTTAATCTTGCCTCTAATTCACCTTTCTTAAGGAAGAGTTGAGTTTATCTCCCTTCCAGGAGAAATTGCCCCCTAAAAAGTCCAAGGCTTACTTTGTCCATACTGCCCATATTGGTAGCCTGTGACAGGGTCCATACTGTAGCCTGTGGTGCTATAGGTGGGTGGACAGTAGGACTGAGATGTTGGCAGACTGTCCAAGCTCTTCATATGGTCTAGTCTCTGACTGCAGCTGGCCGACACCGTGGTGGTAGGTTCCAGACCCCCGGTGAGAGGGGAGAGCGCGTAATCAGTCTGGGGCTGATGAGGTACCCCACCGTGGTTGGTCAGGAGTCCCATTACCTAAAAAAACAGCCAGATTGGGAAGAGGTTAAAATGCAGAGAGATCCAGATTGCAGCCTACAGCTGAAAGAATAACTTGACAGTCCAGTTTTTATTTCTTTGGAAATTGGTTAAAGAGCTGTCCAGGAGACTATGAACCCAATTCTAAGTGGCAGAGATATTACATCATGCCCGACGATAACATCTGACTGCAGTTGCAGAAGAAGGAAAGGGGGAGGGAGAAGAGGGGAGAAGAGGGGGAAGAGGAAAAGAAGGAAGGAGAAGAGGAAAGAGAGAGATTACACCACGTCCCTAGTGATAAAATCAGACTGGAATTTCAAAGAAGGGGGAAAAAAGGATGAAAAGAGGGAGAAATTGTATCTGTTCATACAGAAAAATGTCTATTCATACATTATATCTGGAAGTTTCACATGTGATTTTTAAACAGTCATTTGCTTATATTTTTAAAAGATAAATGAATCCAAATCAAGTTATTTTTCATGTACTTTGAGATCTCTGTGCCTTTTTTTTTTTAAATAGTGTTCCCTCTCAAGAAAGCCCCTTTCCTTATCTTGGCCATTCTTTGATAATTAGAAATATTTACTCCTTTCCTGATGGTCTCTGGTACTTTATTTACCCCTCCCACTGTATATTCATTAGTTCAGTCACCTGCTTTGACTGGTGAGAGCTTTGAGAGGAGCAATCTATTCATCTTTATATCCCAGCACCTAAAGCAGTGAATGCTTGACACATATTAAGTGCCGAATGAATGAAATGTAAATGATTCTCCAAGTAAAAGCCTCCATTACCTATTATTTTATTTCTTCTCTAAACAACCATTTCATATATATATATATATATATATATATATATATATATATATATATGAAGTGTTAAAAGGAAAGACAAGCCTGAAATGCAAACATGGTCTTAAAAAGTTCAGTTTGTAAATAACCTGGACAGTAAGACAACTTGGAAAAAAAAAAATATCCTGTGACAGAATAACTTTCAGATCAACATGGTGAAGTGCTTCACCAACTCAAGATCCCTGACCCTTACAGCACCTTGTGGTGAAAGTAAGTGGATAATTAATTTTGCAGCTGGAAAACTGCCACACGAGAGAGGAAGCGATTTTTCTAAACTATGTACCCTTCTGTGGCAGGGTTCAAAAGCAATTGCAAAAGAAATCTAACGCCAGGTCAAGAGCCCCCCCGAAGACACATCTACTTACAAAGTATTTAAATGCAGTATCCAACAATTCCACAACATTTCCATAACAGTCCTGTCTTATTTTAGGAAGTGTGAAGCCTACAGAGATTAAAGTGTGCAAATAAGAGAAAGAGGAGAGGGCAGAAATGACAACCAAGCCCTGACTATAAGCCCTCATGCTAACTGCAGAATAACTCTCATAATTCAGGCAATAGAACCTCGGATCTAGGAGTTCCAGTAAGGCAGGAATCTGAGAGGCAGGTGAGGCGGGGGGCGGGTCTAGTTTTGCTTCCCAGAAAGCATCTCAACTCAGATTCCAAAAACAAGGATCCCATAATTCCCTTTGGGAAGGGTTTGCATAATCCTTATGATTAAGTAAAATCTTCTTGAACTAAAGCTCTGAGCTGATCCATCTTCAGCTGACCCCAAAAGACAGAGAAAAAGAGATCCACCTTCTGTGGATTATCAATTATCCACTCTTCCTCCATTTTAACAGAAAATTTGAACGGATGTCCCTGCCTTCCCCAGAAATCCTGTTTTTCATTTTGTTGTCTCTCTTTCATTTGAGTTATTGTCTATGCACACACATGGGAAGGTGGGCTGGTGTGGGCAAAGCAACACAGCAAAGCCCACATTTTGAAAGACATCCCAGGAATCTAAGATTTTTTGAGATATGTGGTAAAACATCCTTTTTTACAATTTTTAAAAATTAGTTATATTTTTAAAAAAAACACACAAAACATCATTTGTGGCAGAGCCCAATTTTGTTTTATTGGGGATTTGGAGAAAGTGAAAGTCACAAAATAAAGTAAGCATCAATAGGATTGACAATTCCAGGAAGATGGAAAATCACTAGAATGTGGGTTCTTTTAGGGCCCTACCCAGCATTGTTTATAGCAATTTCTTCATTTCACTACTTAAAAGAACTTGAACATAACTAAGAATGCATTTAAATTAGTTCCTGGATATGTTTTCCATCTATATGGGTTCTTTTTGCCTTTATTTGAGCTTATATAGATGATTTCTATATAAGTGTATACTTGGAAAATTCATGAACTTCAATTGATACACTAGTTTATTATTTATGAAATTTCAGCCCAAATTAGACATTTCTTTTAGAAGAAAAGAGTCTTTAAGTTAGAGGTTGTTTGGTGCCAAACACACTCCTTTCAAATCAGGAGTACATTTTCGTGTGTGATCCTGATGGGTGAGATTGGACATGAACATAAAAACACTTTAAAATGTGATTTTTTTAATAAAAGGGAATAATCGCACAGGGCAAATATTTTACCATGAATAAGTTGTGTTAAGCAAAATTCGAAATCTTAGAAAAAGCAATTTTGTAACTATATCAGTCCAGAGAGGAAAGATATCCAGTGGCACTAAATAAAAGGAAAATAAACTCTAAATTAATATTGTCCTTCATGAAGATACTTACTTGAAATTCAGTCAATGGTATGTCACTTTAAGGGAGAAATGGAATGCTGTATGTACAGTTATACTTGATGAGCTCAGAGCAGAATTTTATTCAAAACATGCACACTTTCCCATGAGCTATATGTACATTTTTGTGATAAACTTTTTAAAAAAATCCCCTGCCATACATTTTTTGTTTGCATAACTTTGAAGGCAGCAATAACTAATTATAGGGGATGGGGGAACTCAAGAAGGACCTAGAAGAGAAGAAACATGTCCTTCCTATAAGCAAAAATCAGCTTATGATGTTGTTCATGAAGCAACTTTTGGCAGTCGCTGCGTTAGAAAATTCATTAGGAAAGGATTTAACTCTTAAGACCTTGAAGTATATCTATTGAAGGGTGGAGAAGATACCCTGTTTGCAGAGCCGTATTAGGGCAATAGAAAGATAGTTCCTCAAAGGTTCCAGGGCTGAGTAGCTTTAAGACTTCCCAAAACATGACCAAATAGGAAGGACACCTGCAGGGTCTTCCTGTGTGTCACTATTGTCACACACAGAAAGCTAGTGAGGGCATCTCCTTTAGCCACAGCACTCAGCACAGCAGCCCAATACTTGCAGGGGCTGATGTGAGAGCATAGAGGGGACCAGAGACCAGTTATCTTTTGTTCCTCTGACTTCCCTGATAGAGCCCCCAAGACAGACATTCACAAGTTCTTATTTCCACTGTGATGGTCACATATTATAATCGTAATCTCAAGAATCTTAAAAGGATGGGGAATACAGCACTAACATTTTCCTACATTTGGCCTGAAACTGCGATTAATAAATAATTATAATGTGATTTATTTCAATATTTCACACTGAGAAAACTTGAGAAATATACACCATTTTAAAAACCTACTGTTTTACAGTTTTTAAAAATGTGTGTTGGTGGGGGGAGTGAGGACATCAATAGAAAATGCATTACTCTCCCCTCACATAATTTAAAACCTCAAATCTCTGTAGAAGGGTTCCATTACACTTTCATGTATGTTTCTTTAAAAGCTATTTTGCGTTTCATGTGGTTCAAGGGAAGCTATGGAAATTTCTTTCTGTGCACAAAGAAGTTGGTAAATGAACTTCTTTGAACTTATCCAATATGGTTATGGAATGTCTTCCAGTCACATTTTCTTTTTAAGAATAATGTCAGAATTTCTTTTATGCACGCTTTTCCTACAAATTCCTTCAAATTTGTAATTCAAAGCCTAAAATCAAATCTTCATTTGTTGTAAAGTGGATTTTTTTGCCCTCCCCTTACACCATTAGTAAGATATTTCTACTACAGGGCTGGCATTTTGTACCAATTTTTTTTTTTTAATTTGGGGTATGAGAGAAGCTTGATTGCCTAGTTTTGACAAACAATTTCAAAGAAAAAGAAACAAATTCAAGGCTACCCAGTTCTGTCTCCTGAACACTGATCACACTCATTAAATGCCAGGTAAATCCAGGAGATGCAATGACCAGAAAGAGTTTTTCTTTAATAAAGATCTCTGCTCTGTCTCATTAGAAAAGGAAGCAAGGAGAACTCTTTCTTTTTACTTTTAGTTGTGAACCATCTAAAAAAAAAAAATCTGTTGAGCAGATTTCTAAATTGTTACCTCCGAAATGTGTTCCACATACTGTTTCTAAATTGTTCTTTGAACAGCCTTTAAAAACAAATTCAAAGCTTCCGAATTTATGTCCACGTTTCTCCTAGCAGCTCCTCCATCTTTTGCATTATTAGAGAGACATTTTCTGAAGATCTCTTTAAACTCATTCTCAAGTTTCAGAATTCCAAATAGGTTGTTTATATCTTGATTGGAAGATTATATGGTTCAGGAAAAACTAAGTCTTACAATTGCTCCATGCCATATTTCTCTTGAATTAATTTTCCTATTGCAAGATTAAATAAAAAAGATAAAAACTATGGGCCAAATTAAGATTTACCTTTAAAATGATATGTCTGGAAAATATTTGTCTTGGCACAAGCATTATGGTTTTCCCATCAGTTGAAAGTGCCTGAAGCTTATCAGAAATCTAAAATGATTCAGTAAATTATGGTGCACATCCAGGCGCTTCTTTTTTCTTTAGTAGGAATTCTTGGTTCACGTCTTTATTTTCTTTCTTGTTCTTAAGTAGTCAGGTGTTCTGATTTAACATTTAACATACACATTTAGTTTGTTCTTTTTAAAAAAGAAATGTGAATTACAGCTTTGTATGACATAAAGAGTTTTTTTATTCTTCCATCCTTTCCTCCAAAAATCTACTGACTATATTTTTTTATTTAGATATAATATATTTTCGGAACCAATCAAAAATGTTCAAATGTTTATCCAAATGTTTTTTGCCAATGTGGGTGTTACTGGAGTCATCTAATGGTTAAATTTCAGTAACTGTATCTTTGAGGTTAAAAACCTAAATTTAAGGAGCAGAGACTTTCCTGAAAATGTCCTCAGATTCAAATGCCTTAGGAATTATCCTGCAGTTGATTAGCATCTAAATAATTAGATTTTGGGTCCTGTCTGTTTGAAAGCTGTAAGAGGGAAGTTGCCTGAAGGCAGAAGTTTCTCTTAAGGTATGTGTGGTGACCTTCTCACCCATCCTGAGAGTTAGGGAAAGGCCAAGACTGACCTTTACCTAACCAGATAGAAAACCTGTGCATGTTTTATTTTAATCCTTAGCCTACATTTTACAAGTAGCTGTGCTTAATGCATGATGAAAAAGTATGAGTGCCAGACAAGTGTGCTTCATATGCAGCATACATTTCCATGTTTTCATTGTAAAGAGTACAGTAAGTATTGTCTCAGTTAAACTCTAAGGGATTATGTATGTTTCATCTCCAGCCCTGTGACCAATCACAGAGATAGCTTATTTTTATCAATTATTTTGAATACCTATTGCTCAATAGAGCTAAGTGTTAAGTTTCATAGCAATATTCTTTACGGACTGATGACTAAAATATAAATCTAGACAGAGAATTAGCGCAGAAATGAGTTGCATAACCATAGATACTTGTTCTTAACTAGGCAGATGTTCTTCTAATTTAACATTTAATATGCACATTTAGTTGTTTTTTTAAAAAACCATTGTGAATTATGATTTTGTATGATATAAAGGGTTTTTCAGGCTTCTAGCCTTCCCTCTAAAGTGTGTATATATGTATATGTATATATATACATATATGTGTGTGTATATATATATATATATAACTTCTAGTTTACTTCTAGCCAGTGATGAATGACCATATCACGTCCATCTATTATCAGTAAAGCCCATTAAGAAAAAGTTCATTCCACCTAAATGAAAAAGCATGCCAGTTAATACCACTGGTATTTGACTATGTTAGACCCACCATGGGCATAATAAAATTCTCATATGTTTTAATTCATTTACGCATGCCTGCATTTAATATGCTTTGTGACCATGTCTACAATTAATATGATTTATGGGAAAAGAACATGTGCAATATTGGGGGACTATAGCAAATATTTTTTTTTTCTATGAATGAAAAATATAACAAAACAGCTCAGGAAAATTGTTGGCCCTTAGCATATTAAGAGGGACTGACAGAGTCCTGAGTAAACTTGGGGGAGTTAATGATATCCTCTTATCTGACCCTGACACATTTGCAGCATGTAATTTACAGAAGCTCTGTCCAGGGAATCTTGACAAATGCTCCTGAGGATGTCAGGGCAATGTTCCATTCTAATGTAAAACAGATGTGGGTCAGATACCCTCATTCATCACTTAACACACAGAGCCTCAAACTCTTTCTGGGAGGAATGACATTACCTGCTGTTAACTCTTCTCATTTCAGGAAATTTCTCACAACCACTGTAGCCCTCTAAAGCGCGTGTGCTCAAACCTATCACTGTTTCAAAATCCAGTCTGAGAACATGACTGTGGAAAATCAAACGTGTATCTTGGTTTCATTTCATGACTACTCTAGGATACTTTTGCTAAATATTACTTGACCCTTTGAGACTTGGGATTCTAAATATAGAAAGAGAAAAGCTCTATGTTTGGGCATCTCACAATACTTCAGTGATATGGCATTCAAAATTTTCTCTCTAATTGCCTGTAAACCGAACTTCCATGTAAGGAAATGCAAGGCTGATTCACCCTAATAACCATTCATAAATGCAAATCTTAGTGACCTTTAACTTCACAGTCCCATTTGAGACTCACAAATCACTTATAATAAACTAGAAATACTGCCTTTTAGTGAAAAGAGCTTCAACTCTGCCTCTCCCAAGCAGAGGAATGTTGGTCTATATATACTATATTCCCATTTCCCTAAAAGTTTTCCCTCTACCTACCACTCTAACAACATGTAGGGAAGACATTCTGATCTGCTAAAGGAAGAAAATGGTTGTCCAGCTCAACAAGGAAATTTCTTCTTTCTTTCACACTATGTATGATGTAAGCAAATATTTCTGTGGCTGCCTAAAGTCAATAGCATAAGATTGCATCTATGAAATGTCTGAAGACTACAGAAAAGACGCTTCCTTGCCCTTTTCTTGTGAAGGAAGGTACATCCTTAAGATAAAGAAAAGAACCAACTGAAAAGACCTGGTGATACTGATTTACCTGTGATACTGATGAGTAAATGTCAGGAAAGGTATTTCTGGTAATCATGGGGAAATGGAGAACAGGCTTGCAAAAGTCTAAGAATGAACATACTCTTTAGAAAACACTTGCTGGTCTGTTTCATAGGCTCTGTGGTAAGGCAGAATAAGCATTCATTTAAAATTCATGGAATTTGGCCAGATGCGGTGGCTCATGCCTGTAATCTCAGCACTTTGGGAGGCTGAGGCCAGAGAATGGCTTGAGCCCAGGAGTTCAAGACTAACCTAGTCAATACAGCAAAACTCTGTCTCTACAAAAAAAAAAAAAAAAAAAAAAAAAAAAAAAAAAAAAAAAAAAAAATTAGCTGGGCATGGTGGCATGCACCTTTAGTCCCAGCTACTGGGGGGCTAAGGTAAGAGAATCACCTGAGCCCAGGAAGTCAAGGCTGCAATGAGCCATGATTGCACCGCTGTACTCCAGCCTGGGTGGCAGAGTGACTCTCTGTCTCAAAAAAAATTAAATTTAATCAAATTAATGGAATTTCTACCAACTCTACAAATGTGAGACAACATCTGAGAACACAGTCTCCCAAAAGCTAGAAACTACTACACCATTAAGCTAAAATCGTATTTACCTTAATTCTCTCCCATACCTAACTCCAGGGACACTGAACCAATAAAGATGCCGTGTTCTCTTTTCCACCTGATGACTTGTGCTTATGGTCATAATTTGGGCAGTGGTTATGTCTCCTACTGCACAGGCAACTTGATGTAGGCTGGCAACATGCAGAACCTACTTTGATCTTCAGAAACTAATTCTGTTCCTGCAGATCCTAGCAAAATAAAATCTTTGTAATCTAGTGATTTTGAAAAATGCTCCTCAATTGATAAACTCAAAATCACTTAGATTGTCCCTTATGTTCCAAAACTTTTTGATGGTACATGATGTTTTAGCTACCCTTATCCTTGGCTGGTGAGAGAGAAGCATCACTGCATATCAGATTCCCCTGTCTTTGAGGCGAGTATCTTGCTTCTAATTTACCCAGTATCTATTGTTATAGAAGATGGACTGTATATTTTCAAAAATACATTCATTCATGTCAATATTATATTTCAATAAGTCAAAACTAGAATACAAAAAGAAAAACAACAGGATGACCCTCTCCCCTCCCTGCTCCTAGCCCCATGGAATAAAGGGTTGACTTTAGTTTTCATTATAGTGGGTTCTCATGGTATTGTAACCTGAATTTCTCAAATAAATTGATCTTAGTACATTATATTTCTGGAGACTATCTTATCCAGCCACCTTAGAGTTACTGCATTCTAAATGGACATCAATATGAATCCTTAGATCTTTGAAATGTCTAAGTAGAATACTTGAAAATACTCCAATTTACCAACATACCGCCTTTCCTTTGATGTCACTCAGTTTCCGTGTTTGCTTTATTTTTCATGGACAAGCAAAAGTATATTTTTGTCAGAGATTCACATAATTTTTTTTTCTGAGACAGAATCTCACTCTGTCACCTAGGCTGAGTGCAATGGTGCAATCACGGCTCACTGCAACCTCACCCTCCTGGGCTTAAGCTGTCCTCTCACCTCAGCCTCCTGAGTAGTTGGGAGTACAGGTGCAGGCCACCATTCCCAGCTAATTTTTGTATGTTTTGTAGAGACGAGGTCTCACTATGTTGCCTAGGTTGGTCTCAAACTCCTAGACACAAGCGATCCCACCTCAGCCTGCCAAAGTCCTGAGATTATAGGTGTGAGCCACCACACTTGGCCATACATGATATTTTTAAGACAACAATAATGAAACCCTGTTGCAATAGCATTAGTACTTTATCAAAAATCACTTAATGTTCCTCAGCCTAAGTCTACAAGACAATTTTTTTAGTATCGTCTAAGTTGAACAAGAAGGTACAGAAGAAGCTGAGATAGTTTAAACAGTTTATGTGAAAATGCACAGCTAGTAAGTGGCTAAGTTTGAACTCTATTGGTGCTGTCTTTAGATTAATGAGTTATACCCACACTGCAATCACTTCATTAGATAGGAATTCTTTCTTTTCCTTTACCCCCTTATCTGCCTCATCCTAAATATTATTAGGTAGTTTATAGCCTCTTCTTTAAAATTAGTCTCCCCCTACTCTAAGTTCTTACACAAAGGGCTGACACTGTGTTGAGACAGAAGACACCATCAGACATTAATTAGAAAAAAAAATTCACCTGTGGAAAAAATCAAGAAGCCATTTTAGAAACAAATGGATCAAGAGTTAGGTCTCCACGTGGGTTTTCCATTATTAGGTACATCCCAGGAAATGTTCCTTAAAACTTGATAGTTTGGTATTCAACAAAAGGGCTCCATAATCAGATTAGAATACACTGAATTAAACAAAATTAAACATGTTTTCATACCTCAAGACTTGTCAGGGCCTTTAGTAGGCTAATGTGCACTCGTACACTGAAAGGTAAAGGGATATAATTTCTGACTTTTACCAAATTTTACCTTCAGAATACTTTTCTCTCACACCACTGTTCTACAGAGCCTGCTTTGGGGAACAAGTCTTTATCATGAGGCTTGGTTTGGTTTCAGGGTGTTCAAATAGCATCATTCCTCTAGAAGCTTATAATCAAAGGCAGTGGGGGTGTGGATACACTATAATAGAATAGAGTCTGGTATGTGTTTCAACAAGGTATAAATATAATAATGTGGCATCAATAGAGGCTAAAAAAGAAATTTTGCCTGGAAGAGTCATGGAAGGGTTGACATTGAGCTAGAAGCATAGAGTGACACAAATAGAGGATCATCTCTACAGCAGGTATTTTGAAATCTCAGGACAGATGCAATAGTTTAACTAGATTTTTTTAACGCAATCTGCCCAGAATGAGACATCAGTATTTTTGTGAGAAAAAAGAAGAGTTACTTCTTTAAGTAATGCTTGCTTCTTTCATTAGTTCAGTGCTAAAGGTTACCCGAACAGTCATCTCACAGCTAAGAAATATTCCCTTCAATGTAGACACGTTACCCCATTATTCTGCAAAATGTACTGTCCCCAAACGTCTCCCAATTTGCCATCTGTTCCATTGATCAGCAGAGGTGCAATCGCTAATCTCAGAAACTCTAGTTTACTGAATTCGAGCTAAATGTCAAGAGCAATTTTTAAATATTATACTATACATTGAAAAAATACACCTCTGATGAAACCCAGACTGTTTTACAGAGACAGATTCTTTGGAAAAACAAACACACACACACACACACACACACACACACACACGAATAGTATACAACTAATGACTAAATCAAGTCTTCTGTGTCTGTAGTACAAAGCACACATTCATCCCCTAATTGAATAAATATGCAAGTATTCAGATTTCTGAAGATATTGCCATTTTGCAAATGCAATAATAAATTAAAAGCTTTACATCGCATTCCACCCACATATAAAGGGTTGATTCAGGCCATTGGCCCCACATAATATCTAGCACGGCTATGTATTGCTGACTACAAAGAAAAACTTTTTATCCTAGTTGCTTAGTTATAGACTAAGCAATAATGCTCATTTTTTTTCGACTCAAAAGCTGGAGGAATTCAAATGGGACTAAAAAAGAAAACACGAGGTTGTTGCATTTGATTTGTCCAATGTACAGGAGAACATAGCTGACAGAATTTCTGTTTAAATCAACTCGGCAGACACAAAAATAATTAATTCAGCAAGGAAGGTTTTCTTTTGGCTCATTTCAGTGACGTGATGTAAGATTCAGTCACTGGGTGCTACATTCTCCCTTTCTTTAAAAAGGAGATTTGGGCCAGGTCGTTGTCTCTTTCACAATTCACCAAATTAAACTAACTCAAGAGGCTATGACTGGAGCTGACATAAACCAGGGCTCTCCTCATACTCTTAAGTGTAGCGACCACAGCCTTAGAGAAAAACCAAAAGTACCAGGTCAATTACAGCCTGCTCATTGATTCAACAAATGGATTAACAGCCATGTTTTCATCCATGAGCAGAACATCTCGAAAACCTAATATGGCAGAATGGAAACCTCCAAATGGCCAGTGGTTATTCTGGTGTAGCTGAAATGGGCTCGTTTATGATCATAAACATTCTTGAGCCTTCACAAACATCGAGGCTTCTGAAGCCCTGGCAATCAGCACACAAACTGCTTTAGAAAAGAAACAGAAAGAGGCTCAAGCCTTTGAGAGGCTGCCACTTTTGTAAAAAATCTCTCTCTGCCCCCAGCTTTGTTTGACACCCAACAAATTTCTTTAATCAAAATCACTCCTTTCTCTTCTACAGATAAATTCCTGGAAAGTGTAAAGGGAAGAAAGCCCCTCCATTGGGAAATAGGTTGGTGTCAGGCTACTTGCTTGTCTGATTCTTCACAATGATAAAGGTAGGTCAAGGGCAGAGAATTTGCAACCAGTGTGTGAAACGAATGCCTTATCAACAAGACTAGCATCAGGTAGCTTCTGGATGCGTACCCAAAAACGTCCCAAAAAATTAGCTATCTTGAAATAGAAGCTGGCTGTACCGCCAGGGTGAACCTTATTGCTTTGACCTATATCAACAGCACAAGAGAAAGGCAAGGAATTACCAAGCCATAGTAGGAAAGATTTTAACGGCAACAAATGAAACAGAGAAGTACCCAATGCAACAATTTTTAATGACTATATCCCATCCACATAACAAGTCCTTACCCCCTGGATGAGCAAACAACCATCATTTTGCCTTGGCAGCTAAAGAATTTGAGATTATTGTTAGCACTGTGGTCCCAAAAATGACAAGTGAAATCAAAAGCAGTCTTGAGTTTTGTGTACACATATTAACACTTAAATGCTTCTTCCTAATAAGTTTCAGGATTAACAAATGTTTGTCAAAAGGAACTGTGCTGAGCAATTGAAATCTAATTTGAAATGGAACCACGATAGTCTAATACATATATGCATGAAACGAAGAAGCTTCCTAATAGGCGTAGCTGACACCAAATATGCAATTTACATACATTACACACTAATAATCTCAATTTTAATATTATTCTTTAAAAGCAACTGGATGGGTGGTAGAGTTAAAGGTTTGCTTTTGTAAAATGTGAATAAGAACAAAAAGTCGATCCTGGCATTTTATGCCATTAACCACAGTCTTATTAGTGTAAAGAGCTATCTGCTCTTTCTGGGTCTATTTCAGAGATGGTATCTCATCAACACAAGTCTGTGATGATTCAGCCGAACTTACTAGATGAATGGTGGATAAACTTGATGAGATCTGCAGACCTCTTCTTTGTTCCTGAGTGTTGCTGAGTGGTGGGCAAACATTCAGGCTTTTTCAAGCCCAGTACACAAATCTTTATGAGAATTTTTTCTTTCCTCAGTAGATTATCCATGAAATAGGACAGGTGTACTGGTTATTCAATTACATCTTACCCAAGACCTGGACAAAATTTGAAACAAGGCCTCACAGCATAGTTCTTACCATGGGGATTTATTAATAACAGTTAAAGGTTCTCTAAAACAAAACTTTTTTTTTGTAATTTAAGCCTATTTTCTTATTTTGTCATTGGTTTCACTCATAAACCAGAAACTAAAATCTGCCCATCTGTTCTAAACATAAAATGTGTTCATAATAATCCAGATTTATACCAAATGTATTTGTAAGTATTGCTGAAATGAGAGGAACTCAAAATTTATGGGCTCTGAGGTTGCAAACAGAACTTCCTCTTTTCAGGGAGGAAAATGCTTAAAATGAATGTAGGAAAGGCTCAGAAAGCTTCTTGGATATCAAACGGCTTCATAGGGAAAAAAATGTCAGTGATATAAGAGTAAATGAATCAAAACCATATGGATCAAATTTTCCTTAAAATACACAGTTTGAAAAATTAAGGAGGAAAAGTGCTTGGCAAAAATGTGTTTTAGGTTTTACCAAACCCAAAACATTTGAAGAATCATTTGCAATGGTTGATGAACCCTAAATGCAGCCAAGTTGGCCCATTTTGTATACTACAAAACAATAGAAAAGATTCCTATAAACAGTGTAACCCACTGATACTGTATTTCACTCAGGAAATCTTTAGAAACTGTTACCAAAGAACTGTGGAGTTTGTAGAAGTCGGGTGGGGGGTGAGGCATGAAATGATAAAAGTTTGTTAATTTAATTGGTCTTGTTTTGGGGGTTTGGCTATGTGTGTCTTGGGGGTAGGGGAACAGTCAGGGTAGTATTTCTTGCAAAGAAAAGTTAATTAGAAGAACATGGGCCAAATGTTAATTAGCCTCACATCTTGAGCATATGGTAGTACTTCCTCGGTACTCCATATTCCAAGGCAGCATTCCTTTTTCCTCCTGCATGTGTAGGAAGGTGCTGGTAATGTACTCTCTGGGGATGGAGGGGAAATAAATGGTCTGTATTACCCCATGCACTATATTTTCCTCACATCAACAGAACAGAAACTTTCAGAAGGATGGTACTACAGAAGACAGCCCGTGTTGCAGTGAGTTAAATGCTTCCCTTCCCAGAGCGTATTTTGTCATTCATTATAAGCCCCATCTCCAAAAAGGTTATGCAGTTCAAACAGCTATCCAGAGATGGTGGAAAATTTTGAGGTCATTAGCCTGTCTCCACCCTCTCACGCATCACTGAGAATCTCGCCTTAAATTCCCTGACACATGCAGCCTTTGATAGAATGAAAAGCCAAGCCCACCATTTGTGAAGCCATTCAACCATGGCTGCAAGAAAATTCAGTCGAATATCACTGGGGCAGCCCTTGGGAAATTTCTTAGGACATTATGCTTCCTCTGGTGCTGACCAGCCACTAAAATGTGTAATTTGTGTTCATAGAAGAACTAGTAAGAACTAGACAAGACATAGAGTTGGCTCTTAACCCTGCCACTAGCTCACTCCATCAATTAAATGATTGTGTTGCCTTGGCCTCAGTTTTCCAATAAGCAAAATGAAAATATTCCCCAGATATTGTTGCTGATTCCCTCAGAACAAGAAAAACTTGCCAATGATTAAAAAATGCACAGACCCTTTCAGCAACTTGAGGAGGAACGACATCAGAGTTTCTAAAGGTTGCTGTTGGTATTCTGAGATTTAGGCTGTCACAAATACAGATCAGTCCATTGCCAAGCTCTGACCATCTGGACAGGTGTGACCTCCCTGAGACACTGCTTCACACCAGCCCCTCATGAAGCTGAGACCTTCTCTGAGGAAAGGACTGAGGGCATCTATGATGCGCCATTTGGCAAATGGCTGTAATTCCCAGCCTTTGCTCAAGGGAAAAGATACATTAGAGACACAAAACAAAAACCAACTATTGTACACATACACAAACACACACACACACACACACAGAGAGAGAGAGAGAGATGCTTTGGCTATCCTTATAGTGTCTATTAATTCCTTGATGAGAAACTAGAAAGCCCACTCTACAATCATTCACACATACTCTAGCTCACAATTTCCAAGTGTGGATGGCAAACAATACATCAATTTCAATGGCTCTAGGGAAAAAGTCGAATAAAATGCAGAAATATTTTTAACATGTCAAATAGCTCCACCAGAGAGATCTACAGTGAACTGATCACAGTGACTCAAAAAACTATAACCAATTCGGTGTAAATTGACAGATGGCAGAAGGCCTATGATGACACGTAAAGACAGAGAAAAGGCAAGATACAAAGTTGTATGCACTACTTTCTACTTTCTCAATTATGTTTCTAAAGGAGGCATAAGAACCTAAAAAGCTAGAAGGCAATATGCAAAGATACTCATGGTAGTTGCCTTGGGGGTTGTTTTTTCTACTTTATAGACACTTTTTAAGCAAATTTTTTTTATTTATCTACAATGAACATCCAATGCTTTTAATATGAGGAGAAGATAGAAGATTAATGGAAATTAAACTTAGCAAAAAGAGCATAAATTGACCTGAACAGAAAAGTTTTAAAAAACTAGTCTCTACTAAATTATTTTATAATATGACTAAAACCTCCTGCATCTGTTTTTTTATGAAACCTGTTTTCTCTTCATTCAACTCTGGACTATAATGGACAAGATCCTAGACCAGGAACCAGGAATCCTAGATTCTAGTCTTAATTCCCTCCCTATCAATCCTTTGGCTGGCAGAAGGTGACAATCATTTTGGGCCTCAGTTGGTTTTTCTGCATATTAGATAACCAGACAGAGGTAGAGGAAGTAGAAGAGTAAGTAGTGAGGAAAAGGAGAAATGGTAATCATAACGCTATTAGTTATTCTCAGCATAACACTGTCCGTGTTATATGATCCAATATATTCATAATCACTCTATGATAAGCAGTGACTTATAGGTCACAAGCCTTTCTCTAGTCTCTTCTTTAGTTAACAAGTAAACCAGGGTGTTAGACATGAACTCGTTGCTTCACATTTTTCTTTAAAATATTTTTAAGAAAGCCAGAGAAGCAAAAGTAGTGTAGGCACCTCTTGTTTAAACAGTGTCATTACAGAGAAGTGATATAGCCCAAAGTTTACAGAAATCTAAGTTTGAATCCAATTTTCCTACTCCACTGTTGCATAAATATGTTTGGCAAGATACTGATTTGCTCATTGTCCTTTGCTCTTTAACTTTGCCTGAGGAAATAAGGAGGAATTTCATATTATTTGTCTCTTTTCTAACTCAGTGGGGTTGCTACAAAAACCAAGAGAACATAAATTCCTAGTGGTGGTTTGAGGTGGAAATGTATGGCAGAAATGCAAAATACCCTGCATATTGCAATGTAATAAAGAATTACCATAATATGTAAGATATAGTAAAGAAATACAGGAAAAATGCCTATGGAATTTTCCGTTGCTTAGTATTAGAATGATTTTGCTCTACCATCAACTCCAGAATCATAGCCAGGCTTCTTGAAGTCAAGGATTAATAGTTAGGAGATCACATTCTAGCAATTCTACTTATGTGATACTTATATAATACAAAAGAATACACATCATAACATACAAGATAATACATTTATACAAGAAAGTACCAGTTTCACTTATAGAATACAGGTTCTTATTAGTTTTATTGCTATTGAATAAAATAAGGTACTAAGAAATGCCAATGGAATCTGGGATCTCACCTTGCAGAAGCAGCTAGGGCAGGAGTTTACTTTTATTAAAACTTTCAACCAAATCATGTTCATGAAAAGCTTTTCTACAGCCCCCAAAACTACAAATCTTAAAAAATCGCGGAGATAAGTACTTCTGATGTTACTTCTAAGTTGTGGAAGAAGCTCATATGCCATGAATCTGGGTATTTTAAGGATGACTCTATCAATATAAGTCCATGATTTTCATGCAGAAATCACATTCACAAATGCCAGTACTTGGAAATAAAATGTATTAAAGTCCTGTAGGAAGCACTTTCATTGTTTTCATGTTGTTATTTTTCAGCTGAGGTTTAAAGCCACCTCATAATTTTTTTTTTATCCCAGGATGTGCTATAGGAATCTATGAAACTTAATTACATTTACTGTTACAAAAAAGGATTTATGAACTTTTGCCTTTAGGCGGAAATGTTTATTTCATTGCCTTTGCTATCCATTCTTTTCAACTCCTCCGGCTTTGAACTTTTCAGCTGCTCACAGTTATCACTGTCTTGCAGAGCCCAGGAATTCCACTCCCAAGACACACACCACAAGTTGAAGAAAACGAAGAGGCAAAGATATACGAGTCGTTATTTTGGCCACCCTTTGTGCCATTAAAATCTCATTTTCTGCCTATTAGAATGCCCTCTTGGTGCTTAGGCAGCGGTGATAGTCAGTGATTAGTGTGTAATTGAGTATAATTGTCTTTTCACTTTTCATTTGTGTCATTCTGAGCTTCTCTCTGTTTTTCTAACCACCAAGAGGAAAAAGGGGGTTGAGAACAGATAAAGCTGTTCAAACTCTCTGAAGAGATTCTCGATTGCAATTATAGATTGCAACCCCTTGTGACATTTCTCCAAATTTAGTGGGCAGCTATCCTTGCCACCTGGGCCAAGCACTCTCTAATAAAATCAAGGGATCTGTATTTAAACAACTGCTAATAATGTCAACCTCAGACAGATGCCACATGTAGGAAATTTAACCAACCCTCTCACATGCAATTATCAAGGCAATTTATTAATGTGATCTCCTAAGAAAAGCTCATAGTCCAATGCAAATTAGAAAAACAATTACAACATTCAAATATTTATATAGTCCCAAAGAGCAGTAATTCCCCTAATTTGTGCATTTATAACTCGTTTATTCCAGAGTTCGTAGTCATCAGCTGGGTCTCTCTCCACAGGACTTGTTTGCTTCCTCTCTGATTGTTTTGTCAAAGCTTTAGTGTTTTCTTATGAGGTGCTTTTGATTGAAACCTCATCAATTTAAAACCTTATCAATTGATTGAAACCTTATCAATTTTAAATACAATTTAAAACAAAAAAACAAAACAAAAAACCTGCCACTGTTTGCAAGCTTCTTAACCAAAGCCCAGAACTAGGATGGAGAAGACAAAACATGGCAAACACCTTCACAGCTAAATATGAACACAAAGTCTCCAAGATTATATCAAAAATCACTTGAATTTTAAGTCTAAGCTACAACTTTTGATGAAGCCAGTAGGAAGGGTGGAGAGAAAGGAAACCAGAAAACTGAAATCATGTGGCTTCTATAAAGAATACATTATGGTTTAAATTTGGCAATTCATTACACTACTGCCTCAGGGAATTGAATATTTGGTTCTGGTATACAGCAAATCGTCTGTCTAGAAACACGGGACTGACCTGAGGTGAGAGGCCATTGCCAATGGTGGGGTTCATGGGGTTGGAGGGCCCCGACGGAGGCACAAAGCTGTCTGTATAGCTGGAAAATCCATGCCTGGTGCTGGGGAGGCAGTAGGCAGAGCTGCTGTCTGGGTTGGAAGGAATCGTGCTTTGGTGTACAGTGCTTGGAGGAAGCGGTTGAGGTCTGTGAACGGTGCTGCTGGGATCTGACACAGCTGAAATGAAAAAGATTGTCAACCATCATGTTTTCTTTTAGGCCAGCAGAGAAAGTTCAGTGCAAAAGTTCATCAGCCACCAGGCCATCAGGAGCATCTATTGATCAAATCAAATGTTCACTTCAAACTGCGTTTCTTAACCTGCAGGTGTAGAATCACCCATAACAGATACAGTCACACCTATCTCTGCACATACTTGTAAGTAACATATATACTCTCACGGCAGGCTCACCCAGAATACTAATGCAGAAATCATATTAGCAATGCTAACAAGCATATTTTGGTAGTGAATGTTATTCATCAATATGAGAATTAACCAATATAAGGACTGCAAGTCTCAAATTTCTTATCAAATATACTTTTAAAGCACCTAAATATTTGTGTAATAATATAGTTTCAAATGCCTGGAATGTTCTTTCATAATCCAAAATAATCGGATCTTACAATTTAACATTATCCCATTCACCTCTGTGTGCTAACAAATAATGACTTTGTCAAAGCTTACCTTCCCTCTATTATTCCTACAGTTAGTAAGCATCATTGAATTCCAGTTAGTTGCAAACTGGAGTAAAACGTAGAGGTAAAATTTTAACAAAAGAAAAGCAAATCCCATGGTTATTTGGGAAGGTTAATTTGTTTTAAAATACTGCAATTGAATTATATTACAGCACAGTTTATCTAGAGATATTCTGATACATCATAGAACAAACTATGTTTCTGAAATGTGATAGGTACGTTCAGGACAACCTGATGTATTACAATTAACAACATGGTGTCAGTACTGCAGAAGGATTCACTTGTATAAAATATCCACCAGAGAAATCGCCTGGAAGTTACTTTCTAATCTCCTTGACTCTTCCTCGGTACCTTGTGGAATAGATGTGGGCTGGTAAGAGGTCTCCGACAGCTGGTACGTTGGCAAGGTCGGCATGGCAGTGGGAGGGAACCCCCCGGGAATGAGATGGTTGAAAGCCATCAGTTGATTGGCCCCAGCTTGCTTCCTCCATCTTGCACGGCGGTTGCTAAACCAGACCTATGGATTTAATTTAAAATTTAAGGATTTCACTGATGAAATAATAGTACATTCTTAATGAATTTTTTATGCTAAAACAGATTAGAGGCTTCTTACTGAAAGGGCAAATAGATGCAAGAGTTCTCTGCCTTCTGTGTTGTTTGGGCGAATTGTCAGGAGTAAAAGAAGAGTTTAGTGTCAAAGGTCAGTAGAGGGGCTTCAGGGACCCACCATGATCTTGCAACAACAGCCCCCATGAACCTTATGAGGACCATGGGCAGGAATCACTGAGCAGGAGTAGGAACAACAGGAACTCCCCTCCCTACCCTCAACATCCACCCACCTACGTGTAGACAGCCTTCTGGGGAGGATACATGAGCCTCTGTGACCCCTGCATGACGCATGTCCTAAATGTGGCCTTGCCTTTTACTCCAAGCCTTGTATTTTATATTCTTATTAGTCTGTCTCTGTATTTCTGTGGTCACTAGGGGTATAGCTTCTGGATGGTCATATAAATTGAACAGAGGATAAGTGGAGCCCTTTTTTCATCTCTTCCAAAATATGAAACATTGCACTGATCTCGGTGGAAATAAATGCCAAAGAGGTAAGTGTTTCAAGAAATGAAAGCCTTTTTTTATCTAAAATAATTCATTTGTGTCTTATTTATTTCAACAACAGCTTTAAGCTCCTAGAACACGCTGTGTCAAGCACTATGCTAACCAGGTACATTCAGAAAAGCCTGATACAATATAATAAAATGCCCTCAAATAATTCAAAGCCCAAGTATTTTGTATGAGTCAATGGAGAGAAAGGGCAGTCATGGCAGCAAGAAATGTAACTGAATATCTAAACTATTGAGAAATTGTGATATAAGGCCTTTCATGGGTCCTGTGCTCCTGCCCAACTCTTACATCTGCAAAGTTTAAATGTAGAACTTGGGGTGATTTTTCCACGGAGCACACATGATGTTTCCCCTAAAATGAGAGAGGATTTCTACCAACTAAAGATATTCTAATTCCTACATCAAAAGTTCATTGAAACTTTTTTTTTTTTTTTTGAGACAGTCTTGCTCTGTCGCCCAGTCTGGAGTGCAATGGCGGGATCTCAGTTCAACCCAACCTCCGCCTCCCAGGTTCAAGGGATTCTCTTGCCTCAGCCTCCCCAGTAGCTATGATTACAGGCACCCGCCACCATGCCCAGCTAATTTTTGTATTCTTAGTAGAGACGGGGTTTCACCATGTGGGTCTTGAACTCCTAAGCTCAGGTGATCCACCCGCCTCGACCTCCCAAAGTGCTGGGATTACAGGCGTGAGCCACCCATTGAAACTTAATATGGAGGAAAGCACTGTGTTTGGGGTTGGAAGGATATAAAGGGAATCAAGTAGGATCTCTGCACTCTGGTAGTTTGATGCCTTGTCCTCATGGGATTCACAGAGCAGTCAAGGAGACCAAAATAATTGCTCGCTAGAGGTAGAAACTTCACATTTGGAAGCACAGAGAATCAGGAAAACTCTAAAGTGGAAGCAAAAAGTTTCAGCTCATTTTAAAATTTGATTCTAATTTCGACGAGCGATCGCTTGAGATGGAAGTGACATCCATCCTGTCCTACAGGGCAGGCAGATGCAGCTTGTTACAGGAGGCCAGCTTAAGAGAAGATGAGAATTGATTTCCTTACAGAGCAATGTTAACAATTTTGCAACTTAATTGTAATTCTTAAAGTCAGATCATTTAAGAGCGGAGGAAAAGATTTTTCTGGAGAAGAAGCTCAATTTAATAAATCCTTTGCCGAGGGATTTGCTCAAACTTTTGGTACTCACCCAAGCATTTGTCTGAAAAGAGTTTTGTCTTCTCTCGCCATTGTTGCAAGATACTGGTAAGGAAAGCTGTTTGAACTTCCTCAAAACATCAACATTTAATACTCCTTAAGTTTCCAACAGGAAAACGAGGTAAGTTAATATTTTCCCATGTTGATACATAATTGAATTAGAGTTTTACTTAACTTAATAAATTGCCACCTGGGGTAATAGAACCATGAACAGCACTTAATTTCAGGTCTGCATTAACTGTGCTTTCTCACTGCCCCGGTCTGAGTGCCTGTTACCACGGCTCCCAAAGGCATCAGGGTAAGAAAATCATTTTCAAGAAAGTTCTGGGAACAAACTGTGTTAGCTTGGGGAGGCTGAAGGTGGGAAATTAGGGTCATGTTCATGCCTGAGTGCACTGTACCATAACACACACTGTGGTTGTAGTTTATATTATAATACGTCAAGACTAAGGAGGTACTCCCGGCTCAGATCAGGTAGTCCTCTGCAACTATCTAGACCAGCGATGTACAGTGCATCTCCAGCTTTATATTGCTGGGAGGAGAACTGGACTTCCAAAAGTTTTGATGTAACTTCACTCATGAAGATTTACTATGCTCAGTTCCACTGGTGAAACCCTTTATGAAGAACTCAGAAAGGTACGCTTCGGTTTTTGTCAGATTTGTTGGCAATCTCTCTGTGCCACCTGCCTTCTGTAACCTTTAGATAAGTAAACCCAGGAGTGGTGAAGCCTGATCTCTCCATCAATCTCAAGTTACTATTGACTCAAGGTTCATTCTAACTCCACCATAACCCAATTTTTAAAAACAAAAATGTCTTTGCTGAGATAATAAAGAAGAAACATCATGAGTTTCTACAAATACCTTCAAAAGACAGAATCCAAACAGAGTAAGAGTATAAGGGTTTGGGGGTTTGTTTTCATATTTTCTAAAATGATATAAATAGGTAACAAAGACATTGAGTAAACTCACCAGGAGTTGGATTAAAAAGTCCTTATATTTATTATACAGTATCTATTATATCCACAATAAAAAATGAAGAGAAATTGTTGTGAAGCAAATCTTTACTGAAAAACAAACCTTCAGCAAGAGGTTCAAGAGATTCCCAAAGGAAGGAATTTAAATGTTGTTTAAATTTAGGCTAAATAAATCCAGAGGGCTATTCCTAAGAGAACCAGGGCTTAGTGAGGACTGGCCTGCCTGTCTCTGGTCATTTAACCTGATTTTTTATCATCTTACCATTGCCAGCCTTCTGCATTTCCTAGAACCAGCTGAATTTGCCAAAAGAAGTATTAAAGGAAAAACACACTAACTTTGCAAATTAAGAACTGGTCTTTGCCTTCTTTATGTTTTGAAACTCAAAACAGACAAATTTTCTATTTTTAGTAGACTAAAAAGAGTACCCTAGAAATGACCTTTACTTTCAATACCTGAACGAACCAAGCGTAGTGATCCTAGGAGGCTGTTATCAGCCCACATTTAACTGAAATTTTCTTGATACTCCTAAGTCTTAGATAACTCTTTCAATATTGTATCACTAATTCCTAACATACAATCAATGAATAATCTGCAGAATGGCATGTGTGAGTGTATAACACTGAATAAATTCATCTAAAATATACATATTTATAACTTAGTAGTTACACTTTCTAGAAATTTCCCCTTGTTTTGAAAAGAATAGCAGTAGCAACAGAGGCAAACTGGCCTATGACTGATGTTCTAGGAGAGAACAGAAATTTACCACCCAATGTCTTTGCCAGTAGGGTGGAAAGAACAAGATTTACAAAGTTGGCTATACACCTTTAAATGAAATTATATGATCTACAATTCAATGTAATTTTACTATCCCCACACAAGATTACCTGGCCTTCCGCATCACACTTGGCATGTTAAGGAAGTGGGGGCAGGAGGCACAAATTTGTCAGTAACCTACTATACTATTAGACACAGTTAATTGTCTATCATTGCATGTATAATATTACATCAAAAGTCTCCCTCAAAGCAAGTTGTTATTTCATTTGATAAACTGCAGCCCGGTTCATTTTTATCTGCCGCCTGTACTTCCCAACTTGTATGTCTCTCTACTGAGTCCTTCCATAAAGCCATATTTCATGTCTTTGAAAAATGATCTTTACATGCATTTCTCTAGTAGTATAATGTCCAATGATTTTTTGAAACAAAATTTAAATTGGTTGAAAGAGCCCCATAACATCATGATAACTAGGAAAAAAAGATAATAATTAGAAAAGAAATTTTCATACTTTTTATGAGTAAGCAAACCAGTTTGTTCAGACTCTCAACATTACAAGTTGGCGGGTGGCGGGGAAACTAGTACTTTCTACAGTAAAGATACAACAATACATCTTATTCACATGTGTGCAATACAGACCAGGCAAAAGTTGAATCTCAGCTCCTCATTTATATTAATACTTCTGTGACCATGAACAATTTGCTTAATATCTGGGGGTCTCTGTTTTCCCATGTGCTAAACGGGGAATATAAAAACTACTTCACAAGATTGTTGTGACTATTAAAAATGCAATGCAATCTAAGCTTCTAAAAGAATACCAAGGAGATATTAAATGTTCAGTAAATGCTAGCTATTAAATAGAAAGTCTCACACTGACACTTCTATCTGAGAAAACCAAGAATTGAAGCTCTGTTTTGCTTCCTTCACTCTGTGGTGTCCAGCCAAAGCCTTTTGTGTCTGTGAGTAAACAGGAAAGTGCCCAGAAAACACCTCAAATAATTGAAAGCCGGTTTGACTTGAATGGAGGCTTAGGTCAAATTTGCTTCCAAGTTTCATGGATTAGTGCTAATTGTCCCTTGGTGTCAGCCTAATTTTGCCCATCAATAAATTACTGGTTCACATTTTTGGTGGTGTTCTCAAAGGCAATTCAGCCTACATTATTCAAGACGGATTACTTCAAATGCAATTTGAAAAATGGGGAGAGAACATAATAGTTAATCCTTAGAAAGAGAATTCGCAACAAGATTGTAAAACGTTTGGTTAAATACTAGACTCAGGATGTCGAATGCTGACATGCCAAGTACAGTACTTTCCAAGTAGGGAAATTCAGGGCAAGCTGCTCATTTCCCTGGACCTTCTCCTTCACTCTCACCTCCTTTCTCTTTCTATGAAAGGTTCTCCCAGCCTTCCAATCACTGCTGCTATCCAACTTTGGCCACCATTTGGAGAGCAGGTTGGAAACAGGATGGGCAAGATTGAACAGGAGGAAGGCCATGCTCCCATGCATGTGAAAAGACCATGGACACACACAAAAGCACACTCAACTGCATCTTGATACCTCCCAAAAGCAAACTCCTGCAGAGAACTTCAGGATGAACATATGTTTGCTTCATTACGGAGCTTAGGATATTCTATACCTATCTGAACTTCTGAACTATACAGATCAGTTAGACGGCTTCAAATCATCATGGTGCTTTTTTAGGAATTCCAAATTACTGATGCTATAAGGATTCTGCCATATTCTCATTCCCTTTCTCATTCCCAAGGGTCCTGAGAAATTATGCATTTGGGTCATTCCCAAAATGCATGATTTCTCAGGACCCTTGGGAATCACCATTGTTATTTTTTGGGAATCCTAAATTACTGATGCTATAAGGGTCCTGAGAAATCATGCGTTCTACTAGTTTTTAATTTGGGCATGGGAGAAAGGTATTTGAGCACATAATGAAAGCCAGAGGCCCTTTCTCTAGTTAACAGTTGTATATACACATACACAAGCAAAGGAGCAAAATTTTGTGTACAAATCTCAAATCTCCCAGATCTCCTGAAGTCCACCCATGATTATCCTGGTGGGGCATGAACCCCAGCTGAGATCATGTGATCTAACCAACCCCATATTTTTTTAAATTAAAAAAATTAAAAACCTGAAGTCCAAAAGGATTCCAGCAAGATTAAGTAACTTGCTCAACAAAACACATTTGTCAACTGGGAACGAAACCCATATCATCTGACTCCTAGTTAAATTCTATTTCCCCTAGTAACTTGTTTTTCTGTCTTCCATTGTCTTCGTGGTAAAACAGGATGTTACTTGCCTACTTCATGGGATTCTTAGATGGAATATTTACTAAAACTTTTGCACATCATAAATATTTGGGCCAGACATAGTGGCTTACACCTGTAATCTCAGCACTTTGGGAGGCCAAAAAATAGGAGGATTACTTGATTCCAGGAGTTTGAGACCAGCCTTGGCAACATGGTGAAACCGCATCTCTACAATACAAAAATTAGCTGGGTGTGGTGGCACAAGCCTGTAGTCTCGGCTACCCAGGAGACTGAGGCGGGAGGATCATCTGAGCCCAGGAGGCAGAGGTTGCAGTGAGCAGAGATCGCACCACTGTACTCCAGTGCACTCCAGCTCAGGCAACAGAGTGAGACCCTGTCTCAAAAAATAATTAATTAATTAATATTTGCAAGTAATTCCTCCCCACAAAACTTGAATGTTTGTCATTATTTGCATGATATTAATAACAGCTACCCTCATTACAGATGAATTAGGCAAATCATCTTTTTTAAAAAAAAAAAAAACCTTGTAGTGTTATTATTACTAGGCAAATAGTCGTTAGTATACAACAGTTCTTACATTGTGTACTCAGATTTGGTTATGATAAACTCAACACAGCTACAGCCTAAATGAATTTATATAAAACACTGACAGAGGCTAAAGTTATTATAGCTTTAGTCCCATTTCTATTTAGAAGAGTGTAGAAATATTTTTCCTCAGGAGAAAAAAAATGAAATGTAGACATGATTTGGGGTTTGGGGGGTGTTTCGTGTTTGGTTTTCCCAGGTGCCCCAAATTAAACTAACTCACACTTTCTGGCTATCACTCAAACTGAGTTGACTTGGCTACTGCTTTCCCAGATCCTCTAAAAACTAAAGGATTTTCTTCTGGCATTTTAATCAGTGATTAACTACTCCCTTCTTTTTCCTGCTGGGTTAAGTAAAAGATCCATATGCTGGGTGTTCTAGGGAATTTGTTAGGCTATAGATCACAGCCGTGGTGCCAGCCATGATGTGTCTCAAGGGAACTAAAGAAGCCATAAGGAATGTCAAGAGTCACCGGGTTAAAGCCACATTAAGACAGCTGTTACGTTAATGAAGGCCCTGCTTCGAAGAGGAGGTCACTATATGGAAAAGTATGAACTACTGTTTATTGGTTTGATCCCATGTCCTCTGAAAGTTAATGGGCCATTATTATTATCCTTTGACATTCATTGAGCCAGATGAGAATGCTGGGTGCTGTACAAGCTACATGGGTTTGAAATATATTCTGTCTCCATCCTTAGTTTTGACAAAGGCAGGAATGAAAGAGAACAACACCGAACACTCCTCAGTTTTCCATCACACTCCTTGTCTGATCTATTTACAATAAATGTTTATTTTTCCTTACTCACATTGAGTTCAGAGCTGATACTCGGCCTATTTTAAAAATAGATCTAGTGCCAGTGGCTCACACCTGTAATCTCAACACTTTGAGACGCTGAGGAGGGAGGATCACTTGAGTCCAGGAGCTCAAGACCAACCTGAGCAACATAGCAAGACCCCAGCTCTACAAAAAAATAGAAAAATAATTAGCCAGACATGGTGGCACACATCTGTAGACCCAGCTACTCTGGAAGCTGAGGTGGAAGAATCACTTGAGCTTGGAAGATCGAGGCTACACAGTGAGCCATGATTAAGCCACTGTACTACAGGCTGGGCAACAAAGTGAGACTCTGTCTCAAAAAACAAACAAACAAACAAACAAAAAAGCAGATCTAGTAGGTGGGCTTGGCCAGTTACAGAGGACAGGTACCAAATCCTGGAATATAGTGGCCACTCAAAAGAGGCATGATTGGACCTCACATAACATTTGCAGGTAATTGCAGAACTATAATAAAAGCAAAGTAGATTTGAAACATATTATTTATAACATTGTTATATATAATATACTATTATATGATTTAATTTGTCTGCCCTTTTGATTGTGATACAGATTTTTTCTCTGCACTGTTATATTAATATGCATGTTAATATCATAACATTGATATAGTAATATTAATGTTATGTTAATATAATATTTATATAGTATTATATAATATTACTATATCAATACTGTATTAAAATATTTTTCTATTGAAATATTATGACTTAGTTAATAAAGGTTATTTCTACACTGTGTGGTGGGGAGAAACACTCTGTTTCCCAATGATAATAGGTTTCCCAACTTTAAAACACCAGCTCTGTGAACCTTGGTCTATCTACAACTCTTCCTTTCACTCACCTTCCTCCCCACTTCTAGATTACACAATCGGTTGTCCATTCTACCTCTGAATACCTTCACCACCATCTCTTCCTTGCCATTCCCACTGCCACTACCTATCTCATGCCATAGCCCCCACTCCCTGTCACATCAAATGTGAGCTCACTGGCCTGAAACCCAAGACCTCCATAGGATATCCTCAGCCTACCTACCAAACCCTATTTCTTCCACCACCCTACCACTCCTTACATTCTAATCAAACTAACTATTCTCCCAATATGACTAGAGTGAAAAAGAAAGGTTATCTTACGTGTAGCCCACCACTTCTACCTCTCTGTGCCTCTGCTCATATAATTCCCTATTACTAATATACTCTCCTTATGCACCTGGTCCAGTGAATATCTATCTAGCCCGGAAAGTTCATCTTAAATCTGCCCTCTGGGCCCAGCACAATGGCTCATGCCTATAATCCCAGCACTTTGGGAAGCCAAGGCAAGTGGATCGCTTGCACCTGGGAGTTCAAGAAGAGCCTGGGCAACATGGCAAAATCCCATCTCTTCAAAAAATTATCCAGGCATAGTGGCATGCACCTGTAGCCCCAACTATCTGGGAGGCTGAGGTGGGAGGATCACCTGAGCTCAGGAGGTGTAGGCTTCAGTGAGCTGTGATTGTACCACTGTACTCCAACCTGGGCTACAGAATGAGACCCTGTCTCAAAAAAAAAAAAAATTAAATCTGCCTTCTTCATGTACCTCTCTTCATTCCTTCAAGATCTCATCCCTTGAGTTCATGTCCTTTGCAGGGACATGGATGAACCTGGAAACCATCATTCTCAGTAAACTAACACAGGAACAGAAAACCAAACACTGCATGTTCTCACTCATGAGTGAGAGTTGAACAATGAGAACACATGGACACAGGGAGGGGAAAATCACACACCAGGGCCTGTTGGGGGGTGGGGGGCTAGGGGAGGGATAGCATTAGGAGAAATACCTAATGTAGATGACGGGTTGATGGGTGCAGCAAACCACCATGGCACGTGTTATACCTATGTAACAAACCTGCCCCTTCTGCACATATATCCCAGAACTTAAAGTATAATTTTTTAAAAAAAGGTTGGGCATGGTGGCTCATACCTGTAATCCCAGCACTTTGGGAGGCCAAGGCGGCCAGATCACGAGGTCAGGAGTTCGAGACCAGCCTGACCAACATGGTGAAACCCCATCTCTACTAAAAATACAAAAATGAGCCGGGCCTGGTGGCAAGCACCTGTAATCCCAGCTACTTGGGAGACTGAGTCAGGAGAATCGCTTGAACCCAGGAGGCAGAGGTTGCAGTGAGCTGAGGTTGTACCACTGCACTCCAGCCTGGGTGACAGAGTGAGACTCCACCTCAAAAAAAAAAAAAAAAAAAAATCTCATCCTTTCCTCTTCTCAACTCCCATTGCACTTTTTCTCTTTCTGCACTTATCATGTCTGTGTTATTTTTAAATTATTTGTATGTTTATTTTTTTACCTTTCTTAGATTGCAACTCCTTCAGAGAACTGTCTTAATTGATCTTAGCATTCCTTGACTTTCCTAGCACTATGATGATCATATGGAAGTTTGAAGAAAACAATCTCTCTGACTGAGCTCTGCAGCCTGGAAGAGGCTATTTCTGTAAAATTCTGTAATAGGAGAGTTAATTAGCTGCATCTATGAACGTGTTGATCAATCTAGGGACCATGTCAACTGACTAGTCCACTGCTGAGTCCCCAGCCTGCAAATTAAGAATCTGGAAATAACACACAATATTTGCAGACAAGGTGACTTAACTTCTAGGGTGGTGAGGAGTTCGAGGATACCCTACGATATCTGCCATCTTTCAAACACTGTTTTACTAGCTCCAGGAAGTAGTTCTTCATTAATGATGAAAACATTATTCTATACTCTATAGAAACATATTACATCTAAGTAGCCTTTCCAGAAGGTTCAGAGCACCTCTAAGAGTTCAAAAGATAATTCAACATGTTCTTTAAGTAATATAATTTCTTGAAATGCTTCTTAATTATAAAATCGTTAAATGAAGGAATTTCATGTTATGCACCTTTGCACATTTTCATAATTGAAAGGTCACAGAGATGAAGCGTATGGGATCCAATTATCTCTAGACTCACTTTGCAGCTATGCCACCTTGGGTAGTTACTTATATAGTCCAAGTCTCAGTTTCCTTATTTGTAAATGGAGAGTAGCAATCATGGTACCCACCTAGGATTTTAATAATGATTCAATGGGTTAATTCATGTGAAGCACTTAAAATAGTGGCTGGGACAGAGTAACCACTCAAAATTTATTTGCTCTTACTTGTGTATCACCCCCAAAGTCCATATAGTGCTGGTGTACAATAAGGATTCCTGAAAAGTTGAGTTAGTCACATGAAGTGGTGGACTTCTGTGTGTCGTAAATGATATAGTTGTATTCTGTCAGTAAATAATCAAAGTCCTAACAATATGCATCCCTAGTAAAGGGCCATTCCTAATACATTTTTGGGGGGGATTGACATATGTTTTAGATGAGAAGATGCTTGTTTGTTTCCTGTCTGGACTGAAGTAGGACACGGAGGTTTGGGCAACAGTACCTGTACTCGGGCCTCGGTGAGCTTCGCCCTCTGGGCCAGTTCCTCCCTAGTATAAATGTCAGGGTAATGAGTTCTCTCAAAAGCACGCTCCAGTTCCTCCAGCTGTTCTGCTGTGAAGGTGGTTCGGCTTCTGCGCTGTTTCCTCTTTAGTGGTAAATCTGGTTCAGAGTCAATATCAGAGCCTTCATCTGATTGGGGTGCTGAGGCTAAAAGCACAGAAGAACAAAACATCATAAAATGTGAATCAAAAAAATAAAACTGAGATTGAATCCAAGTTCTCTCTCCGACTGCAAGACACCATTACAGTGATCCCTATACCTAAAGTAAAATAAATGTGGATCAAAAAACAAGTCTAACCAATCCGTAATAATTCAAATCCTGGTCTACAGTGCATTCCCAATGTCTTCCATGGACACCAAGCACCCCGCCCCCATGCAGTCCTGCATCATTAAATAATATTTAATCTCTTCTCCTACTCTATCTTTCTGCCCCCTAGGCAGAAATAATTGCTCATAGCATCTGTCATTCTAGGCCAATTATGAGCTCTTAGAAAACAGGGACAGGCCTTATTCCATTTGTATGGCCCTATGCTTACTACTTAATGGGTGCTTCCTTCGTGTCTAATGAATGGATCACATTGAGTTTTGTTTCTGATAAATTTTCACCAACATTTACATTATGAAATCTGTTAAATGTGATTTTTAAAAATATTCCAAACTTGACTTAGTACCTAAGAAGCGAGTAACAGTTAACTATTCCCAGATTCCTATATATTTATAGACTACTGCTCTTATAAAAAATTATATTTAAATCAGTATCTCATCACCAGATATGGGGAAATGCTTTAAAGAAAATGTATGTACTATTAAAATGTAAATCTCTAGAACTGACCTGAGAAGAAGCAGGCAGGCATTGTCTTGTGAACTGTCCCTAACTAGAGTCTGGGTCTCTGCTGAGTGGGCATCTGTCCAGGACAGCTGCTTTATTTAAGAAAGCCAATGCAAAAAAAAAAAAAAAAAAAAAAAAAAAAAGTATGATCCCTTTTGTAAAAAAATATTATGAGTTTCAAGAAGGCAACAACAGATCATTAACCCAATCCCAGGGCCTTCTGAGTGTGTGGCCCTGAGCAACTGCATAAGACAAAAATGTCCCTGAAGCCACTGTGTGGTGGCCTAACACACACAAAACTTGTGTGTATTTGCCTGTACTCACATGTGGAAGGGAATTTCAAAATTGAGTGGGCAGGTACAGGGGCAAGAGAAGCGGGAAGTGGGAAATTTGATACAAATTACGTTAATGATACAAAATGGTTAGTACTCCTGTAAGAACAGGGTCTGAATCTGTGGCTGCAACTAGCAAAACCTGGGCACAAGTGGTTCCATTTCCAGGCCAGAATTTGATGAGGGCAGGGGTGGAGCAGGCATTTTCCCTGTTTCTGCTAGGAATGCATTAGGGATCCCATAGCAAAGTGAACCCTTACAGTAATAGAGCAACGCTGGCTATAGAGGGTTCTGCAGTGTGAGGGAGAATGCATCAGACCAGGGCTACAGGCAGGAAGAGCAGCCCTCTCCCGGGACCCCAGATACTGGGGTAGTGGGCAAAGATCTATCAAAGGGTTATCAGGCCATAGACCCTGAGCCTAGAGGGGGAACCAGAGCAGCCTGGCTCTTGAACACATCCAAATGTGCTCTGAAAATTCCCCAAATAACTAAGGGATCCTGTAAAGAAGGGGCCGAGGTTACTGTCAGCAAATGCAACAGTAAGCCAGAAAATTGTAGATTATTAATGTCAATGTCACACTAACTCATTTGCACCCTCAGGCTGATAGGACCTGGGGAAATGAAGGTGGTGCTAGAAGCAATGTGAATATGTGTAAGTCCTTTACTTCTAATTCTCTTTTATCTTAAACTCCAACTTAACTCTGCCCTACAGAAATCTAAAATTTCATTCTATTTCAGTAGAAATTTTAAACTGCCCCAAATGGTACACATCCAAAATGAACCCATAAATGTGATTTTCAGTTTTCTAACATTTTACTACTTCCATACTTTATTCACATCTAAATATTATGAAACTAAGAGGCAATAGAGTAAATTAATAATGCAAGTGATAATTTTTTTAAATATACCTGAAAACAAATACATGTGCATAAAACAAAAGAGAAGTATTACATATTATTTTTGATTTTTCAATTATCTAATTTAATATAAAATTATTTCATTTAACATAAATCTTACGTTAGGATATTTTACTACTAACTTAAAGAAAGAAAACTAGACTTTCTCTAGCTATGGCAATATTTTAAAGGACAATTAACATGCTAAAAAATACGCTATGCATTGCATTATAAACTCCAAAAGCTCCCAATGCAACTTATATACATGTATGATTGATAAATGTAAGCTAAACTAAATGAGCAATAATTTGTGCCGAGTCATAGAACAGTGTTTCATAAGCTTTTGGAGCATTAGGATGACCTGGAGGGCTTGGTAAAACATAGACTGATGGATCCCCTTCCATGGTTTCAATTCAGTAGATCTGAGGTGGGCTCCAAGAGTTTGCATGTCTAACACATTCCCAGGTGATTGATGCTGATTCTACCGACCCCAGATAACACTGCCCACCTCTATAGAATATTCTAGATTAATTCTTGTCACTCTCAAAATTTTCAACTCTGTAAAATACATCTGCCACAATTAACTGAAAGTCACTCCCACATGTATATTTTTAAATTGTGAACAATGTGCTCCCTAAGAAACAAATTACGTATTCCCCTAAGAAGACAAATTTCCATAAAATATTTTCCTTCAGTGCTTCCAGTTTCTAACCTTTCTTTCCAAAGTGAATTCAGGTGAAACACTCAATAGCATTTAAAGACTGACCAAAAACTTCCTCTGCCCAAGAGAACCCTAAATCTTTGCTTGTACATTCTCTTACTATGATCCCATTAGGATAATAGTATGTGGAAATTTTCATGTTTCCTTTGGGAGTCTCTGGGGTTATTAAATTCTTTCAAGTAAATATGATGTGCCATGCACTGTCAGATCAATTAATCAAAATCGTCTCTGGTTTCTGAAGAAAAAGAATGGTTAGATTTACAAGCACCAGCGAGAATTAATCCTGAGGGTCAAGACCATGGTGTTTCACCTTAAAAATCAACATTCCCCAGAATATAAACTGGGTGAGCTCAAAGCCCTTCTCTGCCTTGTTCACTGCTGGAACCCTTAGAACACAGTAGGCACTCAATAAGGACACGTTGAATGAATGCCAAGTGTGGGGCAAATTTCAGATTTGCTCCAACACTGATTTATTTGCCACTGTTTTACATCTTTATTCTTAAAATGGAAATTCTCCTCTTATGACATCTCCCAACATCTATTCAGATGGGCTTTGGAAGTCTGTGAGGCCTGAACAATCATGTTGAATGTTTAGCAGGTATTTATATACCTGCATTGTTTGGAAGAATGATTACCAATTTTTTCAGAGGATTGTGGGCTTTTTTAAAGATGAAAACTAGCATAGCTAGTAATGAAAAGCCTCAGAATTTGGGACAGTACACCTGTCAAACAGGAATGCAGGTATCCTAAGGTGAGTTCAGGGAGGACAGAAACTTCCAGTGGAGGAGAAGGGCAAAAGCTCCCTTGATCCTGACTTTGAGTATAAATATAGGCCATGAAAGCAGGGCCTGGTGATTCTTTAAAAGAAAAAAAAAGTCTCAGAATTTAAGAGTTCAATAGGACAGCCGTTACCACCAAAAATAAAACTCTCTTTAACAAGCTTACAAATCACTACTCTTACTTCTAGACTGTTTATTCAAAAGCAATGGAAAGGTTGCATCTAACTGGGAAAACCACCATATAGCATAATTTCAGAAGATGTTGAGGAAATGATTTGCCTGATTTTTCGGCTGGAAACTTATTTGAGAAACCAGATAATTTTTGGCAATATGAAGCCACAATCTTACAAGATAATTCTAACTTTTCCCCATCTGTAAACCCCAAAGGGATGTGGGCTTTAAAATATGTAAAGTCAGCAACCCAAGATTAATCTGCCGGCTAGGAAAAACTAGCTATTTCTAAACATGGAAATACTACTATTTCTTATATCATTCAATAGAAATAAAATTTATTTGTACAGCACTTGATTCACAATGATCACCCCAATTTGAATCATTTCATTTTTGTTTGTTTGTTTGTTTTAGAGACAGGGTCTTGCTTTGTTGCCCAGGCTGGTCTTAAACTCCTGGGCTCAAGCAATCTTCCCACCCCAGCCTCCCAAATAGCTGGGACTACAGACTCACACCACCTGGCAGAATCATCCAGTTTTTACCAAGAGCAAAACTAAAACTTAAATCCCATTTTAAGAGCACATAGGAGGGCCATTTTTTTGGATTTCATCTATTTTACATACTCAGTTTTACTTAAGCTACTAGAATCAATTGGATAGGAGATACAAAGAATCTAATTCTAAATATTACACGGAAAGTAAAAACAAGGCTTTCTTTCAGGAAGCTTAATAGAAAGAAATTATATCTTTTTTCTCTATAGAATATCTAATGCTATGATTTGGAAACCACAAATGTGTTAGCAGGACAGTTGTGTAAATGAGTTAATAAATTGCCAGGATACAACAATTAGATTAAATATAAACTCTTTGGACTATTACTACTGTACAACTTTAATATTAAGGGAAGATTCTAAATTACACTTAAGTTGCTCAATCATATTTTACAGATGCCTTCACAAAGAAAATTTCCTTCATTATTAGAGATACTCTTCCCAAATTTGAAATTCCAGAATAGATCTCATAAGAAAATCCATATCAATACATCATGCACAGCATTCTAAATGGAAATTTCATTGCTTTAAATTGCAAAAAGATGTAGATTTTATCCCAATCTATATTGCTATCAGATTTAGAAATTTTTGAATCTATTATTAAAACCCCTTTACAATCCATTATCTGGCTTACCCATTAGTTTAACTCAATGTCACCAATGACCCTAGAGCAACGCTTTCCAGGAGGATGAGGATTTCTCTCCCTTCCCCCCTAACTTCACAGCAATCCTAGGAATTAGATACTTATCCCACTGTACAGAAAAAGGAAACTGAGACTCCAAGAGGTTGTTCAGTTCATACAGCTAAGGAAGCTAGAATTTGACCCAGATCTATGGGACTTCAGAGGACATGCTTGCTGGCTTGCTTCTAGCTTAGAGTATCTTAAATGAGTGTTGAGTCTTTTATCACATGCACACACACACACACACACACACACACACACACAGTTCTTTTGAAGAGGAATAACAGAAATGAACAAAAACAGAAATTCAAATATCAATCACTTAGCTAATCACCACTATTGCTACCATTTATCCCAAATTTTGAAAAACTGCCCTGCATAAAATGAAATCTACAGAACTACTAGAGTTGGATCAATATTATACACCAATCCAAACGATTTTCCAGTGGATTCAATTCAACAAATACTTATTTAAATCTTTGTATGTTTCCAAGGTATAGTTTTTAAACAACAATAAGGCACTAAGAAATAAATCAACTTTGCCAAGATATTAAATGGATTTAAGAAATCAAAGTAGTTCATCTGACCATTTGCAGTCTTTACTAAGAACCATCACAGACCATTGATATCTAGGGTCAGTCTGGAACCTGCCAATAATCATAAGCTGGTGAACTGATTATTCATTTTATATCTTTATTAAAGTTTTAATTTTGGTATTTTGTATTACAATGAATGTAATAAAAATATAACAAGAGCTAAAATGGTCTTCTGAAGCAAAAGTGCAGGAAGGAATAACTGGAAACATATCAGGATATTCTCAGGTTATTCAGCAGAAACTCCAGTGTGATCACTGAAAGCATCACCTCTCACCGAAGTATTTCAACTCTGTGCTTTATAAGAAAGTTCGATCTCAAGCTAATTTTAGATACAGGAGCCAAATTGTTAGTTATCCTAATCATCTCACATTAACTCCCAAGATTACACTTGGGAAAATGGACATTGTCAGTAAAAAGAAAGAAAGGATCAAGCACAGGGCAACTGTCATACCCCCACAGGATTACAAACTCTTCCTTCAGAGACAAATCAAACTGGGAGGAGAAGGCAAAAGTATTACCACCAGCGGGCTAACCATGAAGTTTAATTAAAGAAGGAATTACAGAATTAGAGAGTATGTCTTTGTCCGTTAGCCCCTTGTGACCTCCTCTGTAGCCTCGGGAAATATTTCATCCTAGTTAACACTATTATACATGAAATCTTGCCTCAATTTTATAGGGATTTAGTCATGTGGAATTCTGTAATTATTGGTGTTCAGACAAATATAATTCAGAGATGGGAGACAGGCAAAAAATGGAGAAACAAAATAATTCACAAGCATGAATTTTGTACATTGTCTTTCTTCTCAGCAAGACGTTTCATTTGAATAATTAAAGAATCAAAACATGACAACCATTTAAATTCTATGTTTGCCCTAGATATAATACAATGTGATTTACAGACATGGGAGGAGGTGGAGGGATCTCTGGAGGCTGAATTTCCTAGTCATAATTTATTTACTATAAGATGGCCTCATACCAAACCCGATGGTCTTTTCGTCAGTTTTAATCTTTCTGAGCTAGATTTGTGAGCACTTTTACTCCCAGCTGTGTTTCACTGAAAAAAGAACAAGATAAAAATAAGAATCCTTCCTGAGAGCTCCATGAAGCCTTTTTATACTGCGAGTCTGATCACTTAAGGGTATTTCACAAGTATATTCCAGAAGGTCTTTAACAGGTCAACTTGAAGTTTGATGAACCTACTTGGCTAATTGCAGAAGGTCTCCTGCGCTTGTGAGTTTTGCCATTCAACGTGAAGGGTACAATGGGACAACTAACTGTTTTCTGATCTGAAGTAGCCCTTTTACGCTGAGAAAGATGTGAATGACCTCTCTCGTGTTTACTCGGGTGAAAGTCAGGAGGAGTGAAGCAAGACTGATATTCCTTTGCAGACCCAGAGTAAATGACAAATGACATTTTCCCTTTGTGATCTTTGGGATTTTTGTTGACTTATTTGGAGGCTTTTGTTGGATCCCAAGAAATGGCCTGTGGCTGAGGCCTATTCTACCGATTTCCACGCTCCATCTGTGGAATCCATCAGCAGGGCATTTACCCTCATTCAGGGTTCTGACACCTGCCTGGCAGGGCGCAGGAGACACAAAGAAAGCTGGAGTGGATGAGAAAGGGGAGGTTGGGGTGGGTTTTTTTTTCAGAGAGAGAAGGAGGGGGGAGGTTGAAATGGATACACAGTAGGGGTTAATCCAAGTCAGTTGAGAGACTTCAGCACCTGGAAGCTTCTCTTCCACATTAATTCACAAGCTAAGAAGTAATCAGCGATGTTATTTTTAATTTATTTTAAAATTGTATATATGTTGAGAAAAGAAAACAGATATGCAGGTGGAAAAAAAACAGAGATTTAAAATAAAATTTTAACGTGTAGCTAGAACTGTACATTGTGTAACTATCAAGCCATACATTGAACTTTCCGGAATTCTTAACCCAGAACTAGGGTCCGAGTAATTGTTATTTTGATAAACAATTGTGAGTTGATAAACTGGGAGGGATGGTTTACAACCTGTTCAATGGTCTATTTGGTGGTGGGGGTGAGGGGTAGGTAAAGGGGTCTCATTTTGTTTTTATTCCCTCTATGATTTCTCCCCGAAATGTGCCAGCAAAAGACTCTTTAGCAAGTGCAAAAAAAAAAAAAATAGAATTTTTGGGAAGGATATGCTGAGCTTTCTTGAGCAAAGGTTCTTTCAAGAACACTAAATCTAATTAAGACCCTCCAGCCATTTACCTACTCTTGTTCCTGCCCAGCAGTCCCCTATTTTTTGGCTGGAGAAAAGTAACGCTATTCCCCTCCCTTCTGACCCAAGCCCTTCCCTCGGAAGCTGCCGTCTCACAGCACGAGGTCATTAGAAGGAAAATAAGCTCCTGCCAGGTTGGGGCTAATCAAAATAGCACAAATAAACCCTGACACTCAACAACTCCCCGAGTGCCTGCTGCCCTGGGAGGAGAGTACAGATTGGTTATGAATATGGCCGGCCACGGGGGCAGTACAGGAGGGCCTGGCCGTGTGCTCCGTTGCTCCGGAGTTATTTTTAATGCACAACATGGACTATTGGGTGTTTGTTTAAGATAAGGGCTGACAAGCAGAGGTTGGCGGCACGGCAAGCTGCCTCTGAAGTGCTGAGCTGCGCAGCCCCAAAGCCCCCCAACATCCTAAGCTTCTCAGAATTTTGAGTTTCAGGTGTGTGCAGGATTTCTATCCACATTTCCTTGAGGAAACTTTCTCTGGATGGAGTTCTGTCTCAAGCCACCACCTGACCATTGGTCATCGAAAAGTCCTCCTTTCTAACAACAGCAGCAAACAAGAAAGGCTTATTTCTCCTTCATTCATTCATGCAGCCCTGCTAGTGATTATTTTTAGTAGCTGTATTCACTGGTATGTTTATGTAAAACCATGCTTGTGTCTTTTTCAACCACTCATACAAGCAACATTTTGCTTAAAGGAGCCACAAAATACCCACCAACCCGTACCTGTTTAAGCAACTCCTTTCGAAGGCTTAAAGTGAAGGAGGAATTTGTTATTGGCTTGAGAACCCTAACACTGACCCAAATTAGCCCAGTGGCTTCTTATGTGTGTATATGTGTGTAACAAGAATTCCTTTTACAACACGAATGACATCGCCCTTTCCTACAGTCTCCTGCAAAAGATTTCTATTTGCAATTGTTTTTAACGGCTTTTTAAAACGCCATGGTAACTACCACCAAAGCATTTCAAAGAGAAAAAGAGAGGAAAGTACACAAGAAAATGTGTCCCTATTCAATTAGGAAAACTGATTAATTAATTAATCAGCTAACAGCATTTTAAGAATAGTCTCCCATGATAACAACTTTCTCCCCACCTAAGAGCTTAAAAATCAGTCATAATTAAAATTAAGAGCCAGGGCTGCTATCTACAGTAAGGCTCCATGTCTCTAAAAGCAGTAAGCTAAATTCTAGTTTACTGGGATTGGATTGCAAGGGGCGCAGAAAGGTAATTTGCACACTGAAGGGGAACAGGAAAACAGTAGTTCTCGTGAAAGGAAAAGGGCCAAGTGACTTTTATTTACAATTGCCAAGAGAGAGGCCATTATTGACCATATGTGCCACAATTGCCCTCTTATCGCGGGCTGGCCATCATGTCCTTTGGGAGCTGTTAATGAACTGGGTAATTGAGCTGCTGACATGTGTTACCAAAACAAAACAATAGGAAGAAGAGACAAATGAACATTTTATTTGCCAATCAGAGTAGGTTCAGCTTTTCACGGAGCTGCCGCTAAGTAACTGACTGAATACATAAAACAGTGCGTTGAAAGCAAGCAGATGCAGACACAATAATAGTTAACTGACAGCTTATGGCCCATCTGTGCTTAACATTTTGTTAAAGAAATTACTTGACTTGCTAAAGAGACAAATCATACAGCTGCCCCGAGTGCTGCATTATAAGAGATAAATCATTAGCTAAACTGTTTCATGCTTAAAATGACAATGCTTATTAACAGTTATGTTGGGACATTTTGTCAGCACAGCTTGACACAGTTATTACTTACTAAAAATGTGACAACTCGTAGATATTCAATGGAATTGAGTCAGAATGAAAGAACACTTCAAACAATTTGAAAGAACAATGGGCGTTTTTAATCTCTCACAATTAAATATGCATTTCTAAGATGTTATAAATGAAAATAATTAACTCTATGAAATAGGACATAAGATCATGTTCCCTGTAGTAATGATATACCCTTCTGTCATTTACATCTTACTTATTCAAAACTGCAGAATTTTAGAAATGCAGTCATTCTGGGTTGATTACTATGACAGAATAAAATCAGTGATCGAACAAAAAATAAGCAGATTAAAGTCATTGTTTCTAGCCATTTCATTTTTTCAACATATCTTCTTCCTTTGGAAACAAATATTTCTTTAATAGGGAAAGAAAAACCATGTTGTAAAAGACTAGTTTTATGAGGGGATTTCGCTTATGTTTTTGTTACTACAACTGAATTGAAACCACGTTTTTTTTGATCCAAGTGTGTTTCGTCCATTGAACAACTTACTTCTGAAATCATAGCTATGTAAACTGGTTAACTAGAGGCAGAACACAGATCTCTCAAAGCCCTTCTTGTGATGGATTTTTTACCATTATGGACAAAATTAACTTAATAATAGTAATTATTATATAAGAAAAGCAGCTACTTACTGACCTGCTAACAGCTTCCTCCGCCCAATCCCTGTTCCCTGCGAAGTCCTTGCTGTGCATTTTCTTTCACCTTTAACAAAACCCTCTTTGGAGGGATACTGTCATCCCCATCTTACAGATGGGCAAAAATGAGGTCTAGAGTGATGTTACCTACCTGATTCATGAGAACTCAGAGAGGTTACCCTAATATAAAATCATATCAGCATTGTCATTTGAGAAATAGGATTGATGAGGGTTGAAGGAAAAACTGTGGCCAATATCTTCACTTCTTCTTTCTTCTTGATCCACTGAGCTAGGACTCAGATATCACAACCCTGTAAATCAGTTGTGAAAACATAAGCATAAAAGGTGAGTAATACTTTCAGTGGTGGTTGGTGTAGGTGGAAATTATGTTCTGTACAGTTACCAAGAAAGAACTCTGCTTATGAAATCTAAACCTTAGCTATATTTACAGAACTTTGAATAAGACATGAGTGTTCAATAAGTCTCATGACATAATTGACAAAGACAAAGTACTTTGCCTTCATCCTTATTTTCCACTATCAAATATTTTTGCTGTTGTGTGCATATGTTGTTTAAAAGTCAACAAATAAACAAAGGTTCAATATGTAAAGGAGATAACAAGTTAGTTATACAGAGAGCCTCTTGGAGCAGGTAGAAAACAAAAGAATTCTCCTGTCACCCTTACTAGGACAAAACTACCGAAAGATACACAAAACCTAAACAGCTTTATCCACAAGGAAACTTTGCCAAGATTAGCATGACACGAGATGTTTGGAAAATAAAAAAAAGGCAGGTTTTAGAAGAAAGTTAAATACTACACTTTTTGTGCCAAAAGCCTATGCAAAGAAGTAAGAAGACAAATGAGTAGAGAATTGAAAATGCCAAGACAAAGCATTTACAAAATTGCAGAATCCTTGAAAGGAGCCCTGAACCAATCCCTTCATTATACAGATGAAGCCCAGAGAGAGCAAGTGAGGTTATCTCAAATGACACATCATGAAAGAAACATTTATTAAATGCCTGAGATGTGGCTGATACTGTCCTTTGCACTAGGGATGCAAATATGAATAATATATGGAGCCTAAACTCAAAAAGTAAAACTCTCATTCCAGTACTCTTTCCACTAAGGCAAAAGAAAGTGTCAGTGTACATAGGAGTTAATCTAGTCATGCCCTGTGGCAACAGAAAGATTAAATAGCCCATCAAAGCTGAAAAACCTAGATATGTTATTTACTAAGAAACAGAGGCATAGATTCTGTGATCTTTAGTATAAAGATCAAAATAATACATAAATGCTTTTAACGACACTTCCCATATGGCATTTCAAGATTGTTTCTTTGCTTCCCATCTTCTCTTGGGTTCTATAAAAAAGAAAAAGGGTAGCACAGGAAGCTTGTTTTGAAAATCCAAATCTTATCTGGGTCAATTATTGCTTGTTGGAAGATTGAAAGAGGTAATAACTGAACATAGGAGAAAACTCTTTTCCTGGAGGCAACAGAGAAGGCTGAGCTTAATCCTTGCTGGCAAAGGAATTAGCAGCAACATCAAGGTCATCATCAGAAATCATGCTTGGGATACCTACTGTGCAAGAAGTACTTCCCTAGAGGCCGTGAAGAGGGGATAATGAATGAGAAGAGAGTGTGATTCCTCCCCTTCATCGTGCAAAAGTATAAGTCTCCTGTCTACAAGGTGGTCCTTCAGATTAGTGTCACATCCAACCAATGGACCTAGGGGAGGAATTGGCAAACCAGTCAAAATGACTAAATAGATGATGTAAATGATTTATCACCAGCCTTAGGTAGGGACAGCTGCTTTTTGAAATTTTGTCTTTTTGTGTCTAAGCAACAGTTGCCATTGAACTTAGAAGAGGTGATATCAAAGGTTTGGGCAAAGGAAGTTTCATGTCATGGTGATGTGTCCTACTGCTTAGGAGAGAGGCCAAACTACTTCAAATACCCAGATGGCCCCTTCCTCTCTGATTTGGGACAAGCTTATTAACCCTCTGAATCCATTTTCTCATCAGCAAAGTAGGGTTTAAAACATCTGCTCCAAAGACTGGTTTTTAAGGAAAGGAGATAGTTTGCAAAACATAACACAATTCCTGATACACAATTTATCCTCAGCAAATGTTATCCCCTCTGCACCTATTCCCCTTCTTGTTAACCAGTCCTACCAGGCATAAGGGAATAGCATGTGAAGAATGTTCCCTACATCCTAAGACTGAGAGAGAAAAATCACCACCAAAGCTTTGCAGGTATTTGTAGAAGTCCCAGAATGTGTACAATAAGCATGATCCAATCTCCCATCTGCTTCCTCTTCAGAAGAACCCGCCCATAGTCAGACAGTATATTGTTCACCAAAAAAAAAAAAAAAAAAAGATATTCAGCTCTTGCTCATTCCCAATTCCCTTAAAAATCCAAAACAAAGATCAAAGTTACTCAACTTCACCTAACCCAGGACCTGTATCTGTACTGTGAGATCAAAAATTAGGCCGAGTGTGGTGGTGCATGCCTGTAATCCCAGCACTTTGAGAGGTTGAGGTGGGCAGGTAACTTGAGGCCAGAGGTATGAAACCAGCCTGGCCAATGAGGCAAAATCCCGTCTCTAATGAAGATACAAAAATTAGCTGGATATGATGGTGCACACCTGTAATCCCAGCTATTCAGGAGGCTGAGGCACGAGAATCACTTGAAACTGGGAGGCAGAGTTTGCAGTGAGCTGAGATCATGCCACTGCACTCCAACCTGGACAACAGAACGAGACTGTCTCAAAAAAAGAAAAAGAAAAGAAATAGAATAAAATTAAGGTAGCTATGAAAGTAAATAAATTCAGTGCTCCCAAATACCTCAGGGCCTAAACAGGAAGGCCAAGCTTAACAAAAGTCAGGCAACCAGCCTAAAAGAAATTAAGCACATGCCAACATTTAGTTTGATTTTCATGGGGAAAACCTGAATATATTTGCTTGGAGGCAAATTCTTGTCTTCTCTATGTCTACTGATATGGATCTGCACAGGCAAAACAAAGTATAATTGTGAGCAATTCACCTTCTGATCATTTTTATTAGTGTCCACAACCAATGTGAATAGGTCAGGTACCCAACACCAGAAAAACACAAGAATTTCTTCAGTAGCAGGTTTCTGCATGAATTATTGGACAACTGCCTTTCTTTTCCACATTGCCTTTTCAGGGACAATCTTGCAGAACTGGAGGGAAATGAATAAGGAAGTGATATGTGGGAGAGAGTAAAGGAGGGGAGGAGAGAAGAGAAAATAACTGAAGAGAATAAAAGAGGGGAGAAAGAAGAGAAGAGAGGCCAGGCACTGTGGCTCACACCTGTAAACCCAGCACTTTGGGAGGCCAAGGCAAGTGGATCACCTGAGGTCAGGAGTTTGAGAACAGCCTGGCCAACATGGTGAAACCCCATCTCTACTAAAAATACAAAAAAAAAAAAAAAATTAGCCGGGTGTAGTGGGGCACACCTGTAATCCCACTTACTCCGGAGGCTAAAGCAGGAGAATCATTTGCACTCTGGAGGCAGAGGTTGCAGTGAGTTGAAATCATGCCACTGCATTCCAGCCTGGGTGACAGAGCGAGACTCTGTCTCAAAAAGAGACAGAGAGAGAGAGAGAAGGATCAACTTTCCTTTCTAGCAAAGAAGGATAGAAAATAAAGCAATAGGTGGTTTCAGAGTCAATGGGTTCACCATGACCACTTTTTCCCCAAAATTCTCCTCTGACAAGGCTTTCTGAGTTAGGAAAGCCTGCTCTGAGGGACTGAAGTTGAGGCTGAGGATCTGACAATGTGTCCTAATCCCTGGCAACTTTAAATAAATTAAAGCTTTTCCTGGGTAAAAACCAAAAGTAGCCCCACTCGTTCTTCCCACCCACACCAGCCCATGGTTTTAACTGGAAATCATCCCATCACTATGTCAAGACAGATGCCAACATTTAAAGAAACTACTGCCAATTCAGTTCAAACTCAAGCTCATTCTTCACCACCCAATTTACATGTTCGTTCCTAAGAAAAGCTTTTTGAGCAAAATATGTTTCTTATTTCATTGTGCGTTTTTGTTTTCATACTACAAAAGTACATTACATTATAAAATAAAATTTGAGCAATGTCTAAAAATAAAAAATAATGATAGTCCCAGAACCAAAAAGAATTGCTATTGATTTTAAATTAGAGAATTATATTATACAGATGGATGGGTGGATGGATGGATGGATGGATGGATCAATAGATCAATAGATAGATATAGACAGATCCAACTCCTTTGCTGTGTTTCTTCGCATTCTTTTTTTCTGTGTAATTATTAACAAAATATAAGTTTTTAAAAACTTTCTTAATTACACATTAAAAAGGTAAATAAAACTCTTTCCTCCAGCAAGTTTTCAAGTGAATTTATCCTTGTTATTTTAGCAATAGCACAAGTTGCTTGGTTAATAGTATTGTTTATATTTGAAAATTTAACTTTCTTAAAGTTGTTTTCTGAGATTATAAAGCACTACTCCTTTTGATTTGTTCATATTTACCTGTGAATGCATTTGGATGGCCAGATATGAAAATTTGCCAATTTCTCTATATGAGGGCTGAGACAAATGCACATATATTCTCATTGTCTTTGTATAACTCAGGTGTCTAATTCATCCAAACAAACATTGAACCCACTTATACATCTCTCCTTCTATTCTCACAATAAGTTAGCCACAAGTTTAAGAAAGCTTGTCCAGGGCTGGGTCATCAGAGATTGTTGTCCTTACAGCATCCCTCCCAAGTCCATGTCTTTATTCCTATTCAGGCCTCAATGAAGTAGGAGGGGGCTCTTCAAATATTTTCTTCTTTCTGATAGAAGAAGCTAGAGCAGGATGAGAGTGTGAATGGCTGAGTTTAAGCCTCTGCACAGAGAGAGTGACAAGAGAAGAAAACCAGTGGAAGCACAGGAAGACAAATCCCAGGTAACTAACAATGTAACTAAATTGCAGGGAGAAAATTAGAAATAGTTTTTTAAAATTTTTTCCCACTATTAGTCAGAGACGTTCATGTTTTGTGCTAAATGTGCTGCTTAGCATAGAATTTTAAAACCTAGAAATCACTTTAAATATCAGCAGAAAACTCTTTACTCTAGATTTGAAAAACTCAAGAAACAAAAACTGAGTTTCAGAGGAATGAAATGATACCTCCATCATCAACTGGCTTGGTGGCAAGTTAAATTTCAAACCTATATCTCTTGAGTTCTAAATTCTGGCTTTTTTCATTTTATCACATGATCAACTCATTTTTTTCTGTGGATCTATAGGTGAATTTACTCCTATATTCTAATGGTAGCTAGAGTCCTCCTACCACCAACAAACCCACTGAATCTGAAAATTAGTGGAATGAGGTGGACTCATAATTGGGCCCAGAGAGGAAAAAAAAATTTTTTTTTAGCGTCTTAACCATTCTATTTACATCTAACCATTATATAATGCTGTTTTGTTTCTGATTTTTAAATTCTCACTATATCTCATTATATCTACCTCATTACATCTTTATAACTACTCTGTGAGTTGGATATTATCTTTGTTTTAAAAATGACATTGATAAAAGAACCTGCCCAAAGTCTCAGCGGGTCAATTACATGTCAGAGCTTCAAAGATAATCATCAGTCTTCACTCTAAATATGCATTAAAATGTCCTCTGGATCATCTATTGCTTAGTATTATTCACAAATTTTTTTCACTCAAATAACATGTATATTCAATTACTGATTAATAACCAATTTTATAAGAAATAATAATAAATTCCAAAGTAAATTAGCTGTAAAATATAGAAAACTAGTAATTAATGTGAAACTGAACATGTACACAAAAATCTGCTAAGAATTCACTTTATGGCATTTAAAGTTTTCATTAGAGTGGAACAAAACGACTTCCCAGAATTTCATGTGCTTGCCAAAATGGACCAACTGTTTGTCATAACTTGGCTCCCTCACTGTCTGTGCTACCTTGAATACCTTTCTGCACATCTTCACACAATGCCACATGCAGGTCTCAAAGCCCAGTTTCACAAAGCATTCACTGAACCTCACAGCCATCAATGCCCCTCCCTTCTCTGTACTGCAAGAGCATTTTGTACTTTCCATACACACCGTGCCTTTCCTTGGTAATTAAACTATTGACTACAACTTGCAGGTCAACTCTTGTTGCAACCACACTTATTTCTCTGATTGACCACTTCCTTGAATTTGTATCCATTTAGCTGTGTGTCCCAGCAGTACTTTTTCATTTTAAAGGGTCAAATAGTCAGAGGTCAGCAAAGCAACTAGTAAGTTTATACAGACAAATCTAAAAAATGCAAACATTGCCTTACTAAAAGCAGGTTTTGAGGGAGCTTGGTTCTTTGCTTGCCTGTTGAGTAGTTTTGTAAACAAAAAATTAGAGGTCATTTTAAGAGAAATGTCTTTGTGTGGTAAAGTTTAGTGGTTATTTTGACTGTCACAATGCTACAAAAAATCTGAGGAAAGGAGGAAAAACTGGCTGATGGTATGATACAGCATTATCCCAAAATAAGGAAAGTGACTGAGGACCATGTGATCAATTCTACTTCAGTCTTTCATAGGCTTGCAGTTAATTTTGGAGGCATTCACAGACAGTAAACAAGGAGGCTCTTTCTTGGTTTCAGTATTTACCAATGGAGAAAAAAACTGTGAACGTGTTTAGTAAACTGTAACATTCATGTAACTTACATGTTTTCAGCAGCAGCAGCACCCCCACCAGACTGTTATTATTACAGTAGATAATAAAGCACCAATTAAATAAACTTTATTAGCAAGAATTAAATTGAAGAGGCATTATATTAAGCCTTTCAGTTTCTACAAAAAATAAAAACATAAGAGCATGAAGTCATTTTCTCTGATCAACTAAATACACTTGCCCCTTTTTTTCTCAAATGTCGTGATTCTTCTCTTTGAATACAAGAAGACATCAACAATACCATTCCTCTCTCAGCTCAGACCCTTTCCTTGAGTAAATCTTTCCTTTTCCCATTTTCATCTTCAGTCTTAGGCCTTAGGAAAGGTTTACTCTTCAACTTCCAGAGTCCTACATATTTGTCAACAAAGAGGTTTTTTTCTTCTCCCGTTTCAAAAAAGGTTTGAGTAAATCCTAGCCCAAAAGTGCAGTGTTAGAAGTAGGTCCATGTTTTGCAGAGGTTTGAAGCTTTTCCGATTTGGGAAGATCCACTTTAAGAACACAAAACTAGCTTTCTTCTGCATAGTCTACAAAATCACATGACCACGTGACACATTGTAAGGGCCCTTTGCAGAGATTCAGAAGAAGCCCTTGCCCCCGGGGTCCCGCAGTTCTCTCCACTGTAAATTCACTTCTGCCCATGAACCTCTGGTGAAGCCAGTCTTCAAGTGAAAGACACTTTCCTTCTATGTCTGCCCTTCCTGCTAATGACACAGTATAAAATATCCCTAAATAACAGTAACGACAGCCCTCCCCTGATCCCCAAATAGCAGGAACAATCAAGTCAATCAATATTCATGCTTATAAGCTACCTAGAGTCTTTGATAGGAGAATAGGGTTTCTTTCCCAATTCCACTTGAAATCAACCTACCTTGACTTATGAGTAAATGGAGACATATAGGTCATGGATAGTTCAGAGAACCTCATGAATAAAACTGTGGTTTTATTTTTTGCTTTATGTCCTACCCTTAAAGAAATGTCTTGAGAACCTGGACTTTATCACAGGTAGGGGGATCTTATGAGCGTGATTGCACCCTTCCCATCACTCTGTTTCCTCCATGTGCATGTCTTTACACTCACTAAGCCTCAGAACACAGCTGAAATAGTTTGTGAAATTCTATTATGAATGTATCTTCTGTAGTGAATATGTATTACTTTTGTGCAATGGAAGTAGTTCCATTATTGGGAAGTAACCCCCAAAAAGCTTTGGTATTTTCATGAGAATTTGCAAACAACCTTGAGTCAATTCAAGATTTTAGCCAGCATGTATAATCTTTTTGTCCCTAAAAAATGATACTGCTAGTACCCTCCCAAACTTGAAAAAAATCAAATACCACTAAAAATTCTATGCATGTCAATTCACTTTGTAACATCTTGCAGAGGAAATACCTTCACCACAGAAACTTCGAAAAAGGTATTATGAAAAAGGGAACATGGGCCAGACATAGGCCAAACTTAATACCCTAGAAACTGAAGTGGAAGAATTGGGGCAATTAGAAATTTACAAGAAAAAAGAATGTTTTTGGTTAGATTGGTTGGTTATTTCAAGGACAAGGGCTTTAGAATTTCACTTACCTAAATACTATCTTATATTTCTCCTTTATTTGTATCCAAAGATGTGGCTTTATTCTCTTCTGAGATTTCTTAAATTCTAAATATGACACAGGACCTCATGCAGTTCTGCCCCAAATGATTCATTAGAAACTAAATTTCTCTACATTTCTTCACACTTCCAAATAAATAAAACACAAATTTTCACTTATCTCAGCAGTTCCAACACATGATCATTTGAGGGAGATTTATTTAACATAGAAGTTTTGGGCTGACTGCCACTGCTCCTGGATTATAAACAAAATTGAAAATGCACATTTGCATTTAAAGAATTATCTCCCCCAACACTTCCACTGTCCTCTAGAGGTAACCACTTTGTGGTCATAACCACCCTCAGGTGAAGGGGGAACACTGTCAATACCCATCACAATACATTTTTATTTATTTATTTATTTATTTTTATTATACTTTAAGTTTTAGGGTACATGTGCACAACGTGCAGGTTTGTTACATATGTATACATGTGCCATGTTGGTGTGCTGCACCCATTAACTCTTCATTTAACATTAGGTATATCTCCTAATGCTATCCCTCCACCCTCCCCCAACCCCACAACAGGCCCTGGTGTGTGATGTTCCCCTTCCTGTGTCCATGTGTTCTCATTGTTCAATTCCCACCTATAAGTGAGAACATGCGGTATTTGGTTTTTTGTTCTTGTGATAGTTTGCTGAGAATGATGGTTTCCACCTTCATCCATGTCCCTACAAAGGACATGAACTCATCCTTTTTTATGGCTGCATTACTATGCATTCCATGGTGTATATGTGCCACATTTTCTTAATCCAGTCTATCATTGTTGGACATTTGGCTTGGTTCCAAGTCTTTGCTATTGTGAATAGTGCCACAATAAACATACATGTGCATGTGTCTTTATAGCAGCATGTTTTATAATCCTTTGGGTATATACTCAGTAATGGGATGGCTGGGTCAAATGGTATTTCTAGTTCTAGATCCCTGAGGAATCGCCACACTGACTTCCACAATGGTTGAACTAGTTTACGGTCCCACCAACAGTGTAAAAGTGTTCCTATTTCTCCACATCCTCTCCAGCACCTGTTGTTTCCTGACTTTTTAATGATCACCACTCTAACTGGTGTGAGATGGTATCTCATTGTGGTTTTGATTTTCATTTTTCTTACCCATCACAATTTCACCATGGCTTTCTGAGATTGCCTTGCTACATAACCAGAATTTACCAACAGAACTCTAAGAAAAATCATCACAAACATAAATGGAGTGCTACGAGACAAAACAATACCTCCAAATCGAAGATGTAACAGACTATTCCAAAGGTCAGCCAAATGTGATCCATTGCCTGTTTTTACCTCTGAGCTAAGGATGGTTACTACATTACTTAATGGTTGAAAAAAGAAGAGTAACATTGACACATGAAAATTACACACAATTTTAGTGTTGATAAAGTCTATTAGAATACAGCCATGCTCATCCATTCCTATATTTTCTATGGCCGCATGCTACAACAGCAGAGCTGAGTAGTGTTAACAGAGGCCAGTGGCCCCAAAAAGCCAAAAATATTCACTATATGGACCTTGACAGAAGATATTTGCCTAGTCTATATGATAGCCAACATTTTATAGGTGCTTACTATGCACCAGGTGCCATGCCAAGCATCTTTACTTGCTTTCCCTCATCCAATTTTCAAATCAACATTATTATTATACCCCATTTTACAGATTGAAAAAACGAGGCTCAGAGAGGTTATATACTAATAGCTAGTCTGTAGTGAAGGTAGAATTAACATTCAATCTCTCTCATGCAGAAGCTTGTGTTTATGAATTTTGTGACAAACTTCATCCCCACATTCCGTTACCACCAAAGCCCATCATCACTATCACCATCTAAGACTCAAAACTCCCATTATCCACAGCATAATGCAAGTCCCAATCCCTCTGCCATGTGGATGGAGGGATGCCTTGCCCTATCTCGTGTTATTCTCCTATGTTCAGATGTTAATGAATCCAGAGTTGTGTGGAACTTTTTTCCCATGAGGGCCCAGGTCTCTGTGATGTTACTCAACCTTATAGGGCAGGTGTCCAACTTAATTTATGAATTAATTATACCCCAAAACTGAGCTATTGCTCAGTTCATAAAAAGGGTGAGAACCAGGAAACTCTTTTTAACAGGACAGTAGTTTTCTAAGTGGCCTGGAGTCTTGGTGCTATGATTAGTTTAGCTTACTGATGATCATTGCTTTGACTTCAGACTCAGTGACCTCTGACATGAACCACCAACTACTCTCCCAGAAATGCTAGAACCAAAGTTGTCACCTCACTCCCCAATCCTATGCCCTGGTGACCCATAGGCTACTTCCATCATCTCTATCTAAATGGCCACCACCAGAGCAGCAAGCTTACCTACTTAGTAAACAAAGAAGCCAGAAGCAGCATGAAAGAAAGAACTGTTGTTCTATTCCGAGGATTCTGTTCTCAACACAAATGATCAGTTGGGTGAGCTGCCTAAATGGTATGGCTCCCAGATTCCCTGTCTGTGAAGGAGTACTAACACTCCACAGGTAGCTCTGAGGAACAAATTTACAGGGGTATCAACAGACTTTGGAAAACACAGAGTGCTTGTAGAATGTAAAATACAGGTAAATTATAGTGTTGAGGTATGAAATGCATATCCTGGTTTGACATTAGTCTGTTGACTTTCTCAAACCCTAAAGACATTTTAGGCATTTTAGAGTATGACTTAGCATCCAAAACTTCATGCAAACTAAGACTCTGAACAAACCTAGGTGATGCACCACAGAAATAACAGTAAAACAAGTTGTCAAAGATATAACCAGAGTCCAGAGAATAGGACACAACCTACAACATACATACATTTAGACATACGTTTTGTTTCCCAAGAAAAAAATAAGTCAAAGTTTTAACAACCTCACTACAAAACTTTTCTTTTTTTTTTTTCTTTCTTTTTCTTTTCTTTTAGAGACAGAAGAAAAGAGCCTGTTGCCCAGTCTGGAGTGCAGTGTCATGATCCTAGCTCACTGCAGCCTCAAACTTCTAGGCTCAAGTGATCCTCCCACCTCAGCCCCCTGAGTAGTTGAGTAGCTAGGACTGCAGAAGCATGCCACCACATCCCACTAATTTTTTTTTTAAGAGATGGGGCTCTCACTATGTTGCCCAGCCTGTTGCCAAACTCCTGGGCACAAGCAATCCTCCTGCCTTGGCCTCCCAAAGTGGCTGGGAATATAGACATGAGCCACCACACCTGGCCTTTTTTTTCTCCAAAATGTTTCTTTAAATTTACATTCATTTATTCACCAAATACTTACGCAGTGCCTGCATTGTTTCCAGTTATCTGCAAAGCAGCGCACATAAAAAGCTGAGCAGAACAGAGCTCACAGTACAGCAAATGACAAGTTTTTTTTTAATATGACATCCAATCTCCAGGAAATGCCTATTGCAAATTTTTTTTTTAAAAAAAAGTTTCACTTTAAGTATTCAACCAGACATGTTAGATGGTTAACCAGATAATAGTTGGACTTCTAATCCCATTTTGTGTTCAGTTGATATGTTATTTGCCTGGGGAAAGGAGGGTAGCTCTCACAGTGTTTTTTCATCTTACGTTTTGTCAGTCTTTTCTCACCTTATATTTAGATTGGTCTCGTTGTATGAAATATGCTCGTCTGTTCTGACATGCTTCCTCTTGCAATAAGCGTTGTCCAGTGCATCACACATATAAGGTTACCCTAAGGGTCTGAAATTCAGTTTCTTAGATGACCAGGAAGACCTTTGGAAATTTGGGTTTCCCACAGTCACTAAGTATTATTTTATCAAAAAGGCATCTGGCAGACCCATCTCTGGATCTGCCCTAAACTGATGTCTCCATCAGTGTCATAATTACTTAGGATGCAAGAGAACATTGTGGCTAGCTAGAACTACCAAAAGATCCCTTAGAGAGAGTTAATAAATGATTATTTCATATTGTTTAATGTTTCTGATGATACTCTACAGTATAAACATGTCAAAAACTCAACATCAACATGGCATTTATCATAGACTCTCATATATTTAAGGCTCACTATTAAGCTTTACATTTTCTATTCTTTTCTTTTTTCTGAGACTTAGTCTTGCTCTATTGGCCAGGCTAGAGTGCAGTGGCATGATCTCATCTCACTGCAACCTCCGCCTCCTGGGTTCAAGCAACTCTCCTGTCTCAGCCTCCCAAGTAGCTGGTATTACAGGCATGCACCACCAAGCCTGGCTAATTTTTGTATTTTTAGAAGAGATGGGGTTTCGCCATGTTAGCCAGGCTGGTCTCAAACTCCTGACCTCAAGTGATCCACCTGCCTCTGCCTCCCAAAGTACTGGGATTACAGGCTTGAGCCACCGCACCTGGCAAGCTTTACATTTTTAACTCAGGAAGTTGGCAGGGCAAGTTGCAGCATTAATACAAACTGAGATTTTGTTCTGTTCAGGCCACATTCATTTATAGATTTCACTAGTGGGGAAGATAATGTGCAGCCTTCAAAAATGTGAGTCATGGGATCTGATTTTGATGCTGAATGAGGTCATTCCACTATGGAGGCATGTGATAGAAAATGCCTGCCCTGCCTAAATATGGTGAAGGCTTCAAGGAGATAGGCTGAGCAGTATAGAGACCACCTAGCTGGAGAATCCCCACTAGGTGATCTCATGCAAATCATCTACCAGCACCTGCATCAGAATCACCTGAGCTCTTTGTTAAAAAGGAAGACTTGGGAGCCCCACCTCAGTCTGCAACATCAAAATCACTTAAAGTGGTCCCAGAAATGTTCTTTTTAAATAAGGGCCTCAAAGATTAATTGTAATAATACTGATACCTATCTAGCATCTACCATGTCAGCCAGTCAGTGTTCTTGGCATTTTACATATAGGAACTCAGGTTCTCTTGCAGGCAACTCAGATACCTTGATGTTAGGAAAGTACTGACCTACCTAGATTTTGAAGGAAGATGCACATAGAGTGAATTCCGTGATCTGTCATATTTAGCAGTGTGGCCATAGCACATGCTATTTCACACGTCTGTAATAGAATAGTAACAGTATGCCCAATTATATTCTTTTTTTTTTTTTTTTTGAGACAGAGTCTCACTCTGTCGCCCAGGCTGGAGTGCAGTGGCACAATATTGGCCATTCTCCTGCCTCAGCCTCCCAAGTAGCTGGCACTACAGGTGCACGCCACTACGCCCAGCTAATTTTTTTTTTTTTTTTTTTTTTTGTATTTTTAGTAGAGACGGGGTTTCAGCATGTGTTAGCCAGGATGGTCTCGATTTCCTGACCTCGTGATCTGCCCGCTTTGCCCTCCCATGGTGCTGGGATTATAGGCGTGAGCCACCACGCCCAGCCCCGATTATATTATTTACTCAAAGTTGTTAGCACCTACCTTGAGGATGAGCTTTGTTTTGTACCAAACCCTGATCTTCGAAACCTTAGAGTCATGGGCTCCTTTCTTCCTCTGCTATTTGGAACGTGCCAGAATCAATTACATTCCAAGGAGGTAAACTGGCCATAAGGCAGATCCTTGTAAGGGTTTTCAGAATTTGCAGGAAGATTTTCTCTGTTTACAAAAAACCGTTCTTCCCTCCAGCCAGCCCGGCAGACAGTGCTCACCATCCTCTGGACGACGCCTTGATAGGAGCAGGACGTCCTCTCATCCCAATAATGCCATCCCTCCCTCTCAGAGACCCCTGCCGTCCTTCCTTGATCCCTTGGGCTCACACTGAGGCAGGCACTTCCTGATCCTTCCCTCTCCCTCTCCACTCCCACTGAGACAATCCCTCAGGCACAAAGACCCCCTAACCTCCTCCAAGTCCCTCGGCCCCAGAGACTCGGAAACTGCTCTTTGATTTCTCTACTGCAAGGAATTAACTTTTCATTACCAGCAGTCTGGAAGTCTCATTTTCTCATGAATGCAAAATTAAATACTGTATATAACAGCATTTTTAAAACTAATACTCTTTTATTTTCTCTTCCTAAACATCATAAAGTGAATAATGCAGTATTTTTCATGTTATGCTTCAATGACACAATTTGTTTTAGAGAAAGTAACCTGACATCATCTCAGAAAGCAGTCATTGCCTTTGAAGAACTCGCTTTCCATTTTGAAATTCGACAGACTGGCCCAAAACTTATTCTACCTCTAAAAAGACAGATAGGGCCACCTACTACTAAACTCTAAACTTTGCTTCCATTGTATCATTGAAATGGACCCTGTACTTGTGAGATAGTTTTGTACAATAAAGCTAATTTGAGACAATAAATATAATCAATACGTAGGTAAAATCTGGGAAATAGTCACAGAATGGGCACACACAGACACACCACACCATGGGCTCTTTTATGGTAAGGAAAAATAGTAGTTGGGGACAAAGATAATTTCAACACAGATATATATTTTACAATGTCTATGCTTTGCTTAAATGTCTCCAGGTGCCTTGCTCTTAGCAGGGACACAGTAAACATCCGCTGCATAAATGGCTCAGCATTTTTTTTTTTTGACCTTCAGATAAGTTTCTGTTCCTTCACACTCACTTACTATTGAAATTTACCATTATGTTTTTATGCTGTAACAATTCAAGATGTATGTTGTTTTCATGTCTTTTAACTCATAGAGCCAAATATGAAGGGCCAATTAATAATGTACTTTTATGTTTTAAGCATAGTACTATGCTAGAATGATTATTTTTCTACCCCAGCAGCTACAAAAAATTTGAAACTCCATAGCTAGTGAATGCTCAAAAAATAATTATTTGCTGTTTTGCCATGCTAATTATTGAGACTTGTTCTCAGGGACTTTCACTGAGATAGTGCCTGTTTTCCAGACGTTATTTTAAACACAACCTTCATTTTGTGTTGAAAAAGTCATCTAAATTGACTACCTGTCTCCATTCATCTTTTCAAATGCCAGTAAGAATGCATGTACCAGTCACTGTATGATATGTTCTCCCAGGGAATTATGCTTAAGAAAATAAAACAATAAAGAGTGATAAAGACTAGAGGGCCCTTCGCATCTGACAGCAGGGCAGAAGTCAGAAGTTGGGGCCTCCTGAGGCTCAAGGCAGCGCATGGCTGGGCAGGAAATGGGGCTGTTTTGTGCCCACCAGGGCCTCCCCAGGGTCACCCCCACGCTGCTGACTGCATCGTCCCGGCTCAGGGAGTTCCCACACCACCTCTGTGAGAACATCCAGGCAGGGCACAGAGGAGCTTTGTAATAGGGATGGACGGCAAACCCTTCTGGGGAAAAAGGAAGGAAAAAAGAACTGCTCCAAGAAAAGAGGAATATTCTATTCAAGAGACACCCTTCCATTCTAAAACTTAGTTTTCTAGAGTGCTTTCAAGTGTGTCTATATTTTAAGTTAAATCCAATTAAGATGAATCCTCCAACCCTAGTGGAAACAAGCAAAAATAAAAGCAAACCCGAAAAAGATGAATCCATATTACATCATCCAGCTTTTTCAGAGGGAACTATAGTGGTGGAAAAAACAATATATTTGTCTGCGTAAAGGAAGCAGTCATGTTTTTAAGCCTCAATTATTTCATCTGCATAGTGGGAATAATAATATTTACCTCATAGCATTTCTGTGAGGATCAAGTTAGGTAATGTGTGTGAAACTTTATTATTATTACCCATTATTAGATTATTAACAGTAAGAACAATTTTCTGATTTCATTATTAAATAATACTTAGTAAACCTAATAGGGTAATTTGAAAAAAAATCTGAATACATTATCACAAATTTATTTAAATATGGAGCTTATATTCACAGCCAGAATGATGACACCATCACCACCACCACCACCCTGCCCCTGCCTTTTTGTTGACCTAGAGATAAACTTTGACCTGTTGTTTGATAATCACACTTTTTCTGAAGATGCCTTGTTCCTTTTAAGAACAACAGCCTCACCCCAGAGTCTGGAAACTGACATGCATCTATATGCTTCTCCCCTTCCTCTGCAGCTCCCCAGGAAGAACCTTTAAGCTTGGGACTTGATTTCCCAACCTCGCATACTGTTTGCAATTACAGAATATATGGCATACATGGAGGACTTTCTTAATCTGAGTTTTATGGAGTATGGATTATACCTTTCTAATGTTCTAATGTGTGGATCTGAAGTTCAGTTCTTAACAACAACAAAAAGTCTCTTATTGGTGATGCTGAGATTTCTTTTTTTCCTGAGTCTTGTTCTCTAGAACCAAATCTGCGGTTGACTGTGGCACTGATTTAAAACACTTTATACAAATCCCAAACCCTGAAGCATACTGTGGAGTGAGCTACTAAGCCAGCGTCAACAAGAAGACTAGAATTAAGAAACTCCTTCCTGAAGACTTTTTTTTTCAAAAAAATAATCTTAACATTTCAAGTTTCCTCAACTAAATTTATTCTGTATTTTGCCACATCTGCAGCAGCTGAGATCTACTTTCCAAGAGTGGTTTCTTGCGAAAGGAAAAACCTACTTTTACTACCTCGAAATGAACACCTACCACAAAATGAGCACACACACGGAAGCAACTAACACAACTTATCCAACAGAACATCACTGTTTGAATAAGCCCATTCTCCACTTCCTGATACATTCTGCGATGGAAATTCTTAATTCCTGGAATCATATGACATTAAAGGCAGGAATCACATTGCTTCTGCCTGTTTTATATCTAGATCAAAAGGTAAGGCCAAGAGATTGTACAAAACAAATAAGCACTTTACAGGTAATACATGATATATATCAAATATAAAGACTAGGCATAGCATTCTACCAATCAACATCTATTAAGAACATCAAAATCAAAGGGGTTTATAACTAAGCAGAGAAGTGACATTGGGAAATAACACCGGTTGTGTTTAAAGAAAGAAAAATTCAAGTGTCCATATTTTTTAAACATTTCAAAGCCAGAGTTGATACACAATTTAGCATTCTTACCTTTTTTTCATCTTGTCATAAAGGAAAAAAAATTAAAACTTAATAAATTTTGCCTCAGGATCAGAAATTCAGGACTTTGAAGTCATACTTTCCCTTTTCTAACAGACATAGATAAGAATTTGCTTTACCTAAAAGTAAAATGCCATTTCAGATTGTTGTGAGAATGAGTTTATCATCTTGATTCTGCTACTTACCAGCAGTTACTTACTAGTGAAGTTAGCTTCATTTAACTTTTCTGATCCTCACTTTCTTTTTTTAAGAGATAGGATGTCTCTCTGTCACCCAGGCTGGAGTGCAGTGGCACAAACATGGCTCACTGCATCCTCAAACTCCTGGGCTCAGTGATCCTCCAGAGTAGCTGGGACTATAGGCACACACCACCGGGCCTGGATAATTTTTTAAAAAATAAAATTTGTAGAGATGAGGTCTAGCTTTGTTGCCCAGGCTGGCCTGGAACTCCTGGCCTCAGGCAATTCTCCTGCCTCAGTCTCCCAAAGTGCTGGGATTATAGGCATGAGCCACCATGCCTGGTCTGTTTATCTTTAAGATGGGGAACTGAATGCTCTTCTGTTGTACATCACAAGATTGAAGTGGCAAATTAAGACTACATGTGAAAAAAAAACTATAGAAAAATAAGAATTGCTTGAGCCTGGGAGGTCGAGGCTACAGTGAGCCATGATCATGCCACTGCACTCCAGCCTGGGCAACAGAGCAAGACCTTTCTCAAAAAGAAAACAACAGGAAAAGAAAGCTTCATAATGATCACTGCTGGATGATCATAGTTTTACTGTGCTATTTTTCTATTTGTTCTTTAACTAAGAAATCAAACTCCCTTTCATTTACACATGTCTCTATTTCAATACCATAAGGTCATGGTTTAGGAATGAAAAAACTATTTCAAGCAACACAAGTTTTTTTTTTTTGTTTTTTTTTTTTGTTTTTTTTTTTTGTTTTTTTTTTTTTTTTTTGAGGCAAAGTCTCTCTCTGTTGCCCAGGTTGGAGTACAGTGACATGATCTCAGCTCACTGCAACCTCCACTCCCCAGGTTCAAGCAATTCTCCTCCTCAGCTTCCTGAGTAGCTGGAATTACAGGTGTGAACCCCCATGCCCGGCTAATTTTTCTATTTTTAGTAGAGACGGGGTTTCGCCATGTTGGACAGGCTGGTCTGGAACTCCTGACCTCAAGTGATCTGCCCCGGCCTCCCAAAGTGCTGGAATTACAGGCATGAGCCACTGCACCATGCCGCAACACAAGATTTTAAAATAATGCTTTCCTTAGAACCACTGAATAATCACCTAGAGTCACTTAGACTTTTTACAAATAGTTAAAATGGACTCAGGCTGTGGCCAGAAGCACTCAGCACCACATCCTTCAATGCAGTGAGTGCAGTCTCAATGGAGAATTCCTAAAATTACTATACTGATAAACTTTATCCTTAGCTATTCATCTCAATATACAGTTTTTTCAAAGTAACCTGAAATGCAGACTTTATCTAACCCAAAGTTCCAAAATTATATCAGCAAACAACGATTTTGTCAGAGCTGCCATGCACGCAGTGGACTGCCAGGATATCCACAGCCACCAACTGCTAACAGCCTCCCTCAAAAAGCCAAGGGTTTCACAGGCAGCCTCAGCCAAATTTGAGGCTCACTTGCTGAATCCTTAATTATATTTTAAGCTCATTTTCATAATGCTCACATTGACTTTTTAAGTATTAAATTTTAATCCTATTTGAAATGTTAGCAAACGGCTAGGAAAAAAAATCTAAATACCTAGCACACATGTCAATTTGTATGGAACATTACAACACAGCATTCAAAGTTCACTGGAACTATGCAATGAAATTCTACATTAGGAGGAAAAGATACGAAGAAGATTGTAATATTTCTCTAATTGTCCTCTTCTGAGGCAGAACAGAGGGTGGGTTTCTATCTTCACTCAAGCAGAAACAACAACAACAAAAAAAAAAAAAAGAAAAAGAAAAAGAAACACCAACTTCTTACCTTCTACTTCCCTTCCCAAGTTCCTGATATTGCAGTTTTTAATGCATGAGTCAGAACATTGGCCTGCAAACCTTATAATATTGCACATTTGCAAATGCTTTTGAGAGGACCCAAATGCTTACAACTATATAAATTAAATAAATGATATAAAAGCCATGAGGAGATTGACCTTTTCTTTATGAATGTACGTTAAATGTTTCATGTTTGCCTTCCTGTTCTCTGAAAATAATTTTGAGTGTTGCTTGACAAATTAGTAAAGCAGTTTAAACAAGCATGACAGGCAACCAGTATCCCAATGGGTTCCCAAAGTAGAACTTTCCCAGCACCCCAAATAGCTTCTTTGTGCCCCTTTGGTCAGTTCATCTAAGAGGCAGTTACTGTTCTAATTTCTACCACAATCCATTGGTTTTGCATGTATTGGAATGCCAGATAAGTAGAATCAGACAGTATACGTAGACTCATATGTTTGGCTTCTTTTGCTCAACATAACATTTTTAAGATTTATCCATGTTGTTGCATATGTGAGTAGTTCATTCTTATTTTATTACTGAACAAGACTCCAATGTAGTGTATATAGCACAATTTATTTATCCATTTTATCAGTTCTTATGTTGGTGGACTTAGGGATTATTCCCTATTTGGACTATAACAAATAAAGCTACCATGACCATTCTTTTTAAAAACAACAAAACAAATAAACAAAAAAAAGCATGACAATTCTATTTTTTTTCTGGTGTAGTTATCATACTTTACTCAACCCCCCCTCACCATTTTACTAAAACTGAGCACTTGCATAGAGGAAAAATTTATAATAAAATGACATCCTCAGTTTGGCAGATAATTTTATTAATTGGGTATGTAATATAAATAGATTCATTTTTTTCATCACTCTTTGATTTCTAAAACTCTTTAAAACCAATATAAAACAACTTTTGAAAGTAAATTGTTCTCAGAAGGTTTTTTTTTTTGTAGATACAGACAAACTAATTAACAAATTTATGTGGACAAACAGAGGACTAGAATAGCTAAAAACAATTTTAAAAAGAAGAATAAAGTTAGAGGAATCACATTTTTTGATTTTAAGAATTATTCTGAAGTCACAGTAATCAAGACATTGTGGTATAAGGAAAGACACAGATATATATATGGAACAGAACAGACAATTCAGAAACAACCACAAAAATATGGACAGTCAATTTTTGACAAAGGTGCAAATGCAACTGAATGGAGAAAGGAACGACTTTTCAACCAACAGTGTTGAAACAGTTAGACATACAGATGCAAAAAATACATTAATAAACCTTGCCCTAAACCTAACACCACCACATACAAAAATTAACTGAAAATGGGTCATAGAACTAAATGTAAAGTCTATATTTTCAGAATATTTTCAGGACCAAGGCTAGTCAAATAGTTTTTAGATGTGATGCTTAAAAGCACAACTGATAAAATAAAAAATTGACAAATTGGACTTCATCAAAATAAAACTTTCATTCTGCAAAAGCCATGGTTAAAAGAATGAAAAGGCAATGTAGAGATTGAGAGAAAATATTTGCAAATCACATATCTGACAAAAGACCTGCATTGAGAATATAAGAAGAACTTTCAAAACTCAACAATATGAAAACAAAATATTTAACAATTTTTAAAAATGAGCAAAAGAGTTGAATAGACATTTCACCAAAGAGGATATATGGTTGGCAAATAAGGACATGAAAAGTTGTCCAACATCATTAGCCATTAGAGAAAAATGAATTAAAACATTTAATTAAAATTAAATGTCACTAAGAATATATTAGAATGGCAAAATAAAAAAATATTGACAATACCAAGGGTTGGCACAGATGCAGAGCACCTGGGAATTTTGTGTATTGCTGGTGGAATGCAGAAGGATAGAGTCACTCTGTAAAACAGTCTGGCAGTTTCTTATAAAGTTAAGCATACAGTTAACATATCACCCAGAAATCACACTTCTAGGTATTTAGAGAAATGAAAACTTGTGTTCACACAAAACCTCTAGACAAATGTTTATGGCAATTCTATTCATAATGACCAAAACAAGGAAATAGCCAAAACCCTCAACTGGTTGTTTTTCCTCAACAGGTGAATGGGTAAACAAACTGTGGCATACCCATTCAGTAGAATACTACTCAGCAATACAAAGGGGTGAAATATTGACACATGCAATGACTTGGGTGAATCTCAAAGTAATTACACTGATTGAAATAAGCCAATCTCAAAACATTACATACTGTATGATTCCACTTATAAGATATTCTTAAAGAATAAAACTACATTGATAGAGAACAGATCAGCAGCTTCCAGGGACTAAGAGCAGTAGAGAATACAATTTCAAAGCGAGGTTTTTGGAGTGATGGAACTGTGCTCTATCCTGGTAGTGATGATGATTGCATAAATTAGCATGTGTTAAGACTCCAAAAAAGATCAAATACAAGTTCATAGCAGCACTATTGATAATAGTCAAAAGGTAGATGCCCAACTGTCCATCGTAGAAGAATGGATAACCAAATTAGGATATATAATACAATGGAATATTATTCAGCCATAAAAAGTAATGAAATACTGATGCATGCTACAATATGTGTGAACCTCTAAGACATAATGCTAAGTGAAAGAAGCCAGACACAAAAGATCACATACTGTAGGAGTCTATTTTTGTGAAATAACCAGAATAGTTAAATCCATAGAGATAAAATGCAGATTGATGATTGCCAGGAGACGGATGGGGGATTGGGAAGCAATTGCTTAATGGGTCCCAGGTTTTCTTTTTGGGTGATTAAAATGTTTTAGAACTAGATAGATCTGGTGACTGCAATATGTTGTGAAAATACCAAATGCCATTGAATTGTTCACTTTAAAACAGTTAATTTTGTGTTACGCAAGTTTCACCCCCACACAAAGTAATCCAAAAAAGTCTATTTTACCATGATAATTTCAAAAAATAAATTTAAAATCATAAAAAGAAAGAAACTAGAAAAAAAATAATTTGTAACTCCATGCTTAGATTACCTCCTTGAACAAAGCACAAAGGAAGAGTTAAGTTGTTAAATTCCAAAGGACTTTCCACTTCAGTGCATCAGGCTCTGTTCTTTCCCAAAATGCTCCTACAAAATGGTCACTCGCAGCTTTTGCCTTTGAAGACTGAGGCATTCTGGTGACAGGACCTCTTGTCTTCAACTTCTTGCCATTCTCACATGCACCATGTGACCATTCCATACCTTTGCCCATGCTGTTCACTCTGCCAGTAATACCATTTATTTTTTGCTTCTTCAGCTCATTAGTCATCCTCTAACACTCAGCTCTGAGATCTTCTCTTCAAGGAAGCATTTCCTGAACTTGGGGATGGCCAGACGACCATCCCCCGCATTCCCACAGTGCCCTGGACTCTAAAAAGTACTTAAACACATGAGATTGTTGTGATCTGCTCATGTGACCATCTTCCCCTCCAGGCTATAGGTTCTGGAAAAGAGAGAATATATCTTATTAATCGCTATTTTCTCCAGTATCTAGCATAGAGTAGGCATTCAAGAGTGGCTTGTTTGTGTGGATTTTGCTGTACATGTCTCATAAAAGGCTCTAACTGGGTTTCTGGGCAACGCCTAGTTTCTCCTGTTACCCTTACTTTAAAATAAACTATTATTCCCTAGGTTCTACGCTTTCCCCGTAGTTCTGTTAGCCTCTTGTGTATCCTTAATACTTGGAGCAAGATTTTTCTTCTCAGCCAGGCCTGTAATCCCAGCACTTTGGGAGGCCAAGGCGGGTGGATCATGAGGTCAGGAGATCCAGACCATCCTGGCTAACACGGTGAAACCCCATCTCTACTAAAAATACAAAAAAATAGCCGGGCGTGGTGGTGGGCGCCTGTAGTCCTAGCAACTCGGGAGGCTGAGGCAGGAGAACAGCGTGAAGCCTGGAGGCGGAGCTTGCAGTGAGCCGAGATCACGCCACTGGGCGACAGAGTGAGACTCCATCAAAAAAAAGAAGGAAGGAAGGAAGGAAGGAAGGAAGGAAGGAAGGAAGGAAGGGAGAAAGATTGATTTTGATTTTTCCTCTAACCTTTTCAGGACACTGAGAGTTAGAATATGTAGCAAGTCAGACTTTTAACAATTCCAGAATACGATGATGATTTTGACTTCTTTAGTTTATGCATATACACACAGAATCTGACAGAACGGCTAGAATTCTTGTTCATACCTGTGGGTGAATCAAACTCTTAATCAACCAGTCAGCAAAATGACCAAACTCCTACATCCTGCCAGAATCTGGCTCAGGGACACCTGTAGAAGGGTTTGAAGGCAGGGCTAATCCAATAGTGTGGGGACAGCCAGTAGTTGGTTGATCCAGGTTTTGCGGAGCTTGAAGCTTGTAAAATTTGGGAGACTTTCTTTTGAAAAGAATATAGATTTACAAGTACAAAATCTGGCTTGAAAAGTGAATATTTGTTTAGAACGGGAAAAAAAATCACAACAAATTGCTGGAGCCTACACGGAAACATATCCTGATTGCATCCTGGTTTCCCCTCCTCACTTAGAACACTACAGCACTCAACAAACCCTCAGCACACTCAGGAATTCATATGTGCAAGAGTCCCAAAGTTTAGGCTCTGTTAGCTTCCTAGGAAAGCCCCCTCTGGGCCAGGCCCTACAAATAAGATTAACAAGAACAATACCTGATGCTTATTGAGAAGAACTTGGCACCCCTGTATATTCATATAGTCTTTATCACAATTTTATAAGGCAAATACTATTATTGGCCCCACTTTATAGAGCTACCAGCTGCAGAGTCACTAGACCCACTCCCTGAAAGTAGCCCCCTCCTCAGTTATTTCTTAATACCACCTGTCTTCCCAGAAGGCACAAGCCAATCACATAGTGTGGCAGTTAAAATTGCAGGTTCTAGATTTGCGCAAACCTGGATTCTGAGCCCAGCTCTGCCCCTTAACAGCTGCTACACAATCTCTCTAAACTTCTGCTTCCTTAGCTTTACAATTAGTACATTATTATTTCTGCTTTGTGGCTATCTGCCTGGCCCTTGAAGGGGAATGCCTGTCAGATCCAAGAAGAAATGTATGTCCAAAGGAGGTGGGAGAGAAAATTCTCTTCCCCTATGATTTCAGAGAGCCACTGAAACCATGAGATCCCAAATATCATACAGATCCCAGGAATTCCTTATGTACTTCTAGGAAGCAGCTTAGGAAATAACAGAATCAGTTTGTTGCATTTGCAACCTATGAAATCACATGGCATTGAACCTGTATACAGCAGGCGCTACAAGTGCAATAACTGTAAGTCTGCTCTGTAAGCTGGATAGAGCCACTTCAATCCAAATTCACCAAAGCATAAACAGAACAAGTGACCAGTTTTATCTTGATAAATTTATTCACAGCCACACTCTTACCCGGAGATTGCACATGATTCTAACTGATAGTTCAAGAAGGTGGGAAAAGTTAAAATGGGAGACAAAAAGTAACTCAAAGTGTTCTCTCTCACCACTGTTCCCCAGCCTTCACTCCTCATAGCACACATTTTTGAGTTGCATGGAAAAGGAGTAAGAAAAAAGAGACTAGAAGGACAAAAGTTGATGAAAATCTGCAAGTCACCAAGGAGGTATGAGGAGGAATACAATTAAAAAGTACTCCATATTTCCCTTTGCACGTCACTGATTGTGAGCTACAAGGTACATCAATATTTTCAGTATTATAAGATGATGGACACTTCCTAATCTTTCCAGATATATGACTTTTAGTCACCCTTTCAAAAGGCATCAAAATATGCTATGTATTTTTTTAAATAAAACACTTTTTCAAAATTATTGCAAAAAAATCTATTCTTTCTGTAAGTGGAAGAGAGTTACTGCTTACTATTGGTAAAAGTATCCTAGCTTATTCTATTACTTGAGTTTCCCCTTATTTTATAATTTACTGTAAATTACATTTTTATTATTATTTGGGACATTTTGTGGTATTTTTTCCCAAGACACCTAAGGAAATTTGCAATGCCACCAACGTGATTCCTGTTTAGTTAAGCAGCTACTGCTCTATTGACTGTCTCTGAGATAGTGACACCCCCTAACCACTCAAACATTGTTCTGCTGTACCATTAAACGAGGCAGAAGGCATAATTTATTGGTTGATCCTACTGAGTAGCTGAAGTTGCTAATATGTTTTTTAAAAATCATATAATTTGTGATTCGTCGTATTATATACGACTTACCCTGGGTGACTGGCAAATTGGAATTTTTTAAGAAAAGGAAAGTTTTCAAGCATCAGTATATGACTGTTTTGTTAAAATGCAGAGCAACTGAGTACTTAGTTCAATAATGGACTTTTTACAAAGGCCATAACTTTTATATTAATAGCTACATTCTGTAACAGTATGTCAAAAAGCTGCATAACAGATCCTTTAGATCTATTACTGTCCCTCCAAACAAAACCTGTTATGCACAAATGCAACATCAAACAACAATCTGTAGCAGCCCATATTGCAAATAATCTGAGCAGAGTCCTGGGGGCCTCTTTAAAGGCTGGTCATGTTTTGCAATTACAAACACATATTCGACCTATCTGCAGACATGTATGTGCGTGCCTGGGTTCCTCCTCCCTTACCCATACACCCTTGGGGGAATCTGGAAATAGTTTTTCAACCGGTTTGCTCACACTTTCAAAGAAGTGCTTGGCTTCTGTTGTTTTTTTGCTTTTTATCATGACCAATAGAAGTGGAATCCAAAAATATCCATCCTAACCACACTAATAGAAAGCAATCAAATATCCAATCAACCCCCCCAGCCCTACCTACTATCCGCCTGCTCTCTAGGTAACATATGCAACTCGCTGTGGCTATGCGGTTACCACGGAGGGCTTTCCGGTTGCCTCTCCCCAAGGGTGTTTCAATAACCAGGCACAACGGGGAAAGCAAAGAGCTGAGTTTCCTACCTCACTCTGAATCTCCTCGTTTCCACGGGGGGTTGGGGGGCAGAGGGGAGTGTTCGCCAAATCCTTCATATTATTTGAGCACAGCTCTTGCAGGCTATTTTATTTTTTCTCAACGAGAACTTTCCTAGATGAGTAAGCGTGTTTGTCTTTAAGAGTTGTTCCAGGAGAGATCATGCATATTTCAGCCAGCTCCAGATGAAACGAGTTAAGCGATTCTCCAGCATGCTAATGTTTGAAAATGCCATATTTGTGCCATATTCAGACGTTTTACTAGGAACCCGACTTCAAGGCAGTCTCCGAGCCCCCAGCCCTCTTCCACCCCCTCCTACTCCTTTATGTATATATGTTGCATAATTATGGAGCAGTGAGTATTTATCACCTTTTCTGGGCAGTAGGCAGAAAGAAATACAATACCATTACTTCCAGTTACTGCTTTTCCCAAGATAATTAGGTAACACAGTGGAGGAGCCTTGGTAAGCCTAACGCTGTTCAAGTTAAGTGATTGACATGGCCCTGTCTGGCTGCTCTATTAACTGTTTCATTTTGTTGCTATTTGCAGTTTTCTTGGCTAATACTCCGAACAAATACGGACTGTTTCTTTAGCCCCTTTTTTCTCTTTGACCTTCTCCTGCCCATTTTCTTTGACTCACTTCAAACTGCCTTGAAAAGGCCTGTTGAATGCGCACAGTCCATCAGAGGCCCAGGTTCGTCCCTACCCTTGCCCTGAATGCCTTACTTCAAAGATGGCCCGCATTCTTTAATTGCCCTTTGAATTAATATCAAAGGGTCACAATGCGAGTGCCAAAAGAGAAAGGGGCTTTAATGAAGCAAAGAGCTGCCATTCATTTGCAGATAAGCACGTTTTTATGCCTGAACGGTCACCATGGCTAAAGGCTTCGTGAAGAGGAGGCTGGCCTGTGACTTACTTTTCCTTAAGTAGTGATTAGTGCAAACAAACAAGAGTAAACAAATTTTTTTAAAAGTCTACAAACAACGACAACATAAAATAAATAATAAGGCTAAATTCTCAAGCTGCACATTTCTCTCCCACCTTTCCATAAAAAAAAAAAAAAGTCGTACTTAATCAGCAAATCCCTTCACCATTTTTAATACCATATTTCAACATTTAAATTCCAAGGGCAAAGTTCAACAATATGCCGAGATAAAGTATTTTCAGTTTGAAATTGTGTGCCATGGGTAGCACAGAGGGAAAATGTGATGACTTTAACATAGAAGGAAAAAATGCCACCTTCACAAAAAATGTGCTAGTGAGCTCAAGACATAATTACTTTTGAAATGAACATTTGTGCTTAAACACTTAATTCTTTTAGTAGAAAGAATTTAGTTCGAGCCTAAAATAGTAAAACTGTATCTCTCTATCTACACATTTAGATAATATTTTTCCATTTCTTACAAAGAAATCACCATGCAGTGGCCACTGTCTGCATTGTCCCCTTGCAACACTGTAGCTGAGGCTATAGAATGAGCAAACCAACAGCACCAGAGGTCAACACAAGGTAAAATACAGCTCAAATCATAAATGATTACAGAGTGAAATAGTAAGCCCTGTTTCCCCTCTTCATCATTCTCCTTGCAGAGAGGTTGATGATTAAAGAAGGATTTCAGTCCTGGTGAATTATCATCTTAGCTCAAGCTCCGACTAGCATCCTTGGTGCTCAGCTACAAACTGAACCGTTGGCCTCCTGGTAGACATAACATTCAGACCATTGTCAGGGCTTCTCTCCCCTCACTGGATGCTTTGGTAAACAGAGTTTATGTTACCCTCAATGACGTACAAGGGAGGTCCTTGTTCAGATGTTTCCATCGGTCTCCAAAAGTGAGTTGCCAATTTTGCATTCGTGCAATAAAATTGTCGCTGCTAAGTTAAAAGAAAGAGAAAAAGAGAGAGGTTTCCCTTATCTTCAGGGAAATCAAAAGCATCTTCTCCTCACTGGCCTTATTTTCCATGAGCTTATCCATCTGGTTCAGAGTTGCCAAAATAGAGTGAAAAAGGGCAGCAAATAAATGTCAGAGAGCCAGCCAATCTGCATAAATCTCCAACTCCTTCCAGAGAAACTCCTTCCTGGCCTGCTGGGCCTTCCAATCTTGTGACATGAGCCAACAGACATCAGAACAATGTGAAAATCAAAAGACTTATTTTGCCCAAATCCAAACCCTTAAAAGCAGTTTCTCCCATACTAGTCTTTCACTAGATATGCAGCGGTGTGCTGCTTTGCAATAAAGCAATGTTATCCCAGTAACTAGGTCCCTTATGTCCTAGATATAGAATTAGTTCTGTCTATTTTAGACTGACCACAGGAAGATCCACTTAATCCTTGTTAAACTGCACTCTGAGACAGCAAGAAGGCAAATCAATCAGCTACCAAACCTTGTTTCAATGAGTACAAAAGGAATCAACAGATTCTAAGTAAATAATACTTTATATTTGCTCAGGACTTCTGATGTGTTCGCGGTCACTAACACAACAATCCTTTGAGGTAGTGGAGCAAATATTATCGCCTACATTGAAAAGGACTCCAGCTCAGAACACATAGTGACTTTTCCATGATCACAACTATTCAGAGAGTGAACCAGGACAAATCTCTTAACCCCAAAGCCTTTCATAAAGCCATGGTTATATCTGGTGTAGAACTAGACCTGGGCAGCCTGATGTCCTATGGATTCTTTACCAAAATCCGTAAGTGGAATAAACTTCAAGACCTCTGCAAATCCAGCTCAACAAGACACAAGAAAAATGTTTGGAACACATATTGCAATGCTTCCTCAGGATGCTATGGTCATGTAAATATAACTGTGACAAGTTCCATCCCAAACATAGTAATAATGGTGATGCTGATGATGATGGTACTGGTGACAGTAACGATTATATCTTGCAGTTGTCTAGGGCTTTGCACTTCCTAAAGTATTTTTACACTCACTATTTGGTGTAACCATATAATTCTTTGAGTTGAGGGAAAAACCTTTTTTTCACTTTAAGTGTCAAGGAATAAGGCAATGTGCCTTGATGCCAAGGGAAGTAAAGCATTTTGAAGTTTTTAAACCTAAATAACCTAGTCATTGAAGCTACCTAAGTAATAGGTTTCTTATTTCCTATGTAATTCTCAATAAAGCTGAGGGGTATTTGATACCCAAGTAAAATTTATATTCCCAAGGGACAAATCATTCATGACAGCATCCTCCTCCTAGCTACCTTCCCATTGGCAGTTTGAAAAAGATGCTTCTGAAATTCAGTTCCACATGAAAGAAGCCTTCTAAAGCTTAACCTGCAAGCTGCAAAAATGCAACAAGAAAGGTGTTCCAACTTCACAAGGAGCTGTTTTATCAAAGAATTTTCCTAGACTTAAATGAAAGCCTTGTCCAGATGCCTGCTGGACCTCTCTCCTGAAGGTTTCACTTTCTTCGCGTCACCAAGTCATGACCACAAAGCTGATCGTGTTGCATGAAACCATCCTACCAGACAACATTGACCTGGGATCTGATGAATGTTTAGTTCAAGAAACACTGCATAGTAGCCGCCACTGTTTATCCCAGTTAGGAATCAGAGGCACACTTAGAGGAAACTCTCATCTTCAATGGAAAAAAGAAAAAAAGTGCAGCAAGCCGTTCTGAAATGTGTAGAGTTACAAAAGTTGCATTAGCTTTAGTTCTTTAAAAATGTCATTATACCCCTTCTCCCAAGCACCAGCATGTTTCCCAAGCATGGAGTAAGTGTTATGTCAACTAAAGAGGCTTAAAGGGGAAGAAAATGTGATCTAAACAAATCTCTAGGAACAGACATCCTGCTGTAGGCTTCAATGGGTAACATTTGTTATGAAGTAATAAGAATTTGCATAATTTTGGGGAAGACTTTGTTTTCAAAGTAATTCTCTTTTTCACCTGCTTAGGCCTTTACCGTGTATGGCTTTGGTTAAGTTTTGTTGATGGAGGCTCATGTTTAACCAACTGTTTTTAATTTACAAATTAAACTTGTCAGAAGTAGAAATCCTTCCCTTGGAACTCTTCCAATATGTCAAGAATTAATTCTAATGAAAACGGCATTGCCTAAATGCGGGATGGCCAGTCACTTATTTTATTTACACAAAGTCCTTCTCAGTTTCTTTGATAAAAGCAGCTAAATCTTTTTCCTCTTTCATGTTTTGTCAGCACTTGATTCCTTTTGTCCCTTGGCTATTTGCCTAGCTGTGGACAATAAGGCAGGAAGAATAGAAGCAGATTGTTGGAATGGCCCTCAATAAACCTAATTATGACATGTTGACTGCCCTCACCATGACACAGTCAGGGGACCCAGGCTTATTCAATTACCCTTGCCAGGTTTCTCTTTCAGACCTAAAGTTATCCTTTGACTGTTTGTATTTCTGAACCGTATTCATGTTCATTGTGAAAGAAAATCCCCTGGACTTTGAGGGGTTTTTAAGTTGATGCTGTTATTGTAGCTAATTTTTATTAACTGAATGATAACATGATAAAGAAATAGACTTTTGTTATGTAATAAGAACAAATCAGTGTGTGCTTAAAGTTACACCTTTCTTTCCTTTCTCTTCCAGCCAGCCTGGCAGGACATGTAACCTGAATTAATAAACAAAATAATTTCTTCAACCAGCATGTTCCTTACAACATGATACTGAATCTAGCAGTATGGAACAGGGTTGTGGCTTCATTGTGACTCTTCTTAACTAAAAAAATATAACCACATGATTTTCGGGCTTGTGTGTGTGTGCACACGCCTGTGTGTCCATGTGTGTTTAAACACCAAGAAGGTTCTTTGCTCTATTAACACGAGGAAACATAAGTTCATTGGTACCTTTATGCCAACAGCTATTTCTTCTACTGTTTAAGGTAGACAGGATGGGCAGTATTTTATTAAACCTCTGGCTGCTTGTTGGAAGGACCCTTTCCTCCTCAAACAGATTGTTCGGAGATCATGCCAGTGGTTCCTGCAAAGCCAATGTATAAAAGCTGTGTGTCAAGTGAACAAAAGAGTGGAAAAATGAAGGAATGCCAAAAATCAGCTCCTGATCCATCCTAGCTTTTAAGTCAACTAGGTCTGAAAGAATTAATATTCAATTGTATTTAAAGCTGCACAAAGCTTAGCAGAAATGATTGTTATTTAGTTGCAGCATTTTTGGATCATTTCCCTTTCTTTTTCCTTTTTTTTTCCTATTGAGAAACTCATTGCTTCCTTTAGGTAATTTGACAGCTCTTAGAACTATAATCAAATAAAAATTCGACTAAAACATGGCAAATTCGGTGCTGTAATTTTTTAAATTTGCTCCTCAATTCATTCTCTTCATTAGAAAATGGCCATCTTTTGAATAAAAGCAGGTATAAATTGTAATCTGTTCTGCAAGTAAATTCGGAGTTTGGTACTTATTTGGTTCCTAGAAAAATTAGTGTTTTAATCCTAATGTGAGAAATTCACTTTACAAAGGACTTGTGAAATAAAATATACAGAATCCTTAATATGCTCTCTCCACTGTGCTCTGTTCTGCAGCTCCCTCTCCTCTCAAATGCAACAATTTCATTTTCTCCAAATTCTAAAAGGATATTTTTAATCTCAAACATCCAAAATGAATTGTACAACAGAGTCTCTAAGCCCTGTTATACATTATTAATATAAGTAATTTTGACAAACTATATATTTGTCTTCTTTTGTAGAAGTCATTCTATAGTTTCATTTTAGCATTTGTTGATTTCAGTTCCCTTAAGGAGTATAAATTTATATTTATATTAATATTAAAATCCCTCTGACCAACTATAAAAATAATCATCTTCGTACTTTAAATTTTTTAAAATCTCTTTTAATAGAGAATGGAAAATAGTAAATGTCTCAACGCTGTAGAGTTAACGTTCTTCCTAAATGTTCAAATTATTTTAACCAGCAAACGTAACCACCTCTATAAAGGAAGTTTTTTGTTTTTTTTTTTAAAGTCTGCTTTTGCTACTTTAGAGTGGAAATGTTTTTAAAATATCCAAGATGTCTCAATATTTTAACTTGAAGCATATGTATTTTCGCATTCCCTAAAATGTTTTAATGTTTTTATATAGTTAAACAGAATAACAACTCTTCTTCGAACCTCAACTAGCACTTCCCTAAGAAAACATGGAAAAAAAATAAGTAGAGGAAATCAATACTCAGATGGAGTACTGCTCACCACCCCAAGCTTGGCAAAGCATCATGAATGCCTGCCATTTTAAAAGCTATACAGTTATCTTGCTATTCAAAGTATATTAAACAAATTCACGCCATATCTCTCATAAATTCAACTTTTTCAAACCTGCTAGGACCCAATTCATGTGGCAGAATCAGTCAGTTTTGTCTGTGGATATGGAAAAGGGAGTCAATAATTTGAACTGTTTTGATTTGTATGGAATTACTCAACAAAAATCCTAATGTTAGCTAGAAGTGAAGTGGCTAAGATCAGATTTCTTCTTTAATCTAAAGGTCAAGTAGTGACTTTCTCTCTTATTAAATAAAAATTTTAATTTCGATTCAAAGTTCAAAATTGCAATATATTTGATCTGAGTACAGGATAATCACTAAGAAAAATAGAGACAAACTCATATGGTAAATAGCAGGGCTTATTATTCTGAATATACAAAGGGTATAGTTCTTCTTCCTAACATTCTCGTTTTATAATGTTTGGCTTCTATTTTAAAAGATTAGTAAATATTTTATGGCAATATTTGCTTACATGTGTTTCCACAAACCTATTTAAGATAAACTACAATAAAGCTTGAGCCATAGATATCAGGTATATACAAAAAATTATGCATGCAAATATTAGTTTGGATATTTTATATGCTCTAAAATTGTCTAGAACAAAAAAAAAACCCACCACATTTTCAAAGTGCATTTTACGTTGTTAATTTTACCATTCAGTCTTTGCAATTAAAAAGTGTAATATTTGAATGAATCATTGTCTACCTTCAGAATATATAGCTGAAAAGTCAATATGTTGTGTAGATGATTTTTGAAATAATTTTCCTCCACAAAAATAAAATAGTAAAAAAATGGGAGGATGAAACTTAGTAAAATCTCCTCTTGATAGGCTATGACATTTTGCTTTGGATTGTCTTCAATATAACAAAAAAAATATTTCTTACATTCTTTCCAAGTTTTTAAATACTTCAATGTTTTTACAAAAACAACAAAAGTTTTCAGATTTGAAATGCTCTCCTGTTTAATCTTCATGAGTTTTCTCTGAAACTCTGTTTGGCATTGAAAATTTTGATTTATTCAAATAAGATTTTTAAATATGTGAGTGTATATGTGTGTGTTTTAGTTAAGAGCAAACTCTTGTTTGCCCCAATCAGTTGGGACAACCGCTAAGTGTGAGCCATTAGGGCGTTAATTTAAGATATGACTTAGAATCATCTGAAGTGAATTCACTATTGTCTGAGTCTCCTTCTCTTCAAGACCAGACAGCTTCTAGCTTTGTGGTCAGTAGCCAGAAATCCTGTGTGTCCCTTTCTGGACACAGGAAGAAATCGTCCAGGCATAGACGAAAGAGGGAATGTCACCCTCCTGTGTAGCAATTCTAACTTCCCGGCAGAATCATGTGCAACCCATTGAAAGTGAAGCTCTCAAAACAATACCCAGAGGCCTTTCCAGCCTCTTCTGGAAGCCACAGCTTTGACAAGAGGTACAAGAAAGCACGCATCTCCCTGCGTGGAAGAAGAGCCGGTGTGTTCACCTGTGATACTGCACAGAAATGCTTCTTCCCAGAAGGCTTCATTTCCCACCTCCTTCCAGCACCTAAAGGCATCTTTTCCCTCAAAGACAAGGCAAGGTAGCAGTTGCTCACCTTCTAAGATATGAAGGGTCCCGGTCCTCTCCATCCTTGCCCTGATTCCCTGGCTGCCTGGGGGCCCCATGATTTCCTCAAGCGGCTGCCTGTACCTTCTACAAGTCTGCTGAGAGGTGGATGGGGCCACAGCTGCCACAGCCTGCTAGAGCTGGGAGAGACCGTGGCCTTCACCTCGCCCAGAGCTTCCATTTGTCAGAGGAGGGGAGAATGAGGTCCAGAAACGGAAAGCAACCAGGTCCCAGTAATAGTTTCAGAGACCTACAAGAAACATCTAGAAAGTGCCTAACACAACCTTTACAGCTAAGGGAACTAAGCCTCCCTGCATCCTCCAATTAAGGGTTTTGCCCACCTGCCCTTATGCAGTGAGTGGATATTTCTCATCTTCTTGTGAGGAGTCGGTCCAAGATCCCCCCTAAGGGGCTCCCTACAAAGACAGAGGATGCTGTGTAGAGTAAGAACCATATGGGTAAATTGTTAGTCAAACCCAGACTTTGACTTCTTGAAGCAAACAAGATAAGGCACAGGAAATGAAGAAGCACCCTGCGTATTCTAAAGTGCAAGACACAAGTTGGCACTGTTAGTATGTGGCTGTTACATGGTTGTGCTGACTCACACTTTACACACAGAAGCGTACCATCTCTCCCCACCTCTGCTGAACAAGGACAAGGGTAGATGCGGTTTTGTGGGACCTGAAGCTTTTACAATTTAGGGGGCTCCTCTTGAAAAAAAAATACAATAGATCTTAATTTTGCAATATTTACAAAAATCTAATGACACAGAGATGTTTTTAGGTGATCTGTCATGGATCCACTAGCTGTGGCTGGGGGTTGGGGAGGCTTCTGGCCAGGGAGGGCCAGAGGCTTAAATCTCCAGAGACTCCTAGACTCTCAGTCTTGAGACTCTTGAGATCCTCAGAAACAAATCACAGAAACAAACCTCAAAGGTGAGATTCCCATAGGTTCATTAGCTCCTTGCTGAACCCACCTTTTACAGGAACCCCTCCTGGGGAGACGTGGACCGTTTTTCTAGACGCTCATACTCCCTGTCATTATCTAATATTTATAAAACACAAATCAAGCCTGAGTGCCCACTTTGACAGTCCAATAGGAACACAAGATCATTTAAATCAAGCTTGTTCAACCCGTGGCTCACGGGCCATATGCAGCCCTGGATGCTTTTGAAAACAGCCCAAAGCAAATTCATAAACTTTCTTAAAACATGAGTTTTGGCCGGTCGCAGTGGCTCACACCTGTAACCCCAGCACTTTGGGAGGCTGAGGCAGGCGGATCACGAGGTCAAGAGACCGAGACCAGCCTGGCCAACATGGTGAAACCCCGTCTCTACCAAAAATAGAAAAATTAGCCTGGCATAGTGGCACGTGCCTGTAGTCCCAGCTACTCGGGAGGCTGAGGCAGGAGAATCGCTTGAACCCAGAAGGCGGAGGCTGCAGTGAGCTGAGATCATGCCACTGCACTCCAGCCTGGCAACAGAGCGAGACTCCATCTCAAAAAAAAAAAAAAAAAATTGAGTTTTTGTGTGATTTCTTTTTTTTTTTTTAGCTCATCAGCTATCGTGTTAGTGTTAGTGTATTTTATGTGTGACCGAAGACAATTAGTCTTCTTCCAGTGTGGCCCAAGGAGCCCAAAAGATTAGACACCCTGATTAAAATGGTCCATGAATACACTGGCAATTTCTGAATCCCAGATATCATTGGTGGACTCAATCCCAGTTGTTCCACTGAGACCCTTTTGGCTTACATGCTCCAAAGTGATTTGTTTCTAAGGATCTCAAGAGTCTGAAGACTGAGAGTCTAGGAATCTCTGGAGATTTAAGCCTCTGGCCCTCCCTGGCCAGAAGCCTCCCCCACCCCCAGCCACAGCTAGTAGATCCATAACAGACATCCTTTGTGCCCCAGTCCTCTAGAGGAGGGGAGTCTCATTTCTTCAGACCTCTGACAACTGTCCAGGAGCCACTAAGGATTTAAGAGCTCAGCCCAGACTTCTGCTCCTTGGGGAAGGTTGTGAGTTCTAAGGTGAGATGAGCCCCACAGTTCCTTCCTAGTCTATGGCTCTTGGCCAAAGAGACCCTTCTTGTCCTTCTGCTTTTTGCCAGGGAGCCCAAGGGACAAAAGCCAAGGCCCTTCCCTGGCACTGAGGAAGTGTGGGAAATCCACTTGTGGTGGAGGGATGCTCTTGGTCCAACCTGGCTATGTCTCCTCCTAGACAGCTCAATGGGGAATTGTGCCCTAGCAGGTCCTGCCCACCAGCAAGGAGCTCCTTCATAGCAAAACTAATCCTGTCCTTTCACAGTGAAGACAGGATCTGCTGAGGTGTGATTTTAGGGGCATCAGGAACCTATCTCCTGCCCCCACCAAACACGGACACCTGAAATTCTACCTTTAGGGATTCATTCCTTCATGGTAAGTTGTCAGCTCTCAGCGTCCTTTAGAAAAGAGCAAATACTTTCCATTTAACCAGTTAAAGGCTTAACCAGTTGAGTTTCTTTTGTTTTTGTTGTTGTTGTTGCTTGTCTGTTTGTTTTTGAGATGGAGTCTCACTCTGTTGCCCAGGCTGGAGTGCAGTGGTGCGATCTTGGCTCACTGCAACCTCTGCTTCCCAGGTTCAAACAATTCTCCTGCCTCAGCTTCCCAAGTAGCTGGGACTACAGGCACCTGCCACCAAGCCTGGCTAATTTTTGTATTTTTAGTAGAGACGGGGCGGTTTCACCGTGCTGGCTAGGCTGGTCTCGACCTCCTGATCTCAAGTGATCCGACCGCCTGGGCCTCCCAAAGTGCTGGGATTACAGGCATGAGCCACCACGCCCAGCCAACCAGTTGAGTATCTATGTGAATGAGGTAGAGCTGAGTGCAAGCCTGTGCGTGTGTGTGTGTGTGTGTGTGTGTGTGGTGTAGTAGTAATAGTAGTAGGAATGTACAAGGCAAATGGCAGGGACAGGGATTCAGGAAAGGAGAGGGAACAGCACCCAAGACTGACTTCACTCTTTTCACCTAAGGTCAGCCCACAGGGCCCTTTATGGAAGGAAAGTGGGGAAAAACATTTTCAAAGGGTTTGGTAGAGGAGGGTTAGGTGGTAGGAGAATTTTCAAGTATGCCTGTGAAAAGCCTACACTTGTTCTGGTAACATCTTTTCCTATAAATTGTAGTCTGAGTGACAGTTCTTTTTATTTTTCCTGAAGTTTTTCCATAAGAATTTTCCAAGCACCAGAAATTTCAATGTGAAAGATAGTCATTGTCTTACTTAATGAATTTAACTTGGGTTTTCATGTTACAAAAAAATAGAAAAGATACATTTCAGGGGAAAAAATGTTAGTTTAAACTAGTAACATTAAATTATAGTAATTCAATAAAATTATGAAAGTTAGCCAACAAAGATTCAGAAAAAAAATTGGCTCTCTGTGTCATTTGTATTTTATAATAAAGAAATGGTTGGTCTCCTTATCTGACCAAGGTATATACTGGCACCCCATTAGAAATAGAGTCCAAGGCCAGACATGGTGGCTCACACCTGTAATCCCAGCATTTTGGGAGGCTGAGGTGGGTGGATCACCTGATGTCAGGAGTTTGAGCCCAGCCTGGCCAACATGGTAAAACCCCATCTCTACTAAAAATACAAAAATTAGCCAGACGAGGTGGTGCGCGCCTGTAATCCCAGCTACTCAGGAGGCTGAGACAGGAGAATTGCTTGAACGTGGGAGGTGGAGGTTGCAATGAGCTGAGATTGTGCTGTTGCACTGCAGCCTGGGCAACAAGAGTGAAACTCTGTCAGGAAGAAAGAAAGAAAGAGAGAGAGGGAGAAAGAAAGAAAGAGAAAGAAAAGGAAAGAAAGAAAGAAGGAGAGAAAGAGAGAGAGAGAGGGAGGGAAGGAGGGAGGAGGGGGAGGGGAGGGGAGGGAGGAAGGAAAGAAAAAGAAAGAAAGAGAGAAATAAAGGGGAAGGAAGGAAGGAAGGAAAAAGAAAGAAAGAAAGAAAAAAGAAAGAAAGAAAGGAAGGAAGGAAGGAAGAAAGAAAGAGTCCTGTGCAATGGTTTAGTTTCAATTTTCCTAAAAAGGACAAATAATATAAGACAAAGGTATGCCGGGAAATGAGTGAGTACTTGCTTTGACCTCCACAAGAGTTGTATTTCCCTACTTTTTACTGACAACTCATTGAGCCTCTTACAAAAGCAAGATGAGATGGTCATCCCACTTATCCATTGGTTTTATGCTCAGGAATGCCCCAAGAAAGACCAGCTGATACTTTCCATAGACAAGGAGAAGACCCAGAGGAGCCAAGGCCCTAAAAGTTTACTGAGAAGCCCAGAAACTGAATCCAAAGTAGAACAGGCCTTGAGTTCCCATCCTGGCCTCCTACTTGGAGCGAATTGCCTGTATAATGGGGACTTGCCCAGTACCCAGGCATTCCTCTAACCCCTGCACTCTTAAGCCTGGCTCTTTGTAGTTTCTGACATGATGCTAAATCCCCAGTCTTCCATTCGACTTCTGCTCTCAGACAAAAATTCAGCAAGTATTTAGAGCTTGGCAGGGCCAGTGACCACAAACAGACACTGGCTTCTAGTAAGAAACTGTAAAAGTTGCCTTTCTGTTGCCCTCTGATAAATGTGTGTCATGTACACACGTGCCCCAGATGTGCCCTGTCTGCATAAAAGCCAAGCACATCTACCACCTGGAAAGTTTCCACGCTGGATCAATTCCCAAATGATATTCTGCTCTGGCATACTGCTAGTCCACCGGGGGCACCATGAGGAAACCACCATTTATTTGCTCAACTTGAAATTGACTTTCAGCTTTCTTTAGAAATGGTCTCAGAGGGTGTTTTAGATGACCCAGAACTTCCCAAAATGTAACTAACAATTCCAGATCCCATCTACTTGGGAATCACGAAACGGAAAATTAAAACATTTTCCCCAGATGAATTTATGTTCCACTTCCTATTTTTAAAAACTTACACGTTTATAAATCAGAAGCAAAGGGGCTGCTCTCCCCAGAAAACACCTGCTCTCTGACATTAAGCCTGGAGGTTTAAGTTCCCTGGAGGATGGCTCTGCCTGCCACTTCCCTTCACCTGTATAGATAAAAGCAGTCTGATGATCTGTCAGTAACCTAAAGCTTGGCCACTATGGGCCTAGAAGCAAATTATTTTATATGGTCTAAATGTTTGTTGAGAACATCACAGCAACTTGAGGAGCAAATGAAAATTTTCCATGTTGATATTAATCCTCTGTAGACTTTCCTTCCTGTGTGGAGAGCTGCATACTTTTACAGGTAGTAATCAGATGCCACAAACTATGAGCCTGATTCAACCCAAATTATGCAGAGCAGGGAATTTTTGAAAAGCTGCTTTTGATTTTTCTTAGCTCTTTGTAGACACTCTTAATGCAGGCCTGTTTCCATCCCCTGACTGACCCCTTTAGATTTCCATAGGCAAGTCAGAGAGAAGGCAAGAAGGGAATTGAGGGCACCTTGCTAGCCATCTTCCATCTAAGCACAAACGAAAGTTCTAGAATTAAGAAAATGCATCCTCCTGCCTTACTGGCACACTACATCCTGCACATTCCGGGCCTGGCAGCAAGAACAGTCAAGAAAGAAGACGTGTTTTTGGTTTTTTCTTATTTTTTTAAAACCAAATCAAGATTTTGATTTCCAGAAATAAATCCTTCGCCCCTAACTTGTTCTCCTATTTCTGAAAGGCCCATTCCTAAGAAGAAATGACTTGAAAGATTTGCTCTATAATATTCGCTGGCAATCATAGCTCCAGTTTTCTCGGGAGGGTTTTGAGGGGGTTGTATTTCTCGTATACTTGGAGCAGAGTCCTTTCTGGCTCATTTCACAGGCTGAAACGTCTAGCTTAGGTAGACCAGGTATTCAGCAGGACAACAACTGAATTCCATAGCATCAGATTTAAGGGAAAATAGACTGAAATGATTTGGTGGAAGCAAGGTTTTTGAAAAAAACATAAAAAGTCTTTTGTGCAGAGATGGGCATGGATATATACTCTCTAAAAATTTACAAATTAAAAGTCAGCCATTCCCAAACTCAAGAAACCCCTAGAGCATCCGGCAGCACTTCTGAAAAATAAATACAAGACCATATTTTCTTATACATAAACCACTCTCTTACTAGTTCAACCCTAATTTGGTGACCTTGGAGACAATTTTTCTTTTGTAAGTAAATAATTATAATAAGTTGCCTCTAAGTTGTTATAAAACTACCCACAATTTTTCTGGCTTACAAAGAAAAATAAAAATGCTTAACATAAAGAGACTACTTTTGATCGTGCCAAACTTAAATAAATAGTAAATAGGGAAAAAGTAGAATTTTTAAAAAGGAACCAATAAGTCAAAGAAAAAAGTTTTCCTTGTATTTAGAGACTGTTCCATTTGAAGAAGCAATAGAATATTGGAGGAATGTCCAGAAGGTAGTCATTGTTAGCAGAACAACTCTAAGCAGTAATTTTGAAACCTATGTTCCTACTCAGATATAGGGATAGGAGAAAACGTATCATTTTTCTTGTGCCAGTGCCCAAAGGCAAACACACTCCTGCACCATGATTTCTAAGAACTTCCCCACCATTTGGTCTCAATGCAGAAGCTAAATTCCACCAAAGCTACCAGAATTACAAATGTCATTCCTTTTGTCCTTACCAGGGAGGAATTATTTTACAAATAAACTCACACGTGTGCCAAATGGTGCTGTCAGATTGAAAACAATCTACATGTTGTTAAATAAGTCATCCTTTGCCAGTATGATGGAGTACTATGCAGCTATACAAACAAGACATTATGCAGAATAATTCCTGAGATATATTCTAAAGTGGACAAAAAAATCAAGGTGCAGAAAAGTTTATATTGTAGGTAGGGTACCATTTCTGCCAAAGGGGGAAGATAATATTTTTAAAAAGAGAGAGAAATGTAATTACTTGGTTGGCATAGAGTGTCTGGAAAAATGGTCAAGATACTGGCCACTAGCAGACAGAGGTGGGAGGAAAACTAGTCACCGTACATCCATTTATATCTTCTGAATTTTGTGCAAAGTGAGTGTTTTACCCAGTCAAAAATAAATACGATAATTTTTTTTTAATCTGACAAAGTATATATTTCACTTGAGTGTTTGGGTCAACAAGAGTGCAATCTTCAGAATAAAAGAACATTTCCCTTTGGTGGCTGAGAGTTGGCCCCCATAATCCAGGAGTCTTCTTGCATCTAAAAGCCTTCAGGGGGCCAGGACTGTCCAGAAGGAAGGCCCCATGGCTCACCAGCGAATTTTTATCAGTTCACTGGGGGCCCGGCTGGCCAAGGAGCTTCGGCTGCCTGCTGCGAAGCCTAAGCCGCAACAGCTGCATAAACTGGCTGTGCCCCAGCCTGACCTATTTTGGAGACAGGTCAGACCAGTGCATGCGGGGATAAGAAAACAACCTTCCTTGCAGCCAGTGGCTGCACTGCCAAGCTGCGCCAGAGGGAGAAACATGGGGGCAGGAGCTCTCCAGCTCCTAGGAGCCTTACTAGCCAGGCTATTTTCTTTTTCACTCTCACACTGCACCCCAATAACACAGGAGCCCCCAACGTTTTGGGAAGTAATGGAGGCAAATGGAACAGAACGGTCATTAAAATGTATCCTTCAGCTTGAAGAATGCTACTTTGGAAGGTGTCCTTAAAACTTCTTAGCTCCAGTTTTAAAGGAGAGGGAATTAAGAAGAATCATGCACAAAGAAAAAAGAATGCACACAACCTCACGTGCAGAGCTATAAAGACCTTTAAGAACAATGAAGCAGGCTGAAGAGGGGATATAATGAGAAACTGTGCAAAAACAATTCCCCAAAATGAAAGACTATAACAGCATTTTAGGAATAAGAATGGATGTATGAGACTCGTTTTCAAAAAAGCAACGTATTTGTCAATTCCTGATCTGCTGAAAAAACTTGTGCCAAATACAAAGAAAAGTTTGAGTTGGAGTTTCAAAAAAAGCCAAGTTAATCTAAAAGAGAAAAGTAACCTTTTAAGCTGGGAGGAAAAGTAATTAAGAAGCATGTTTTGACATCTCAGCTAATGGTTTTAGAATTTTATTTTTTATACCCATTAAATCGAAGTTTTTTACATTTAATAGTTGCTCATAAACTCAATTTTTTGACTTGGTGAAAGCAGACTTAGTGGTGTGGGGTGTGTGTCTGTGTGCGTGTGTGTGTGTGTGTGTGTGTGTGTGTGTTTGGTCTTCATTGTTGCTTCTAAGCCCTGAATTAGGCTTTATCTGCCCTTGGGCAGAGCCCATCTGCTAGTTTGTAGGCTGGTCACTTTCTGAGTGTTCAGAGATTATTTCCCCCCCGACCAAGACTTTTGAGTTTTGCTGCTAGGTGTAATTTGCACATAATATGCACCTTCTCATTTCATTCTCACAGAATCCTGGAAAGCTGGTATGCAGTTCCCTATCTTAGAGATGTCAAAACTGAAGTTCAAAAGGTCACAACTAAAATGTGCTTGGTCTCAATTTTAGAGCAAAATTGGTGATGCAAGAACAGACCACTTTCACCTTGGGTACTGTGTTTTTTATAAGGCAAGAAAGATCTGAAAAGGTACTTTGGAGTGTGTTTAAATCAAACAAGACAAAAAGCATTCAATTGCTTTAGTGAACCTCAATTGGGAAACTGGCCAAGTGGGGATTCATAAAGAAGAAACCTATTGCTTTTCTTATAATAAAATGAATTGGACCAATTAATTTTCTTTAGTTCAGGTTAAGCTCAACCGTGTTGATTGAGACACACACATGCACACATGCTTTGGCCAAGATTTTCTTAATCATCACATTACATTTGAATATTGGAAGAATTTAAATATATGTTTGAAGACAGATTCTATGAATCTATAATCGTTTAAAAATAAAATGCTTTTGAAAGAAAGAGGTAGTATGAAGGAAACTAGGAAGTTAGTACTCAAAGGCAAGGGCCAATGAACTGGGTAAGAACCAAGAGCCTGTGAACTGGGTAAGTTATGCCGACACTAGAGTTTGCCACTAAAAGGGTAGGGGGCGAAGAGGGATATGTTTAAAAGTCATTTTCATTTTCTGTATATATGCACATTTAGCATATCTGTGTGCCTGTAAAAATCACAAAATAAAAATGTAGACTTTCTATTTAAAATGCAAATGTGTATGTGACCGTATCAGCATTGACTATGAGAGTACACAATAATTCCATGTTGCAATACAAATTTCATAGCAATTAACTTTTCTTTCTTAATATTCTACCCTAACTTACTTATTATTTCCAACCATTAACACAAGACCAAATACATTTAATTCTACAGTTGTTTCCATAAATATGCCTACTTTTCAATTATAAAAATTTTGAAAATCTACATTTAAGTTTTGATAAAACTATACTACTTAAATTATCCATATGATCCTGTAAATTTTTAAATGCTGAAAATCAGTGGTATTTCCTCTCCCTCAATTCTATGTTGGTCAACCAAGAAAAGTCTCCCATCCCTGTCACAAAGCATTTTGATCAGCTATTTTTTTTTCCTGAAACGGAGTCTCGCTCTGTCATCCAGGCTGAAGTGCAGTAGCACGATCTCGGCTCACTGCAACCTCCGTCTCCCAGGTTTGAGCAATTCTCCTGCCTCAGTCCCCCAAGTAGCTGGGGTTACAGGCGTGTGCCATCACACCCAGCTAATTTTTATATTTTTAGTAGAGACAAGGTTTCATCATGTTGGCCAGGCTGGTCTCAAACTCCTAACCTCAGGTGATCCACCTCCCTCGGCCTCCCAAAGTGCTGGGATTACAGGCGTGAGCCACCGCGCCAGGCGGCTTGATCAGCTATTTTTAAACAGAATATGTTGGATTAGGTCCAAGATGCGTGGGGAATTGGCTTCCAGAATTCAGTTGATATTCACATACTATTACAGATACAGTAAATATGGCCAAATAAAAGTACATAAGAAAGTATAGTCAAGGAATTACTGAATGAGTTTAAGGAGCCAAACACACAGCCAGTTTAATAGTTGCCTATCTTGAGTTCTAATCTGTTTTGCTAGGGAAGGTAATTTATCAATCACCTCAGTAAGAGGTGGACATAAAAACTCAGACTACTTCAATCAACTTACTTTACCACAAAGTGGAGGTGTTTTGTTTTGTTTTGTTTCACTTAAAAAATCCTGCAGCAAAATGTAAAATGGTGCGAACTTTGCTGTATGCAACGTGCAAGGCAAAATCCTTTCTCAAGATTTTCCTTTCCCCTAGAAGAAATGTGCATCAAATCAAATTCTTAACACTGTTGCCCTTATTTAATACAATTTCATTTTCAAAGACACATGGCCACTTCAACAACAGAAATTACCTGTTGGTGGTTTTTAAAAAGATTTGTCAGGAAGGAAAGAAGGAAAAGAAGAAGATAAGAATTTATAACACCTATTATTCCTCAACAGTCTTCAATAACTATATTTCATGATTTTCATATCTCCCTTTGACAATGGTGAACTTTCTAATTCTTCTCTCGTGAATTGATGTTTTATGATGTTAAACAGGCATTTTGATAACTGTGCATATTCCAACTAAAACTTGGAAATATACATATTCTCTTCATTTTGGAGCATGATCTCAGCTTAGATAATTTGAAGAAAGCCTTCCTAAAGGAGAGGTGTTCTGCTTCCAGTAAAAGCTCACAATGCTATTGGAGCTCAGTATTTCCCAACACTGTAGGGTAGAGCTAAAAGCTGAGTTGTGTCTTGCTCTACCGAAGACTGGTGTGAATGGGACAAAACTATCTTTCCCAACAGGGCAGAGGATGGCCATTAGGGGATTAGTCTTTTCAATAACCTTTATTAGGAAGGAAAGAAAGAAAATAGGTATTGAAGGTAAGAATTTATAACACCTTTTATTCACCTATTATAGAATTATAATACCTATTGCTGCTTTGGTGTTTATCTTCCAGAAAGATGACAATACCTGAATTTTCTTCAGAAATGTCTGAAATTCCTTTTCACAATTCCCCAACTAAAGGCAGCCGGTTCTTGGGTCAGCAATTTTGAGTTGGTACTAAGATCAGGCCCAACTTGGAGCTGGAAGATGCTGTCCCTGGGGCAGTGTGTGAATACACGGCCTAATATCCAAGGAAGAAAAGTTACTTGAACTCTGTATGTATACAAAATATACATTTGAAATATATGACAAAGAACTATCTAATGCTATATCTAGACCCAGGACATGGGAACCATAACAAATCTGAGCTAACTGTAACTTCTAGCTTAATCTATTTCAGGCAGTTGTTCTACACTGCAATGTTTGGTAGTAAATATTTTACATCAGAGAGCATTTGAGCACAGATGGATTATTAATTAATAGGAGGATTATAATAGAAAATATTAGATAATACCCACCAAAATTCTGCTCTGTATGTCAAGATTCATCTTGCTCAAGAGTGAACAAGAGTAAAAAATAAAACAATAAAGCCTCATGCACAACTTTTTAGTACTGAAATGAGCACAAAGAAAGAGATTCGAAAACCCCACACACAGGCAGATCCATGATGCACAGTTACATATCCAAAGCCTAAATCTGGCATGAATTTTACAACCTCAGTTAGTGCTATTTGTTGGAATTTGCAAATTAAGCACAGAGATAGTATTTCCAAAAGATTCGTTTGCAGGATTTTTGCTTTCATAATAAAAGAAAAACCTATGCAAATATATTGTGTTCTTAAACAAACAAACAAAAGTCGGATAGTTCATCTCAAAATCAACAGTTTAAAAGAGTCATAAAATGATTCAAGGAAATATTTCTCCTGGCATTCAACAACTGGGAGGCTGTGCTGTTACCTCAGTTTCTGATGACTTTAGAAAGTGCAATCCATAGGACAAACATATCTTCATTTTGTGCAACTAAATATAGTTTAGTGCCAGCATAATTCTTAGTGTAATAAATAAACTCTAACAATGCACATACATACACATAAACACATATCTATTCCTAAATTATAGAGGATTGGAAATATACATGAGAGTCATCTAACCATCTATAAACACAGAAATTATGGAAACACGTGTAGAGAGATGTAGTCAATATAACACTCAGATTCCTGTGTATTTAATTATTCCCTACCTACTTTTACATAAAAATCTGCTATGTTTTCATTAAATAATTCCAGCTTGGAAGACAATTTTAGGGAAACTTTTGTATTTAGAAACTTAGCAACAGGCAGATAGTAGCTGCCATGCTTTCTGCCACACCCCCCCAAAATGAGAATCTATTTGATGATAAATTCACCATCATAGCCTCAGTTCTAAGTAAGAAATCACGATAGGATAATTAAAAACACCCCATGAGTCTTCTCTACAAACCTACAACATGTAACTGGTTTCAGTTCCTATTTCTTAAAGAGAATTTGGTCAATTCCTCCTTAGAGATTTCAGAGGAAAAGAAGGATTTTCCAGGACAGATAAATTGAAATGATCCCGCTTTGATCTCTATGGTTAAGAACCCCTCACAATGGAAGATGACCACTGAGGGGCCGCGCTCCCGGCCTTTTAATGTGTAACAATGGTATCAACAAACAGCTACTTAATCAATATTTGGCCAGAGCTGCTGAAAACTTCCTTTTCAGATTTTAATTCCTACTTGTAAAACAACCCCAGAGCAGCCAGTGAGATAAGACATTAAACTGACTGCTTAATTGCCTTTTAGTGTCTTGTTAGTTATATATGTACATTCTAAATGGTTCTTTAATCTTTATTTACCCTCATAGATAAGTTACCTGTCATACAGAATCCAATCGAACGTAAAACATTTTCTGTTCCAGCCCAAGCCAAACTCTCATTTCTCACCGTTTGTTTGTTGTTACTGTTGCAGCTTTTCATTTTCATTGGCCATCTACTTATGTACAACTTAAACATTTAGTCTCATAGGAAGAATTTTTTGTTGTTGTTCTCAAAATATATGCATTCATGGATGCTGAAGCCATTCGGATTTAGCGGCCACACTCCTATTCACGTGATCGATTTCTGCATATTCCACTCGCCTGAACCGCCGCGCGCTGACTGGTTCCGCCTCACCGCCCGGGTGGGTTTTATTGCTCAGCCCTGGGGACTTTTAAATGACCCTTCAGTAATTATTACTCAGTAGAAGCCCCTACGTCCTGGTTCCGGTGCTATCAACAATCAAATCAAACCCCAAAATAAACATACGATTTCAAGCATTAATTAGAAAATCTGCATGTTTTCAATAAAGCTCTAGAAGGTAAGCACACAGCAGTCAACCAAACCAAACAAGCGAAAAAGAAAAAGCTAGGAGCTGAACTCTGGTGTTTCCTTTCAAATCGTTCCAGCAGGAAAATTGTTACCGCGACATTAATAAATAGAACACGGCGTGGTGTTCTAATAGAATTCAAGTTCTGATACTTCCAATATTTTTTAAATGGATGATATTTCTTTGCTGAGTTTTGCAAGGACTTCAGAAAATATGAAGTTTTCTCTATAGAATCGAAACGACATTGAAGTCAAATTCGTGATCCTAACAAATGGACTTGGAAAGTGGGCTGGTCTGTCCACTTGAATAAAGGATCCGATGCCATAAACCTATGATCTTATACCCAATGATTTTAATCTATGGGAAAGTTCGTCCCCCGCCTTCCCCTCCTCCCAACCTTGGACCAAAATGGCCCTTCCTGCTCACTAACCGGGAAAGAAACGGCCCTTCGTTTTCCTTGATTTCAGCAGTCCCTTAATGATAAGAGTGCTCTTTTCATGATTTCACTGGAAATAAAATACTCCAAATACCTTTAATGCTTTTCTGCGTTTTAAACTGATTAATCTTCTCCTACCTCCCCCCCAAAAAGCTGAAGTCGTCCTCGTTAACTTTACAAAAGCTGACAAGCTTACAAATAAAATGGAAACTTGAGCAAAGCTTTCGTCACTTTTACTTTCTCCAATTTTTTAAGAAAGCACTCTTTTTTGTAAACGTCAAATAAGAGGGAACAGATAGGAAAGGAATATAAGCCCCCAACAGACCTATGCTTGAGATCTCTTAGTGGGATCTTTTAAATTGTTGCAAACCTCCCACGCTCACTTGTGATTTTAAAAGGGAGGAAAGTCTTATGAGAGTGTATCGCCAGTCCCCAATCAAAACATCAATTTGGCAATCTGGCCTCTCTCCCCCTGCGCTCCGGAGCTGCCACTTCAAAGCTGCTACAACAAGTCAGTAATTGTAACTTTGCATCTAAATATTTAAGCGAGAGTCTTGCAGTCGCGTGTCCATTTACAGTCCTCAACTGTCCTCTAATTCCATTACTGCACAAAGCAAAAATGTTTCCCAAAACTCACAAACAGGAAAAGCGTCACCCTGCTGGAGGGGGAGAAGGAGGGGTGGAGGAGGAGGAGGAGATGATGAAGGGGCAGTTTCTATTGATTAGTCACCGCTTTTGTGTTAAGGGCTTTCTTTAAAATAAGAAAAAAATGGGGGGAGGTTGCAGAAATTTCACTAATGTGAGCCTCAGGCAAGGGAGGAAAAAAAAAAAGAGGAGAAGAAGGGGGGAGGCGGGCTGTGTCTAGATGAAAGTGAGAAGGACATAAAGGAGGCAATTGAGTCGGCTGCAGCCCGGCGAGCTAAGCTTCGAGCCGGCCAGAGAGTAGGGGAGGGGGCGGAGCGGCGCGGCGCTTTGGCGCAGAGCACAGGAGTGGGGGCCCAGCCCATTGTGGCGGCGCCCGCGGGCCCGCTAGGCCGAGCCGGGGGAGGAACAGAGGCGCCCATTGAGCGGCCGCTGCGCAGGGCGGTGCCCACAGCCCCGGATGCCTCGGCCAGGACTTGGCTCCCCCGGCTGCCTCTGCTCCAGTCTCAGCGCGGGCCAGGGGCTAGGGGGATTGGGGATAGCGGGCGGGGTTCGTGTTAGTGAACCGCCCAGCCCTCTCCTTTCTCCTGGGCTATGGAGCTGGAGGGATGTATCCAGCAAGGGTGCATCATGCTTAGCGCGCGCCCGTTAGGGAGCGCGGGCCTGAGCGCACCAGCACCGCTAGCGGCTCAGCTCTTGAATTGAGCGAGGGAAAAGGGAAAGTTGGGAAAGTTAAGAGGACCATCTGGGAGAAAGCCACTGGAGAGAAGAATGAGGTGATTCTGACCTCATTCAAAGTGGCTCAACCCTTTTGTCCTAGTGTCTGCCAAGCAGACCTCAGGCCAAAGATTCCCCTGAAAAGCCAGGCTCAGCAGCACCCACCAGACCCACTAACTGGAAAAGGGCAAGAATACACCACACTGGTCAGGGGACCCCAAAGTTCCTCCTCCCTCAGCTTTCTTCTCCCCCTCTGCCAGGGCGCTAAGAACGCTTTATCAACATTCATTCTATTTTACAAGCGGGCAGCCTGGGATTTTTGATGCCCGAACAACAGAAAGGAGTTTTTGAAGTTTCTAGACTTCAAACTGCACCTCACTCTGTCCTTTCTCTGGGCCCCTCTTGTCCTCCGAGGCTCATCTAAAAAGGAGCTAGAGATGCTGAAGAGACAGACACTGCATCTTCCTTGACAACCCCAAATTAAATCAGGCTTCAGCCTCCAAGGTGTGTGTGTGTGTGTGTGTGTGTGTGTGTGTGTGTGTGTGTGTGTGTGTGTTTCCAACAGCACAGCCCCCACTGGGGAGAATACTCTGATTTTAAAAATGTAGCAATTGCCCTTGAATAGCAGCCGGCCCAGCTAGACAGCCCAAAAGACTAGAAACATTTTGTAGGTGAAATGGCCACTTTTTCCACGCTGAAGAGTCCATAAAACTTCCCGGCGCAGCAGCTATTGGGGCTCATTGAATAATTCATCCCTCATTGCAAGCCCATAATGTCTATTCTCAGCCTTTTGTGGTGCTGTTTTCTCTTCTTTTCTCCTTGAATTATAAAAAGGTTGCCTTCCTTTGTTCACATCAAGCTGCTCCGAGCTGGAGCTTTGTCTGGGCTGAGCTAAAGTGTGAGTTTCAATGGACTCTCCAGGCTTTGTCTCCCAAGTTCATCTCCAAGTGTAGATTGTGTAGAGAAGGACTTCTTTGTAAAAGCTGGAAAAGTTGTACAAATGTTTGACCAGCTCATTTGGGACGTTTTGTCTCCTGGGCCTCAGTCGCCTGTACTGCGAGAGAGCAGCCAGTCTGCCAGCGCCGGAGCCTCCAGCAACAAGTAGCAAAGCCGTGAGTCCCCAGCCTCTGTGACTGCTCTGGGCTCTTCTCCCCACTGCCCACAGGAGCACATTTGGTTTGGGGTTGTCTGACTCCCTGCCTTCCTCCCTTCTCAGCACCTCTATTCTGCAGCTAGGCCTGGGATAAAAGCCAAGGTGTCTTCTCAGAGACCAAGGCAGAAAAATGCACCTCTCCAAAAAGAGGATTTAGGCTGAGTCCATAGGAGGCCTCTGTCATAAAGCAAAGGAAGCATCTCCCTGCCCAACCTGCTGTGGTTTGACATGTCTTTGATTTCTTGTGTGCATCAGAGTATCTACACTTGTTTTTCCCTCAAATCAGCCATTTGGATCTGTAACTTCCAAATCTAAATGTTCCTTCCAGGTTGTGTGCAGATTTTGCATTGCTTTGTAAAGCAGCTGCTCAGGAGAGCCACTGGCTGCCACAGAGTTGGGCAATGAAGATAAAAGAAGTCCCACTTGGATGCCACTCTGGTAAGGGCTCGGACCCAGCTAGTCACAGTCGGCAACGGCTGTGAGCCCACCTGGAAAGCCGCCTGTCCCTCTGGCAACTCCAAAACTAACTTTGCCCAATGAACTCCAAGTCCCAGGTGAGGAAACTTCAGGCATGAGTGGGACCCCTGGCCACTCTTGACCATTTGTGCATTTGAAGAGGGGCAACCACCCCCAAGGCCAAAGCCACTGAGACACAATCCTCCCCTCCCCCCTGCCGTCTCCTGCTGCAATGATCCTTTCCTGGTTCAGCATTTCTTTTCCTTTCTTTCTTTCTTTTTGCGTTTGTACCCTTAAAGTTTGAGGATGGCTTGCGGCAGGTGAAGGGGAAGCAAGCTGCACTTCTGTCTCCCATGGGGGAGATTTTTTTTCTTAGTGCCGACAGTGCACAGCCGAAAAGGAATGGGGATCTGTACCCCTAGAAGACAGAGGGTGCCAGCACTCTAAGAACCCAGATCCCTTCAATTTGTAACCCAGAGCTTGGGTTCCTTTCAATTCCCAGGCACACACAGGTTAAACCCCCTCACATTTGAAAATCAACTTCAAACAAATCAAACCAGTCAACACACAGACATATTTATAAGGCAGCCAATGTGGGGGCAATTTTGGAGGGCCGTTGCCCAAAAGAGTACTCTCTCTCTCTCTCCTTTAATGCGAGGAAACTCCGGAGACCAGGGCCTTTCCTGAGGGCATAAAAGCTACTTCAACTTCTGAAGATTCAAGTACCCTCTATCCCCGGCCCTACAATTGCTCAGAGATGCCCAGTCTCATACATTTAATGGCAACAGAGTGAGAGCTTCCCCTGCCCCCTACAACAGAGCACAATTCACAGTTCTAGAATCCCAGGGGCTGAAAGTGGTTAAGAAAGAAAGATTTACAAAACAGAAAAACTAAGCAGAATAGAAATGTTTGTTTTGATTCCTAGTGTCCCTCTGGTCTTTCAGTTCCATGTCGTTACTCAGGCGCAGAGACACCGCGCATGAAGGGACCTTGATCCGAGCTGGGCTTGGCTGCCGTCAGATCACCAATGTCAGCTAGCCGATGCCCTCCAAGTCACCCAGCAAGTGCGCCGCCCAAGGCGCCACCGCTTACCTCGCTCGCTCAGGATGCCGTCGATGCTGTGTTTGGCCTTCTTCTCGCTTTCCTCTGCCTCCTTCCTCTCCAAGTCGGCCTCCTCCTCTTCACCTTTCCCGAATTTACTTCTCAGGATGCGGCTGATGGAACTCACTGGGGGCGGGAGGAGGAAGGAAGCAAGGGAGCGCACATGGTTGAGACAAGCAGGGCTGTGCGGGAAGGACCCCCCACCCCCAAACACCAGCCAGGGCCCTAGAGCCGCTGCCCTGCACTGCTCGCGGGTGTCTCCTCCTGCATCTCTGGACATCCTCATCCTTCTCCAGCCCTCTCATCCTGCCACTCAAACCCCCCTCCCTATTATCTGTATCTCGGTACTGAAAGACGGAGGCTGGGAAAACCGTGCCTCCAAGTTAGGGCCGGATGCCATCTTTGTCCCTCGATTCTGGGCAGGAAGCATTTCCCTTCCTGGACTCCGAAGACCGGGCTCTAGGTCTGCAATCTAAGAGAATTCTCCCACCAGCCCACCGGGTACCCTCCTTCCTCCCCACCTGAATGCATGGATCCTGCGGTTCGCCTTAAGGGAGGAAGAACCAAAGCCGACTTGTCCGCGCCCCCCCCCACCCCCCCGTAAATCAAGTTTCTTTTTTTTCCTTTCTTCCCTTTTTTTTTTTTTTTTAAGGCTATAAAGGGTTTAAATTTCAACTGCAGAATCGTTTCCTATTGTAAAAATCAAAAGAAAATGCACTCTCTCCCACTTATTTTTTCCAGATTCCAGTCTGGTAAACAAATCCATGCTCTGAAATATGTTTCTCACAGAGGGAAAAAGGGAGTTTCCTTTTAATTAAAAACAAACCCTCCCGTGCGCCCTCTCGCTGGCCCCGTGCTTGCCCCTCTTCTCCCTCCGCCTCCCCCAGGCTGCCGTGGCGGGGGGCTCCGGACCGTCCCTGAGACTCTCGGAGGAAATCGGGGCCGTTGTGGAAGCCTCCACGGCTTTGCGCACACGGCAAAGTCCCTCCCGGCGCGGGCCCCATCTCCCTTCGGTTGGGGTTACCAAAACATTTGTTTCTCTTTAAAAGGGAACATCAATATTAATAAACGCTCTGCCTCCGCCTCACGTTTCCTGCCCTGCCTCCTCGACAGAAATCTTCTTTGGGGCGTCCTCAGCGGTGGTCTCGCCACCCTCCGTCCCCAGGACAAGCAGCTCACCCCTCCCTCCATAAAGTGCCAAGAACACCGGGTTGGCAAATATTGCAGGGCCTCGGGAGAGGCCACCTCCCAATAGCTGAGATCGATAATTGGGGTGATTACGTCTGGGTCGACGTGCCGGGGTAATAGCGACTGACTGTCGCGCCTCGGGGAGAGGTTAATGGGCCTAGTACCTGACGGCACGGTGTTTCGATCACAGACCGCGTCCTTGAGTAATTTGTCTCGGATTTCCCAGCTGAACATGCCCGGGTTCTCTCTTTTGTATTCCTCAATTTTCTTCTCCACGTCAGGCGTTGTCACCTGCTTTAAGAGAACAGGCGGGCAGGCGTTGGTACCCGGTACCCTGGGCCAGGTGGCGGCGGCCCCACCGCCTCTGGGCCTGTCGGGATGCTCCTCGCTGAATCCTCTGGGACGGTCCCCCTTTGTGAGCAAAAAGACCTGAACTCTCTGAGGCACTTTAGAAAGGGGCAGACCAGAACACATCCCATCCCATCCCGGAGCAGCCTGGGAAGCCTCTAACTTCCCCAGACAAGCCCCAGACAACCGGGATAAATTCAGAAGAATTATAACATCTTGATGGGGGTAGGGTGGGGTTATACTTTCTCATCCCTGGAAATAAGGCAACTGCTTACACAGAACCAACATGAAAACGAAACTAAAAAAGCGATGTTTGAAAAAGGAGCTGAAAAATCAAGTTAAATCTGCAACTTGTGCTTTTCCAAAGGGATATTTATGCTAAAGTGAAGACTGAAATGTAAAGGTATGTATTTGGGTTTTTAAAACTTCGAGTCGATAACAAATATTAATTAAGAGAGACTGACTCTTCTCTCTACCCCCAATATATATTTTTTAAAAAGAAGAAGAAGGTTCCAAAGATTCTTAGAAAGGCTGTGAAAGTGTTTCAGTAGGTGGGAAGGAAGAGGAGGGTGTTTGGAGGTCTTCGGTTTACCATAACCCTCTTGATTTTGCCCGGTGGCAACTAGAAGAAAAGACAGACCTTGTGTAATTCCCTCCCACTCAGCCCTAGCTGGTGTGACTCTTTCTTTTTAAAAACAGAACCAAAAATAATTTAAGGATAGCACCAAACTGCTTATTTTTTTTTAATGGAGTCATTGGCTTATTACAAAGAAAACTGATCACCCTAGTATTTGACTCATTGAAAACAATTTGCACTGGGGGAGACTGAGGGCGGGGTTTGGGAGACAAACCATTATAAAACCTAAAGAAGTTCCTTACATTCGTTTTGGAAAGGACGGTGCCATGGGTGGGAGCCGGGAAGACACTTAGGGAAGAAATCGGCAACAGGTGGGCACATAGAGCTTGCCTGCTTTAGGTGTTTATCCATTAAAATAATTTGATGAGGATTGCAAGGCTTATGGGCTTTAAAAAACAGATGTTATTTTTCCTTTGCAAAAAGGCAAGAGCTTTCCCTAAGTGTTCATCAAGAAGTGTCCAGGGCGCGTGCACACGTACACACACACACGCGCGCCTTTACGCACCTTCACAAACCTCAGAAATAACTCATTGGAGAGCCCCAGATGTCAGCCGTTACCCCCCGCCCGGTCTTCCCCAACACAGGGGACCACAGTCTGGGAGCCAGGAGGGCAAGGCCCGCCCGCTCACCTTGGGCTTGCTGCCGCCGATGGCACCAGGACGTATGGAGCCAGTCTCCTGGTACCTGCACAGGATCTTGGAGACGCAGCCGTGGGACACGCGCAGCTGGCGCGAGATGACGCAGGGCCGGATGCCGTGGTGGGCCATCTCCACGATCTTGTGGCGGATGTGGTTGGGCAGCGGCCTGCCGTTGATAAAAACACCGCCGAGCTGGTTGACGCGGCCCTGGCCGAGGGGAGTGGACACTGTGGGAAGGTGAAAAAGAGAAGCAAGGGAAAAGTCACTGGAGGAAAATAAAAAGCAAAGAACAGCAGCACGTAATTTCGCAGTCTTCTGTCCTATCCTCATGTTACAGCACCGACGCTGAAACTGCTCGACATCGGACTCCCAGACCCAGACCTCCTTTCAATCACATTTGTTCAAATTATTCAGCAATATAGCGCATGTAATCTTGTGTAAAGACAGCAAATGGGGCAAAATAATTCTCCCCAGAGAAAGCGTCTTCCCCTTCGGGCCCGGGGAGTGGCAACTTAGGAGACCCTGCAGCTGGTAGAGAGTCTAGCTTGCTCTAGAAACAGCCTCCTGGCGAAGAGAAGTTCACCCAGGAGCTGGCCTTGATGAACTCTGCTCCCACCGATCCCTGTCCAATTGGGATCTCTCCCTTTCTAAGGGACTTGGGCCAGCTGATAGCCCTTGGGGTTTCTAGCCAAAAGTGCAGCAGCCAAGGGTCAAAGAGGGTCCAGAAAGGAGGCCCAAGCAGCAGTGCCTGTGTCACCTGTTACATCTTGGGACAGAGACCACAGCAGCGGCAGGGCTGTTCCTGGGCCCCCAGCCCCCATTCTTGCTCTGGGTGTTACATTCTACTCTAGGCTGGGTGTGAAGGGAGTGGGTGGCGGGGGCGATGAGCATCTCTGCTGGGGCGCCCTAACCTGGAAAACCATTGAAAACGGCTCAGGCTTGCAAGACTTCCTGCCTCCCCGGGATTCCCAGAATCTTCAAGTGGACGGAAAGGCGATTCCTAAACAAGTTATAGAAACTTCTAGATGCTATTTGAGATACATAGAATTCTAATTTATTTAATTATTCTAAAAATTCCAATCACAATGGCGCGGCGTTAGCCACCACAACTTTGCAGGGCAAAAAAAAAAAAATACTTCCTGAACTAACATATGTTTCACAAGTGTGGGCGCAGCCGGGACAATTTCGAGACAACTTCGAGACAATTTCGAATGGACAAATTGCGGAGAAGTTGCTTCTGCCGCTCAGAAGCCGGTTCACCTCCTTCTCCACCGCGGCATTTCCAAAACAACAGGGACAAGTCTCCCCGGCTCGCCGCAGGCCTGACCGCCCAGCTCCGCCAGGATTTGCAGAGAGCAGCGCGCTCCATTTGCAGAAAGGAAATCGAGTAGGTCCTCGCCCCCGACTGGTGCTTCTTGGGGTGTGGGGTGCCCAGGGAATGGGCTTCCTGGAAGCACCAAAGGAGCCTGCGGAGCCTGGGGATGGGGTGAGGCAGCCGGTCCCAGGCCCTGGGATCCAGGCGGCGCGCTGAGGCCCTCCCTTACCTTCCAGCGGGAACCCGCTACGCGGGTAGTTCTGCCCCGGGCCCGGCCGCATCATCCTGGGCACAGCGCCGGCCAGCGTGGTCATCCTGGGGGCAGCTTCGCTCGGAAATTATATCCAGGTGAAGGCGAAACGGAAAGGCGAGTGCGGCGCGGATGACCCTCGGGAACTATCCGGAGCGTGGAGAGCCCCTCCCCAAAACGGCTGGAGAGAGAGGGAGGGACGCGGGGAGGGGGGCTGTCGGTTCCTAGTCCAGAGGCCGGAGCTGGAACCCGGGAAAGGGGAGGACGGGGAGGCCCCGGAGTCCAGGATCCCGAGCCCAGGGCGGAAAAGTTTGGTACGAGTCTGGGCAAATGTTCCAGCGACTGGGGTCCCTGAAAAGGGGGCTCAGAGAGCCACGGCGAGCCGGGGAGCCTGGTGAGGCTGGAGCGCGGCCTGCCTGAGTCTCCTCCTGTGGTGACACCGAGTGCGGGGATCCGGGCTCGGGAGCATTTATTAGTTCTTTTACCCAAAGCTTGGTCAGGAGCCCTGAGCTGCGATTGGCCGACGGGTAGACCGTCCCGGGTGGCGGAGACACGCGCTGATTGGGCAACAGCGACCACTTTCTCTTCCCATCTCTGGTGGTGCCGAGGCCTCTGCTGGCCCCGAGGGGGACCCGCGCTGCGCCCCTTGCCCAGGAGAGAAGGTTGGCCCGGTGGAAACTGAGAGAGACAGCCCCAGGGAGATGGCAGTTGCTGAGGGCGGAGAAGTTCCTGTCTCTCTGTCTCTGTCTCTCTGTCTGTGTCACTCTGTGTGTGTGTGTGTGTGTGTGTGTGTGTGTGTGTGTGTGTGTGTGTGTGTCTTTCTCTGATCACTCTTTCCTTGACTTTCTATTTCCCTCTCTGTCTCTTTCTGTGCCTCTGTGTGTGTGTCTCGCTCAGCCTCTATTCCTCTTGTGATTTCCTGTGTCTCTCTCTATGTCTCATTTTTTCTACCTGTAGGTCTCGCTCTCATTTCTCTTGGCTTACTGCCACTGGAGGGGGCACAATTCCAATAAGAAGGCATCTGGGGCCCCAGACATATTTAGCTTTCCTTCCTGTGGTCAGTGCCCCTTGGCCTAGGCTTGTTAAGGGGTCCTCCCGATGGGGCTCCTCCTGGGAGGAGTCCAGGGTGCGCTGATGTTCTTTTGTCTTCTCCGTCCGCAAGCGGGGCTAATGTGAAGCACAGGCAGCCGTCGCTAGGCCCAAGCACTCGTTAGTTGAAGGCTGGGGGTATGGGGGAGGGTGCAGAAAAAAACCTGGCTCCTCTTCTTGGTGTAAAAACCGCTCTGGCAAGCTGCGGTTCTAAATCTCTACATATAGATCCCCGATGCGTCGACAGAGATGTGTCTGTATGTTAAAGTTTTGCCCGGGTTCAGCGTTTGTTCTCAGGAATTTATTATGGCATTCAGACTAAACTGCTGGAAAAATAAAAGGAACGAAGTCTTGGCTAGGAGCTGAAGTGTCCCCAGCAGGATATGACGCCAGGAGTGTTGTAAAGACTGTCTGTCCTTAGAGAAGGTACCATTGTGCATAGCCTTTTATTTATAACTTGGTAAGTGCCAGCGAACTCGCCTCCTTTACACCCCCGAGTGCCAGCCCCGCGCTCTGCACTGCGCTTTATTCGCTCGAGCCTATTCAGGGACTGTCACTCCGGGGCCGCGAGGTATTCAGGGCCTTAATCAATCAAAAGGATGAGAATCGGGCAGGTTTTTCCCTTTGAAATAAAGGAAACAATGACTTCTGGGCTTCAAGTTCCCCCTTTTCCTTTTATGATTTTTGAATTTTTCCTGCCCCTGGAGGGAGTTCTCCACTCCTCTCTCTCTGTCCCCCTCCCCCACCTCCTTTGACAGTTTTGACGTGAACTCGGGCCCCCAACCCTACTTCCCCATTCCCTAATTAAGGCAAACTCAGAAGGCAAGATGTAGGGGGGTGTGGGGTATAGCCGCTCAGCAGTCCACAAGTTGGCCCTTTAAAAACCCACTCACCATTGGGGAAACCAGGCAAGCTTTCAGCCTGCCTGATGCCAGAAGGCTTGGTTGACCCTCAGAGCCACGGAGACAGGTCTCAGGAGACTCCCAGAAATGTCTGGACCCATGAAGGAGGCATGTGCCTTGTTTAACCTGGTTTTACATTAAATGATTCAATTTTTCAAGGGGAAAATTTTCTCATTTTCTTTTTAAGGCGTTGGGGCCACCAAAGCCTGTGTCCGTACGTTTTAAGCCACTTCTCAGCGATAGCATTTTGAGAGCTAGACTTTTTCCAAGTTTTCTTCTTCCCAAAGGTTAAGCAGAGTCGACAGAGCACTTTCTGGGGTCAGCGGTAATTGCTGTGTGAAGGAGGTACCAGAAGTGTAATTTCAAGAAGGCAAAAGTAGGCTCAACTCTCAGCTAAAATAAACTCTTGGACCCCGCGAGCAGTTAAAGAACATCTAGAGCTGAGTCTCATTTGTTTTTGAGCCGGAGGCTTGGTCTCCAAGCCCTCCCAGCGTCCACCCGTCTCTCTCCTGCCGGGAGTTTTCTCTCCTAAGAGCCGGCAGATGCTGGAGGGAAGCGCTTGCTGCAAGATTCCTTCTCCCGGTCCCGTAGATTGCAGAGTCCGCGGGACCGTTGAACGGAGGTACTGCCGGCTGAGCTGGGTCTTAAGTGCCCATGGGTTCATAAACTAGCTGTCACTTGCTATAAACATGTACAAATGGAGGCCACAAGGATGTGGGGGTGCTGGGGACCTAAAGCTCCGGAATCAGGAGGCGACTCATTTTCTCTCCTTTCCGGCCTCTTTCTTTTCTGCCGAGCGCTCTGAGATTCATATGTACCCAGATGATCAGCCCGGCCCTTCTCACCGGCCAGTGGCCAGAGGTCCCTGGACACCCGGAGAGGGGTGGGAGGGCACCCTTAGGCTCTGGACAGCTGGGCCACATCCAAAGACTTAATGAATCTAAATTTCTTGTGGCCTGTGTCCCCGAAGTCCGACCTGGGATGGCCAGGACAGCAAAGTTGGCTGAGGCTGCCTGGCCTAGGGCGCCCGCACGCCGCCAAACCTAACCCGGCTCAGAGCCGTGACTCCGCAGAACAGGGCGCAACAGGTCTCAGGAATGCCGGGTGATTCCAGCCACTCTTTCTCTGTCTCCGAGTCTTGGGCCTCCCCTTTATTTCTTTCTGAAGTCTCTCCGGAGCCCAAGCCACCCCACACCCAAACCCCGCAGCTGGATGGGAGTCCAGGCCACTTCCCTATCCGCAGCCGGTGGGCCAAGGAGTCCTGGTGCCAAATTTGGCCGCGGTACAGGCGCTAATTGGTAAAGGGATGACCCAGCGGTGGGGCTTGGAAGGCGAGGGCCCGCGCCCTGCATCCTTGAACCCTGGTTTGGGAGGCAGTGACTTTTACCTGGGCTAACAAATTACCCAGAAAGCATCAGTGGGACTCTCCACAACGGTGTTGTGAACGAGTGTAGGGTCCACTCACGCTCTGTGCACGTTCGAAATGAAACGGGAGCCTTGAAGACGATATTTGGATAATTTGACAAAAAAAAAAAAAAGGTGGGCGGGGGAGATAGCTTCTATTGTCCCCTCTGCGCCTCTGCCCCCAGTTTCAGAGACACTACAGGTGAAAATAACAGCGGGCTGGCTGTCCAGGCCTGAGTGGAGCGTGCCCTTGTTAGCTTGAAAGTTCTCCCTCGCAGCCCGTTTGGATGCGTGCGTCTACAGCCCAGTCGCACTTTGGTGACCGGCCTGGGCTGTGAAGCACCCTTTAGCGAACAGCCTCCGCACTTGGGGACACTGGCACAAGGGTTTCATGGCCCGTGGACTTCTCAGGGCCTCTGAGGGTTGACTTCATACTCAGCCAGACACAGGTCTTAAGAGGAAATTATGATCTATGCAAAATAATGTCCCTGACCTAGTGGGGAGCGGGGGTGGTGTCTGCCACCCAGACCTTTTTCCTCCCGTCTGAAGGGCCGAGCTCTGGCAGGCTGACACGGTCGAGCAGAGAAGTTCCTGGCCACCCGCCCGGCCCCAGGCGTGATTCTCAGGATGCAGTAAAAGTTGGGCAAACGCCGAGAAACCCTCAATCCCACAGAAAGGCTGCCGGGGGCTCACGGGGAGGACATCAAAACGCCAGGTTCGTGATCATGAGCTTCCGGTCCGGATGTGATGATACAGGATTGGTGAATGCCCGGGTTAAACCCGTGGTCCTTCGCAGCCGCTGCCTCAGTGACAGTCATTAGGCCCCCCGCAGTTATTTGTCAAAAGCATTGGCGCCGCTCTTCTCCCCATCGAAAAATCAGTCGGGATGAGTTCGGATTAAGGGACTAGATGAGGATGTGGACATCCCATTGAAACATGGTGTAGGCCAGCCGAAGTGGGTTTGCTCCTTCAGCTGGGGGAGCCCCAGGGAACGTGTGAGCGGGTTTACAATAAGGAACATATGGTTTGTGGGAAGATAGGAAGAGAGAAGGAAAATAGGAAAGGAAAAAGAAAAGAGGAAAAGAAGAGAGAGGTACTTTTTTTTTTAAAGGCAGTGAGGGAGGGAGAGAAGAATAAATCTCACAGCAGCTGGTGTCCTAGTTCATTTGGGTCTGAGAAAATTATTTTTAGGCAAACAAGGAAGACAGGATTCCGCCGCCCGATTCTCCAGGGCGGGAAGAATAGGATGTCTTGTAAAAAATAAGTAAGTCCTGTCTAATCTTCCAAAAAATGTTCTGCTCAATTAGGTAAAAGTTCATGGTGGGGTGGGGGTGATGTTTAGAAGACAGATTCTTCGGTAACTGCTCTTTGGTGTGTGTATTCGGGGTGTGTGTATTCGGGGTGTGTGTATTCGGGGTGTGTGTATGTGTGTGTGTGAAAGAATCTGGTGTGTGTGAAAGGGGTAAGGGTTGAAGGACCTTATTTAGCTGGGGGACCGTCTTGTATTGGGAGCGGGCAGCCTAGGCCTTGGAAAGACCAGAAAATCTGATCTGTGCGGAGGCAGGTGAAGGCTGTGAGTGAGGTGGGGGCGGGAACAGAGCTGGAGGAAGTGAATAAAAGAAACCTTGGGGTCCGTTGGTTTCCTTGACTCGTGGAGCAAAAAAGTAGGCGAGTGACCACTCCAGGAACTCCTGCCTCCGGGCGCCGGTACATAAAGAGCTGGGGCTGTGTGTCCTGCTCTTGGGGGAGGAGGGTACTGGGAAGGGGGAACTAACAGGTCTTTCTTTCGCTCGGATCAGGACTGGACTCCTTCTGACTCCACGCGGCCCCAGCTCCTGAACCAGCGCAGTGAGCCTCAGCCGCTTCTCAAACTGGGTCTCAGAAAATTTCTCCTCGAGATGGATTTCAGCGGCAGGAAAGAGGGGCCAGTGACGCGAGGAGCAAGAAAAGAGTAACATGGGAGATGAATGTTCAAACCCAGATCTCCTCGCTGAGCCTGGAAGCTCGCCACCGTGGGATCACGGGAACCAGAGGCAAGAGGCTGCGAATGAGTCCAACACCCGCGTTCCTCGAGTTTTAAAAGCACACCTGGGGCCAGAGACTGCACAGCCAACTAAACGGAGTAAACGCAACAGGTGGAGGAGGCAGAGTTGTCAGGGGCCAAGCCCGGCGCGATCTGGCCAGTTCTTGGGGAGCGCGGACCTGGGACTGCAGAGAGGCGTTTTGAAGAGTGCTGCGCGCACCTGCCTCTCGGAGATATCCAACTCCACCCGGGCGTCTCCTGAGAGCGCACAGTCCACAGACCCCGGGAGGGCTGCCCGCCCTAGGACACGTACTCTCCCGACCCCTCACTCTTTCAAAATTGGGGAAGAGGCGGAGGAGATGAAAAAGAAGAAAGAGAGAAAGAGAAGAAAAGAGAGAAAGAAGGAAAGAAATTTTAAAAAATAATAAAAGGAGGGAAGAATGGAGGTAAAACGCGGGGGAGAGAAGAGGGGAGAAACTCTCCTCACCACAACCAAAGCAGGAGGCCTAAGCTTCCTGAATTTCTACACATGACTTGCATTAAGTTCCTTCCTAGAACTTAAACTTTTTCATCTCCCGTCACCCAAGAAAACACCCATTTCCTCTTTTAAATAAAGTTTCTTTTTCTGGAGATGAACCTTTAAATAAGTCGTACGTTTGGGAGCGAGGGACAGGAGAATAATTTTGATCCAGAACCTTGGAGATTGGAGAAGCAGGTGGAAAAATTCTAAAAAGATGAAAACTGACCATCTCCGACACAGAAACCCATCGAAAGGGGCCACCGAGACCCGTTGATTAGCTGGAGGGAGCATGCGGCAGAAGTGCAGACCCCTCGCTAACCCGCCAACCTCCAAGAGCCCTCTTGCAGAAAGCTGCCCGGCTCCCCACGGTGGCCCTGCGCGCGCACCATCCTCGCGGTCTCGCTTCTTCGCCCCGGAAAACTCTATGAGGGGCACCCCAGCCTCAGCCGGGTTAAGACAAGTAGCCCCAAGAGGAAGGAGCCTCAGAGAGCCTTTCTTCCTGTTCTTCTTCGTCTTCTTTTTTTTCTAAACGAAATCTAATACTATCTGGCTGCAAAAATATATTATCACCGGCTCTCAGCCTAAGAGACTAACATTTGGATATGTAGGAAATGTAATCTGCATGGCTAATTGATTCTCAGCGTATCAGTTTAAAGGATAAAGATCGATATCTACATGATGGATATTGTATTAATAGGGGCATAAATAAAGGTCGAAGAGTCGTTACCAAAACCTTTGAAGCCGCTTTTCGGCTCTCGGGCCCTCCACGCGGCCAGTGGGTCTCTCCCACCTCCCCGCCCCCAGCTGCTGCTGGGCAGGGAGCATTTGCTTCCCCCTCCAACCCGGGACCAGGGTGGAGGAGTCTATGGTTAAAGCGAAAGTGTTTCACTGCGGCAACGCTGGGGAAAGGAGGTTCTTTTTTCCTGGGCTGCAGCAGGTGGACAGTAAGGCCCGAGAAAATGTAATATTTTAACAAAACGCACCACTCCCCGAAACACACGTATACGACCCACACAGGGACACAAACAACCACACATGTACACACACACACACACACACACACTCACACACACACAATCACGCAGGGCGGGGAGGGTTCTCAGCGTTCCCTGAGCGCCCTTTGGCCTTAGAGACAGGGAATAAATTCTTCTTTCCATCCCTCGGCCCCCTCCCAGAGGGCAGCGACGAAAGCCCTGGCCGAGCACAAGGATCGGTGATCTGGGCTCCTGGAGGTACCCTCTAGATGGGGTAAGGACGGGGAAGGATCAAGAGGTTCTGCGGGAAGTGTGCGGGGCTGGGGGGCGGGGGTGCCCGCCAATGTCCGCAGAAGGCAAGGAGGCCCACTCGAGGAGGGCTGGATGGAGACAGACTTGAGTCGGGCCCTGAGCCCCAGGGAGTGCGGCCCGGTAGATCTCGGGGCGAGGGGAACAGGATCGGGTACACTTGATCCGGAACAAGAACGCCTCGGCCTGGCGGTTGCCCGTTAGTCCCGGATCCCAGCGGCCGCTTCACCACTGAGCCCGAGCCGCCGAGGGAATTTTCCAAATGCAAATCAAACACCCTTGGCGCCCCGCTTCTTCATTAATTAAGAGGAACGTTTCGACAAAACCGGCGTAATCTTTATTAATTACGCAGCCCTTAGCGCGCCGTTCGCATCAATCACGCCCAAAGCGAAAGTGCAGGGGGCGCCTAATCCCTTCCCAGAGCGCGTTTGGAGAAGGAGCCGCGTGGCCGGCGTTTCCACCGTGACTTCCACCTTTCTGGGCTCGCCTGGCACTGGCTGCTCAGCCGGCGCGCAGGGAGGCCTTTCCGGAAACACCGGCTGGCTGCGCGCTAGCAGGACCGCTCTAGATCCCCTGACAGGCCGGAAAATAACCCCCACTCACTATTTGGGCACGCGCTCGTACGCAGAAACTCGCACAGGGACTCGCGTGGACACTTTATGGCCCATTTCCTCCGTCCCCTCACCCTTAGGCTCAGTGGGGACCACGCGGTTCTCAGTCCTCCTCTTCCCTAGGACCCTCTAAAAAGGAGCCTGGGGCGAAATGACAGAGGGAGGCAGAAAACCTCCTGTTGCCCCAGGACGCCCCGAAAAACTGCTCTGGGGGATGGGGCGGGGAAGACCTTAGAAGTTGTCAGGGCGACCAACTCCTCCCAGGTGACCAGGTTGCCATAGGACCAGCACACTGCTCAGGAGTGAGTTTTGGGGAGAGAGAGGGATCCTCCAGTTATTGCCATAGAGAACCAGGAAAGTTCGCAGCCTCCGGGTCGCAAGTGGGAAAGTTGACTGGAGATTGCGGTTAGAGGGGGTGGGTGCAAACTCAGGGTATTTCCGGGTAGCCCCGCAGCAGTCTTGTCCGCTGAAGGCAGGTTACCCTGGGCTTTCAAGGGAAAACGCCTTGGGGCGGGGTGTCCTGTGCGACCACCTCTCTCAGCAAAGCAGGGTTTGACCTCTTGGCCTGACCTTGCTCCCTAGTCCCACCCTATACTAGTAGGTCCTAACCTTTCTGCGCTTTGAGCCTGGACCATCGTCCCTTCAAGAGATTCTACTGGATAAAAAAAAATTATAAAAGCTGGATCAAGCTTGGCGTCGGAGGTCTGGCCCTCAGCTGGTTCCCACCCTAAAGGACTGGCCTGCCCACCCTCACGTCCTCGGGCGCCCTTGGCTCGAGGGCCTTTCGGAGCCTCCGCGGGAAGCAGAAAGTCGCACCTCACACTGAGCCTTTCCTTCGAGCGCTCTGCCGGGAGCTACTGAGCCCCAGCACGCAGCCTTGGGCACCCGGTGGCGGGCGAAGGAACCTGCCCCATTGTGCTGCTGGGCTGCACTAGCGGAGACGAGAGTGCGTGTGGGAGTGGCCCACTAGCACCACCCGCCAGGGTTTAGCAGCGCCTGGAGCACCTCCCTCTTCCCTGCTGTTTCCTTAATGCTGGAGCTGGGCACACTCCGATGTCCCGCATTCTCACATTCAATCATTCATTCTCCCTCTGAAAGTTCTCAGGCTCCTTTGCTCACGGGTCGTCTCTGGACCTGAGACACCTGCGAACCTTGCGGATCACCAGATTGTTTTATTGTTCCTCTCTTCCCCCACTGAATCGTCGGCCGGGCTAGTCTTCCAGTTTCGCCTGGAGTCGATTGCACTCTGGCGCACGTGGCCTTTCACTTACTCCACATATACTTATTGAGCTTCTACTACGTGCCATTCAGAGTGCTGGCACCACAGCAACGAAACAGACCAAAGTCTTTGCCCTGGCAGAGCTGATGGTCTAGAAAATAGCAAAAAAATAATATAGAAATGCACCCTGCCAGGAGATTGGTTGTAAGACTGAGGTTCAGCTCTGGAGAAGCTTGAAAGACCAAGGGTGGGGTAGTGAGTGGGCGGGTAAGAAAGGCTGGGGTGCAGTTGATATTTCAGCAGGAGTGGTCTGGGCAGGCTCTACGGAGCTGTAGCTCCTTGCAGAGAAGGGAGAGAAGGAAGGAGTGTTGGCTGAAGGAAAGGCAAGGAAAAAGGAAAGTGATGAAACCATGTGGTCCACAACAGTTTAGTGAATGCCTACTGTGCTGTGGCAGTCTGAGGTCCTGGAAAACTCCTGGCAGGGCCTGGGCAGCCAAATCTGCAGATATGCTTCCCTCCAAAAGAGGTAGTGCTTGCCTCCTCTGCGGGCCCAGCATCTCTCTAGATATTTCCCATTGTCTTCTTTGGGAAGATATTTCAAAATGGCTATGGGAGTGACGGGGGACTGAACCTTCTGGTGGACCGGCTGAGGCTCCCTTGAGCTCTGTTCCTCTCACCACCTCCAGGGGTAGGGTAGCTGTCACTGTTGACGTGCCAGAGGTATGAGCCTCCTCCCTTCCGGTGATCGTGGCTCAAAAATCCAGGATGGACCTGGGCCTCTTCATCTAGCCCCCATCGGCTGAAAAGTGCATTTTTATTTGACAGAAAATGACAGCGCGCCTTCTTGGTGTCCAGATCCCCACTCTACAGGACCTGTCACTCCCATTTCCCATACGAGAGGAAACTCCCTCCAAGGCAGGGGAGATGTTGGGAAAGCTAGGAGTGCCCTGCTCCACATTGTGGCGGCAAGTCTGTGTTTTCCTCCTGGGTGATTTGGAGGAGCTACTACCACTTTGGCAGTGGGAGGGGTGTGGAAGACTCCTCTTTCCAGATAATCCAGAGGAGCCCAAGGCCCTAAAGAACTAGTCATCATTCCTTGGCTGGTATTTCTGTGAGATAAATGGAAAATAAACCAGCAGGAAGAATTCAGGAGGAAATATTTTCACAAGGTTTCATAGGTTATTACAAAGTCTTTGAACACATCTTTGAAAGCCTAAGAAGTCTGGGACCAAGGAATGCAACAGATGAAGTGGAGGCAACAGTGTGTTGCCCTGCAGTAGAGGCTTGAAAAAAGTAGAGGCTTGAAAAAAGACAATGGATTTTCTTTCTTTTTTCTTTCTTTCTTTTTTCTTTCTTTCTTCTTTCTTTTTTCTTTCCTTCTTTCTTTTGTTTTCTTGTTCTTACTCTACTACTTCTTCTTCCTCTCTCTCTTGTCTCTCTCTCTCTCTCCCCCCCCCACCTTTACTTCTTGAGATGGAGTCTCAAAACTGGTCTTGAACTCTTGGTCTCAAGCCATTCTCCCACCTTGGACTCCCAAAGCCACTGTGATTATAAGAATGGGCCACCATGCGCACCTGACTACACTACAGGTTTCTCACATCAATATGCAGAAGTGCTTCACAGTCAAAGAGAGCGGTACTTACTTATCACAAGAACCACTGATAAAGTAAAACCTACCAATAAATAACTTAGAGCTGCTCATCAGGGAAGTAAACAGAAACCTATACCGGTGGAAGAGGTGAGAAGGCCCATGTTGAAAGGGAATCTTCATGGCATCTCCAAACCTAATCTTCATATCTCCAAAGCAATCCAAAGAGGTTCTCAGAAAGACCAGGTACCTCTGTCATAATGGGGACATGAGAATCGTGCCTGTAATAGAAGATAATCTCTGGTCCCTCAGTACAAGGTCACATGATAGGGGCTTTGCTCCAGTCTTCTGCTTGGTGAAGCAGTTTGACTTTCAGAAGAGCAAACTGTGTGGGTTTCACTGGAGGAGGATGACTCAGGAGGGCAGGAGCCAGACCACAGGACATTCAAAAGCAGGGTGGCAGGAAAATTCAGAGAAGCTTTCCAAGCTCAAAAAGCAGGAAAGTCCTAGGAATGGATAATCTTAGAGACAGAAAAAAGGAAAAACTCCTGGAAAAAAGAGAAGATTGCTCTGATAAAATGAATCCTAACTAATGTTCTACATGGAATCCAGGTGGTATATTACACTAGGCAACAATGATCATTGTCAATTGGAAGGACACAGTTGCACTGGGAGAACTGATCTGCATCCCCAATTCACTCTTCCATAATAGGGGAAAAAGATATTAGAAAGGAAAATGCAATATTTATGATCCTATCATGGGCTAGACAAATTACATATACCCTTACTTTGTACTGACTTAAGAAAAAACCTATTTGTTTTGCTCCCAAGGTTTTAAAATAAATCGAGTTTGCACTTTGCCTGCTCAAACCTTGCAAAAGTGCAGAAAAATAGGAGAAAAGGTGAAGGTAAATATATCAAATACTTGGAATAAACCCTTTTAAAGTAGAAGTCACCGAAGTGCCAGGATGGGAGAATCAGGGAAGACGATGCCACTATGCCCTGCTTAGCATTACAAACTGCTAAGCCATCTCACCTTTCACCTGTCTCAGTCTCTGTCTTGGGGACGACACTCTTCATGAGATTTCTCGGAGGACATTTTGGTGTCTTGGGGCTGGCAACACGAGAGCTTGGAGGGCCTGCTGTTTCTTGGTCCTGCTGCAGGGGGTCCCCATCCAAATAAGCTGAATAAGTTATCTCAGGAGAACTAAGGAAATCCACACGTGGTGACGATAGTACTTGATAATGGTGAATCATAAAAGTATATGTTTACTGAGTGCTTAGTATGTAATGGTATTGTTCTCAGTATGTTACAAAGATTCATCTACTTACTGCTCAAATCAATTAGGTTATATCTAGTTAAAATGAGAAAAGGAGGTAGAGATAGGTTAATTAACTGGCCCAAGGTCATACAGCTAAGAAGCCGCTGTGTTAGGGTTTAAATCAGGACAGGGTTATGTTACCAGTCCTGGTCCGTTAGAAAGTACTAGTTTTCTACTACTTTGATCAGCCCCGGAAAGCACGAGGTCTGGAAGCTACCTAAATACTTCATCTTTCATTGTTTGCCTTGTTGTGGCAGTAAGTAAATGTCAACAAAAGTTACCTTTAATACCTTCAGGAGACACCACACTAACTTATCTCGATTGGAAATAATTTAGAAATTTACTTCACCTCATTTCCCTTTTAAAATACATCAAATAATCCCACTTTAAAGTGCTTCCTTATTTGATTGATTGATTGATTGAGACAGGGTCTTGCTCTGTCACCCACGCTGGAGTGCAGTGGCCGGATCATAGCTCACTGCAGCCTCGAACTCCTGGGCTCAAACGATCCTCCCGCCTCAGCCTTCCAGGTAGCTGGGACTACAGGAGTGTGACACCATGTCCGGCTAATTTTTGTATTTTTTGTTAGAGACGGGGATCTCGCTGTGTTACCTAGGCTGGTCTGGAACTCCTGGCCTCAAGTAATCCTCTGGCCTCGGCCTCCTAAAGTGTTGGGATTACAGATGTGAGCCACTGTGCCCTGCCTAAAGTGTTTGCTTATTTTAAACAACTTTTTTTTTTCTTCCCGGGGAACATTTATTAGCCTATATTGCCATGAGAAAACAACTTGAGACACTTCAGCCTCAACCCTCCTCCTCTAAGTCGGTCGGGACAATGGCAGGCGGAAGATGAAGATATAAAGTAAGAATTCTAAGCTTCTCGCCTTCCTGTTACAGCCGATCTGCTCTGCATTTGGAATGCGGCGTCTTTGCGGGCGTTCTGAGTCATTCCTACTCCGCTGCAAGCCCCGCAGAGAACCTCGCCTTCTTCCCGACCGCCAAGTCTGATTGTACAGACTTCATAGAAGGTCTGGAATAAGGACTGTGTTGCTGCAGAGGCCGGGTCTTGGGCCCCTGGGCGTGAGGACGCAGGCTCGGCCCCTGGGAAGAAATGTACTAACGCACCTCAAGACTCCTAAGGTGTTTCCAAGTCCCCCCTCCAACTTTCGTGTCCAGGTCACGCTGCCCCGCCCTCGGACAATGAGAGGGTGTGTCAAGATGCTCTTTGCATCTTTGGAAGCCGAGGGGGAAATAGGAGACTTTCGACGGGGAGCAGGTTTTCCGGAGCCGTTTGGGGCTGAGATTCTCGAACCCCTGCTGGGGGCCGAAAGCGCCGGAGAAACCTGGGACTAAACGAAGGCGACTCCCCGCAGGGCGCAGGCACCGCACCCGGCGTTTGTTTTATTCTTAATTTACTTTTTTGGGCACCTCTGCTATTGTTACAAATAAATGCGAACGCGGAGCTTTCGGGCGGGCTCTGGGAGCGGCCCGTGGGCATCTTGGAATATTAAAAACGTCATCCGGTTGTAAATAACCTACTCCCCAGCCCTTGAAATCCGGGACGTCACAGGTGAGGCTGAATACCAGGTTCGCACAAAGGCAAACCAAACTCAGCCGGGATGCCGAGTGATGGGGTTGGCAAGATAGTGTGGCCTCTGGTTCCCTCCACGCGTGATAAGTGGGATCATGACAGCGTCCTTGTGCCTTCGATTTGTCCCCAAGCCCTCCTCTGCCTTTCCGATCTCAAACTAACCCGTAATGGAGCTGGCAAGTGGGACGAACGGGACAGCCTAAAGCGTCGTTGGCCCGGCCAAGAGGGGCTCAACGCCTGTCACCCCGGGCGGCCTTGGGTCCTTTGCAGTCGGAGAGGCTGCAGGGGAGGAGGAAGACCCAGCCAGCTCCAGGGTGCAGGATTCTGCCCTTCCACCCGAGAGCCTCCCCCGGTGTCCCAGTGGCAGTGGCTGCCCCGGGCTGCGGTCGCAGAGTAAGCAGGGGCTCCAGTCCTCGGTCCGCGCGCCCTGCCCCTTGGGCTCAGCTGCGAGCCACCGCCGGCGTGCGCACCCACAAGGAGAGAAATGGAGGTAATCCCCCGCTTCCCACCGACTGCCGGAAGCTCGGCCTCTGTGCAAACCGAAGTATACCTGCACCCAAGAGCGTGGAAATAATTTACACGCTGAATGGCTACTATTAAAAAGGATCTTTTTAACAGATCTCCTGGCGAGTATTTTAAAACAGGACTCTGCGCTAGATCAGCTCGCCCGTCGGCAGCTGTCAGCGACCAGCCGACAAGCTGAGATTCCCCTTTCAGCTGTCACTGGCGATGACACCCACATCTATCACTGGCGATGTTTTGTTAATTTAACCTCGAGACTTCCCTGATTATCCGCATAATCCGTCCTCAAATCCCCTCGTTGTCACTGCATTTTGATGACACGGGGGACTTGGAAAGCACCTATTTTGTGGGGGATGGGGAAGCCCACAGAAAAGCCCCCTGATGGGGGAAGGAGCAACCGCCACCCCGCCCATGTGAGAAAAGAGCCCAGCAGCCAAATGCCGGTGCAAGTATTTACTTAACCTTCCTGAGAACGCAAAGGTAACCGGAGTGTGCGTGCGTGTGTGTGTGTGTGTGTGTGTGTGTGTGTGTGTGTCAGAGAGAGAGAGAGAGAGAGAGAGAAGCAACGTTTAAATAACCCTCCTTTGGTGATCCAAGACCACTTCCAAAACTCAAAATCTAAGCATTGCCTCAGCATCTCCCAATCGGTTTCTAAGATAGGGCACCTGGTGGCGTTTAGTTCATTAAAGTGAGATTAGGAAGACAGTCGCCTTTCAGTAAATACGTTAAATATAATGGCTTTCAAATTTGGCTGCACAATAATCTCACATGGGGTGCCTTTAAAAAATACCGATGCATCTCCTTCTCCGCTGCCCCGACCAATTAAATATATGTCTCTGGGGGCAGGAAGGGTGCTTCTGTAATTTCTTTTTAAGGCTCTCCAGGTAATTCTAACGTGCTAATAGGGTTGAGAACCTCCATAAAGCTCACGTCGGTGGATAAATTTGCTATGTGTGAATTTAATAGGAAATGAGCTTCTAGGGACAAATCATTTGCCTTGCGGAACTTGGCCCTCCAATTTTTTTCCGAGCAAAGACTGTCAATTCTCACTGGAAGGTAATTCTTCCCCAAACTTTGCATCAGATAGAACCTGCTCTCTACCTCTCAAATTTGACTACAAAATATTTTTAAAGTCACACAGTAGTGACACAAATGTGTTATTTATATATGATGGAGAATACTTGTTTATGTGCTATGAGATAGCTGAGTGGACCACATATTACCACAGTTCTTGAAATCATAGTTGTTGAAATAAAATTGTTCTATTCTTGCAGTGATTAAACATGCTCTCTTCTGTTTATTTTGTGGTATGTTTTGTAAGATTAAAAGCTAAGGGAACTTTTTGCATATTTTCTCCACTCTCTTCCTACTTCAATATCCCCCACTCAACCCCATGGAGATGTGGTATTTCTAAACCAAAGATAATCCAATTTTACATGCAAAGGCAGCTTAAAAAAAAAAAAAAGGAAGTGTGCACATTCTTCCTCAGCTCCTAGGAATATTCTTGGAAATTAGGCATTGAATATTCTTACTTCTCCAAGTATATTTTATAATCAGAAATTATTGTGAATTCATCACAGAAACAAACTTGTTTTTCTTTGGCATATTTCAGTCCGCTTAAGAGTACAGAAGGCTTAGAATCAAAACTGATTGGATGAAACAATGCCAATATATATTACAAAGCTTATCTTATATGGAAAATCAAAAGAGATCTCTAGCAGAGGATAAATTCAATTTCTTACACTTTCTTCATTCACATAACTTCAAACTAAGATCTGGCTGCAGTCATTTCTAACATTCATTTCAGAAATAGATACTACTGTAAATATTAGCTGCTCCTCAAACAAACTTGCACTATAACAAATACAATAAAAAACATATGATTTCAAAGGAAGACGTGTAATGCATATTTAGCAAGCATGCAGTTCATTGTCCATAAAGTGAATTTCATCATCTTTGTATAATAGCAGAAATGTGAAATACAAATATAGCTAACAGGAATTAAATGATTAAAGAGGGTACGAGTTGAATCACAGAATAACTGGGGGATTACTTAGTTATTAAGATCATAATAACTGGGAAATTGCTTAGTTATTAAGATCATAAAATTAGCAATTCTATGAATAACGATTTATTAAAACGGCAAAGATTGAATACTTAAGAAAACAGGGAGTAACAAATAGTAAGAAATTTAATAGATCTTTTTCTCATGTTGGAAATTCCACTGCAATGTGCTTTTTTCCCAGTTACGCAGGTGCTGCTAGCCTTGGAGGCGACAATGTAGACATGTTCACAAAGATACCTTAAAATGTCACACAATGCAGAACTGATTAAAAATGGAGGCCAAATGTCCTTTAGTCTCTCTAGCGGTTCCTATCGCTGAATATAAAACAGTAAGAGTTCCACTGTTATAGTGCTAATTTTTCTCAAAACTCAAAGTGCTTGCCATAAGTATTTTTTTTTTTTTGCCTTTCAAAAATTCTTATGAAGTAGGGAAGGAAACTATTTACCTAAGCCTCCCAGGATCTCAGGAGTTATGGTCAGTGTGAGTCTGGAAAGCCAAGTCACTTAAGATTAATTCCAGAGTGTCCCTTCAGCAGACTCAACAGAACATTTATCAGCCACTCACTATGTGCCCAGAACTGGTTAAGGCTTTGCAGATCAAATGGATGACCAGATAGACAAAGTTCCTGTTTATGTCTTTACATTCTGCAGGAGAGTGATGAAAAATGCAACTGATAACTAAGACTACTGCAAACAGTATAACACATATTATACAAAGTAAATCTCATTAAGAAAGTAAAACTGGGATAGATACCCACTGGGAATAGAGTGGCCAGGGCAGACCTCTCTGGGGAGGTAATATTAGACACTTGGAGACCTAAATAAAAGCAAGGTCCATATAGGGCTTTAGTTTCCAAAGAATTTTCATGAATTTACCCTCTTATGTGTACAAATCTTCACACCAACTCCATGAGGTAGGGGGCGCTGATACTCCCCACCCCTAATTTTATAGATGGGGAGCCTGAGACTCAAAGGAGGTTAAATGATTTTTAACGGTCTTTCCGACTAAAGAGAGAACCAATGTTCAGGCTTACACCTCCTGCCTGCAGATACTGACCCCAAATCCAATGTGCTTTCTAGATGTGCCTGTTGTTCACTAAATCATATTGTATTCAGAGACTGAATGTTTAATTCGCCACCTGCATCATGAGTTTCTTTCACCTGAAATGTAGATCCTATGAAAGCATGATGATGAGTCTAACCTGTAGCCCTAGAACCTAGGCAGAATGTGGCCCATGGGGACCAGGAGTTTCCAAGCAGGTACAGAGACCAGACCAGGCCTGGCTTTTTGTAGTGACTCTACTGGTAGTAGAGGTGTCCAGGATTGAATCAAGCTTTTCCAAGATGAAGAGTTGCCATGGGAAGGGAAAAAAAAATACCACTTTCACCAGGAATCCTCCAGACAACTTACTTGCTATTTCAACAATTACTTCTTAAACTCCTGCTTTGTCTAAGGTGCTGGTGTATAGGTGTTTCCACGTAAATATAAATGATTAAACCCAATCTGCTGAATGGAGAGAGGGGAGAGAGACCTGAATGCCAGATAACCACTAGAAACCAGACAGATATTTTCCATGACCACATCCTGCCACTCAGTTCCTGATGGCAAAATCAGAAATTAGCAATAAAGCATGGTAAGCCACAGAAAATCTCTCTCCATGTTTAGATACTGATCTGCTAAGTGTGTCTCTTTGACTTCAAAGTATTCTAACTCAAATTTCAATTACATGAAATTTACACGTGCAATCTATAATAGAAGCAAAATGTGGCTTCTGTTGCCATCGAGGTGATTCAAGAATGTATTTCTCAGTTATGAGGAATCTTTTAGGTTACATTATTGGCATACTTCTCTGGAGCACAAATAAACTCTAAAAAGAAACCTGGTGCCCAAAGTAACCTTAGACAGACTTCTAGGTTGCCAGTTTAGCACACATAAAAAACTCATGTGTGTGTACACATGTACAATGGTTACAGCCACAAAGCCAAGTTGTTACCAGTATGCATATATTTTATACATAATATATCTTTAAACATAAACCTAATACATACATATATACATGTGTAGCTGCACTTGTGCAACTCAACAGTTTTTAGTGCAAACAGAATCTTAGTAATGGAGGTAAATAAAGAATGAATAAGAGGTAAAAATGGATATAGAAGTAAAACACAAGACATGGGGGTATAAATAAATTAAAACTAAGTTCTGAAAAGTGACTTTTAGTAATAGAAACCTAAAAACATTTCATAGAAGGCAAGAACAAAGTCTGACAACAGAGTTTAGTTTTAGTGGACATTGTGGTAGTAAATATGTAAGTTACTTCTCTCTTCAGAATACAACAGATCTCACTGGGCCTTCCAGGGTCATTATTCCTAGAAATAATCCCACTAAATGCCCATCTTAGCAACGCACATTTCCATGTGTGAGTTATTTCTCTCTCAGCCCCATTTAAAAATGTGAAATTTGGATTTAGAAGGGGACATGTATTTAAGGAAGAGAAGTGCCACACAAATAATGGAGCAATTTTACCATGAAATTAATGTCATGAAAATAGATATTTCTATAAATACCTCTTGTTTTTATTATTAAGACAATGCAGACATAAAACACTTCATACTGTAGTTTCTACATTGCAGCCAAACCACTTATCAATGGCCAATAAATTACTTCACTCCTATGATAGATACAAATGCTCGATTCAAGTTCAATTAATAGAATAGTGTCAGGATATCATGCAGACAGCTTGCATAAATACTCGAGGAATAATAGCATACCTTCAGTAGATTCTGTGATTTTTAAGCATGAAAACTTTGTCTTATTCCAAATTTCAAAAGATGGAATAAAGAATGTTTTCATATAAAATACATTTGGAACAGTTTTCCTTCTTAAAAAAAAAGGCATCTAACCCACTTGCAACATATACTGGCAATTCATCTTTGTAGTTACAAAATCAGATAGATATATATTCTTTTTCATCTCATGTGACTGTATGTGAACATTTCAGTAATTCCAACAATATCAAACAGCTAAATTCAAAATCATATAATACTTTCTAATAAGTGTATACGATATATATCTTTTGTAGCCAAAGGCAGAAAGACCTTCAGTTAGTTGATTTCATGTTTGGGCACTAGTTTATATTTTATCAGATAATTAAAAGTCATTAGTTATTTCACAGTATAAAATATTGAATCAATTACCAACAGGCTTTTATTTTCTGCTCCTAATTTCGAAATGTATTTGGACTCGAGGTATGGGAATAATGTCACTGCTTATCAAACAATTTTCTGGAAATCTTAATGCACAAAAATTTCCAGATTTATATATTCAAAAATAAATTATATGTTAAATGAAATTAAGAAAAAAAGGCGAGGGGAAGGAGAAAATCTAGTTTATATTCTGTGTGAATAGCTTTCAATATCTTCCAGGTGGGGGCAACCGTAAGCCACTTTTGAGAGAAGGGAGAACAGGCTCTTTAAGCTCCCTGAGTCTAGTTACAGAAGACTTCCTGGCAGTAACACCGTGAATAAAACAACCACAAGCTTCCAGGAGATGAGACTTCTAGGCTCTGCTCCAGACAACACCCGGCCATGGGCAACAGGGCCCACCGCCCTGGGCGCGCCGCAGCCTCGGCCACTCCGAGTCGGCTCCGATCGCGCACGCGCGCCGTGCACCTGCCCCATCGCGCCCAGCTGCTGCCTGAGCTCCGGGCACGCCCGCGCTGTGCCGGCGGGGAGTGTCCGTCACTCTCAGCGCTCAGGATCTCTCCCTTTCCAGGACCGCTAGGAAGCAGGAAATCCTTTTCCTCTCACGTTTACATCCCATTCATTCTTCCTCCGGGCAATTCAAGTCCATTCACAGCCGCCACAGATGCACGTGTGCACGCGCGCAGCTGCACCTTTAAAGAAACTCTCAAGTCCTGGCGGCCAGAAAACCAGCTTTCAGGCGGGGCGGTGGGGCTCCCCCTCCCCTTGCTTCGTCTCTGCAGATCTTTGTGCTCTAGGGAGGGATGGCCGCACATTCTGACGAGGACGAGGGTGGTGCATAACGCGGAGGTCAATTTTGCACAGTCCAGGCAAAAGAGACCCCCCCCCCCCACCAACATCCCTTCCTGTTCAGTTTCCCTCTCTGGCCCAGCGCGAAGGGCGAGGGGCGACAGAAGCCCGAGGGACAGAAAACCGAGGCTCCTCAGTGGCCGAGTTGGGAGAGAGTGTGAGTCCAGGAGAGCCCGGGGGCAGCAGGGAGAGGGTGCAGAAGCTCGAGCGCACCGAGCCAGAGGCCCCCTCTTCTCCCGCCACGCGGGGCTGGAGGTGCAGGCGCCGGTTCCGCGGCGTGGCCCGGCTATGTGTCGCTCCTCCGCGCGCCGCCCGCCGCAGCCCGTGCCCTCGGGCCGCCGCCGCCGCCGCTGCCCCCCGTCGAGCCCGCGGCCGCACCCTCGGGCCGATACTTGAGCCAGCAGATGACCCAGGTGACAACGACCGAGAAGAGTGCCAGGATGCTGGCCACCGACAGGCAGATGGGCCCCACGGGCGAGGGCGAGGGCGACCCGGTGGCCGGTGCCTCGCCAGGGGGCGCCCCGCCTCCGGGGGTTCCCCCGCCGCCGTAGTGGTTGACGAAGATGAGGCCGGTGAAGAGCAGCACCACCATGGAGAGGAAGGAGAAGACCACGCACACGCAGCCAGCGGTGAGCGCCGCGCGCTTGCAGTTCTGGCAGCTGTCGTAGGCGCCCGGGGCGCGCAGGCCGGGGCGGGCTCGAGGCCCGGGGGCCGCGTCCTCGGCAGGCGGCGGCGGCGGCGGCTGCGGTGGGGCGGGGGAGGGCGGCGGTGGCGGGGCCGGGGTGGGCGGCGGGGCAGCAGCGGGCGCGGGCAGGCGCGCGGGCAGCGGCGGGAGGCGGTCCTGGGGCAGCGGGTCGTGCGCTGCGCGCAAAGCCAGCGGGAAGGCCTCGGCTAGCTTGGTGTTGTTGGGCAGGCCGTGCACGCGGCTGTCGGGCAGCGGCGTGCGGTGGCGGCACACCGGGCACGCGATGGCGCCGGGCGGGCAGAGCCAGGGCGGCGGGCGCGGCGGGCGCTCAGGCGCGGCGGCAGCGGCGGCGGCGGCGGCGGCGCGGAGCTGCAGCTGGCTCAGGCACTCCTGGCAGAAGGTGTGCAAGCACGCCAGCAGCTTGGGCGCGCGCCGGTCCGCGTCGAAGTAGTTGTAGCAGATTTTGCACTCGTAGTCCTCAAGCGGAGGGAGGCCGGAGACCGTCTCCGCTGCGTCCCGGGCTCCTGCGTCTCCGCAGTCCGGGGCTCCCTTCGCGGCGACCCCAGCTCCCTCCCGGCTCCCGGGGCTGCTGCTTGGGCTCTGCTGGCTGCCGCCGCTGTCGCTCGCCGGCGCTGCCATGGCATGATCCGCCCCTCATCGGGGGCAAGGTGAGGTGCCTTCCTCCCCCTGCACCGCCGCCTGGGCTCCGGGCGGGGAGGAGGCGCTTCTGCCTCCCCCCTCTGACTGCTGTCGCCTGGCGGGGGAGGCACCGCTGGCTGGGCCAGGCGGGGGCGCAGCAGCGACCGCCTCCCCCTCCCGCCTCCCCGTCCCCCGCCCCCGGCGCGTGCACCACGGTCCCTCCCCGTCCCTGGGCTCCTCTGCAGTCCCCCTCGGCCTTCTCAACGCAGCTTTCCCAGCAGCTTAGGATATCGGTTTTTGTTGGACTTGAAATTGGGAGTTGAGGGCGGCCTGGAGGCGCTCGGGAAGGAGATTTGGGGTGCGGCTGCTTATAAAGATGTTGCCTTTTACCCCAGCAGTCCCCCGCCCCCTACGCGGGGTGGTGGCAGGAAACCGGTTCCTGAGTTTTCCTTCTTTCTCTTCCTCGACACGACCTCCCCACCAGTGTGTTTCTGTTTATCCTCCTCGCCCGGGGGCTGGGTCCCTGGCGAAGCCTCGTTTTCACCCACCCACCCCCAAGCCAGAGCTCACCAGTGATGTAATGCGGGACCCGCGCGGGGAGGGGAAACGGCAGCCTCAACCGCCTGGCAGCGGCGGTTTCTTCTCTTCGTGAAAATCGTGATCTCATCTCTCCGTCCATGGGCGAAAAAACAGCCATCACCAGGCCATTCACGCTTTGTGCTTTTGTTAGCAGAGCCCAGGCAGCCCTGCAGCCCACATCTAGGGTACAAACGGAACGGCGGCGTTTTCCTTGTATCATTTAGAGGAAATTTTTGAGCTGAACAGTATTTTTTTTCTCCCTCTCTCTCTCTCTGAAATATTGCTGAGATTTAAAGGAGGACGAAGACAACAGATTCATAGCTGGGTCTTGCTGTTTTCCTGACGCTGACCACAGCGGATCTAGGTGGCTATTTCGTTGGTGCACAGGCGTTCACAGAGGCAGAGAGGGGAGAAAGTTGTCAAACAGATTCACAGACTGTCAAAGTGCGGCTTAAACCGAGTTCCTGGGCTCCCTCACTGGCTTCGTCCACTTAAACTTTTAACGTACACATGTAGAGAGCTGAAACTCCAGGGGTAACATGGGACAGGTCCTCTTGATTTAATGAAAACAGAAGATCAACTGGACCGGGTAGCAAGAAATAAGGCTTAAGAAGCACTGGGTAGGTGACAGGAGTGGTGGGCTTGAGGACCAACTGAGGGGTGGTGTTCAGATACTCCTAACCAGAAAGTCTGTCCCCCGATTTCTCCAGGTTGGGCCTCACCCTATGAGCAGGGAACCCACCTTCCCCCTCAACAAAAGAAAAGATGACTTTGGAATGTTCTGGATTCCCACAGCTGGGAATGTTCCTACTTTTTTTTCAGTTTCTCTGCAGAAGACAGCAAGATGCCCCAGGGAATGTTTGTGAAAAAGGATGACTGGATGGGAAGCAAGCTGAAGAAAAAGAAGGAAAGAAAGAGAGAAATCAGTAAATCACCACACAAGAGGTGGAGAAGAGGACTTATAAATATTGTTTCTATGACATTTGAAAATAAATGTTTTACTCCATGCTAATAGTGAATGTGATGTCTTCAGTTTGAAGGGCTTTAAGTGAAGCTCATTAAAACCCACTATTTTCCATTTCCTAGTTTTTAATTTTGTAATTATTACTTGGGGTAATAACATTCTTTCAATTTTTTAAGCATTTCACTTAGTGATGGGGTGGTGATCAGAGAGGGTGGGTTGAGGGGACATCCTGAGAAGGCCTTAGTCTGGCCTTGGAATATTACAAAGTGACACTAACCTAACTATAGGAAGTGGCTTTCTGTCCTCTTTCCCTCATTTAGTTGTATGATTGGGAAAAGCCTGAAAATGCTCATTTATGCAGTGTTAAACTGGGTTCTTGTGCTTTAAGCCTTGAGTAGCTGTGTGCTGAGATGAGACGTAATGCTGATGTAGGACATATTTAAAACAGAGTATCTGGGAGAAGAGAAGCACATGAACAGGAGGGCTAGTGTGGCCTCCATACCAAGTGACTAAAAATAGTTCTGAAGGTCTGTATGTTTGAATATGGTGTGCATATGGGCAAAACACTTAAGATTTTGAAGCTTCACTTTATTATGCATTCTCACCATTGAATGACAGACTTGAGGAACAGAGTGTAGGATGACACTGGGCTTTCTCAAGCTCAGCATAATTGACATTTGGAGCTGGATAAGTCTTTGATGTGGGGCTGTTCTGGGCATTGTTCAATGTTTAGCAGCATCTCTGGCCTCTACACACTTGATCTCAGTAACACCTCTCCCCAGTTGTGACAACCAAAAATGTCTCTGGTTGAGGACCATGGAGCTACCACAAAGTCACAGATTTGGTTAAAGTGAAACCAAAAGCAGTAATATCTTACAGCTCCTAACTAGTGTAAGATAGCATTCTCAAAGAATTTAATGACTACAGGCATTTCTTCTATAGCTCATGGTCATTTAGATAATACTGAACTCTCTTTGAGAGGTCCAGTACAGCTTTTGTCAATAACACATCCTGTTGATGGAGTCATAAACAATTGCGAGAATTTGGTTAACCATAGTAAAATTTACTGTCTGAGTTTGGATAGGTTTTTCAGAGGAGCCCAAATCAATTATTTTATATCCTAGAGTCAATCATTCATTTTTAGGACTCTTAAAAATGCCATGTGGGGCTTCTGTAGGTACAGGGAGGAGGCGTGACATTGCTAAAGAGTGTGAGTTTGTGTGACACAGGCCATAGACACCTGCCTTAACAGACTGTCAGGCCAGTGCCAGTGTCACCTGAAGGTTTAAGTAGTAAAGCCTGGTCATTCATGTAGGAATTAGAGTTCCACTTTAGAGAAAGATGTATTGAAAGGGATCAGAAACAAGGAACTCGGCATAAGTTGAGCATCCCTAATTTAAACATCTAAAATCCAAAACTTTTTGAGCACCAACATGATGCCACAAGTGAAAAAATTCTACACCTGACCTCATGCGATGCATATATAAATTAATATAATATTAAAAATATTATATAGGCTGGGTACAGTGGCACAAATCCATAATCCCAGCACTTTAGGAGGCTGAGGCGGGTGGATCACTTGAGATCGGGAGTTCGAGACCAGCCTGGCCAATGTGGTGAAACTCCGTCTCTAAGAAAAAATACAAAAATTAGCCAGGGGTGGTGATGGGCGCCTGTAATCCCAGCTACTTGGGAAACTGAGGCAGGAGAATCCCTTGAACCCGGGAGGGGGAGGTTGCAGTGAGCCAAGATCGCACCATTGCACTCCAGCCTCGGCAACAGAGATTCTGTCTCAAAAAAAAAAACAAACAAACAAAAAAAAAAAAATATATATATATATATATATACACACACACACACAACACACACATATATACAGAGCGAGACTCTGTCTCAAAATATGTATCTATGTAATGTATACATATACCATTTTTATATATACATATGTATATATATATATAGAGAGAGAGAGAGAGAGTATAAAATTACCTTCAGGCTATAGGTATAAGGTGTATACGAAACATAAATGAATTTCATGTTTAGGGTCCCATCCCCCAGCTCTCTCATTATGTATATGCAAATATTCCAAAATCCGACATCTGAAACAGTTTTGATCCCAAGCATTTCAGATAAGGGATATTCATCCTGTATTTATGTCAGTATTTGAACTCGCTTTGCAAGAATCTTGTTCATGCTTGAACATATTAGACATCCACTATTTGCTGAATTGTTTTATTTTTGAAGATTTGTGTATAAATGGGAGACAGCCATGGTCTCAGGCAATCTCTTACATAGATTTCCTCTACTGACCACCTAAAGAGAGAGAATGCTTTAGTTTTGGGGTTACTGTCTCACAAAGCACTTAGTGGGGAAAAAGCATTAACGTAGGGTGTGAGTTGACAGTCCTGAGTCCACATCCTAGTTCTGCTACTCATCATTTGTGTAGTATTAGATGTGCTATTTGGCTTCTCTGTGCTTTAGTTTCCCAAACTGTAAAATGAGGATAAGGGTGGTTACTGCATAAGTCTGTTGTGAAGACTGAATATGCTGTACACATAACACACAAAGACTCCTGGGCTGCTGTTAACACTCAGTATTATCTATGTCAGTGGTTCCTATACCTGATCTCAGTAATTCTTATGAAACCCTGTGAGAGAGGCTCAGAAAGTTTATGTAATCAGCGTAAGGTGACACAGCCAACAGGAGCAAAGTAGTTCTCATGCATCTCTTCTGTTATTTCAGAGATAGAGATACAGGTAGTAGCTCAGTCAAGAAGACCAGGCAGAGGCCTGACCTATGAATTTAATCACACATTATTGATCTACTACTTGCAATAAATAAAGCCCTGCATAAAACATGAGGACAAAGTGAAATCTCACTGTAGATATTGGAGGAATATATATACATAGGCAGATCATGCCACTCAGAAGCAGGTACTAGATGGTTCAATCAAAGCCTTGACATTTTAAAATAGAAACCAGGTCGATTCAATCAACATTTATTGAGGTCCTATTCCAGAAGCCATTGGTGCTGGTGATAAAATACCTGGCCTCCTGGACCCAATAATTTAATAGACGAGCCAAGAGGAGCCTGAGGAGGCAGGATGACTACATGTGATGTAGTAACATCCTGGAGGGAATCCTAGAGCAGAAAAAGAGCATTAGGGAAAAGCTAAGGAAATCCAACTAAAGCATGGACTTTAGTAAATAGTAGTGAGTCAACAATCAGACTGTCATAATGTATGAAAATGGATAAAGCTAGATGATGAGGATACAGATGCTCATTATACTACTATCTTCCGTGATATTTAAAAATGTTCATAACAGTCATCAATCTTAGAGACACACTCAAAATTGGGATCATCTGTATAAAAATAGCACAAATAATGCCTACATTTTTGAAGACCTCACTAAGCACATTAGTTTTGAGGGACTGGAGAAAATAATCTGGAATCTAGCTCTTTTGTTCATTTTTTTTCCTTTGGCCTTTTTTTTGTTCTCTGCCGTCTTTAAGAAATCTACGGCTGGGTGCAGTGTCTCACACCTGTAATCCCAGCACTTTGGGAGGTAGAGATAGGAGGACCACTTGAGGACAGAAGTTCAAGACTAGCCTGGGCAACACAGAGAGACTGTCTCTACAAAAAACTAAAATATTAGCCTGTAGTCCTGGCTACTCAGGAGGCTGAGGCAGCAGGATCCCTTGAGCTGTAGAGTTTGAGGCTGCAGTGAGTCACACTCCTGCACTCTAGCCTGGGCAGCCGAGAAGACACTGTAAAAAAAAAAGAAAAAGGAAAAAAGAAAGGAAAGGAAAGGAAGGAAGGAAGGAAGGACGGAAGGAAGGACGGAAGGAAGGAAGGAAGGAAGGAAGGAAGGAAGGAAGGAAGGCAGGCAGGCAGGCAGGCAGGCAGGCAGAGAGAGAGAGAGAAAGAAAGGGAGAGAGAGAGAGAGAAAGAGAGAAAAAAGAAATCAAGGAAGGCTAATGGTGGTGGTTCACACCTTTAATTCCAGGACTTTGGGAGGCAGAGGTGGGAGAATCACTTGAGGCCAGGAGTTCAAGACCAGCCTGGGAAATATGGCCAGCTCCTATCTCTACAAAATATAAAAATAGATAAAAATTAGCCAAGTGTGGTGGTGTGCACATTTGGTCCCAGCTACAAAGGGAGGCTGAGGAGGGAGGATCCCTTGGGTACAGGAGTTCAAGGCTACAGTGAGCCACGATTGCACCATTGTACCTAGCCTGGGTGACAGAGCAAGATTCTATCTCAAAACAAAAACAAAACAGAAAGAATTCAAGGAAGCGCTGAAGCGGGAGGGGAGCCCAGATGTCCCCTTTTTGAAACAGGGAGGAAAATCAAGGCTGAGCTCACTGCCCAGCACTAGTCCTAGGAGTCCTTCTCTTCCTCTCTCCACTCTTCACAGGCGCTGCTCAGACCTCAGACCACTGCCCTTATCACTCAAGGCATTGGTGATATCATTGCTCCAAAACCCAGACTGCATGGGCCAAAGCAGATGAAGAAGAAATATGGGAGCTTATCAATGTTATATAATAAATAGAACAATGGTAAAATGGCAGAATGGAAAAATAGGAGCTTCTTCCACGGTGGATTTTGTAAGAATTACTAAATCCACCGTGGAAGAAATACTTGTTTAAATACCTGTTTCTAATCTACACATGGTCTCTGAAGCTTTTTGTTCTTCAGATCTTTTCAAAGTTTTAAAAGATGCAGGTCTAGGAGGCTGGGCCATCTCCTCACCTGGGAAAATGATTGTCCTACCTTAATATCTGGAAGCCATTCATGAACTTATGCTTTCTATGCCAACCAGCTACAGGCTCAATTCTAAAATAGCTTTTTCCCTTCTAATATTTCCTACACTTTGTATGCCAAACACAAGATCAAATGGAAATACATGCAATGTACTTTATTTCTGAAACGTCATTGTAGCCTGGACTCTTTCAATCAAGTCTGCATTGTTGCCAGAAAATTTTTTCCCTCTTATAATTCTACCCTTTTATTTGATGCTATTAATATAAACACACTTTATCAGGTCAAAAATGTGTGTTGAAGTTGCAAAAGCTCTTTCTCTTTGAGCTATGAATATTCTCTTTGAGAAATAAAAGTAAAATACAGCACTTTTAATATAAAGAAATACACCTTCTTGGATGCCACAAATAGGAGTAAATGAAGCTGCAATTGTATTGCATTTCTTACCTTTATTTGTCCTGGCACTTCTATCAAAGCAATGATTCTCAAAACTCAAAAGGCTGCCCTAGTGCTGTGAAATACTAAAGGCACTCAAGTTCCCAACCTGACACCAGGGATGGTCTTGACCTTGAGGGAGAATAAAAGCCAAAGATGGTGTTAAGTCTAATCAAGTCTTTGACTGAAAGAAGAGGTATTGTAGGTTCCCATGGACTGTAGGAGGTGAGGAGATGGCCCAGCTTCTGAGACTCTAGTCTCCTTGATACTTCGCAAAGATCTAAGTAGTAAAAGGCATCACAGACTGTATGGCCAAGCAGTCCTTGATGTGTTTGATCACCAGTTGCAAAATTTGAAAGGAAAGGAAACATCAAATGAAAACATTTCAGACTTGGTGTCAATTTCTCACTTTTAACACCCATTATACACATATGCCATCTATTTATAATCTCTTAAGTATCCTGGCTCCAAGGGGAATTTATTAAAAGAACTCATTTGATTAGAACAAAAGTGAACAAAGGTACACAGAAAGAGAAGTACAGTTGAACAACATGAGTTTGAACTGCGTAGGTCCATTTATACATGGATTTTCTTCCTCCTTTGCCACACCTGAGTCAGCAAGACCAACCCCTCTTCCTCCTCCTCCTCAGCCTACTCAACATGGAGACGACAAGGATGAAGACCTTTATGATGATTTACTTCCACTTAATCAATAGTAAATATATTTTCTCTTCCTTATGATTTTCTTAATAATATTCTTTTCTCTGGCTTGCTTTATTGTAAGAATACAGCTTATAAAACATATACAAAATATGTGTGAATCAAGTATTTATATTATCTATAAGGCTGCCGGTCAATGGTAGGCTTTTAGTTTTTGGGGAGTCAAGAGTTACATGCAGATTTTTGACTGAACAGGGGGCTGGTTCCCCTAACCTCTGAATTGTTCAAGAGTTAACTATAGGCCAAGCACAGTTAACAGTGTGCTTGGCCTACAGTTTACAGTGGCTACACAGTTCTACACAGATTACAGTGGCTCACGCCTGTAATCCCAACACTTTGGGAGGCCAAAGTGGGTGGATCACTTGAGGCCAGGAGTTTGAGACCAACCTTACCAACATGACAAAATCCCATCTCTACTAAAAATACAAAACTTTGCCAGGTATGGTGGTGGGCACTTGTAATCCCACCTACTTGGAAGACTGAGGAAGGAGAATCTGTTGAACCTGGAAAGCGAAAGTTGCAGTGAACCAAGATTGTGCCACTGCACTCCAGCCTAGGTGATGGAGTGAGACTCTGTCACAAAAAAAAAAAGTCAATTGTTCCAGAAAGTCTAGTTATAAATGGCCTTCATTCATCTTTGAGGAGCTCCCAAACAGTCACTGTTTTATTTATGGTTTTGTGTGTGTGTGTGTGTGTGTGTGTGTGTGTGAAAAACACATAACATAAAATTTATCATCGTAACCATTTTTAAGTGTATAGTCCAGTAATGCTAAGTATATTCACATTGCTATGAAACAGATATCCAGAGCTTTTTATCTTTCAAATCAGAAACTCTATACCCACTAAAGAACAAATTCCTTTTCCCAGCTCCCCCCAGCCCCTGGTAACCATCATTTTACTTTCTGTTTGTATTAGGTTGGTGCAAAAGTAATTGCAGTTCTTGCCATTAAAAGTAAACTTCACCACTTAGATACCTCATATAAGTGGAATTATATGTTTTTTGTCTTTTTGTTACTGGCTTATTTTACTTAGAATAATCTCCTCAAGGCTTATTCTTGTTGTAGCATGTGTTAGCATTTCCTTCCTTTTTAAGGCAGAATGATATTCCATTGTATGTGTATATCACATTTTGTTTATCCATTCAACCATCAGTGGACACTTTGGGTTTCTTCCAGCTCTTGGCTATTGTGAATAATGCTGCTCTGAACATGGGAGTGCTGATATCTCTTTGACGTACTGATTTCAGTTCTTTTGGACATATACCCAGAAGTGAGATTGCTGGATCATAGGGCAGTTCTATTTTTAATTTTTTGAGAAAGTTTCATACTGTTTTCCATAGCAGTTGCATCATTTTACAATTCCACCAGTAGTATGTAAGTATTCCAATTTTTCCACACCCTTGCCAACACTTATTATTTTGTTTTTTGGGTTTTGCTGTTGTTGCTGTTGTTTTTGATAGCCATGCTAATGGGTCTCAGGTGAAATCTCATTGTGGTTTTGACTTGCATTTCTCTGATGATTAGTGATATTGAGCAACTTTTCATATGCCCGTTAGCCATTTGTATATCATCTTTGGAGAAATGTCTGTTCAATGCCTTGGCCCATTTTCTAATTAGGTTATTAAATTTTTTTGTCATTGAGTCATTGTAGAAATTCCTGACATATTCTGGATATTAACCCCCATAAATATATGATTTGCAAATACTTTCTCCCATCCCATAGGTTGCCTTTTCATTATGTTGATTGTGTCCTTCAACGTGGAGAAGTTTTTAGGTTTGATGCAGTCCCATTTGTCTATTTTGCTTTTGTTGCCAGTGCTTTTGGTATTGTATCCAAGAAATCATTGCCAAGTCTAGTGTCATGAAGCTTCACTTATATATTTTCTTCTATGAGTTGTATAATTTTAGGTCTTACTTTTAGGTCTTTAATTCATTTTGATTTAATTTTTGTATATGGTATAAAATAAAAGTCAGCTTCATCCTTTTGCACATGTATATCCAGTTTTCTCAGTACCATTTCTCCACTTCTCTGTCCTTTCCCCCTTGAGTGACCTTGGCACCCCTGTCAAAGATCATTTGATTATACACATGGGTTTATTTCCGGGCTCTCTATTTTTTTTTTTTTTTTTTTTTTTTTGATACAAAGTCTCACTCTGTCACCCAGGCTGCAGTGTGCTGGCGCAATCTTGGCTCACTGTAACCTCCACCTCCTGGGTTCAAGCAATTCTCCTGCTTCAGCCTCCTGAGTAGCTAGGATTACAGGTGTGTGCCACCACACCTGGCTAATTTTTGTATTTTTAGTAGAGATGGGGTTTCACCATGTTGGCCATGCTGCTCTGGAACTCCTGACCTCAGGTGATCCGCCCTTCTCAGCCTCCCAAAGTGCTGAGATTACAGGCGTGAGCCACTATGCCCAGCTGGGGCTCTCTATTTTATTTCGTTGGTCTATTTGTCTGTGCTTGTGACAGTGCCACATTGTTTTGATTTCTGTAGCTCTGTAATATGTTTTGAAATCAGGAAGTGTGAATGCTCCAACTTTGTTCTTCTTTTCCAAATTTGTTTTGGCTATTCAGGGCCCCTTGAGATTCCACATGAATCTTAGAATGAATTTTTCTACATTTGCAAAAAAAGTATTGGAATTCTGATAGGGGTTGCATTGATAGTCACTGTTCTTTGATAAATCCAGTGAAGAATCTTAAAAACATAGTGAAAACTACTGAGACCACAGGAAAAATTTCAATAGCTAGAAGCTTGTATAATTTTTCTCAATCTCTTTGTAAAACAAAACTATTACAGCAGAAAATTATGCAAGCAAACATGTTTGTCTTAGTGCATCTTCTTTTCAGATCTATACATACAGTTTAAATGACACCTATTAGAAAAGAATGAGAGAAACAATTGATTCCTTTGAACATGGTAGTCTTAATAATAATAATAATAGTTATTATCAAAGTACCATATAATTTTTTGGTTTTTATGTTAAAGCATTTAAATTCCATTGTCTCATTTCATTATAGTCTGAAGCAGAATTTCCTGAAATTATGGTCTCTAAAATATTAGTTCCTCAAAAAAAAGTTTTTGTCATCAAATAATTTGGGAAGTATTCCAAACTACATTCTATATTTTCTACTCATTAAAGGCTCTGAGAAGTACTGTTACAAAGATGTAAAGAAATCAGTTCGATGTGGTATAAACAAGTGTTTATCAAATTTTTACAGCCTCAAAATTTTTCTTTTTGTAAACCTGTATCTAAGGTATGACTAAAAGCCTTAAGAGAAGAGAATTTTAAAGAAACAGATTCAGATGCTGCATTATAAATATTGAGTGGTGCAGGAGAGAAAGTGCATAAGACAAAGGGGCACATCTACCAACATAGGAATCGACTTCTCCCTTTATACCTATAAAGGGCTAAAGCTGGGAGTGAGATTCGACATGTATGGAGAACCGGATGTGTTAACAATAAAGAAACAGGCTAATTTCTTCCATATGCCATTCGCATCATCTATTTGAAGCCATGTACCATCCTACGTGCAGCAGTACCTTTGCTGAAAAGAAACAAACAGATTCTAAGGGTATATTGAGCCAAGATAGACTGCCTCTGTTAGATGGTATCTGCTTAATTGACTCTTCACATGATGATGTTTTTGTAATATTTCCCATAGATGGAAATAAGAGACAAATCACCTTTCATCTAGCATGGTTAATCATAATTGGTTGTTTATGTATTTTTGTCTCTGACCATGATACATCCTCCCTCTTAATTTCTTTTGTATTTTAAAAAATGTCTTCTTCCAAAACATTATAAGAATTCAAAAACCTTTAAACAATGTATTATTTATCTTTCTGGCCACACAGATTCCTTCAGAGTCATTACAATCCATCAACTGTGCATTTGCTGACTTAATAATAAGCAGATTTGGTTTTCAGGAGACTGAGGCAGTTGTAAAGCGCAGATCCATTAGGTTCTTTCCCATCCACTATTAGAGTATGTGGGTGAGGTACTCACTTCAAGCAGGGGCAAGCCCATGGACCTGAAGCTTATACCATTTTGGAGGTCCTTTTTAAGAAAAATAATTAAAACTGCTTGGTAAGAAGTTAAGTATTCATTTAGAATTATAAAATAAACCACTGCCACAACAAAACATTTAAAGTTGATAAATTCAGGAACGATCTCAAAATCCAGAAAAAAATTTTTTTCAACTAATTAGCTATCTGACATACCCCTCAATAAAATTATTTGTCTGCATACTATTTGATTGTCTATTCATGCCACAAGAATTTTGTCATACTTTCTGGGAGAGACTAGAAGAAGAAATCAGTATTTCTTCTAGCATGGTGGATCAAACAACATATTTTTAAAAAATTAATAGTATGGAAAGGTTCCTTTTGGCTTCACAATTTGTTGGTATTGGCGCGTACATTTTTAGGATTATTATTAATTTTGGAAACACTTCTCTCAAGTGAATTTCATATATGGGCTGTAAAATTTCAAGGCATTTTAGGGATTTGTTTGTTGCAGGGAGTAATTTTAAGTACTCTGAATTGACGACACTCACTGACCAGCTTATCTTTGGTGTCCCTAATAATGTGGCATATTATGAGGGTTATATGGGGCCCTTCACCTTCCTTTTATAAAGTTAGATGCACAGATATAGGGAGTGGTAAGATTAGGACTGAAAATTGTTTTCTGCACTGGGACAGCTAACCTCTACACGGAAGAATCTGTGAACTGCATAAATATTTCACTAAACCAAAACCAAAGATCAACTTCCTTAAACACGGTCCAAAAATGCCCGTGGCTTCTTCGATGCTACCTAACCCTAACAAGGGGAAGTTGAAGTGGAAAGAAACAATGGTCTTAAAGATTTGCAGTTAAAATATATTCCTGTGAATTTTATGAGAACATATGGACATGGGAACACTTCAAGTTCAAATAAGGGGTCTTGAAACAAGCTTCATTGGTTTCATGGTAAACCCACTTCTGGTTTAAACTCAAATTTTCTTCACCAGAGTTGCTATTGTTACTTTTAAAAGAATGCACATTTGTCTATTGAACTAAAGGGACAGAGTATATAGAAACTATTCAAATACATGAAAGACAGATACATGACTGTATCCCAGCTGGCCAGATTATTAATCTAATCAACCAAGGAGGGGCCTCAAAATGGCTGACCAGAGGCATCCGGAGCTGCCTTCTCCACAAAGAACCAAGATAGTGACTGCATAATCACACTTCAAATAGATCACCGAGAGAGAGAGAGAGAGAGAGAGAGAGAGAGAGAGAGAGAGAGAGACAGAGAGAGAGAGACAGAGAGAGAGAGAGAGAGAGAGAGAGAGAATGCTGGAATTTAAGAGAGAAGTGACAGGAAACATGTAAGACAAGGAAGGAGGGGGAAGGGAGGCAGCCTGCTCAGCAGGCATCTGCTGGGAGCCTAGAGAAGTTCTCCAATGTGGGAAAAGGGTGAATGAGAAACCCCCGGCAGGTCCACCTTCTTACCATGGACTCCTGAAATCCTAGCCCGGACCCTGAGCCATTCAACTCAAGCAGCCCCTGAGACTAACATAGGGAGCTGCCTGGAGACTTCCCACAGTATTCATTCTGAGAGGAAGCTCACACAGGGTCCTAGACAGCTCCTAAATCCTAAGCAGCTACAGGAAGGCACCATTTTGAGAACACAGCCCCTATCATACTGTATTCTGCTGGAGGGCCCAATAGCCCCTGTATCTTCACATCCCTGGAGCCCCATTGACATTCTCCACCTTTATTCACCACCGCAGCTGGCTCTGCTGCCAAGGCCAAAATGCAAGCCATTGTCAGTAACCCAGCTGCCTCCAGTAGCAGGGCCACTGTGCATTTAAAGGCATCCCAAAAAAAGGCTATCTCACTTATAGCAGCCACCTGAGGCCAAAATGTGTGCTCCCCAGCCACCTTACTGTTGCCACTGAAAGCAACCCTGCCCTCCCTAGCAGCAGGGTCCTGGCACAGCTGCTGCTGCTCCCACCCAGGCATTCTGCCAATGGCCTGGGATCACTACATTCCGGCCTACCACAGCCAGCACCTACATGTACCACCAAGAGGGCCTGAAGATAGGCCCACCTGACCCGGCTCCATCCCCCTTCCCCTAGTGCCTGAGCATGATGTCTGGGTGCTTTGGGATTGCCCAACTTCATCTACCATTATTGGCACCTAAGCACCCCTCCCAGGGGCCTGAGGACAGCCCCACCAACCTGCCACTACCACCACAGCTGCCACCCACTTGTATGCCCCAGCTGCAGGCCTAGGGACAAGCCCACCCTGCCCAACACAGTCAGCACCAAGCACCAACACCAGGATAGCCAGATATTGTCCTGCCACTGCTACTGCCATCACCCAGGCCATACTTGATGCCCAGGGGTCCAAGGACCCTCCCACCCACTTGGCTCACTGCTGTGACTGCCAACACCCAAGGAATCCTCCTGGTGGCCCAATAATCAGCTGACCTGAACCCACTAACACCAGTGCCAGTGTATACTACCATGGGGCCCAAGGACAGGGATGCTTGGACTGCTGCTGTCACCACTGGAACCCAAGGATTGGCTTGCTTGACATGCCTGTTCACAGCAAAACTTTACCACAGCCCCTACTAATAACAGCCCCCTAAGCCACTAAAGAAATCATAGGCACTACTGACACTGTTTGTATCCAAAGAAATCATATGGAGACCACACTACTGCACACACCTACAATCAAGGCCAAAGTGTCCTACCCAACCAATAGCATAGATGTGTCTTCAGAAAAAATTTCTCCCCAATGAAAGCAAATTTTAAAAATTGGAAGAAGTGACTATTATGCCAGCTGCACAGCTATCAATATAAGGACACAAGAAACATGAAAAAAAAACAAGGAAATATGACACCTCCAAAGGAACAAATTAACTTTCCACGAACAGATTCCAATGAAAAAGAAATTTATGAAAAACAATCATATTATGATATTAAAGAAGCTCAGTGAAATTTAAGAGAAGTCAGAAAAACAATATAAAGAAATCAGAAAAACAATTCAGGATATGAATGAGAAATTTACCAAAGGGACAGATATCATAAAAAACCAAACAGAAATTCTGGAACTGAAGAATTCATTAAACAAAACACAAAATACATTCAAATGTTTCAACAATAGACTAGACCAAAAAGAAAAACAAATTTCAGAACTTGAAGATTGGTCTTTTGAAAAAACCCAGTCGGACAAAAACAAAGAAAAATTAATAAAAACAAATGAACAAAGCCTACATGACATATGAGACAACATAAAGCAACCATATATTTGCATTTTCAGTGTCTCAGAAGGCAAAGAGAAAACTAGAGAAATATAAAACCTATTTAATGAAATAATAGCTGAAATTGTTTTAATCTAGCAAGAGATTTAGACATCCAGATTCCGGAAGCTGAGAGATCCCCAAATAGATACAATTCAAAAAGGTCTTCTTCATGGTATATTATAGTCAAACTGTCGAAGGCCAAAGACAAAGAGATAATTCTAGAAACAGCAAGAGTAATGTGTCTAGTCACTTATAAGGGAACCCCCATCAGACTAACAGCAGATTTCTCAGCAGAAATCTTAAGACCCAGAGAAAATGGAATGATATATTCAAAGTGCTGAAAGAAAAATAAAATGCCAAACAAAGTTACTATACCTAGCAAAGTTATCCTTCATAAATGAAGGATATATAAAGTCTTTCCCAGAAAAGCAAAAGCTGAGGAAATTCATTACCACTAGACTGGCCTTAAAAAATATGCTTAAGGGAGTCCTACATGTGGAAGCAAAGGGACAGTATCTACCATCACAAAAAAACACAGAAGTATAAAGCCCACTGGTAGAGCAAATGCACAAATGAAGAGTAAGGACTCAAATGTTACCACTACAGAAAGTCACCATATCATAATGATAAACAATAAGAGAGAAAGAAAAGAACAAAGGATACACAAAACAACCAGAAACCAATTAATAAAATTACAAGAATGAGCCCTCACATATCAAGAATTACCATGAGTGTAAACAGATTAAACTTTTCGTTAAGAAGATGCAGACTAACTAGATAAAAATAACATGACCCAGTTATATGCTACCTATGAGAAACTCATCTCTCCTATGAAACTCCTATAGCAGTTACCCCAGCTATTTTTTTTTAAACTATCATCTTCTATATGCTGTTGTCTTCCAAAAATTTATTGAACTCTCATCTGTGAAGGTCCCCTTCTGAATAGCTTAGCTTTTATTCCCTTTTTATTCCTATGCTATAATTTTAATGGGATTTCTGAAGGGAAAGAGGTGAAAAATCTATGCTCCGTATGTGGATGCCATATTGAATTTTTTAAAAGTAAGGATTTCCTACCTGCCCTTGATTTAAAAACTTACAAAGACTCATTATAAAAGATCTGGAAAGTTTTATGACACATTTTTCCCAAAATACCACACAAGAATAAACTTCTGTCTCCTTTAAACATAACATAATCCAGTCAGATGTGGTGGTTCATGCCTGTAGTCCCAGCTACTCAAGAGGCTTGAGGCAAGAGGATCACTTGAGCCCAGGAGTTCGAGGCTGCAGTGAGCTATGATCATGCCACAGCACTCCAGCCTGAGCAACAGAGTGAGACCCTTGTCTCTAAACATAAATAAATAAATATAACATAATCCAGATATTGAACCAGGTTGGACGTGGATACCCAAAGAGAAAATAATAGTTCTCATTTGTTGAATACCTTTTTGTGCATGGTACTTTAAGATATTGCCTCATTAAATACCTATTTTATAGATGAAGAAACTGAGGCTCAGTTATGCAATTTACACAAGGTCATAGATCTATTATAATAAAGAGTAGTTCTGTATCAAACGTAGTAGCATCTGATCTAACCATACATGTTGCCTACTGGGACAAAGCTGCTACAAAATATGAGTGATGCCCACAGAGGCAAGTTCTGAGCATAAAATAAAGACCCAATCTCTATTAAATGGATCATAGCAATAGTCAATGCATACAACACAAAGTGATCAGGAACTTATTTGTGAGTATATGGGATTCTTGACAGTTCTTTCTCCCCAACATTGAACACTTGAGGGAGCTGGTTTAATTGGTCACAGCCTCATGTGGCAAGCAAGCTGTTACCTTCCATTTTAGCTCTGTTATTAAGAGGCTCTGTTGAACTCTGTCCTCAGCATACACGCTTATAATCATATTGACATTTCAGTTTCAGAGAAAAGAAATCATTAATTAAAATGTACATTATTGAACAGTCACAGTACATGTTGGATTCTACTATGGGGATGGCAGTAAATGAGCAATTTATTAATCAATTATTGCTACAAGTCCAAACCATACTGACAAATAACATTAGTTATGTGACTCTAAAAAAAATAGAACTGCTTTACTTACATCAGTGTCATGTTTCCTTTCCTCAGTTTGCAGTTATAAAAGACTGAAATTTTCTGTAGGATAATTAAGTCAAATATTTATTACTATTTTTGAAACTACTTCATGACAATGAATCTTACATATGTAAGTGGAAAAATTAGAACTGTTGCTCTCCAGATGGAAGCTATTCAGAAAAGATGCCATCATCTAGATATGTACCCTGGGGGAAGAGATATTAATCAAAATAAGGGATAGTAATGTAGCTCTTAAGTGGTTATAGCTGGTTTCTAACTTACAAGATAACTGACAAATATGGGGGAGTCAAAGCACATTTAGGCAGAAGCAAAGAGCCCCTGCTTCAGATAGTACAGTTTTCAGGGGAGTGAGGAACATAGATACACCTTGTTTTGTTATTTTAATTATTGACTTAATTTATTGCTGGAAGTGAAATTGCTATCTCTAGAAACCTCGATATAAGCATAGCAATAAGGAAACACAGAGACCTTACAAAGAGCTCAGAACACTAGTCTGATAGTTCTATGGGTTGATAAAACACCTAACTTAGGGAATATTTTATGAGCTAATATTATTTTCCTCAATGAATCTTTTTCCATTAAGTCTTTAAGAAACTTTCACTTTTTGTACTTCATAGATTGAGAATTGGTATGTTGCTTGAACATTCTTCGGAAAAAAAGAATATTTTTGTTACAGTTAGTTAGGGAGGAAAAGCTTGAATGAGAAATTCAGATGAACTCTAGCAAAGTTCAGCCTAATTTGAAAAATAAAATAACAGCCAGGTATAAATTTTGCTAAATTTCTGCCCAACACTCAAATATTAAAGTCACCTTTATCTTTGATTTTTCTCTGAATGCCTCTACAAACTCAAGGTACACTAGAAATTTAAGCAAGGTCAGTAAAAGAAACTGTAGGCCCAAGGAAGTTATTAGAGTTAGATTCATGCCAGATGATATTGGCCAAAGAAATCATTTTTATGAAATAGAAAACCTCAGTGACGTAAGATACTATGATGTTATAAAATGCTGTACCTGAACTCTGTCTCTTAGAGTTAAGATCCTTGCAGAATAGAAGAAAAAGAAGTAAAAAAAAAAAACAAAACTAAACTGTGATTTAGTAGAAACTGCAAATTGCCTGTGTTGAAGTTAGAGCTTAGCTCACTTAAGAGATGCAGCATGAAATTATAAATAATGTAATGTAGTTTCAGACTCACATTCATATCCAAAGGGAAATGGAGAAATGAGCCCATTATGTAGATAATGAAGACATATCTTTCTTTACTTCAGATTAAGACTATGAAGATAATCTTTAGACTGGGATGGATAAAAGTGCTATGTGGAGACAAGAGGATGCACAAAAGGATAACTACTGTTATGTCACATCATAAGGCCAAGGGAGTCACATTTTATAGTAAAATATAAGTGAACATTCAATGATACAGTATTTTATTTGTGATAATTAACAAAGTATTATACTCAAGAGCATCAAAATAAAGATAATCACAAATAGTCCAAAGGAAAGTACACATTAAAATGATACATTGGATTTTGCTTTGAATTTATATATATTTCAAGTAGTGGCTAAAGTTTTTAAATGATGTGGCAATTAGAATTGAAATTCAGAAATGCCGTATTTAAGATTTGCAAGTCAGCAACAATTCCACAGGTTGATTTCACTCTGATAAGGAAGATCATCACTTAAACTCTGCCATGTGAACACTGTAATTACTATTGGCATTGGGCTGATATGAACACTTCCTTGCAAAATGCAGAGCTTTCAATCAATTTCAAGTGTTTAAAAAATCTAAAGTGCTTAAAAGGAACTGTAAAGATGACAAATATTATCTCTTCCTTTTGCCAACTCTACAATAACTGCTAACCAGTCACAACCTGTTAACTGATTGCTAAAACTTCAGCAAAATGTTGTATTAACTATATGTCACAGGGCTTAAATGTCTTATTTCACCTAGGAGTACGAAGTAGGCTATATAGTTAAGCTTATATACTTTACTTATATACTTACTTATATACTTACAGTAAAGCTTTTATACTTTATATAATTATATAACTATAACTTATATAGTTAAGCTTATATACTTATATTACTTACATATATATAAGTATATATACCTATGTATATATACTTATATACTTCATAGCTAAGCTTATAAACTATGGATCCAGAGAAACCTATGGGAGTCCTTCCTTCACAGTGTTACTGTGAAATGATTTCTAAAACCCTCTAAGCTTAAATTTCTTCATACTCTGTAGATATTATAATGATTAAACAAAATAACAGAGTACTTAACAAGTGCCTAACCCATAAGATGTAAATTTTGTTTTCTTTTGACAACATAAATAACAGAGATAGAGATTCTAAAAGAAAATGATGTTTATTCAGGAATAAACATTGCAATGGGAATAAGCATGACATAGTAAACCATGCACATATTCCCATTGTGATCCTATTTCTGAATGAATATCATTTTCTTTTAGAGAGCTCTGTTATCTAGGTTGACAGTTTTATTAAATTTTGATGAGTGGATGGAAGTGGAGGACATTATGTTAAATGAAATAAGCCAGGCACAGAAACACAAATTTCTCTTGTATTCATTCATTTGTGGAAGCTAAAAAGTAAAACAATTGAACTCATGGAGATAGAGGATAGAATGATGGTTACCAGAGGCTGGGAAGGGTAGTGGTTAGTGGGGAGATGAAGTAGGAATGGTTAGTGGGTACAAAAATATAGTTAGATAGAATAAGTAAGATCTAGTATTTGATAGCACAACAGGATGACTACAGTAAACATTTTATTGTATATTTAAAAATGACTACAATAGTGGAATTGGAATGTTTGTAACACAAAGAAATGATACACGTTTGAGGTGAGATACCCTGTTTACCCTGATGTGATTATTACACACTTCATGCCTGTATCAAAATATCTCATGTGCCCCAAAGATACGTATATATATACCATGTACTCATAAAAATTAAAAATGAATAAGTAATATCTTTTAAAAAGTTATTTCAACATGACACAAATTTAGTAGATATAGTTTGGGAGCATAAATAGAAACCTTGTAATATTACATAGAAAATTTCCTTCATGAGGAAATAGACGGCCCAATAAATTTCTACCTATGAACATTGTTCCGCAAATAGATGAGTTCAATGGATTATTTATTTTCAATAAAAGTTCTTAAAGCAGAATAATGCTGAATTCATTTATTTATTGATTGACTCATTCATACATATATTCATTCATGAATTCAACAATCACATTCCTTCTATCTGGAATCTGAACCAAGAAACCCACAGGGAAATTCTAGTCTGTGGGAGGCACTTGAGCTGAAAGGTCATTTAGATCAAGGCTAAGATGGCTAAACTGGGCCAAGCAGGAGATGAAAAAGCAGAGGATGCTTGAGAAGAGAGAGCAAGAGTGAGAATAAGAGCCAATGAAAGCAAGAAACAGAGGCACATGGAGATGAGGTTAGCAAGGCCCTGAGAGATGGGGACAAGGCCTTGGCTTAGAAATGTTTCTGTTCCTATACCCATGCACTGTGACGACCTAAGATTCTGGAAGATTTCCCTGATGCTCTAAATTATTGCCACATCCCTCCCCATTTTACCTACTTTCGTTTGTGAGGGGGCTTCTGTGCCTTATGACTGAAAGAACCTGGTACACAGTAGATACTAAAAAATGTGTCCTTTGGACCTGATACCTTTATTGGGGTCCCTTTTGACTCAGGGTGAAATCCCTTTCTTGGATACATCCTAATAATATAAAGGTTTCTTATTCTAGTGAGTTAGAAGGATAAAAAAAAAAAGTGGAAGAGGTACTGGTAAGGAACTTGATTTTTGGTATCATTAGTTCTCCTGTCTCCTTGTTGAGTTTGCTGGTTGGCAAATGGACATGACAAAGATGGCACCAACATTCAACTAGGTACTTTACCGGCATGTCATTATTTATCTAAATAACAAGATCATTTAGAGACATGATATCTGTTTACAGTTTGGAAAATGAAGAGATGCGTAGTGATGGCTCAGTAAGATGGTATAAGACAATATTCACGTTTCCACTCTGGCTTTGTGCGTTACGTCAGTTATATGGTAGTTAAACTTTTCTACTGTGACATTTCATGGTAGATTATACTATCCTGGATTAACATAATCATACTTTTTTACTGACAATTAATATGACTTTTTTGTTAACTTTTAAGTTCAGGGGTGCATGTGCAGGTTTGTTACATAGGTAAATTTGTATCATGGGGGTTTCTTGTACAGATTATTTCATCATCCAGGTATTAAGCCTACTACCCATTAGTTATTTTTCCTGATCCTCTTCCTCCTTCCACTCTCCACCCTCTGATAGGCCCAGTGGGAATTGTTCCCCTCTATGTGTCCATGTGTTTTCATCATGTTAAATGAAATAAGCCACTTAAAAGTGAGAACATGCAGTGGTATTTGGTTTTCTGTTTCTACATTAGTTTGCTAAGGATAATGGCCTCCAGCTCCATTCATGTTACTAATATGACTTTTTAAAAAATCCTGGACACTGTAAACAGACACTGTTTTAGGCTAATGCACAGGAATGCCAGCACAGAACTGCAGGGCTTAGTTAGTTAACGGAGGCTGAAATTCCACACTGCTCATCAAGCATGATATTTAAGAGTTTCAGCAAATTATCTATGAAATTTCAGCATTGAGCTGTAGAAAATAAATATTTTATGCAATTACAAGGTGAGATTAACTATCCAGATATTATTTATTGCCTTAAAATATTTGACACTTTATTTATTCCTCAATAGTTACTATTGTTTACTAAATTTACTATTATTAAGGGATAAAATATTATATGTAATAACTATTAAAGGTCATTATTTATGCATATTACATAGAACTTTATTATCATAAAGTACTATATATAACAATTCAAATATTTGTTATCAATATAGTCAAATAAAGTTCTACTCCATTTGTAATTATATAGTGCTATGTAGTAATAACAATTATTTCAAAATATTTGGAAAGTTTAGGAAATAGAAAAAAAGGCAAAAATCCCTTTATTCCCCTTCTCTTGTTGATATTTTAGTCTATTTCCTTTTGGTCTTTTTTTAATACAGAAGTTGTGCTATTGTTGTCATTTTCTTTGGTTGTAATCAAAAGCATACAGAGTTTTGCATCCTGCTTTGTTTAGATAATGTTATAACTATAGTATTTTCCAAGTTTTTAAAATAAAATCTTCATAATTTTTATCATAGTGCAATACAGTTGACCCTTGGACAACATGGATTGGAACCGTGCAGGTCTACTAACTAATACACAGATTCTCTTCCACCTATGCCACCCTTGAGACAGCAAGACCAACCCCTCCTCTTCCTCCTCCTTTTCAGTCCACTCAATGTGAAGACAAGGAAAATGAAGAACTTTATGATGATCCATGCTATTAGTCTGTTCTCACACCGCTAATAAAGACATACCCGAGACTGGGTAATTTATAAAAGAAAGAGGTTTAATGGACTCACAGTTCTACATGGCTGCGGAAGCCCCACAATCATGATGGAAAGCAAAGGAGGAGCAAAGTCACGTCTCACATGGTAGCAGGCAAGAGAGCATGTGTGGGGGAACTTCCCTTTATAAAACCAACAGATCTCGTGAGACCTATTCACTATCACAAGAACAGCATGGGAAAACCCACCCTCATGATTCGATTACCTTCCACCAATTCCCTCCCACTATACGTGGAGATTATTACAATTCAAGGTGAGATTTGGGTGGGGACACAAAGCCAAACCATGTCAATCTATTTCCACTTAATGAAGAGTAAATATATTTTCTCTTCCTTATGATTTTCTTAATAACATTTTCTTCTCTCTAGCTTACTTTATTGTAAAAGTATAGTACATGATACATGTAACATACAAAATATATGTGAATCAACTGTTGATGTTATTGGTAAGGCTTCCAGTCAACAGCAGGCTATTAATAGTTAAGTTTTGGGGGAGTCAAAAGGTCAACTGAATTTCATTGTATGATTGTAGCACATTACATCTATCATTTTTAACTGTATATTTTTCTTTCTAAATAATTTTTAAGCTTTTTCTTTGAGTATTTTTTAGTGAGTCTTCATTAGAATGTAGGAGTATCTTCCTATTATCTATATTTTACTCCTTTAAATCTGCTTACTTGTTTTAAATAGTCACTTGCTATAAATCTTTTAAATTCATATGAGATTAAATATTTCCACTTAAGATGCAATGGAACTTACTAAAAAAGTGCTAAAAAGTAACTATACTGAGGCTGTGATCAGTCTCTGAGACCCAGTTCCTATTGCTAACAGTACTTTGGTTTTTGGAGGCTGTCCTCCTACAACTGAGAAAAGTAATCTATTACCAATATTTAAAGTATTTTCCCTATTGGTGCTTTGTTTAAACTTTCTTAGAGTTTGTAGTAACAAAAGTGACATGTTTTAACAAGTCAAACAACATAGAAACACTTAAGAAAATCTAATAATCTGCCTTCTACTCCTGATGAATCCCACTTGCCACTCCCCAAGATAACCAACTGATGTTAACATTTTCCTGCACAAGTTTCTATCTTTCTCAATGCTCATGTTAATATATATCATAAATATATGTATGTATATACATAGAATTTGGTTTTGAAAATGGGATTATATCACATACCTTGTTCTACAATGTCTTTTTCATGTAGTAATATATCATGGGCATCTCCAGAGCCCAAATGTACACCTAACATCCTTTTTAATAGTTGCATTAGGCTGGGCGCGGTGGCTCACGCCTGTAATCCCAGCACTTAGGGACGCTGAGACCAGCGGATCACCTGAGGTCAGGAGTTCGAGACCAGCCTGGCCAACATGGTGAAATCCCGTCTCTACTAAAAATACAAAAATTAGCCGGGCCTGGTGGTGCATGTCTATAATCCCAGCTACTCAGGAGGCTGAGGCAAGATAATTGCTTGAACCCAGGAGGCAGAGGTTGTAGTGAGCCGAGATGGCACCATTGCACTCCAGTCTGGGCAACAAGAGTGAGACTCTGTCTCAAAACAGAATAAAACAAACAAACAAACAAACAAAAATAGCTGCATTATAGTACATGATATTGATGTGCCATAATTTATTCAGCCATTTCTTACATGGACAGTGGGTTGTTTAGAGGTGGACTTTTTTTTTTTTTTGGCCCCTGTAGATAATGTCATAATAAAAATCATTAAGCACACAATATTACATATTGGTTTTTATTTTTATAGGATACATAATCCCAAGCAGAATCCTTAAAGCATGAGTATTCTAGTTTTTAGTAGATGTTTTCAGATTAATTTCACAAAAGACTTCAGCAATTGACATTCTCATCAGCTGTGTCTTAGATTGCTAGTTTCAGCCCACCCTCAACAACATTAGATCCTGTTGCTCTTAATAGACAATCTGAGGTTAAAAAATTATCTTGCTTTACTTGCATTTCCATGCTACAAATGGAGCTATTAATATTTTCAAGTGTTTCTTGATAATCTGAATTTTTTCTTCTATGAATTCCCCATACTTTCATTCTTTTTTTGTCTTTTTCTTAAGGCTTAGTAAGAGGAATTTGTAGTAGGAGGAAATTATACTTGGTCTGTCACATATAATGCAATTATTTTGCTCCAATCTACCATTTGCACTTCAATTTTATACACTACATCTTTCCCCACTTAATTAAAAAAAAAGTACGGAATTTTATTGTTTGGGAGTGCATTTCAGACAGAGAATAAATTATGCCGATACCATGTATTCAATTATTCATTACTTTGAATTGAAATGCCAATTTGGTTATATATCAAGCTACCATATATCCTTAGATTTGTTCCTGTTCTATTTTATTGCATTGTTCTATTAACATCTCCACTATGATATATCATGGTAGACTGTTCTATATTGGAGTAAATAAATAATTAATTAAAATTATTATGAGCCTCGCACAATGGCTCACGCCTGTAATCCTGGCACAATTGGAGGCTGAGGCTGGCAAGTCACTTGAGCTCAGGAGTTCGAGACCAGCCTGGGCAGCTTAGAAAAACCTCATCTCTACTAAAAATACAAAAATTAGCCAGGCATGGTGGCACACTTCTGGTCGCAGCTACTCAGGAGGCTGAGGTGAGAGGATCACTTGAGCCCAGGAGATGGAGGCTGCAGTGAGCCATGATTGTTACACCTTTGCACTCCAGCCTGGGCAACAGAGCCAGAGCCTGCCTCAAAAATAATAAAATAAAATTATGTTACTTTGTTGACTATAAACATACTGTTCTTAAATTCTTTCAGTATTACTTCACAGACACTAAAATATAAAATGTTTTAGGCTAACGTACAGGAATACTATCTTATCATAGTGGGTTTGTCATGAATTTTAATAGTTGGGAAAGTAAGATAGTATCTATTCCCTTACTTGTGTTTATGTTCACATGCACATATACACATCTTCCTCAAAAATTACTGGCTTTTCTCAGATATTAATCCCTTCACATAAAGTTTATATTTGTTTTGTCTATTTTAAAACATTGATATTATAACTGGGGTCACATTAAATTGTTGCATCCATTTCCACACTGGATTAGAAAATCTTTCTCTCTTAGCTCAAATTTCATTTTATATCCCTCAATAAAAATCATAGTTTTCTAAATAAATGGCCTTTGCCCATCTTGGGTTGTGGTTTTTTTTGTTTGTGTGTTTGCTTTTGGTTTGGCAAATATGAATGGAATTTTTTTTCCATTTCTACTTCTAACATATTACTGCTATTATAAAATAAGATTATTGTGAGTATTTTTGTACATATATCTTGTGCCTAATTACATTATCAATTTCTCTTATTATTTTTTAAAGAAGTTTATTATCTTCTTAGTTTTTCTAAATATACAATAATTTAAAAAAGAAAACATAGTAATATAGTCATTTTTGTCTCTACTTTTTCAATATTTATAATGACTCTTTCCTTCTCTCATTGTTTCAGTTAAAACTGGATATTATAATTGTGGGCATACTTTTTTTTTTTTTTTTTTGAGACAGAGTCTTGACTTATTACCCAGGCTGGAGTGCAGTGGCATGATCTCAGCTCACTGCAACCTCCATCTCCGGGGTTCAAGTGATTCTCCCGCCTCGGCCTCCCAAGTAGCTGGGGTTACAGGTGTGGACCACCACGCCGGGCTAAGTTTTGTATTTTTAGTAGAGCTGGGGTTTCACCATGTTGGCCATGCTGGTCTCAAATTCCTGAACTCAGATGATCTGCCCAGCTCGGCCTCCCAAAGCGGTGGGGTTACAGGTGTGAGCCACTGCGCCCAGCCGTGGGAGTACTTCTTGATCTTAATTTTAAAGGAAATGACTTCAAGATGTTATTTTCTAGTATAGTAACATCTTGATTATTGATTGTTATGATTGTCACAGGATTTTTATGAGTGGTCTTTAGCATATTAATATATTTCTTTTTATCCCATGCTTTTTGTTGAAAATGACTGAATATTGATATAATAATATGATCTTTTATCATTTACTGTGTTGTTTAATAAACTAATTTGATAGATATCTTAAAGTTGAATGATATTTATGAATAAGAAACTTTAAACTTTTAGAAATCATAATTTTAATTGCAATAAACATTTTAATATAGCTTTTTAAATATTTAGGATTATTCCTTTTGTATTTATTTAAAAAACATTTGTGAGGGACTTTGTAACTTTTTAGAAATCTTACTTAGTTTATAAAATCTTATAGAAGGTAAAATACAGGAGTGACCTTACAGTGTAGCATATATAATAAATTATTTGGACAGATTTTGGTTCTCTCTTCTATTTGTGTTCTATATCTAATAGAAAAAAAAATCACATTACACTTTCTACTTGAGAAATGCTTGAATTGTACTTAGGCCAATGTCATAAAGATTATTAATTTGTTTCAAAATCTACATTGAAACTTGTAGATTCAGAGATAAAGTGTATTCTGAAGGGGAAATACCCTCTCTACCCTCATTTTTCTTTTTTAAATCAGAGACAGGGTCTCTCTTTGTTTCCCAGGCTGAATTGCAGTAGTTATTCACAGATGTGATTGATCATAGAGTACTGCAGCCTCAAACTTTCAGGCTCAAGCGATTCTCCTGCCTCAGCCTCCCGTGGAGCTGGGATTACAGGAGGAGCCACTGAGCCTGGCTGAAATTTCCCATTTTAATGAAATATATGGTAAAGAGGAATAGATTGTAGTTACCATAATATTATGATATTATGCAAATGAAGTTGAGTGAGAGAATTACTGCTTCTATTTGAAAATGAAACAAAACAGAATTATATTTGATGACAGTTTTGAATTTTTACAGTTCATTATAGTTTTCAGGATACTTTGTTAATTAACAGATATTTAATACAGTTCAAGAAATTTGCACCTTTATATCTCATTCATCTCTGTTTATATATTATGGATCAAATATAAAGGGAAAGCAGATGCAACATTTTATGTGATAATACAGCACCAATGATATAACTAATGGTCCTACCTTCTATTTGTACTTTACTGTTTCTGTTTCTAGTCATGGATTAACCCTGTAATGGTTGAAATATTTTCAGTAGCAGACTTATTTTTCAATGCTAACAGGAAAAATAAGTCTAGGAAATTATGTTCAAATTATAGCACACAGTCTAAGAGATTATTCGCCTCAAATAAAAAAATGTGATGATGTCCCTTAGCTTCTCTCCTACAGTTTCTTATACACGGGTCAGATTCAAAGCTTCTGTGTTAAGTAAACCCAGAGAAGCCTACCAGCTGAGTAAGGCCAGGGAACATAAAAAAAGTGGCAAAAGCATTGGTTAAGAAAGATAAATTTGTAAAAATTGGGCAATATCTGATTTATTTTACTTCTTGAGCTAGACTGCAAGAATGAGCTTAGGCAGAGATAATGGAGGAGACGGTCATTTGGTGAGGTGTTAGGGCACTAGAAAGAGCTGGATGCTTTATAAATCCTGCTCCAGCTACTGACGGATGCTTGAAATTCCACTGTTTGAGTTTCTTTCTTTTTTTCTTTTTTGCAGTTTCTTACATTTTTAGGATATAGTACCACTTTGAGAAGCCAAAGGAAGCAATGGTAGGCATCCCAGGAAAAAACACACAGACATCAACTCAGAATGCTTTTGTATCATTTGGAATAAAGAACACACATTTTTCTACTTGTACAGAATATAAAAATAATATTTTATGCTTATGCTTCACTCGCATTTTTTCAGGCAGAAATTCATGCTCGTTCTTGGAAAATACGCAAAATTGTTGCAAAGATACGCAAAAACATACAAAATTTTCCAAACAAACAAGTAAAACAAAAGGTACATTTTAATCTGCTCAAAAGTTAATCTAACAGCAAAGGTGCTGTTGTTTAGCTTGAATGAGAGGATGAAACTGTAGCATGCTATCTGATGAAATGCCAATGTCATCTTTGTCAGTGGATTTCATCTCTCCTTTTGACTGATAAGTGATGAAAAACTGTTGTTCACATAGTTCATAAACGTAATAATGGAATCAGAGCTCCCATAGTACATTTTTTGAGACAAGGGCAGGCCTGAGTCAAGCAACATCAGATTTCTTCAAGACTCTGCTTAGGTTAAACCATGTAGCATCAATTCTTTTGTGAGGTCATTATTGGCGGAATCTGCACATTTGATGTCAGCAAGTTAAGGATCATAAACACAGGTTTAATTTCAAGATCACTGGAGCAGAAATAAGCATCAAAAGGATTCTGCAAGGTTCCAGGTGCCCACAGATTTTTGCCTGCAGAAAACTGGAAAAAAAAATATTACTCTCTACTTCAGCCTAAAGAAACATTTTTTCCTAGCATTGAAAACTAACAGGAGTGCCTGCTCCCACCTCCTTTTCCAGAGCAGCAGTTTGGACAGAAGAGCTCATAGTGGCTCTGCAGCTTTCCTAATAGCATGTAAGCCTTTGAATGGAAAAAATTACTTCACTAGTTTCATCAAAAGTATCCACAAAATAAGTCAAGCCGTAAATAAACTCATCCATGTCCAATTGTCCTAAGTAAATGTTCCTTTACTTTCAACATTCCCTTCCCCTGTCCCTATTTTCTTTTTTGCCTGAAGGTCATTCAAATGCTCAAGGCTTATCTTGTAGAAAGCCAGCAAATTCCCGTCTATAGAAAACATACTTTAGGCTGGGCACGGTAGTTCATGCCTGTAATCCCAGCACTCTGGGAGGCCAAGGTGGGTGGATCATTTGAGGTCAGGAGTTCGAGACTGGCATGGTCAGTATGGTGAAACCCCGCCTCTGCTAAAAATACAAAAATTAGCTGGACGTGGTGGTGGGCGTCTGTAATCCCAGCTACTTGGGAGGCTGAGTCAGGAGAATCGCTTGAGCCTGGGAGGTAGAGGTTGCAGTGAGCTGAGATTGTACCACTGCACTCCAGCCTGGGTGACAGAGTGAGACTCTCAAAAAAAAAAAAAAAAAGAAAAAGAAAGAAAATAGAAAGACAAGAAAGAAAACATACTTTATTTTCTACTGCATTTCTTGTTTTTTTTTTTTTTAAATCTTGAAAAAAGTGATGATTTGAGGTCCTGAGTCTGATGAAGTTGCTGTGTTTCATGGAAATGGACAAGATTTATTGCAGGAAGTTTGGCGCGGGTTTTTGTTGTTGTTGTTTTGTTTCTGTTTTTTTTTTTTTTTGTTTTTTGTTTTGCCATCAATGTTTGCTTAGATAGAAAGCCACAAAATACACACGTCTTTTCCAAAGCTGCAAGTATTGATGTGCTGTCATGCATCACAGGGCCCCCATCTCTACAGCAGTATTAAGATTGTTCTTTTAGTGGAAGTCTTACTTTGCAAATTCCATTCTAACATTTTCGATGGTCTTTGTATGCCCAAAATGATAAAACAGGGATTCTTTGATGGTGTTAATGCAGCACAAGGAAGGAAAACCAAGATGTGATTTCTTTGGTAGACCGTACTATGGGCAGAACCGACAATCCCTCTGTAATCTTTTTCAAAATATTGGAAGAAATGGCAGTAATTCTGGAGTTGACAGTATTCTTTCAGTAACGAACCACTTCAGTTTTCTTCCTCTGCTTCAAGCCACAAGCCAGCTTGACTATTTCCAGGGTATATGGCTTCAGAAGATCTCTGCAATTGTATGTGGGCGATTTTCTTTTCATTCAGGCATGTGGTAAACAAGCTTGAAGAAAGGAGATTTTGTGCTGGAGCAAATACCAATTTTGATAGAGTTTTGGTCCCTATTGAATTACCATCAATTTTCTTCAAAATGTTATTGTTTTGTTTTTAAAGTAAAATCCAATAAAGTTTAACGCATGACATTTGTTATCCCTAATCAATTCCCCACCCCCACCCTCAACCAATCATTGACTTCTTGAAAAGACTAAGCAAATTGTCTTGTAGGATATTCCACATTCTGGATTTGTCTAGTGGTTTCAGTTAGATCTTGTTTAAATTCTTCTATCCTGAGTATTTTCCATGAATTTGAACTTAGGTGTTAAGATTTCAAGAGGCATTTAATGTCAGTTTGTCCCACTATTAGTGATATTTAATTTGATCAGTTGGTTATCATGGTGGCAGCCAGATTTCCCTTTTGCATAGATTCATTTTTTTCTCTTTTCAATTAACAATTAATCTGAGGAGTACTTTAATCAATCTGTTGGGTAGAATAATACTTTGGTAGCATGCAAACATCCCATTAGCTTTTCTTAAATAATTTTATTGACATATAATTGCCATATAGTAAACTGTACACATTTAAAGTGGACAGTTTAGTAAGCTTTGAAATATGAATGTATCTGTAAAATCACCAATACAATAAAGATAATGATAAAGATAATCCCCCTAAAATGTTTCCTCTTGCCCTTTCCCCGCTTCCCATCCCAAGGAAACCACACCTCTGGTTTTTGCCAGTATAAATTAGTTTGCATTTTCTATAATTTTTTATCAATGGAATCCATACAGCATGTATTCTTTTTTTGGTCTGGCTTCTTTCACTCAGTATAAATATTCTGAGATACATCTGTGTTGCTGTGTATATCAATAGCTTGTTTTTTTTTATTGCTGAATAATTTCCATTGTACAAATATACCATTTATGTATCCATTCACATGTTGAAAAAATTATTCTTTCTCAACTCTACTACTTTTGAATCTATGTTGAAAATTAATTGACCTTGTATGTGTGGGTCCCTTTCTGAATTCTCATGCTGTTGTATTGATCTATTTATCTATCTCATAGCAATATCATAGCCTTGATTACTGCAGCCTTATAAAAAGTGCTGACGTTAGTGTAAGTCTTCCAACTTTGTTCTTTTTCAAAGTTGTTTTTGCTACTCTAGGTCATTTGCTTTTTTATGTGAATTTTGGAATCAACTTGTTTTTTTTAATAATAAAACCTGCTGGGATTTTAACTGAGATAACATTAAATCTATATATCAATTGGAGAGAATTTACATTTTAACAATATCATGTCTCCTAATCTGTGAACACAACAGAAACTTTAGGTATTCTTTAATTTCTCTCAGCAATATTTTTTAGTTTTCAGTATACAAGTCTTGCACATTTTTGTCATATGTATCCCTAAGTATTTAATATTTTTGATGTTATTATAAATGGCATTGCTTTAAGTTTATTGTTTCTAGTATATAAGAAAGTCAGCTGACTTCTTTATAGTGAACTGGCATCTGACCACCTTGCTTAACTCACTTATTAGTTCTCATTGCTTTTCTGTAGATTCTTTAGATTCTCTATGCAAATGATCATACTATCTCAGAATAATGACAGTTTTATGTCTTTCTTTCTGATCCGAATAGCTTTTATTTCTCTTTCTTGCCTTATTGCACTGGCTACTATTTCCAGTACAATATTGAATAGAAGCAGTAAAAGCTTGTTCCTGGGTAGGGGAGGCATTCATTCTTTTACCATTAAATATAGTGCCAGCTACAGGTTCAGAGCTGCCCTTTATCAGGTTAAGCAGTTCCTCCTGGTTTTCTGTTTTTTCTCTTAAAAATACTGATAGATTTTCAAATGCCAAGCCAATTTTGCATTCCTGGGATAAACCCCACTTGGCCATGATTTTTATATACTTCTCAGTTCAATTTACCAAACTTTTGTTTAGAATTTTTGGCATATATGCTTATAAAGGTTATTGGTCCATAATTTTCTTTTCTTTTTAATAAAAGCTTTATCTGATTCTGTTATCAGAGTAATACTGGCTTCATAGAATGTGTTGGAAAGTATTCCCTCCTACAATTTTGTGGAAGACTGTTTAAAATTCATGTTATTTCACCAGTGAAGATATCTGGGGCCAGAATTTTCTTCATAGGAAGTTTTTTTGGATTTTTTTAAACTGCAAATTAAATTTTTTCTAATCTTTTCAGGTGATTCTTTTCCTGATCTCAGGTAGTTTCCTCACATACATGTGCTTATCAATACTGAGCTGAATATTTGAGGGAGATTTCCTTTGTATTTCCAGATTTTTTAAAAAATGCCGCTCACTTCCTGTCTGCCCTGTGAACTCTGGGCATCTTGGCTTCCCTGGATTGCCAGCTCAATACTGTCAACCCAGGGATACCACTGAGCTCTGCCTGGATTCCCCTTCACTGTACTGCAACCTGAAAACTAACTCCAAGCAATAAGCTGGTACACTCAGAGGGCTACCTCATTTGTTTTCCACTTCTCAGAGATTGCTGTCCTTTGTCATCTCATATCCAATGCTGAATGTCATCGTTACATATTTTGTCTAGAGTTTTGGTTGTGTCAGGTGGAAGGATATATCTTATCCCTGTTACTTCACCTTTAACAAAAACAGAAGTCTCATTAGCTTTTTACCTAAAGTTGCTAATCTCTATTAATTACTGCTGCTTTCATCAATTATGTCATTGAGGTTTGGGGATTTTAAAAAATATTTATTTTAAGAAAGTTAGGTAGCATCTATCTGTAAAGAAGAGCTTTTCTCCATTAACTGGAGATGAGTTTTATTCCTTCTACCGGGGCAAATTTATGTCTAACTCTTTTTCTCTTTTCAGAATAAGGAGTTGTAATCGTTGCCTCCAGTAGTGGTAAATGAATTTCTTTTTTTCTGTTTTTTGTTCTGTTCTTTTAGTTTTGAGTGTTAGTATGAACCGGGGTTTTTGTTTATTTTATTACAATCACTTTATAGTCATTATTCCTTCAGATGTTCAAATTGTAGCCAATGGGAGTGTCTTCATTCTGGCTTTTGAGTCATTTCGAAACATCCCATTAGACTTTGAGTATCCTTGCTTTAGGGCAAACAGCTCTCTTAGGCTCATCATGTACCTTTTGTGCTCCAGACCTCAAACTGTTCATTCTTCAAGAAGCGCTAGTTCCCTTTAGTAGAAAATATTATTTAGAAATCATAGTCTTGGGATTCCTGGAGTTCTTATGGTATTGTCAATGGGGAAAATTATTTTAGATGTCACAGCCTGGCAACTACAATAATTATACTTCATCCTATTATGCATAATAGCATATCTCATGCCAGAAAACACTTTTCAAAAAAATTTGAAGTGAAATGATACTTTAATAGCATTATTAGACTTTTTTATAATACATTTTAAAAGATATTTTAAAAAGATTTTTGGAGATAATTTAAAGAACACTTTACAGGCTCTCCATTGACCACCAAGAAGTGCATGGACTTGTTGTGGTTAGAGCAGTTATTCTCACCTAGCTTCACACTCTCACCTGGGAAACTTAAATACTGATACCAAGGTCCTACCTCAGAAAAAATTATCAGAATTTTTAAAAATATATCCCAGAATCATTGTTTTTCATTTTTATTTTGTTTTGCTCACATCTTCTAGTTGATTCTAACGTGTTGCTAGTGTTGAAAACCACTCTGAGTCTTGATAGCATTAAAAAATGCAAGCACCATTGTAAATAGTAATACTTGGATATGTGATCATTTCTTTTTCCACCTCATTGATGCTAGGGAGAAGAGAAAGAGCCGGGTCACTTGGATGTGTGGACAGTTGCTGAGAAGAGCAGAAGAAAAGAAAAAAGACAGGCAACATACACAAAATGAACCGCTTTTTTGCTTGAATCAAATCCTATTGATTAATCCCTTTACATTGTTTACTAAAAATGCAATACAACTTTGTCAGGAAATATTTGTTTGAGTTGTTGGCAGACTGACAGAATTAATGCACTGTTTGGATAATTCCACCATCGATGTCCCTTATTCATGTCACTGTATTTCAAAGTTGGCCAGCTGCCACTGCTGCTGTTTTGAAATAACTTGGAGCTGAAACTCAAGACAATGGCCACACTGTCCTTTTATTCTGTTGCACGAAATAATTTTCCAAAATAATCATGTCACTAAGTCTCTCTCTAGATCTAATGGCCTATAATTTGAAACAAGGGAACTGCTGATATGGTGAGAAATGGTTTTGTCATTTAATTTGTCAAGCTTCCAACTACTCATTTATTCTCTAAGCAAGGTTGCAGCCAAATCTATATTTCAAAATTCACTTATAATTGATTGAAAATATTGTTTCTTAAGAGCTGCTTGACTAAAGAAGGTGTCCTAGAAGGCCTCGTCCTCTGTCTTCGTCTGTTCAGGCTGCTATAACAAAATACCATAGACTGGTGGTTTATAAGCAACAGAAATCTATTTCTTGCAGCACTGCAGGCTGGAAGTCCAAGGTCAAGGCGCTGGCTGATTCAGTGTTTGGTAAGAATCCACCTCCTGGTTCATAGTCAGTGCCTTCTCACTGTGTCCTCACTAGGTGGAAGAATAATACTCTGATCTCTTCAGTTCCATCAAAGGGCACTAATCCCATTTGTGAAAGTTCCACCCTCATGGCCTAATCACCTTCCAGAAACTCCATCTCCTAATGCCACCACACTGAGAATTAAGTTTTAGCATATGAATTTTGTGGGGACACAACATTTAGTCCATAGCATCCTCCCATTTTTTAATATGTAAAAATTCAAACATGCACAAAGTTTGAAAAAAATAACACAATGAATACCTGCACAGCCTCACCTAGACTCAACAATGAACAGCATTTTCACATGTGTATTAGTCAGCTTGAGCTGCTAGAACAAAGTGCCAGAAACTTGATGGCTTATACAACAGAAATTTACTTTCTGACAGTTCTGGAGGCTGAAAGTCTGAGATCAAGGTGTTGGCAGGGTTGGTTCTGAAGCTTCTCTCCTTGGCTTGTAGCTGGCCGTCCTCCCCCTCTGTCTTCACAGTATCCTGTCTCTGCGTGGCTGTCTGTGTTTTCTCTTCTCTTCTTATAAGACATCAGTCATATTGGAGTAGGGCCCACCCTAACCACCTCATTTTAATTTAATCACCTCTTTAAAGAGCCACTCCAAATATAGTCACATTCTGAGGTACTGGGGGTTAGTATTTTAACATACAAATTTAGGGGGTGGACACAATTCAACCCATAACATTATATTTGCTTTATCTCTTTCTTTCTATAATATATAGGCATATTGATTTGATAATCCATTAGAAGACATATTATAGACATTATGACATCTCACTCCTAAACATGTCACTTTGCATCATTTAAGAATAAGGATGATCTCCTACATAACCTTAATGCCATTATCACATCGAAGAAAATTTAAATTTGTATTAATCCATATTCAGTTGTCCAAATGTTTTTTTATGGCAGTTTTTATTTTCCTGCATAATTACCCAATAAAGTTCATACATTGGCTTTGGGTGTTATTTCTTTTTAGTCATTTTAAATTTAGAAGAGTCTCCCCATCCCTATAGCTCATCTTTTTTTTTCTATGACATTGACTTTTTGAAAACCCCAGATGAGGTATCTATAGAATGTTGCACATTTTGAATTCGCCTAATTATTTCTTTATGATAACATGTAACATTTTCTTCTCTACACTGTGTTTATATAAACCAGAAGTTAGATGTGGTTAGACTGCAAAACTGACAGTATTTTTCCTATTAAGTGGTGCAGTCTGTTTCTCCCCTAGACTCTGGGCCTGGCCATATGGCTTGGTTTGGCCAATGGGATAGTAGCAAATGTGGCACAGCAGAGGCTTGCTACATGCTTGTGTGCTGGGTTTGCTCATCTTTGCTGCTCTTGGGAGTCCTGTGGCTCTCAAGTCTGCTGCTTAATGAGAAACATGTGGCCAAGTCATCCCCATCTCCTCAAATGACATCAGGAATGAAGCCATTCTCAACCAGATGGCTCCAACCAGAGAATCATTTATCTGACCCACAGAACAGTATAAAAGAATACATTGTTGCTGTTCTAAGCCACCAAGTTCCCAGATGATCAGTTTTGCAACAAGAGCAATTGATGCACATCTAGAGGCTTGATTAAATGTTTCAGCAGGAATACTTCATAGATGATCTGTGTGCTTCTAGCACATCAGAAGGCTCATAATGTTAAAAGGAGGTTTACTTTTGAACCTGGGTAAATGTGGATTAAGGGAAACAAACATCAACATAGTCATTCCTCAAGTTAGCATCTCTCCTGGGTTTTAGTACTATCTGGTCATCTTTTAGCCATCAGGGCTTGTAGGGCACTAATAGGGACAAGTAGCGATGTTCCTCCCTGATGTTCAGAATGACCTATGCCCAAAGATAGCCGCAGCATTTGTCAAGAGGAGGACATTATTTCACCAGGTTATAGCCACATATAATATTATTCCAAAGTCATGCTGATTAATATATTTCTAAGGACTTTGTTCAACCCAGTTTTGGGGGTGTGCCTATTCCTTTTTTATTTGACACAATCAAGCTGATACCTTAAGATGACCAAATCAAAAAAAAAAAAAGATGACCGAATCAATAACTATTGCATTCTTGAGCATTTAAAATAAGTAGTTAGCCATTTAATACAAGAATAAAACAAGAGTTTTCTCTCAGTACCAGCAGAAAGGTGAAGAAATTACGAAATTGTGGCATTGTTTTGATCAGAAGATGAAATCAAATTTTAAAAGCTAAAGAAATGCAAGAGAAGAAGAAAAAAAGCATTTGTGTTGATCATCTACAATGCCCAGGCCCTCGTGGGAAATCTTCCCATTTGCTATGGCAGGAAGGCAACACTACTCAAATAATCCAACATTTGAGGTTCTTATCAAACTCCAACTATTTATTTGTCATTGAACAGAACCCACTCTGGAATAAAAAAAAAATGGAAACAAATAGCTGAACCCAAATCTATTTATTTAAAACAAGCATATGTAATAACAATAAAAAGAGACTAGAAGGAAACATAATTATTCTTTCAGGTGATCTTTTTTGTTTGTCCTCAACTTATCTACAGGTAATTTCATGTGATTTTTGTGTTCTCTTTGCTCTTTGTTGTGTTTTTTTTAGTTTTTAAAATACTGAGTATATGCTACTTTTATAATTAGGAACAAAATTGTAAATGAAGTTAATAAGACATTTAGAAGTTGAAAAAAGAAAGTATGGTATCCTTATAAACTTCTTCTCTGTAATATTTTAAAATAAGATTGAATTTTATATTGTATTATATAATTTCTTTAAAATGTGCAAAAGCAGAGAATATCACCAACCCTCATGAATTCATCATAGGGCTTCAGCAATTGTCACCAATTTGCCACACTAATCTCCCCTAGGCTTTCTCTCTCTTTCTTTTTTTTTAGTTCTTAAAGCAAACTCCAGACATCACATTATTTTAGCCCTAAAGCACACATTTTGTTATGGTTTAAATGTTTTGAAAACTGAATCCCCAATGAAACAGTGTTGGGAGGTAGGGCCTAATAAGAGGTGTAATCACCTAATGGTCATGAGGGATTCGTGCCATTACTGGGAAAGAAAGTTCCTTATAAAAGGATGAGTGCAACCTGCTTTTGCCTTTCTCTTTCACCTTCTCTTTGCCCTTGTGCAACGGGATGACGAAGAAAGAAGGCCCTCACTGGATGTTGCTCCCTTCATCTTGAGTTCTCTAGTCTCTGGAACCATGAATCAATAAATTTCTGTATATTATAAGTTACGCAGCCCATGGTATTCTTTTATAGCAGTACAAAACAGAGTAAGACAAATCTCTAAAGAAGGATGATATTTCTTAAACAATCATAATGCATTACCACACATAATAAAGCTAACAAAAATTCCTAATTCTATCTAATACTCAGGCCATAATCAAATTTCCCCTCTATGCTAAAAAAATTTTGAAAAATTGGCTTGTACATATCAAGATCCAGACAGGTCCACTCATTGTATTCAGCTGTTAATAATCTTATCTCTGTCTTAACCCTCAATTTGGAACATTCTCTCAATTCCATTTATTTATTTCTGGGCCACTGACTTCTTGATGAAACCTAGCCAAATGTCCCGTAGAATGGCTCACATTGTGGATTTGGCTGAATACATATTTTTAAAAAGAAAAAAAAAAGGGTTTTAGTTGTGATTCCATAATATTGGCCTGCCTAAAAGTATCCAAAATATGAAACCCCTGTCAATGAAAGGAATGAGCAAAAGACCATAATGGAGTTATTTTAAAAGATATTGGTTTAATGAGCAGCAGACTAATTAGATATAATAAATTGCATTCCCTTTTCTGAATAAGTGTTATTTGGAATGAAAAAGAAAGTTTATGGAGTATCTGCCTTTTTGAAAAATATTTGAAATAGTGCTCCTAAGGAATGTAACTAAGGTAAGAATACTCTCAGTTGTGTACCTTGTAAGGGAACGCCATTGTATGAATTTAAAAACAATAGGAAAGTCAGCAAAGAATAAAAGCAGTCTTTGAAATTTGAGAATATGGATATTTTGACTCTATTCCCATTTACTTAATATGGTTGGATTGCCAGAAAACAATGTAAGATGCCCAGATAAATTTAAACTTCATATAAGCAACAAATAAGTGTTCTTAGCACAAGTATATCTCATGCAATATTTGGGATATACTTATACTAAAAACTATTCATTATTTGTCTGAAATTCAAACTTAACTGGGCATCTTTTATGTTAATTTGCTAAATCTGGCAACCCATGGACAAAATCTCTACTATAGTAAGGTGCGGGTGATCTGAGGAGGAGATATGGTGCTGGGGAAGGAGTGCTGCATGAAGACACTGTCAACCTCCTGACCCTGCTTGTGCAATGTGGGAACAGCCACCCATCTGTGGCATTCTCCAGCTGGTTGCTCAGGAAGTCTGGTTTCCTATTTCTACACATCAACTCCCCCAGGCTGAGAGTCTGTGGGGACCCTGCCAAACCTGAGTGGAATATGAGAATATGCCTGCCCTGCCCTTTCTCTTTGGGAAACAGGAGTCATAAAGGCCAGAATCCCAAGAGATTCTGGAAAGAAAATGAGGAAATTGCCATTGCAATTTCCTCAAAGCCCTCTCTGTAAATACCAGGGTATCATAAGACTGAAGATAACACAAAGGAAAGACAAAGACAGAGGAGAAAATAAAAGAGGGGAAGGAAAATTGCGTCCAAAGATTTTGCCTAAAAAGTCTTCTCAGTAGTCTATGTAACTTAACTCTGACCTTCCTAGCAACCAAAGCGAAGAAGAAAATCCACTGGGTTACAGAAATTCTGTGAGTAGGCTAGCGAAAGAAAGCCTCTTCATTCACATAGAAGCAAATGGTTTTACCGACCCTTGGTTCTAAAGGAAATTTTTACTGGGGCTCATACATATTAAGGATGTATAAGAATTGTTTAGCAGCAACTATTTCTTTTAAGCAAAACCAAAACTTTCTTGTGTAGAAATTTCAAAAACTCCACTGCCTATAGGCATTCGAATCTTTTGATGACAGTTTGATATAGTTTATACCCTGTATGTTCTTAAATATGCAAAGATTTTGCATGTAGATTCTCCCAAACATGGGTAAAATTCCAAGGTAAAATGACTTCATGGCCATCTACATTTCATGCCCCCACTCTAGGCTTTTCTGTTTCTTTGACACCCCTTTCCCCTTTATTAAGGCATACGTCAGTTTTGCCCTTAGTTTCTTGTTTGACGACATGATTTGGATGTGGATTTCCATGTTTTTAATTTGGCAACCTTGGACTCTACTTCCACTGCCCCTCCTCCCCACATATGAGTAGCACAAGAAAGTGGCCCTTTTCTCCAGCTTGCCTGTTGCTATGCCCTAGTTGTACCTGAGTAAGGGTGACAGGTTGCTTGCGTTAAAAGCCCCAACTTTTCATACCTCCCTGTATCTATGCCCTTTGGCAGTGCCCTCCCACACTACTCCTAGGCTTGGCCATGGTCTTGTTTTGGCCAATGAGAAAAGAGCAAATTTGACAAATCAAACTTGAAAAACGTGTGCATATTTCCGTTTGCTCTCTTGCACAGCTGGGTCCCCTTTCTTGGACTTGTGTCATCACCTCGAGGACAGACCTGAGCTAGCCTGCTGGAGGAATATGCATGACCTGTGCAGACAGACTGAGTCATCAGCTAAGGCCATCCTAGATCAGCCAGCTCCCTGGCCAACCAGCTAGCTGACCACAGACACGCAAGCAAACCCAGCCCAGGTCAGCAGAACCACTAAACTGATTTGTAGCCCCAAGAAAAGTAATAAATGGCTGTTGCCTTAAGATGTTATGTTTTGGGAGAGTTTGTTACACAAGCCATAGTTGACTATACAGTAGGAAAGATGAATTTTGTATTTAAATTAATAGTCATTACATTTCTGCACAAAAGTGAGCTCCATGAACTCTTATAAGTTACACGAAGGCATTTTGTTTTCCCAGAAAATATATTTCTGAGTCTTCTGACATTCAAATGAGTACACTCTTCAATCATCCAAATCCTACTTCTTTAAGAATAAAAGTCAGTGGTGTCAGTCACTGGCCTGGAAAACTCTAAGCAAAACCTTAATATGGCTCCTCAGTCATCAGATATGAGTCAAATTATTTCAAGGCCAATGGGGTTTGCGTTTGGGTCAGGAGATTCTGGTATCTCTTAAACAGTCCAGATTGATACCATTATTTGGTGAACCATGAAATTGGTAGCTCCTCTGATATTTTTGATCCAGCATTAAAAGCTGACTTCACTATTGCAATTCAAGCGTGAATACTTCAATGATTACAAGAAGAGAAAGACACTGGAGGGAAAAGCCACAGAAGAATAAATGCTGTTCAGAAGAGAAGATTAATCTAGTAAAAACTGTGGAAATGAGAGCAAAGGGTGAGCCTCTGGGTCCCTTAGAAACCACACCTGGTAGTGAGGAGAGAGGGACCATTAGGGCCAAGATCAGAGAACTATCCCAGTAAACATATGGCAGTGAATTAAATTATCTTTCAAATGAAAAAATAAAATGTTCCTGGAGTCAATTAGAGCTGGACCAAGTCCTGACTCTTGTAATTGAATATGGGAAATGATTTGGGGCTGCATTTTATGTTGCTGAAGAGACAGAATATGTGATGCAGATTCTTTTCTTTAAAATAAAATTCTTTTGCATTTAATTCAAGTACATACAAAAATTTTCGGCCTGGATATAGCAGATCCTCCTAATGATAGAAATGATCTTTTAATAATATTCTTTTCCAGCAAAAACTTATGGAAATACCCATTTTACTATTAACTGTCTAAAAGACCATATCCTATGCATTGCTAGTTTAGAGCTCAGAAGTCAATTAGTTTTTAAGCTACTGAAAGTAAGTTTGGAAATTTTGTCAGATCACCTGACTACTCCCATAAAGACACCCATCTAGCAATCAAATTATAACAGACAAATAATTGATGTTGAAAAGACTTTGACTTAACTGTGGCAAGTGTTCATGCAAAGTTTTGGTAGGGGTTAGGCACAGTCATGATCTTCATACTACAGAAGCATTATTTCTTATTTTTCTTTAGACAGGTCTTATGCGTGAGGTAGGTCTCTAAACTAGATAGAAACATTCAGTAGAAGGCTTCAGAAATCATCTCAGTTCTTCCCCAAAGACATAGCCTTCACCAAGGTCACAGCCTGTCAGAGCTATGGACTCCATTCCTAGAAGTCACTTTTGATTTGTGGTGCCCTTCTGTCAAAGTTTATTGTACCTGAACACAGCACTGTGCAGCCAGGAGGCACCACGTAACTCTTGTCGATTTGGCATGTTCCTAAGCAGAGGTATGTTATACACAAACACAAACCAGAAATCCTTTGTCGAAAATGACCTTCTGTTAAAGCCAGAACTGTGTCAGTTGTAACCTTGACACCAGAGACTTTACAGTGAAAATCATTGTGGGGGCTGGGAAAAAGAGAGAGACAGAGAGAATCCCAACCAAATACAGGAGGGGTACAGAATGTCTGGACAATTTAGGGAGAAATAAAATAAAAGAAGTAATTGAAAGTGAGGCATTTACCAACAAGAAATAGTCCAAGTGAAACACCACCCATGTAAGCATCCTGGAATTCATGCTTTCCTCAATCAAAAATCTGTCTCCAACTCTAATGAGCCAATGCTTTTTGGGTACTGTAGTGACTTGTTTCTTATACTGTTGTGCATTTTTACTGATTTTGTTATCATTGGCTCGACATTATGGACAAAAGGAGAGAAAAAGAAAAGCAAATTACTGAAGTGAGCTTGGAAATGCATATGGTCATATCAAGATGACATTTGAAACACTGGTCCAAGTTTTCCCTTGAATTCCACAGTTAAGATCACAGAACAATATGGGAAATGAGCCAGATTACATGGTACATTAAAATAAACTAGAGTTATTTCCTCAACCTCATAAAGTAGCCAATGCCACGGACCACTGCCTTTCCATGAGATAGAGAAATACTTTCCATCTTTTGGAGAAGTACTATTTTAGTCTTTGGAAAGTATATTTGGATTTTTTATTTTATTTTTATTTTATTTTCACTATACTTCTCTCCCTTGTTAACATTTCGTATAGTATAAGGCCTCAGCCTCTTCTCTTTGGATGGTAATACTGTGGGTTGGAATAACATATTGTTTCAGGTTTTTCCAAGTTTATCAATGATCAAGATGGTTTCCTTTTATAGAGGAGTCAAGGTGCATATTCCAGAAGTTTCTTTGGGAGTGATATGGTTTGGCTGCATCCCCACCCAAAACTCATCTTGAATTGGAGTTCCCATTATCCCCATGTGTTTTGGGAGGGGCCTAGTGGGAGGTAACTTAATCAAAGGGGTGGTTACCTCTACACTATTCTCGTGATAGTGAGTTCTCACAAGATCTGATGGTTTTATAGGGGGCTTTCCCACCTTTGCTCGGCACTTCTCCTTGCTGCAGTGATGTGAAGAAGGACATGTTTGCCTCCCCCTCCACCATGATTGTAAATTTCCTGAGGTTTCCCCAACCCTGCAGAACTGCTAGTCAATTAAACCTCTCTTCTTATTAAATTACCCAGTCTTGGGTATTTCTTCATAGCAGCGTGAGAACAGACTAATACAGGGAGGATGTTGGTTTTATTTTTCTATTATGAGAAGCAGCCTTGGTTGTTATTACCAGTATTAGAAAATTAGGTTTATTTATGTCCATTTGTATTATAAACATGAATTACTTTAAATTAATTTAGTATGTTTTTTTAGGTTGGCTTATTAGATCCAAAAATAACTAAAAGAGAACCAGTTGATTTAAGACCCAACTGCCAAAAATTATATTTAAAATTAGAGTTTTCTTGCTTGCTTCTCTCTGAGGAACCTTGAGCATGTCTCTTTCTGTAGAATGCTTTTTAGGAATCAGTTTAAAGCTACTTTAAAATCATTCAGCCTAAGGTATTAATTGAAAGTGGATCTTGTCAGTTTGCTCGGTCCTGGAGTCCGTTTCATAGATTTTAGGAAGTATTAATTCCTACAAGCAAGGCTCATACTCTACCCAGTTAAACTAAAGATAGCAGAAAAACAATGTTCCATTGAAACCTGAAAAGTATTTGTCCTTTTAATAAAATAAAAAATAAATACTTTGTTTATTAAATAGAAATAGTCCGGGTGGGTGTGGTGGCTCACTCCTGTCATCCCAGCACTTTGGGAGGCTGAGGCGGGTGGATCACTTGAGGTCAGGAGTTCAAGACCACCTGGCCAACATGGTGAAACCCCATCTCTACTAACAATAAATTAGCCAGGCGTAGTGGCAGGTGCCTATAATCCTAGCTACTTGGGAGGCTGAGACAGGAGAACCACTTGAACCTGGGAGGCAGAGGTAGCAGTGAGCTGAGATCGTGCCATTGCACTCCAGCTTGGGCAACAAGAGAGAAACTCCATCAAAAAAAAAAAAAGAATAGAATATTAAGTAGACATCTTGCTACACTTTGTCAAATATATATCACATAGTGTACTATGAAAAGGAAATAAAAGGTTTTTAATAAGGCAGAGTATATTTTATTATGATATTGAAATTGAGAACTTTAGTTTTAAGACTTTGCAATATAGAATGTAATCTATCTATTCTAATTAATGTTGAAAGTGTTTCCCTGTCTTCAAGGCTGTATTTAAGTCTTGTTTTATTTTTTAATAAAACTTTTACAACTTACATATTTCCCTGGCGTAATTTCCTCTGAGAAATGACTCCACAGTTTGGGCTTATTGTTCTGTGCTGAGTCATCCTTCCTTTTTCATGAAGGGTAACACACGTTTGTAGCTTAGTAGTTTTATCTGCCAGTTTATCAGTCTTAGTAGTTTTTCAACTTAGTAGTTTATCAGCCTGTAAAATGTGGGGAGTCTGACAGCCTTCTTTCATTCTGTCCCCTTGCTGTCCCTTTCATACCCACTTCGCAGTGTTTTTGATGGCATGACATTCTCAAGAACATCATGGGTCTTCTAAGTATGTCACAAGAGATTCAGTCCATTAGACAAGAGGTTCCTCCACAGTTCCATCCTGGGAAATCCAATCTCTATTCTTGGCTTTGCTGAGATGGCCAAAGGGATCCTTGAGTCATGCTTACTATTCAAAGTCCTTTGTGTGATTGAATACACTGACTTTTTTATCCTTCCCAGTTACTAGCAAAAGATTGTCTGTTTTTCTTCCAAAATTATTAATGAAGAAACAGAGACTTGGAAATGTTATTAACCTGCCTAAATCTCTCTCAATTCATGATAGCCACACTGTGGTCCTTGATATTCCCCTAATAACAGGGCCTCACTCACCTCAAGTTCATCACTGTTTCTTTTGCCTGGAATATTCTTCTTTCAAATTTCTATTGAACTTAGGGCTTTCACAGGATGCAACCCTTTTGGTGCACAACCTGGGAAAGTCTCAGACAAACTGGATAAATTGGTTGCTTGGGTAGAATATATACTCTACAAAGGCAGAAGTCTTGGTTATTTATTCATATTTCCACCGCCCCTAGAAGAGAGCCTGTCCTATAGTAGACAATCAGTAAATATTTATTGCATGAATAAATGAATACTATGCAGACTCAGTTGTGGCAATAGGAGGCAGTGAGGACAGCCATAGTGAGTTTGCAGCAGCAACATTCGGTATCAGTGTTGATACTGGAGGCCCAAGATGCGCTGTCCAGAGTCTAGTGGTGGTAAGCATGATATTTCCACCAGATCACTACAGTGGGATTTGGAGCATTTTCTTGGCTATGTGACATCAACCTGGCTCTTCCACCCTCCCAAATATATATGAACCATTCAATATCACTGGAATAAAATTAGGATATTATTTTTTAAAAAAATTATATAAAAGAGGTGGGGCCAGCCTATAGACTGCCTCATTTAGATGTGATGCAGTTGAGGAACCCAAATCATGGAGGGACTAGATTACACGACAGAGGGACTGAAGGAGGGAGAGGTTGACTAGAGATAGACTACCAGTAAGGCCAAGCTAATATTCTAATCCTTACTCTGATATAATGAGGATTCATTCCAAAAGTCGTGAGACTCATGTTAAAGAGAAGAATTGTTAGACTATTGAGGGCCAGAGATGAAGAGAAAGGAGCCTCAACGATAATTCCAGTTCAATGTTCACTTCCTGTTAGGGCAAACAAAGGCAAAATAGACCATAATTGTCATCCTAATAACCAAATCAAGCTAGAAAAAGTACAAAATCATATTTCTTAAAACTTAAGAGAGAGTGGAGGATGCAAAGAACCTAAAAGAACCAAATGCCAGAGAGAGATAGGCTCTTTTTAGGAGAGAAGAGATCCACAGTTGCTCTTATTCTTTTTTTTTTTTTTGTAATACTTTAAGTTCTAGGGTACATGTGTACAACGTGCAGGTTTGACACATAGGTATACATGTGCCATGTTGGTTTATGGCACCCATCAACTCATCATTTACATTAGGTATTTCTCCTAAAGCTATCCCTCCCCCAGCCCCCCACCCCGCAACAGGCCCCGGTGTGTAATGTTCCACTTCCTGTGTCCAAGTGATCTCATTGCTCAATTCCCACCTATGAGTGAGAACATGCGGTGTTTGGTTGTCCTGGATATCCTTGTTAACCTTCTTTCTCATTGATCTGTCTAATACTGACAGTGGGATGTTAAAGTTTCCCATTATTACTGTGTGGGAGTCTAAGTCTCTTTGTAGGTCTCTAAGGAGTTGCTTTATGAATCTGGGTGCTCCTGTATTGGGTGCATATATATTTAGGATGGTTAGCTCTTCTTGTTGAATTGATCCCTTTACCATTATGTAATGGCCTTCTTTGTCTCTTTTGATCTCTGTTGGTTTAAAGTTGTTTTATCAGAGACTAGGATTGCAAACCCTGCTTTTTTTTGCTTTTCATTTGCTTGGTAGATCTTCCTCCATCCCTTTATTTTGAGCCTATGTGTGTTTTCGCATGTCAGATGGGTCTCCTGAATACAGCACACTGGGGTCTTGACTCTATCCAGTTTGCCTGTCTGTGTCTTTTAATTGGGGAACTTAGCCCATTTACATTTAAGGTTAATATTTTTTTTTGGTTAATATTGTTTTATGTGAATTTGATCCCATCATTATGATGTTCACTGGTTATTTTGCCCATTAATTAATGCAGTTTCTACATAGCATCTATGGTCTTTACAATTTCACCTGTTTTTGCAGTGGCTGGTACCAGTTATTTTTTTCATGTTTAGTGCTTCCTTCAGGAGCTCTTGTAAGGGATGCCTGGTGGTGACAAGATCTCTCAGCATTTGCTTGTCTGTAAAGTATTTTATTTCTTCTTCACTTATGGAGCTTAGTTTGGCTGGATACGAAATTCTGGATTGAAAATTCTTTTCTTTAAGCATGTTGAAAATGGCCCCCACTCTCTTCTGGCTTGTAGGGTTTCTGCTGAGAGATCTGCTGTTAGTCTGATGGGCTTCCATTTGTGGGTAACGCGATCTTTCTCTCTGGCTGCCCTTAACACTTTTTCCTTCATTTCAACCTTGGTCAATCTGACAATTATGTGTCTTGGGGTTGCTCTTTTTGAGGAGTATCTTTGTGGTGTTCTCTGTATTTCCTGAATTTGAATGTTGGCCTGCCTTTCTATGTTGGGGAAGTTCTCCTGGATAATATCCTGTAGAGTGTTTTCCAACTTGGTTCCATTCTCCCCATCACTTTCAGGTACACCAATCAAACGTAGATTTTCTTTTCACATAGTCCCATATTTCTGGAAGGCTTTGTTCGTTTCTTTTTAACTCTTTTTTCTCTAACCTTGTTTTCTTGCTTTATTTCATTAATTTGATCTTCAATCACTGATACCCTTTCTTCCACTTGATCGAATTGGCTATTGAAGCTTGTCCATGTGTAATGAAGTTCTCGTGCCATGGTTTTCAGCTCCATCAGGTCATTTAAGGTCTTCTCTATACTATTTACTCTAGTTAGCCATTTATCTAATCTTTTTTCAAGGTTTTTGGCTTCCTCGCAATGGGTTCAAACATCCTCCTTTAGCTCAGAGAAGTTTGTTGTTACCAACCTTCTGAAGCCTACTTCTGTCAACTCATCAAAGTCATTCTCCATCCAGCTTTGTTCCATTCCTGGTGAGGACCTGTGATCCTTTGCAGGGGAAGAGGCACTCTGATTTTTAGAATTTTCAGCTTTTTTGCTCTGGTTTCTCCCCATCTTTGTGGTTTTATCTACCTTTGGTCTTTGATGTTGGTGACCTACACATAGGATTTTGGTGTAGATGACCTTTTTGTTGATGTTGGTGCTATTCCTTTCCGTTTGTTAGTTTTCCTTCTAACAGTCAAGTCCCTCAGCTGCAGGTCTGTTGGAGTTTGCTGGAGTTCCACTCCACACCCTGTTTGCCTGGGTATCACCAATAGAGGCTGCAGAACAGCAAATATTGCAGAATGGCAAATATTGCTGCCTCATCCTTCCTCTGGAAGTTTCGTCCCAGAGGGGCAGCTGCCTGTAAGAGGTGTTGTTTCTTTCTAACTGGGAAGTGTCTCCCAGTTAGGCTCCACAGGGGTAGGGACCCACTTGAGGAGGCAGTCTGTCCATTCTCAGAGCTCAAACGCCATGCTGGGAGAACCACTGCTCTCTTCAGAGCTGTCAGACAGGGAAGTTTAAGTCTGCAGAAGTTGTCTGCTGCCTTTTGTTCAGCTATGCTCTGCCCACAGAGGTGGAGTCTAGAGGCAGTAGGCCTTGCTGAGCTGCAGTGGGCTCCACCCAGTTCGAGCTTCCCTGCCGCTTTGTTTACCTACTCAAGCCTCAGCAATGGTGAACTCCCCTCCCCCAGCCAGGCTGCCACCTCGCAGGTTGATCTCAGACTGCTGCGCTAGCAATGAGCAAGTCTCCATGGGCGTGGGAGCCACCGAGCCAGGCACGGGAGAGAATCACCTTGTCTGCCAGTTGCTGAGACCTTGGGAAAAGCACAGTATTTGGGTGGGAGTGTCCCGTTTTTCCAGGTAGTCTGTCATGGCTTCCCTTGGCTAGGAAAGGGAAATCTCCTGACCTCTTGTGCTTCCCGGGTGAGGCGACACCCCACCCTGCTTTGGCTCGCCCTCTGTGGGCTGCACCCACTGTTCAACCAGTCCCAATGAGAAGAACCGGGTACCTCAGTTGGAAATGCAGAAATCACCTGTCTTCTGCATTGATCATGCTGGAGCTGCAGACGAAAGCTATTCCTATTTGGCCATCTTGGAATGTCCTCCCACAGTTGCTCTTACTCTTAACAGCAGGGCAAGAAGAAAAGGAATTCAGCTGAATTTTCAACAGACTTAATGGCATGTGGGAGCAGATGTGACAAATGAAAATTCCAAGGAAATGCATCCACAGAGTGAGTCTACATCCACCTACCAACATTTTCCCATGGGTCTTCATTAATGCATTAGTGAAATTTCCTAAATATTTGAGACAAGGCAGAAGAACTGAAATAAATCTTTCCTGAGATACATGATGTCTCTCCCATGTTCAAGGCAATTGCCCCTGGGCAGAGCAAGAGAACTGAGAGAAATTCATCTAAGGCTCTCTAGGCTTCCAGCAGTACATGAGACAGGAAAGCTGAAAGAAAACATTTGAGGCATTCTGAGCTTTCAGCAACCAATGCCAAAGTGGAACAGAAAAGCTGGGAGAAATAAAGAAACCACTTGGAGGCTATATCAGTTTGTTCTCACACTGCTATAAAGTAATACCCGAGACTGGGTAATTTACAAAGAGGCTTGATTGGCTCACAGTTTCATAGGCTGTACAGGAAGCATGATGCTGGCATCTGCTCAGCTTCTGGAGAGACTTCAGGAAACTTTCAATCATGACAGAAGGCAAAGGGGAAGGAGGCATGTCTTACCTGGCTAGAGCAGGAGGAAGACAGAGTGAGGGGGGAGGTGCTACACACATAAATGACCAGATCTCATGAGAGCTCATTCATACCATGAGGACAGTACCAAGGGAGGATGTTGCTAAGCCATTCATGAGAAATCCACCCCCATTATCCAATCACTTCCCACCAGGCACCACCTCCAACATTGGGGATTACAATCTGACATGAAATTTGGTGGGGACACAGATCCAAACCATATCGGAGGCATTTATCTGAAGCATTTTTGTGACTTTATAGAGTATAAGGTAGCAACCCTCTAAAGGCTGGAAAAAGATCCCTCAAAGACCCCAAATACCAAGAGGCAAAAATAAATAAATAAATAAATAAATCCCCACCTAACCAAAAACCTGGCAATGAAACTATAAAGCTGAGAGAAGTCATCATTTGAAAGCTGATGGCTGAGATGTAAAGTACAGAGGTGTCTGACATCTCTCTAGCACTCAAATCCCAAGGTCTGCTGAAGGGAAAGAAATCCTGATACAATTTTTAAAATATGTGATGCCAGTGGTGAAATTAATTAAGCTAAAGCTGCAACAAAGCCCAGATCCAGTTCAATCACAGATCAGAATGACTCAGACATCACTCTAAAGCCAACAGAAGAGGAGCATGCCCTTTTCTCAAGGTAAATATTGCTTACTTTAGTCCCTACTATATAAAAAAATACAACACATAGTGAAAGTTATGTCACCCAAAAGTGCAAGAAATGTGACCCATGGTCAAGAGAGGAAATAATCAATAGTAGCAGATGTAGAGATGGCTCAGTTGTCAGAATTATCAGACAGACTTTGTAATAAAAATGCTGATCTATATATTGGAAAAGATAAAAAACATGTAGAAGAAATGGAGAGTTTTAGCAGAGAGATGGAAGGTCTACAAAAGAACCACAAAGAAAAGCTAAAAATAAAAAATGCGATACCAGAAATAAAAAATTCATTTGATGAGTTTAATGGAAGGCTGGACCTATCAGAGGAAAATATTAATGAACCTAAATACAGGTCAATAGAACATACCCAAACTGAAACATAAGACTGAGAGAGGAGAAAAAGACAGAACAGAGCATCTGACAATACCATTCAGTCTAATACATATGAAATTTGATTCCCAGAAATAGAAGACAGAGAGAATGGGGCAAAAAAAAGTGTGAAGAGATCATGTCAAGAACATTTTAAAAACAATACGTAATATCAACCCATAGATCCTAGAAACTCAACTAGTCCAAAGCAAGCTAAATGCAGAGAAAACCACATCTTGGCATATCATAATTCAACTGCAAATCAAAGAAGGTGGCAAATCTTAAAGGCAGCCAGAGAAAAAGACACATTATATACAGGGACACATTACAAATAATGGATAAAATCACCAGACAAAATGGAGGCCAAAGGACGATAAAATAATATCTTCAAAATGTTGAAGGATAACTCCAAGGTTGAATCTTGACTGCCAAAATAGTGTTGTCATCCATGGACATTCAATCTCATTATTGTCATCAGTAGGTGTTTAGAACTAGAGTAAATCAAGAGATAGAATGAGCTCTCAGAAGAAGAGAGAAAAACTAAGAGGTTGCATAACACTCACAGTAATTGAGTGAGAGGGAGAAACCAAAAAAGTAAATGTAAACGACATAAAGGTATGCAGTGTTTCCAAACAAAGGTGCTATTGGCATTTGAGACTGGGCAGTTCTTCATTGCCTGAGACTATAGCACACTCCAAAATATTTTGAATCCTTAGCTTCCAGTATAAATGCCAATGGTACTCCCCAGTCTTTCAGTCCTGAAACCACCAAAGTAATGCCTATTGCTCCTCACACTTCCAAATGCTCCTGAAGAAACTACACCGCTGTGTATTAAAGGTTTTCCCAGCCTTGGCAATATTGACATTTGGGGCCATATGATCCTTTGTTACAGGTGGCTGTCTTGTGTATTGTAGGATTTTTAGCAGCATTCCTGGCCTCTAATGAGTCAAGGTCAGGAACACCCCTCCCCAAGTTGTGATAACCAAAAATATGTCCAGATATTGCCAAATGTCCACTGGGGATAAAATCCCATCTCCCCTCCTTTCCATTAAGAGACACTTGGGGAGAGGGGAGAAGCAATATGGCTGAATAGAAAGCTCCACCAATCGTTCTCCATGACAAGGACACCAATTTAACAACTATCTATACTAAAAAAAACCTTCATAAGAATAAAAAATCAGGTGAGCACTCACAGTATCTGATTTCAACATTATAACACTGAAAGGCACTGGAAGAGGGTTGGGAAGACAGTTTTGAATTGCTGACACCATCCACTCCCATCTCCCAACAGTGGCTCCTTGCCATAGAGAATCTGTGCACTGTGGAGAGGGAGAGCACAGCAACTGTGAGACATTTTATTGAACTAGTGCTGCACTGTCACAGCAGAAAGCAAAACTGGCCTGAACTCAGCTAACACCTGCCTACGGAGGGAGCATTTTAACCAACCCTAGCTAGAGGAGATTGTCCATCTGAGTAGTTAGAACTTGAGTTCCAGCAAGGCTTGCCACCACAGGCTAAAGGGCTCTGGGGCCATAAATAAACTTGAAAGGTAATCTAGGCCACAAGGGCTGCAACTCCTAGGTGAGACCTAGTGCTGAACTGGGCTCAGAGCTAGTGGACTTGGGGGGCACACGACCTACTGAGATACCAGCCAGGGCATCTAAGGGAGTGTTTGTATGCCACTCATTCCCCAACCCCAGGCTGCACAGCTCTTAGCTCCAAAGACTCCTTCCTTCCACTTGAAAAGATGAGAAGGAAGAGTAAAGAGGACTCGATCTTAGTTCTTGGATACCAGCTCATCCACAGTATGACAGGGCACTAGTCAGAGTCATGAAGCCTCCTTTCCAGGCCCTAGTTCCAGGATGACATTTCTAGACATACCCTGGGCCAGAAGGGAACCCACTGATTTGAAGGGAAGACCCATCACAGGCTGATTAGAGAGCCCTTGGGCCCTGAATAACAAGCATCGATACCCAGATAGTGCCCCTGTGGGCCTTGGGTGAAACTGAGACCTCCTGGCTTTAGGTGAGATTCAGCACATTCCCATCTATGGTGGCTTCTGGAAGAGACTCCTCTGTCTGTGGAAAAGGGAGGGAAGAGTGGAAAGACTCTCATGGTTTGAATCCCAGGTCAGCCACAGTACAATAGAGCACCAGGTAGACTTCTAAGGTTTTTGACTTCAGTCTCCGGCTCCTGGATGGCTCCTCTGTACCCACCCAGGGCCTGAGGAACTTGTCGCCCTGAAGGACACAAGCCTGGCTGGCTTTGCCACTTGCTGATTGTAGAGCCCCAGGGCTTTGAGTAAACATAGTTAGTGGCCAAGTAGTGATTATGGTGGGATTTGGGTGAAACCCAGTGTGATACTGGCTTCAAGTCTGACCTAGTGCAGTCCCAGTGGTCGTGGCCACAGGGGTGCTTGTGTCGACCCACCCTCAGCTCTGGACAGTAAAGAACAGGGAGAGAGAGAGAGAGAGAGAGAGAGAGAGGAAGAGAGATTCTGGGAGAAAGTAAGAAGAAAAAACAAGAGTCTCTGTCTAGTAATCTTGTTCTGATCTTATCCAGGACCATCAAGGCAGTACCTCTATGAGTCTACAAGAACCACAGGGCTACTGAGCTTGGGATGCCCCCAGGGCAGGCACAGCTTAGATCACAACACCTAAGTCCTTTTGAATAACTGGAAAGCCTTCGCAAGAAGGACAGGTACAAAGAAGCTCAGACTGTAAGAACTACAGTAAATACCGAACTCTTCAAATCCCAGGAACAGATAAACATCCACAAGCATCAAGACCATCTAGGAAAACATGACCTCATTAAATGAACTAAATATGGCACCAGGGACCAAACCTGGAGAAACAGAGATATGTGACCTTTCAGACAAAGAATTCAAAATAACTATTTCGAGTTGAAATTCAAATAAATCCAAGATAACACAGAGAATAAATTCCGAATTCTATCAGATAAATTTCACAAAGAGATCGAAATAATTTTAAAAATCAAGCAGAAATTCTGGAGTTTAAAAATGTAATTGACACACTGAAGAATGCATCAGAGTCTTTTAATAGAAGAATGATCCAGCAGAAGAATTAGTGAGCTTTAAGACAGACTATTTGAAAATACACAATCAGAGGAGACAAAAGAAAGAAGAATAAAAAATAATAAAGCATATTATATAATATATAATATAATAATAAAACAGGATATAGAAAATAGCCTCAAAAGGGCAAATCTAAGAGTTACAGCCTTTAAAGAGGAGGTACATAGATAGGGATAGAAAGTTTATTCAAAGGGATAATAACAAAGAACTTCCTAAACCTAGAAAAATATATCAATATCCAAGTGCAAGGTTATAGAACACCAAGCAGGTTTAACCCAAAGAAGACTACCTTACATCATTTAATAATCAGACTCACAAAGGTCAAGGATAAAGAAAAGATCCTAAAAGCAGCAAGAGAAAAGAAACAAATAACATTCAAGGAGCCCCGATATGTCTGGCAGCAGACTTTTCAGTGCTTTACAGACCAGGAGATAGTGGCATAATATATTTAAAGTCCTGAAGGAAAAAAACCTTTTAGCCTAGAATAGTATATCCGGTGAAAATATCCTTAAAATGTGAGAGAAATAAAGACTTTCCCAGACAAACAAAAGCTGAGGGATTTCATCAACACTAGACCTTACCTACAAGAAATGCTAAAGGGAGTACTTCAATCAGAAAGAAAAGGACATTAATCAGCAACAAGAAATCATCTAAAGGTACAAAACTCACTGACAATAGCAAGAACACAGAAAAACCCAGAATTATTTTTTATTATAGTTTAAGTTCTGGGATACATGTGCAGAATGTGCAGGTTTGTTACATAGATATACACATGCCATGGTGGTTTGCTGTACCCATCAACCCATCATCTACATTAGGTATTTCTCCTAACGGTATCCCTCCCCTAGCCCTCCACCCCCGAAAAGGCCCTGGTGTGTGATGTTCCCCTCCCTGTGTCCATGTGTTCTCATTGTTTAACTCCCACTTATGAGTGAGAACATGTGGTGTTTGGTTTTCTGTTACTGTGTTAGTTTGCTGAGAATGATGGTTTCCAGCTTCATCCATGTCCCTGCAAAGAACATGAACTCATCATTTTTTATGGCTGCATACTATTCCGTGATGTAAATATGCCATATTTTCTTTACCCAGTCTATCATTGATGGGCATTTGGGTTGGTTCCAAGTCTTTGCTATTGTGAATACTCTTGCAATAAACATACATGTGCATGTGTCTTTATAGTAGAATGATTTATAATCCTTTGGGTATATACCCAGTAATGGGATTACTGGGTCAAATGGTATTTCTAGTTCTAGATCCTTGAGAAATTGCCACACTGTCTTCCACAATGGTTGAACTAATTTACACTTCCACCAACAGTGTAAAAGTGTTCCTATTTCTTCACATCTTCTCCAGCATCTGTTGTTTCCTGCTTTTTAATAATCACCATTCTAACTGGTGTGAGATGGTATCTCATTGTGGTTTTGATTTACATTTCTCTGACCAGTGATGATGAGCTTTTTTTCATATGTTTGTTGCCTGCATAAATGTCGTCTTCTGAGAGATGTCTGTTCATATTCTTTGCCCACTTTTTGATGGGGTTGTTTGTTTTTTTTCTTGTAAATTTGTTTAAGTTCCTTGTAGATGCTGGATATTAGCTCTTTGTCAGATGGATTGCAAAAATTTTCTCCCATTCTGTAGGTTACCTGTTCACTCTGATGATAGTTTCTTTTGCTATGCAGAAGCTCTTCAGTTTAATTAGATCCTATTTGTCATTTTGGCTTTTGTTGCCATTGCTTTTGGTGTTTTAGTCATGAAGGCTTTGCCATGCCTATGTCCTGAATGGTATTGCCTAGGTTTTCTTCTAGGGGAAAAATCCAGAATATTATAACACTCTAATTGTGATGTGTTAACTACTCTTAAGTAGAAAGGCTAAAAGATGAACCAATCAAAAAATAACTACAACAACTTTTCAAAACATAGACAGTGCAATAAAATATAAATAGAAACAACAAAAAGTTAAAAAGCCAGGGGATAAAGTTAAAGTGTAGAGTTTTTATTAATTTTCTTTTTGCTAGTTTGTTTGTTAAGTAGTTGTTATCAGCTAAAAATAATGGGTTACGAGATAGTATTTGCAAGCCTCATGGTAACTTGAAGTCAAAAAACATACTATGGATACACAAAAAATAAAAAGCAAGAAATTAAATCCTACCATCCGAGAAAATCACCTTCACTAAAATGAAGACAGAAAGGAAGGAAAAAAGGAAGCAAAGACTGCAAAACAACCAGAAACAAATAAAAGGATAGCAGTAAGTCCTTAATAATTATGTTATCATAATAACATTGAATGTAATGGACTAAACTCTCTAGTCAAAAGACATAGAATAGCTGACTGGATAAAAAAAATCAAGATCTAATAATCTATTGCCTACAAGAAATACACTTCATCTATAAAGACAGACTGAAAACAAAGGGATGGAAAAAGATATTCCATGCTAATGAAAACCAAAAAAGAGCAAGAGTAGCTATTCTTATATAATACAAAGTAAATTGCAAGACAAAAACTGTAAGAAGAGACTAAGACAGTCATTATATAATGCTAAAGGGGTCAATTCAGCAAGAGGATATAATAATTGTAAATATATATGCACCAACACTAAAGGAACCAGATACATAAAGCGTATATTATTAGAACCAAAGAGAGAGATAGACCCCAACACAATAGCTGGAAGCTTCAACACCCTATTTTCAGCATTGGACAGATCATTCAGACAGAAAATCAACAAAGAAACATGGACTTAATCTACACTATAGACCAAATGGACCTAATATTTACAGAGCATTATATCCAATGGCTGCAGAATACACATTGTTCTCCTCAGCACATGGATCATTCTTAAGGACAGACCATATGTTAGGCCAGCAAACAAGTATTAAATATTCAAAAAATGAAAATTATGTCAAGTATCTTCTCTGACCACAATGGAATAAAACTAGAAATCAATAACAAGAGGAATTTTGAAAACTATACAAACATGTGGAAATTAAACAATATGTTCCTGAGTGACCATGGGTTAATGAAGAAATTAATAAAATTGAAAAAAATTGTAATAAATGAAAATGGAAACAACATACTAAAACCTATGGGATACAGCAAAAGCAGGACTAATAGGAAAGTTTATACCAATAAGTACCTACATCAAAGATGTAGAAAAACTTCAATTAAATAAACAACCTAACAATGCACCTTTTTTTTTTTCTTTTTGAGACAGTGTCTCACTCTGTCACCCAGGCTGGAGTGCAGTGGTGCAATCTCGGCTCACTGCAAGCTCTGCCTCCTGGGTTCACACCATTCTCCTGCCTCAGCCTCCCGAGTAGCTGGAACTACAGGCACCCGCCACTGTGCCCAGCTAATTTTTTTTTTTTTTTTGTATTTTTAGTAGAGACGGGGTTTCACCATGGTCTCGATCTCCCGACCTCGTGATCTGCCCACCTCGGCCTCCCAAAGTGCTGGGATTACAGGCGTGAGCCACCGCGCCCGGCCTAACAATGCATCTTAAAAAACTACAAAAGCAAGGGCACACCAAACCCAAAATTAGTAAAAGAAAAGAAAAGAAATGATAAAGATCGCAGCAAAAATAAATGAAATTGAAACAAAAAGCAACACCACAAAAGATCAATGAAAACTTGTTTTTTTGATAAGAAAAAACAAACTTGACAAACCTTTAGCCAGACTAAGAAAAAAAAAGAGAAACCTCCAAAAAATAAAATTAGAGAATGAAAAGCAGATATTACAATCAATACCACAGAAATTCAAAGCATCATTAGAGGCTACTATGAGCAACTATAAGCCAATAAATTGGAAAACCTAGAAGAAATGGATAAAGTCCTAGACACATACAACCTACCAATATCATACCATGAAGAAATCCAAAACCTGAACAGACTAATAACAAATCACGAGATTGAAGCCATAACAAAAAGTCCCCCAGTAAAGAAAATTCCATGACCTGATGATTTTACTACTGAATTTTACCAAACATTTAAAGAACTAATACCAATTCTATTCAAACTATTAAAAAAAAATACAGGAGAAGGAAAAACTTCCAAACTCATCCTATGAGACCAGTATTACTCTGATACAAAAAAACAGAAAAAAACATCAAAAAAGAAAACTATAGACCATTGTTTCTGATGAACAATGAGGCAAGAATCCTCTTCCAAATCTAGCAAACTGAATTCAACCACACATTAAAAAGATAATTCATCATGAACAAGTGGTATTTATCCCAGGTATGAAGGGATGTTTCTATATATGCAAATCAATCAGTATGATACCTGATATCAACAGAATAAAGGACAAAAACCATATAATCATAGGAACTGGGGCTGGAAAGGCATTTGATAAAATTCAACATCCCTTCATGATAAAAACTGTCAAAAATGGTATGGAAGAAATATACCTCAATATAATAAATGCCATATACAACAGCTAGTATCATACTAAATAGAGAAAGACTGAAAGCCTTTCTTATAAGATGAGGAACATGACAAGGATGGTCACTTTCACCACTGTTATTTAACATAGTGCCGTAAGTCCTAGCTAGAGCAACCAGACAAGAGAAAGAAAGGGCATCCAAATTGAAAAGGAAGAAATCAAATTATCCTTGTTTGCAGATGATCTCATCTTATATTTGGAAAACCTGAAAACCCCACCAAAAAACTATTAGAACTGATAAACAAACTCAGTAAATTTGAAGGATACAAAATCAACATATAAAAATCAGTAGCATTTCCATTTGCCAACAGTAAACAATCAAAAGAAACCAATAAATCAAGAAGGTAATTCTATTTACAATGGCTACAAATAAAATAAAATACCTAGGAATTAACTTAGCTAAGAAGTGAAAGATCTCTACACTGAAAACTGTAAAACACTGATGCAAGAAGTTGAAGAGGATACCAAAAAATGGAAAGATATTCCATGCTCATGTATTGGAAGAATCAATATTGTTAAAATGTCCATACCACTCAAAGCAATCTACAGATAAAATGCAATCTCTATCAAAACACCAATGACAAATCTCACAGAAATAGAAAAAACAATCCTAAAATCTATCTGGGACCATAAAAGACCTAGAATAGCCAAGCTGTCTAAGCAAAAAGAACAAAGCTGGAGGAATCACATTACCTACCTTTAAATTATACTCCAGAGCTATGGTAACCAAAATGGCATCGTACCAGCATAAAAACAGACACATACATCAGTGGCACAGAATAGAGAAGCTAGAGATAAATCTATACATCTATGGTGAACTCATTTTTGACAAAGGTGGCAAGGATATACATTGGGGAAAGAATAGTCTCTTCAATAAATGATGCTGGGAAAACTGGATCCATATACAGAAGAATGAAACCAGACCCCTTATCTTTCACGGTAGGCAAAAACCAAATCAAAATGGATTAAAGTCTTTAAGATATGCCCTACAAGTACAGGTGACCAAAGCAAACATGGACAAATGGGATCACATCAAGCTCAAAAACTTCTGTACAGCAAAGGAAACTATCAACAAAGTGAAGATACAAACCACAGAATGGGAGAAAATATTTGCAAACTGCCTGTCTGACAAGGAATTAATAACCAAAATATATAAGGAGCTCAAACAGTGCTATGGGAAAAAAAACGAATAACCCAATTGAAAAATGGGCAAAAGATTTGAATAGACATTTCTCAAAAGAGGACATACATATGGGCATATGACAAGGTGTTTAACATCACTGATCATCAGAAGAATGCAAATCAAAACTACAATAAGATATCCTCTCACCCCAGTTAAAACGACTTTTATCCAAAAGTCAGGCATTAACAAATGCTGACAAGGATATGGAGAAAAGGGAACCCTCAGACACTGTTAGTGGGAATGTAAATTAGTACAACCACTGTGGAGAACAGTTTGGAAGTTCCTTGAAAAACTAGACCACCATGTGATCCAGCAATCCCACTCCTAGGTATATGCCCAAAAGAAAGGAATATCGAAGAGATATCTGCATTCCCATATTTATAGCAGCACTGTTAACAAGGCAAGATTTGGAAGCAACATAACTGTCCATCAATAGATTGATGGATAAAGAACATATACACAATGGAGTACTATTCAGCTATAAAAAGAATAAGATCCTGGTCAGAGAAATGCAAATCAAAACCACAATGAGATACCATCTCACACCAGTTAGAATGGCTATTATTAAAAAGTCAGGAAACAACAGATGCTGGAGATATAGGAATACTTTTACACTGTTGGTGGAAGTGTAAATTAGTTCAACCATTGTGGAAGACAGTGTGGTGATTCCTCAAGGATCTAGAACCAGTTGGATGGAACTGGAGGTCATTATGTTAAGTGAAATGAGCAAATAAGCCAGGCACAAAAATACAAATTTTGCATATTCTTACTTATTTATATTCTTACTTATTTGTGGAAGCTAAAAATTAAAATAATTGAACTCATGAAGGTAGAGAATAGGATGATTGCCAGAGGCTGCGAAGGGTAGAGTGGGGTTCAGGGAGAAGTGGAGATAGAAATGGGTACAAAGAAAAATAGAAAGAATGAATAAGACCTTGTATTTGCTAGCATAACAGGGTGACTACAGTCAATAATAATTTAATTGTACATTTTTAAATAACTCAAAGAGTATAACTGGATTGTTTGTAACACAAAGGATAAATGCTTGAGGTGATGGATATCCCGTTTACCCTGAGGTGATTATTATGTATTGCATACCTCTATCAAAATATCTCATGTAACCCATAAATATGTATACATACTATGTACCCACACAAATTAAAATTTTTTTAAAAGAACCACTTGGGCTTGAGAAAGCAAAAAAAAAATGTGAATCTTTAAAAAGAGATAATGAAGTACGATATCAGAAACAATAAAGAGGTAATGGAGAATGCTTACCAAAAAAAAGAAAACACATCAATACAGCAGTGTACACTGAGGTCATATTACAGGGTGTTAAGAAGAGAATGGGTTGAGTCATTCCAACTCATTGAAGTGTTTCCTTCAATCTCTCTCCAGTTAGAGAATCATTGATTAGCAGCATAAAAGCAAAATCAGTTCTCACTGATGAGATGAGGAAGGTGTGAGAGGGAGGGATTGAAGGGAAAGTGGGCCAGAGCCAATAAGGGTTAGAGAGAAAAAGGAGAAGGAAGAGAATGAAGAAGAGATGAAGGAAGGCGAGGAGGAAAAGGAAATGGCTAAGGTGGAGAGATTTAACACATTTAATTGAATTATAGTAGTCCTAGTTTCTGCCCTCAGTAGTTAACGTATAGGAAGCACCCCACTCTTGACAGATGATAACAAATAGATGGTAGATGAGTCCAAATTGGATAGAAGGAGCTAAATCCCTACCTCACTCCCTACACCAAAACAAATTTCAGATCAACATTAAACTTAAAAATTGAAATTATAAAGGTGTTGGAAGAAAGTGTGAGTGGATTTTTCAAAATAATATGCGCATATAGAAGACCTTTAAAAGCGTATTACAAAATCCAAATTCCACAGAGGATAAAAAGTGCTAAATATGACTGATTATAAAATTTTAAAACTCTGCCTGGCAAAAACACATCATCAAGACAAAAAAAAAAAAAAGGAAACTGGAAAATATTGCCACACATATTATGAACAAAAATTTTTGTCTCTTTGTGAGTATACAAAGAACCCATAAACAAATTTTTTTAATGGGGGAAAAACAAGAAAATGAGAAAATAATTAGGGAGTTCATAGCAAAAGAGAAACAAAAAGGCAATAAACCTTTAGAATTATAAAAATGCAAATTAAGATGAAAGATGCCTTTTTCACCTACTAGAAAGGAAAATATTTACAATATTAATAATGTTTAATATCACTGAGCATGTAGTAAACTAATTTCACATCTCCTTAGAGGGCCTTTAAATTGGTGACATTTCTCTGCAGGACAATTTTGGAATATCTTTCAAGATTAAAAATGTACAACCCTTTGACCCAACAAGCATTTTCCCAGGAGCTTATCTGGAGACATTAACAGAAGCCTGCACCAAGATTAACACAGCTGAATGCTCACTGCAGTCTTGTTTCTGAGAGCAAATGCAGGGAACAACCTTAAGTGTCAGCAGCAAAACTGAGTCAGTACTGACGCCGATCCCTCTCCTGGGGGTCAGGATTTTTCCTAGAGAGTGAAGGAGTGCTTAATGCAGTGGAGAGAAGGCAAATAGCTCAGGTGGAAAATCACTAAGACCTACACAGCACCATCCATGCTTACGCTCAGCTATTTTAATAAGGAGTCTTATTTTTAAAATTTTTTTTTAAAAAGCACTGAGTAGAAAAGCATTCTTATTACACCACACATTTAGTAACCATAGGGGCTTGAAAAGCCACAGCAAAATTTATCTGGGGTCCTACTCTAAGCCATGTATCCTAGTTAGGAACATGGCTGGTGTCAGAGTCCACATAACTCATCGCCCAATTCAGTACCTTTTCACTAGAGAAGATATGGTCATATTTATTATCTTCTATGTTGGAATACTCATATATTTGAATAGGACCTGAACAAAAGTCTCTTAGCATTTCCTAAGCTTTACACCTTAAAATAAGCACTGTAAACCTCTTTATGTTATCAGTCGCAAGCTGTTCCTGTTTGCATCTGTGAGGCCTGGTAGCAAACTTCTGGCTAATTATGCTAGTGTGAAACTGGCTATCATGCTTAAAGGCAAGTTTACATTAGAACGATTAACTACTGAGTTAATTTCTGTAGTGTGAATAAGCTCAACTGTCATATTCTATATCATCAAATTAGAATTTGGAAAAAATAATTGTTTTCATCGAGACATTTTACAAAGATGAAGTTGGTGAACCAAAGGCTAAATATATATTTTTAAATATGTATGCATCCAAAGCACTTAACTACAGATTAAAATGGGTGGAGCACCTGGGAATCTTGTATAAATTATACTGAAACTCAGTGTTGCCATTCCTATAAAATAGAGACAGATTGCATCACTTCATTTGGAGAATATCATATCTATATTTGTACCACTTTTGCATTTTAAATGATAACTATGTTTCTTGCCCAGATTTAGTCCAAGATATGGATCAATACTTAATTCAATAGTTCTTAGAAATTTACTCTGAATATAATCCTTACCAATTAAAACATGTTCTCTCTTTCAAAAGCACAAATCAATACATGCTGTCTTAGGGCAAGTTATTGCTGTTTTGTGATTCACCTAATGTATCTATGGTAGGGACTATATTACGGTCAATATAAAAGTAGAAACTTTTCATTTTGCAATTAAAGCCATAGTCATTCATAATTATTATTTTCATGCCTGTGTCCCCTTCTCCCTTTCCAACACACACAAACACACACACACTTTTGTAAACCTTGAGCCATGCCCTAATACAATGTTCTCAACAAATATTTGTTGGATTGATGATGAAATGTCATTTTCAACCATGGGAGACTCTATCTGCTATCTAGCCAATATCCCTTCTTGCCTCTACCACTCCTGTGAAGAAGACCTGGATTTGTTCAATTGGTGACTAGGAGCTTTACCCCAACCACAGGTGATGCATTGTGATTAGTCTAAACCAGTCATAGCAATCTCGTCCTCCTTGGCCAATATTGACCCAAGGGTGGCCCCATAATCCAGTTCTGGCCATTGAGATGTAAGTGAGTCTTCTGAGTAGGACTTCTAGACTATCTTTTGCTTTCTCACTACAAAAGATCAGACTCAGCTGGCAAAACGCTTTGTCCACCCCTTTCTTCCTGACTAGAATGCATGGGAAGCCCAGAGGGGCAGCTGCCATTTCGCAATCACAATAAATAAAGGCAAAAGACTGGGCCCACAGGCACACGCCCAGCTAATTTTTTGACTTTTTGTTGAGATGGGATCTCACTTTGTTGTGAGGTCCCCATATTATCATTAGTCGTCAGCAGGGGCTCCTTTAATTCCCAAAGATGATCCATATTCCTTACCCCCTTCATCTCCAAGCCAGCAAAGAATGCTTCACACATCACATACCTTTCATGCTTCAAATCACGGACTTCCCCTGCCCCTAGATTCTGATGTAAAGGGTTCATGCGATTAGGTCAGAGCCACCAGAATAAGCTCCCTATTTCAAGGTCAACTGACTTAGAACCTTAATCACATCTGCAAAATTCCTTCACAGCAGTACCAGATTAGCATTCTATTGAGCAATTGGGAGAAGGTGTGGGGTCCACCATGGCTGGGAATCCTGGGGCTAGCTTAAAATTCTGCCCTATATCACACCTTCTTGAGGACGGGGTCCTTATGTACATTTCTTAACTTCCTGCCTTTCCTACCACAGTGTCCTTCTGATGTTTTTGTTCTGCTGTCAGAAGTCTATTTGTGTTTGTTTATTTCAGGTTTATGTTGAAAGCTTCATAAGGCTCAGGTATGTTTATGGGCCACCTGTGTAGATTATTAGCCAATGATTTATTCACAGTGGACGTGATTTAGTAAGTCCAAGGTGAAGCCAAGAATTTACATTTTTTTTTTTGAGACGGAGTCTCACTTTGTCACCCAGGCTGGAGTGCAGTGGCGCGATCTCGGCTCACAGCAAGCTCTGCCTCCCCGGTTCACACCATTCTCCTGCCTCAGCCTCCCGAGCAGCTGAGACTACAGGCACCCGCCACCACGCCCAGCTAATTTTTTGTATTTTTAGTAGAGACGGGGTTTCACCGTGTTAGCCAGGATGGTCTCGATCTCCTGATCTTGTGATCTTCCCGCCTCGGCCTCCCAAAGAGAATATACATTTTTAAACAGTACCACGTAAGGGTTAAGAGGCAGGTGGTCCATGAATGTGAATGCCTTGAAGGCAGAGGCCGTTCTCACCAGTGCTGCTGCAAGGCATTGATAATGAAAAGTATATAAATCACCTGGTACATATTAGGAATACAAGGAATGTTGGCCCTTTTGTTTCTCTGACACCTGCCATATAGTATGCATTAAATAAATATTAGTTGAATGGCAAAATATGTTAAGAGTACCTGCCGGGCACAGTGGCTCTATGCCTGTAATCCCAGCACTCTGGAAGGCCCAGATGGGTGGCTCACCTGAGGTCAGGAGTTTGAGACCAGCCTGACCAATATGGTGAAACCCCATCTCTGCTAAAAACACAAAAATTAGCCGGGCATGGTGGCATGTTCCTGTAGTTGCAGCTACTCAGAAGGCTGGGGCAGGAGAATCACTTGAACCTGGGAGGTGGAGGTTGCAGTGAGCCAAGATCACTCCACTGCACTCCAGCCTGGGCAACAGAGCAAGACTCCATCTCAAAAAAAAAAAAAAAAAAAAGAATACCTTTGGCTGCAAAAATACAGAAAAACAACCTAATACTGTGTTGTCCCCCAACACAAGATGTGGGTACATTGTTGCAGAAACTGGTTCAGCAGCAAAATGATCTCAAGGCTCTGAGCTGGTGTGTCTGTGATTATTTTTTTAAGAAATCAGGTTTATTAAAATATAGTTTACAAATCATAAAGTTTACCTGTTTCAAGTATAAGGTTTGTTAGTTTACATATATTTACAGAGTGGAGCAACCATTACTAAAATCTAATTTTAGAACATTTTCATCATCCCTCAAAGAAATCCCAAACCCATTAACACTCATTCCCAAGCCCCTTCTCCTTTCCTAGCCCTAGAAAACCACTGATCTATTCTCTACCTCTATAGATTTGCCTATTCTGGACACTTCACATAAATGAAGTCACATAATACGTGGGGTTTATTGTCTGGCTTCTTTCACTTAGCATAATGTTTTCAGGGTTCACACATGTTGTACATGAATCATTTTTGTTTCATCTTTTAATTGTGGAATAATACTTCATTATATGGATATACTACATTTTGTTTATCTGTTCTCTGTGATTGTCTTGATCATCCCCTCACAGTAGCATCCTTTTAAATTGTATTCAATGCAGCTAAGGAGAAGCAGTCCCCTCACCATTTCTCCTTTTATAAGGAAGCAATATTTTTTCCAGGAGAACATGAGCAGGCTTCCTCTTACATCTCATTGGTCAGGATTGGGACACATGACCACCTAGGCTTCATGGGAAGCTGGGAAAGTAAGCATCTTTGACAGAAGGCAGGCAAGGATTGAGGGGACTGGAAGTGTCTCTTGGATTTCTGCTCCTATGGGATTTATAATTATTTTTTTCATTGTAAATGAATGCTTAGCTATTCCTTCTTTATAGACATTGGCATTTTGGTATACAAGTTAGGGTTATGTCTGGTTGAACATAATGTCTCTCTACTAGGAGAGTGACCTTTAACTGACTCTCAGAAATGGAGGGTAGGCTAACAGATTATAATTTCTCAGACCTTCATATATATATATATATATTTTTTTTTATTGTTATTGTTTTTTTTTTGAGGCATGGTCTCTCTCTATTGCCCAGGTGGATAGCAGCAATGAGTTCATAGCTCACTCTAGCCCCAACCTCCCAGGCTCAAAGGATACTCTCACCCCAGCCTCCAGGGTAGCTAAGACTATAGGTATGCGCCACGATTCCCGGCAAAATTTTTTATTTTTTTGTAGAGACAGAGTCTCACTATGTTGCCCAACCTGGTCTTGAACTCCTGGGCTTAAGCAATCCTCCCTCCTTGACCTCCCAAAGTGCTGGGATTACAGGTGTAAACCACCACACCCAGCCTGACCTTTATCTTTTAAAGATACATTCTGAAATATTTACAGGTGAAATTATATGATGTCTGGGATGTGCTTCAGAATAATCTGGGATGGAGGGAAACAGATGGGGGTATGATGGGGCAGTATTGGCTATGGGAAGGTGATTGTTGGGATGGGATGAGGGGTACATAGGATATTCATTACACTAGGCTGTCTGCTTCTGCATGTGTTCTAAATTCTCAAAAAAAATTATGTAAAAGATCAGTCTAAAGTCAATAACAGTAGTAGCAGGTCTGACTAGAACCTTAGTGATGGTGATGACCCATCTAAAGACTGTAGATTCAGAGCAAGGAATACATGTTGGTGGTTGAAGAAGCAAGGTTGAACCGTGTTCACCCACTATTGTCTGGAGGAAAATCCTCTGATCATAGAGCTAGAGATGCAGCCCCTGGTGCCCATCTATCTCCATGTAGATTGTGAGTCCTCAAGGTCTCTGACTTAATGAAGCTGGCCCTAAAAGCTGGTCTGCTAGACCCCTTGCCTTCCTTTCTCTGCTTCCCAAACAGATTTCTAGAGGAGAGAATATATTGACTCAATTAAGTAGTCTGGCCCCATGGGATTTATGGTTACCTTTTCTCTGTAAATGAATAATTTGTGATTCTTTTTTATATACATGGAATTTATAATTATGTTTTCATTGTAAATGAATAATCTATTCCTGTTTATATACATTATTATTTTAGTCTAAGAGTTAAGGATATATTTAGTTGTATATAAAAAGAATCCAAAATAAGAGTGGCTTATATGCACAAAGTTTATGCTTACCTGCAAAAGAAGACCACAAGTAGGTGGATCAGGATTGGCATCAGTTCACAAAGTCAGTGGAGACCTAGGTTATTTCTGTCTGTTCCATGGTATTAGTCTGTTCCAGCTGATATAATAAAAATAATATATATTAGATGGCTTAAACAACAAACATTTATTTCTCATTGTTCTAGAGACTAGGGAGTCCAAGATCTAGGCAACAGCGATTTAGTATCTGGTGAGGACCTGCTTTCTGGTTCATACATGGCTCTCCTTTAGCTGTGTCCTCATATGACAGTAAAGGGCAAGACAGCTCTCTAGGATTTCTTTTATAAAAGCACTAATCCCACTCATGAGAGCTCCATCCTTATGACCTCATCACCTCCCAAAGGTCCCACCTCCAAATACCATCACAGTGAGAATTAGGATTTCAACATATGAATTTGTCGGGGGCAAAAGGGACACAAACATTCAGTCTATAGCACCCATCACCCTAGTGATTAATTTCTGTCTTCATAGTCACCTCTTGCTGCAAGATTGCTGTTGAAGCTCCAGCACTCAACTCTGTATTCCAGGAAGCAGGAAAAAGAATAATGTAATACTCCCCATTGGCCAGAACTTTGACAATGCCCACATGTATCTGAAAGAAAGACCAAAAAAGGTAATTATCAGCTGAGCACATTGCCACCTTGAATAAAACAGGCTCTAATTACTAAGGGAAAAATTAGAAGAGATGTTGGATAGGCAATTAGCACCCCAGTTACTGGTTACTATTAATCAGTCCCCAAATTCTAATCAACCATGGAGTTGCCTAACGCAAGTTGCTGCACTTCCAAGATTAAAGTAGGTTCACCAAGGCAATATCTCTACCAAGAAATTGAAAGCTTGCTGGGTAAAGTGGGGGTAAATTTTATAAAAGAAATGTAACTAAAAGGAAAATACAGTTGATCCTTGAGCTACATAGTCCATTTATAAGTGGATTCTCTTTGCCTCTGCCACCCTGAGACAGCAAGACTGAACTTTCCTCCTCTTCCTCCTCCTCAGCCTACTCAATGTGAAGACAATGAGGATGAAGAACTTTATAATGATCCACTTCCACTTAATGAAGAGTACGTATATTTTCTCTTATGATTTTTTAATAACATTTTTTCTCCAGTTTACTTTATTGTATGAATGTAGTATATAATACATATAACATGCAAAATATGTATTAGCTAACAGTTTATATTATTGGTAAGTTTTCCAGGCAACATAGGCTATTAGTAAAGTTTCAGGGGAGTCAGAAATTATACAGGGATTTTTGACTGTGCAGGAGGTCAGCACCTCTAACTCCTGTGCTGTTCAAGGGTTAACTGTGTAAGTCCAGAGATAAGTTTTAGATTTACTTTGACTCAGAGGTTCATGTGGACATTAGGTCTTTAGCCCTGTTTATTTTTGATTCTTAAAGCTGTGTCCTCCTCCAGCTTCACTCTCAGGATGACTTGGCTGTGGAAGTTAAGCTTCTGTCAATAGCTGCTAAGTCGTCTGTCTGCTCTTCCTTCCTTTCTTCCTTCCTTTCTTCCTTCCTTCCTTCCTTCCTCCCTCCCTCCCTCCCTTCTTTCCTTCCTTCCTTCTCTTCTTTCATAAATAAGGTATATTAAGTGTCTTAACTCAGAATTTCCCAGCTGTTTCCCAGCAACGTCAAAAGTACTAAAGTAGACAGAATAGTTTCTCCCTAAGATGTCCACATCCTAGTCTGCAGAACCTGTGAATATATCACCTTCTATGGCAAAACGGGCTTTGCAGGTGTCATTAAGTCAAAGATCCTGAGATGGGGTGATTATCTTAGATTATCCAAGAGGGCTCAGTGTCATTGCAAAGGTCCTTATAAGAGTGAGGCAGGAGGATCAGAGTGAGAGAAGGAGATGTGACGAGTGAAGCAGAGAGGAATGCAGGCAGTCTCTAGGAGCTGGAAAAAGCTAGGAATGGGTTCACCCCTAGAATGCCCAGAAGGAACTCAGCTCTGCCAATACCTTGGTTTAGCCCCGTAATACCCTTGGACTTCTAATGTCTGGAGCTGTAGGATAATTATTTAAGCCACTAAGTTTGTGATGCTTTGTAACGTCACCAATAGAAAATTAATATAGTCCTCAAACCAGTGCTTCAAATTATAATGTTCTATGAACTCGCTTTACACTATTTTAACTAAAGGGCCCAAATATTTTAATTCTATTTTTAAAGTTGTTTTCACATATTTAATAATTTTAATGTTAAGATATGTAATATCTGATAATGTCAAATAATATCTGCTAGATAGATAAACCCACCACCAATTAACACACTAGAACATTACCAATTTCATTCTGTGTGCTTCACCTGATCCTATCACCCACACCCCCAAAGGTGTGGGTGATACCTTGAATTATATATAATATATAAATATAATATATTGATATAATAATGTATTAACAATATATATTAGTGTATAACTTATATTATATATAACTATATTATTGTATATTAATATAAATTAATGATATATAATATATTAATTATATATTATTATATGTGATATAAAATACTTATATTTATACTGTATATATGTATATACACACATATATGTATATATGTATATATACACATATGTATATATGTATATGTATATATGTATACTGTATATATGTATATACACACATATATGTATATATGTATATGTATATATGTATACTGTATATATGTATATACATATATACATATATGATATATATCACATATATGTGATATATAAATATATTTATATAAATATAATATTAATATTTATATTATGTTATATATAACATGTTTATATTATGTTATATAAATATTATAAATATATATATTTCTATTTTATATGTATCACTACTCAAGACATCGCGTGTTCTTGTTTTTGAAAATTATAGTATTGTAAATTGTTCTCTACAAATTACTTTATGTATTTATTATTTTTAAAGAATTTTTTTAGATAGAAACAGGGTCTCACTATGTTGTCCAGGCTGGTCTCAAACTGGGCTCAAGCAATCTTGTTTCTAATATTTATCCATATGGTTATGTGAACTTACAGTTCATTTATTTTCACTACTGAAATATATTCTATTCTGAGACCATATCACAATTCATCCATTCTCCTACAGATGGATGTTTACAATACTTTCATTTTTTTGTTATAATTATGAACCATGCTATTATGCACATATTTGTACGTGCCTCTTAGTGCACATGTATAAGAGTTCTATTTTAAAGATAATGCAAAGTTGTTCTCCAAAGTGATAACAATTTCCATTCATATCAGCAATGCCAAAGTGCTCTCATGGCTCTAGCTAATCACCAGCCTGTAGTATTTTCATACCTCTTAATTTTTGCCATCTTATAGGCTTAAATAATGTCTCATTAGAGTCTTATTTTGCAGTTCTCTGATTACTAATAGTGTTTAGCATCTTTCCATTATTAAAGTTGCTCTAATTATGTGGTTCATGTCTTTTATCCATTTTCTGCTGGATGGTTTGTCTTTTTCTTATCGACTTGCAAATAATATGTTGCTAGTTATATAGCTTGTAAATATCTTCTCCCAGTTTTGGGCTTCTCTTTTCATTTTCTTATGATGTCTTCTGCAGTGCATAAGTTCTTAATTTTAATAGACTCAAATGTATCAATATTTCCTTTCATAATTAGCAGTTTTGCCTTATGTTTAAAAATCCTATCCTGAAAATATATTTTCTTACATAGCCTTCGAAACATTTTTAATCTTGACATTTCATATGCAAATCATGATCCACCTGAAATTTATTTTTGTGGGTGGTGTGAGGTATGAGTTCAGATTTATTTTTTTCCATATGGATAATTAGAGGCCAGCACCCATGTTGAATCTTCCATGCTTTTCCCAATGATCTGCAATGCCATCTTGTCACATTTAAAGTTTGCTTATGCGTGTGCATCTATTTCTGGGCTCTATGTTCAGTTTCATTGGTCAATTTTTCTCTCCCTGAGCCAAAACCAATAGACTTAATGATGCTGGCTTTGAAATAAGTTTTGACTTCTAACACTGTGAACATCTATAAAACAGGACAAAGACATGAGACAACAGCACAGGGCTGTGATCCTTAAGAGTAAGACACAGAAGGGGAGCTCCACATCCAGCTCTCTTTCTGCCTGTGGCATTTTCTAAGCCAAGGCATTGAGAAATGGAGCTTCAACAAAAGCTGTGCTCTTACTGGATGGAGGAACAAAGATCAGATTTGGGGGCTGCTGAGGCAACTGGAAGTTGTGACATAGGTGTTGGAAAGAAGGGAGATAATAGAGAAAGGCTTCTGTTTGGTTCAACACTAAGCTCAATCTCTGAAGGTTTCACAGAGCTGAGATCAGTAAAGTTATAGCCAGTTAGTGTAGAGAGATCTATTCGAACACTGTGGCAATGAGTTGAGATTCTAGAGGACTATTCTTATGGAGTAAAGCTACCCTAGCCTTAAAGTGAGGGCTTACGAAGCTGATCTTACAGCAAATTAACTCCCTACAAGAACAAGGCTCAGCATTCTTGAAGGGAGACAACAAAATCCAAAGTCCTAACAACTTAGTACAGATTGAGCATCCCGAATCTGAAACTCCAAAATTGGAAACTTTTTGAGCACCAGCATGACACCACAAGTGAAAAATTCCACACCTGACCTTATGTGATGGGTCACAGTCAAATAAAGGCACACAACGCACAGTTTATTCAGCATCCCCAAGGGAAAACGACCCTCCCAGCCCCCTTCAGCTGTAATACATCTTTTCGGCACACACCCAGATTCTCCCTGCAAGCATGCCCACGATGAGTAATGAAACGACACACGTATGTACAGGCTGGATCCATGTTCCCCATGATGCTCCACATGGGGCCAAGACCTACATGCATTACTCACTGTGTTTTCTTGCTTATTCTCTGCACTGTGGTATAGATATTGTTGCAAATGTCAAAAAATCTTGCAGATATCCTTATGAGTACAGTGATAAGGAAAAGAGGAAGTATTTATGCTTATCCATAGCACAGAAAGTCCAGCTGTTGGAGAAACCAGCCAGTGGTGTAAGTGTAAAACATCTTACAGAAGATTATGGTATTAGAATTACCAGCATACATGCCCTGAAGAAACAGAAGGATAAACTGTAGCAGTTCTATGCTAAAAGTGATGAACATATATTAATGAAAGTGAAAAATGGGAAAATGCTGCATAAAGCTAAAAATGAAGATCTTGATCATGTGTTGAAAAGGTAGGTCTGTCTGTGTCACAAAGAACACATACAACTTAATTGTTTGCTAATCACAAAACCAGTAAAGAACTATCACAATGAACTGAAAAGTGAAAGGAACTGTAAATATTCAACAGACTGATTGCAGAAATTTGAGAAAGACATACTAATTTTTCTTAGCACATCTTGTTGTTGGCATTTCATTAATGAAGTTTATTTTTCTAAAAGAAATTTATTATCATTAAAATTATTATACATACAGAAAATGTATTAAACATATATGTGCATTTTACTTTTTATTTATTCTATTTTAATTATTTTATTTTATTTTATTTTATTTTAAGGCAGGTCTGGGTTTATTGCCCAGGCTGGAGTGCAGTGGCATGATCTGGGCTCCCTGCAACCTCTGCCTCCCAGGCTCAGGCAATCCTCCCACGTCAGCCTCCTGAGTAGCTGGGCCACAGGCACGTGGCACCACACCCAATTAATTTTTGTATTTTTTGTAGGGATGGGGGTTTTTGCCATGTTACCCAGGCTAGTCTTGAACTCCTGGACTCAAGTGATCCGCCCACCTCAGCCTCCCAAAGTGCTGGGATTACAGAGGTGGGCCACTGCACCTGGCCCTATGTGCATTTTAAAGAGTACTATCAAAGCAAACATCCATGTGAAGACCACCCAGTTTGGGAATGGTACTGGCAGTACCCGAGAAGTTCCCTCTATGACCTTTCCTTTTGAGGCAGGAAAATAGGGTCTGGGGGCAGGAAACATAAGGCCTATTGACACTTCAGCTATAACAGGAAATATCCTCTCCATAGGGCATACATCGAGTAAATGACTTTGTAACTTTACTTCATCCTCTTCATTTACATAGGGGGTACCCCAAGTGGAGGGTATTTAAACTCACAAAAACTCTGTAACAGGGCCTTTGAGCCCCTATGCTCGGGCCAGCTCCCATACTGTGGAGTGTACTTTCATTTTCAATAAATCCCTTCATTCTTTCCTTGCTTTGTGCGTTTTGTCTAATTCTTTGTTCAAGATGCCAGGAACCTAGATACCCTCCACCATTAACACTTTACAGATCTGCAAGTATCATCCACACTTTTGTAACAAACTTTTCTATGTGTTTCTTTATAGTTTCTTTTATCAGAATGCTTTTTATTTGTATTTTATTGTGGGAAAATCTTAATATAATCACTTGATCTCATTGTGTAATTTCTGATGAGCTCTATTGGACAAAGTGACTGGACATAACTTGTGATAGTAAATGGAAGAAGGAGTACATTTTCACCCTTAGGTGTGCTGTGGCCTTAGCATTAATTTCATAAATGTTTTCTTTGGACTCACTTCAGAGCCTCTGGGGTCAAACCCTACTTTGCTCACTGGTGGTCCCAGAATGATACCCAAAAGAGAGGTAGATATATCCTTTGGGGTTAACAATGAACAGAACCTGTAAAAATTTGAACCACTGCTTTAAATTTGTAAAGACTGCTGGTGATTAAGCATCTGCTGATCACAAAGCAGCAGAGGAATTCACTGATGAGTTCGTCAAGGTCATCGCTGATGAAAATCTGATGCCAGAACACATCTATAATACTGATGAATCAACACTTTTGGCCTTATTGCTCCAGAAAGACACCGACTACATCTGATGAGAAAGCCCCTACAGGAATTAAGGATGCAAAGACAGAATAACTGTGCTGGGATGTGGTAACACAGCAGGTATGCATGAGTGTAAACTTGCTGTGATAGGCAAAAGCTTTGCTGTCCTCAAGGAGTGAATTTCTTAGCAGTCCTTTATTATGCTAACAAAAGGCATGGATCGCCAGGGACATCTGACCTTCTTACATATTCAAGAAATGTATCCTTAAAATCCATCAATAAGCTGGAAGAAGGTGATAATTGAAAAAGTTTTTAACATCAATAACAAGGCTCCAGTTGTTTATTCAATGATCAATGGTGAAATATGACAAAACAGTTCCCAATCAAGATGATGATAATAGTGATGATGAAGATGATGTCAACACTACAGGAAAAGTATCTATTGACAACATGGTGAAAATGTGTGGTGGGCTTTTTGAAGGACTACAGCAGTGTATATTTATAACAAGACAAGAAACCTTCTCAGTTTATAAAATCAAGAAAAGACATCTAAGCAAAAACTCATTGTTAATGAGGCAGATTATTCTGGAGAAAACATTTTTAAAAGCCATCCTGCAGAATGCCTCTTCATTCCTAGAGGACCTATTTCCTGGTCCCTCAATTACTTTTGATGTTTCTTCTTACCAAACAAAAAAAAAGAAAAAGAAACACACTGTCTAGTAACCTTTTAGTCAAAGAAAAGCATCAGGTGGAGGTTGCAACCTATCACTGTTTGTTGTTGCCGTTGTCTAACAGCTGAGACAGGTATTCTGGTGATGCTACTGTGCTACTTAGTTATTCTGCACACAATATTTCTTCATTGTATTAATGGCATATCATATGTTTTAATGTTAAGTATTTATGTGTGAATAAGCTTAAGAAAATTATTGCTTATGAGTAGCATATCAGTTTAGAGCCAGGGATGATCGTGATGCCAAACAATCAGATTGTTCACATGGGTGGCTAAGATTGTGACAGCTTTGCTTCCTGGTGGCTCAATGCACAAAAACTTTGTTTCATGCACAAAATTGTTTAAAATATTGTGAAACTGCCTTCAGTCTACGTATATAAGGTGTATAGGAAATATAAATAAATTTTGTGTTTAGACTTGGGTCCCATCCCCAAGATATCTGATTATATATATGCAAATATTCCAAAATCTGTAAAAAAAAAAAAATTCCAAATCCAAAATACTTCTGGTCCTAAGCATTTTGGATAAGGGATATTCAACGTGTATTAACAATGACCAGCATACAAGCTAGGCATGGTGGCTCACACTGTAGTCCCAGCTACTCAGGAGGCTGAGGCGGGAGGATCACTTGAACCTGAAAGTTCAAGGCTGCAGTGAGCTATGATTGTGCCACTGCACTCCAGCCTGGGAGTGAGACTTCATCTCTAAAGAAAAAAATGGCAGAATACAATGAAAAAAATACTTGATATGCAAAGAAGCAGGAAAATGTGCCATAACCAGGAAAGAAAAATTTAGCAAAGTTCTCCCATCTTTGCATCCTCAATGGCAATGACCAGATGTTGAATTTAACAGACAAGCACTTAAAAATAGCTATTATAAATATATCCATGGATGTAAAAGAAAATATGCATATAATGAGACATAAAAATGGGGAATATTAATGTAGTAATGGGAATTCTAAAAATTAGTAATACCACATTTGAAACAAAAAAGTTATATTTTCAGGAAATAATAGATGGAATTAATAGCAGATTGAAAATTGCAGAGAAAAAGATCCATGCACTTGAATAAGAAACAATAGAACCTATCTGGATTAGTCTGCTAGTAATACATAGCAAAATACCACAGACTGGGTGGTTTAAACGAGACAAATTTATTTTGACAGTTCTGAAGCTGGAAGTCCAAGATCAAGGTGTCAGCAGGGTTAGTTTTCTCTAAGGCCTCTAACTTTAGATGACCACCCTCTTGCTACCTCTTCATATGGGTGTCTGCTGTGCACATATACCCTTGGTGTCCTTTCTCTTCTTATAGGACATCAGGCAGATTGGATAACTCTGATATTCTCATTTTATTTTATTATTTTATTTATTTTATTTTATTTTAATTATAGGCTTCTCAGCTGTCATATTTTCATTTTAACTCAGTCCCCTCTTTAAGACCTTATCTCAAAACTTGATTACACACTGAGGTACTAAGGGTTGGGAATTCAAAATATGAATTTGAGGTAGGGGCACAATTTAGCCCATAATACTATCTAAGAAGCTGAAGAAAAAAGATAGGGGGAAAAGCTGGAAAAAAAGAAAAAGAAAAGCATCTTAGTAACTTATGGCAAATATTAAGCATTCCAAAACATGTGGAAGTATAGTCCCAGAATGAGAGGATTCAAATATTAGAACAGAAAATATTTGGAGAAGTAATGACCAGAACTTTTCCCAATTTGATGAAAGATATCTGAAAGCTCAGCAAAACCCAAGCAGGCAAGTTCCAAAGAAAACCACACCTAGATATATATTAGTCCAATTCCTGAGTCTTAGAAGTAGCCAAAGCAAAAAGGTTTTACAATCAGGGAAGTAAACATAAGAATGACCACAGTCTTCTCATCAGAAAAAATGGAGACCTAAGCATAAGAAGATGACATCTGAAAAGTATTAAAAGGAAAAATCCCTGTCAACTCAGAATTTTTTTTTTGACAGAGTCTAGTTCTGTCACCCAGGCTGGAGTGAAGTGGCATGATCTCGGCTCACTGCAACTCTGCTTCCTGGGTTCAAGTGATTCTCCTACCTCAGCCTCCTGAGTAGCTAGGACCATAGGCACACGCCACAACGCCCAGCTAATTTTCGTATTTTTAGCAGAGATGGGGTTTCACCACATTGGCCAGAATGGTCTTGATCTCCTGACCTTGTGATCCTTCCGCCTTGGCCTCCCAAAGTGCTGGGATTACAGGTGTGAGCCACCGCGCCTGGCATCAACTCACTCAGAATTCTATATCCAGCTAAAATACATTGCAATACAAAAGCAAAATAAAGACCTTTTCATGTAAATGAAAGCTGAGAAAATTTATCTCAAAAGGCCCACATTGTAAGTTTTTCAGGCTTAAAGGAAATCCTACCAGCAGGAAAGTTGAATCTTCACAAAGGAATGAAAAACACAGAAAATGATAAATATATAGGTAAATAAAAATAAGTTTTGTTTCTGGTAGGACAAATCCCTTTATTCCTTCCCCTCCTCATCATTCTTCCTCTCTCACCTCTTCCTCCTTTGTCTTCAGGAGTAATATCTTAGCTATTCTTGGCTTTTTTTTTCTATCAGTTTTAGAATCAGCTTGTGTGATAGACATAGATTTGCTTTCATAGGCCTCCTTCAAGGAAGAATTTGCTGGCAGGCTGAAAGGAGTACAGTCAGCAGACAGCCCCCAAATATCACTTTCTTTAAGATTAGCCTCAGCTTCAGAGAACCACCTACACAGAGACTTGGCCTTTCCAGGGCAGCCTTTATCTGGTGATTAAGTGGGATGAGGAATATTTTGGCCTGAAGTAGGATGCTCTGAAGGGCAGTACTTTTCTCAGAGCTCACCACAGGGTTGGTTGAGACTTGTCAAGGCTGCATCAGAGTTTAACATCTTCCTCTGTCCAATCCTGCTTCCTCCCTGTTCCTTTCACACCTTCCTAGTTGATATGGTTTTGATCTGTGTCCCCGCTCAAATCTCATGTCAAATTGTAATCCCCAATGTTGTAGGTGGGGCCTAGTGGGAGGAGATTGGATCATAGGGGTGGATTTTCCCCTTGGTACTGTGTCATGATAGTGAGTGAGTTCTCTTGAGAGCTGGTTAAAAGTGTGTGGCACCTCCTCCCTCACTCTCTCTTTCTCCTACTCCTGCCATGTAAGACGTGCCTGCCCCCATTTCTGCTATGATTGTGGTAAGTTTCCTGACACCTCCTCAGAAGCCAAGAAGATGCCAGCATCAGGCTTCCTGTACAGCCTGTGGAAACATCAGCCAACTAAATCTCTTTTCTTTATAAATTACCCAGTCTCAGGTATTTCTTTATAGCAATGTGAGAACTGACTAATATACTTGTAAACATCTAGCACCCCAAACTCCATCTCAACATCTGCTTTTGGAGTACACAAACTATCAAGTCCCTTGAAAAAACTTATTAGAATTTTCATAGCAAATGAATTGATAGTATAGAACAAGTTAGAAGTGACATTTTTTAACACTGAGTTTTCATATTTATCCATATGACATATTTCTTCACTTATGTCTTCTTTAGTATCTTTCAATTAAGTTTTCACATTTCTTATTAAAGGTCTTGCCCATATTTTGTTAGATTATTTTCTCCTATGTAGCTAGGAGAAAATATTTTTGACTGCATTTATATATGCACACACATATATATGTTTAAAGTAAGTTTTCTGAAGGTTGCAAGTTTGTGAAACTGTAACTGGCTTTTGTGTATTGATGATATGTACTTTCTTATTCATACACAGGGCAGAAAGCTATTTTGATACCCTGACCACCAAACAAAAGGATTGAGCTTTGCTCTGATTGAATCACTGGGATCACATGCCCATTCCAAAATGAATGACTGAAGCTGGGAAAATGCTGCATGTTGATTGGTTGGACCTGGGTTACATAGTGCACTGATCTCTGTGGCAACAGAGGTAGAATTATGCAACTATTGGAGGCCAATCAGGAGCCACAGCAGGATCGCATGGCTAGGAAACTGAGGGTCTGATTAGGAAAGATGAGTGGAGGATTTGTTGCTCAGGAAGGGGCCCATTATGTCCACTACTCTGGAAAACACTTCTGTTGCTGTAGGACCCTGGATGCCCCAGTTCCACCAAAACACTGGATTCATTAGAGCAGCAGCAGCAGCAATCTCAACAGCACTTTAGAATGTCACCAAGGTTACAAAGTCCAGGCATGTGATTGGTTATAAAAAGATTTTTCTTATCCCTGAATAATTAACCATTTCATTCCAGAATAAAGAAAATATAATGTTTCCACCACTCAGCAAATATTTGGATGAATTCTTATTTATGTTTAACTCGATCTACATTCAAGACAAAAAAGACAAGCGTTGTTTCTGCCAGACATTCTGTTTTGATATATTATTCTATTTCCACAGTATCCAATGGTTTTATTAATCCCATTTTATAGATGAGACAGCTAAGCCTCAGAATAATGATGTGGAGTCTTGCCCCAGGTGATACAGCTACTAAGATATTGTGACTCAGAATTGAGCATCTAGTGATCCTAAGTCACAGAGCACAGTCAGGTGAATTGGATCTTACTGTCTTAAAACAAATGGTCCCTGTTATCGTGAGCTATTCTGAGGATAGAAATTGTTGCTATGTATACAGTATCATTTGCATTATCTGATTATCAGATCTCACATTTCCATGAGCGTTTTCTTTCACTGCCACATTGACAATTTTGTGTTCTTTTTTCCAATGTTCCCAGTAAGTAGAAAAGCAGTACAAGATATTTTAGTTTTGTCAAATAGGAGCCTGACAGCCAGTATACAGTCGTTTATTATTACAACTGTGTCCCAGGGCACCTCATTGCAGCTATTTTGCAAGGTATTTTTAGCTTCATGCATATGGTCCTGTGTCAGCCCATTTGTTATCTGAAGAGCCAAACACTCGTGTATTTTTAGCAACATGATTACTCTGCTTCCTTTATCTGCAGAAGCCCATCTCTTTGCCAATTACAGGATCCATTAGTTGACCAGCTGCCATATGAGCTCTGCTCCTGACATTAGATGTGTTTTTCTCCTTACGATAATATTTAGAGGAGAAGCTATTCTTTCCTGGAGCAGCACAAGTTTTGCCAAACAATATACCTGAAGTAAATGATTCACTTATATAATCTTTATTAATCTAATTAAAGTTGGCATGATAAAGCTTTTTTTTTTAATTTTGGGATTAACATATTCAGATCTGAACTGTTTGAGAAAAAAAAATGGATCAGAATCCATTTTAATGGTAAGTGTCACATAAACCAAGCACATAATCATTTTGTTAAAAATATCCCACTTAAGCCAGGTGGGTGGTGCACTCCTGTAGCTCCAGCTACTCAGGAGGCTGAGGCAAGAGGATGGCTGGGGTCCAGGAGTTTGAGTCCAACCTGGGCAACATAGAGACATTCGTTTCTAAAAAAAATTTCTTTAAAATATTTAATTAGTACATGAAAACCTACTCTAGTTCTTAAGATGATAACTGGTTTTACCTTCATTTTTTTAAATCAATATATGTAATTTAGTGATTATGCTAGTGTTGAATAACAGTATTTTCTGTAAATTAATACTCAGAAAAGTGTTATCAGAGCCATATTTCATAATTTAGCTTACTAATTAGAAGAAGATTCAAACTATTTACTAGAACAAACTGAGTTGATTTTTTTTTAATTTTAATTTTAATGTTTTTTTTTTTTATTGAGACAGAGTCTCTCGCTGTTGCCCAGGCTGGAGTGCAGTGGCACGATCTCAGCTCACTGCAACCTCCACCTTCTGGGTTTAAGTGATTCTTCTGCTTCAGCCTCCCGAGTAGCTGGGACTACAGGCGCCCGCCACCACACTGGCTACTTTTTTTTTTTTTTTTTTTTTTTTTTTGTATTTTTAGTAGAGACGGGGTTTCACTGTGTTAGCCAGGATGGTCTCAATCTCCTGACCTCATGATCCACCTGCCTCAGGCTACCAAAGTTCTGGGACTACAGGCGTAAGCCACCACACCCGGCCCTGAGTTGATATTTTAATCTCATCCTCATACAGCCCGTCCGTGGCCACGATTTACTAAGTGCTTACTGTGGGCCAGGTACTAGTCTATGCTGGCATTTTATAAATATTATCTCTAATAATCACAGCAACTGAAAAGTTAGGAAAAGTTACTATTACACTATTTGACAGATGAGAAAACTGAGATTTGGAAAGGCTAAGTCACTTGCTATAACATATAACTTTAATCCATTATTAACTACTATCAACTCATAAGTAGCCTAACCATTTTTTAAAAAATCTTGTACCTTATGACAAAAAAAAAACAACACATTTTCTTCTTTAAGCAGCTATTGGGGAAGAGTCCCATTTAACTCCCTTATCTAATAATCACCTATAAAATTATCAGGAAGGCCAACATTATGTGCTGGACTGGTGAGTAACTTTTTGCACAAAGTGAGGAAGGCAGGATCGAAGCAGTCTGTTCTGAAGGGATGTCTAGTTGAATGGTCTGGTTTATTCTCCTGTCCAGTTGGTTTCCAACATCCTTCAGGATGTGAGGCTGTCTCTGCACATTTAGCTATCTTGCTCTGGTCTGTTAAGACAACCTCCTAGCCTTGTTTAAAGGCCATTTTAATTCCAGGATCTTTGAAAACCATGCCGTGGAATCCTGAATCCCTGTTAGAGAAGATAAAAAAAAAAAAAAAAGGAAAACAGGATTCAATTCAATGCTGGATTGCTCAGCACCAGCTAAATAAAAAGCACTGCTTTAATGCTTTAAGGGTAGAAAGTTGAAAAGGGAATCGACATAGTTCTTGTCATCCATGAGTAGTCTGTGGGAGTATATAGGTAGATATGGTAATGACTACAATAGCCAAACTGATCTAAGATGGTATGATGGGGGGATAAAGGAGGGAGAAATTAATTATAACTGGGAGACCAAAGAAAGCATAACAGGGGAAGTAGGATTTGAAAGCCCATTGGTGGCAGGCAAAACCCTGACCAATGAGCTCAGGGAAGGATACAACAGACAGAAGACAGAATGCATTGCACAAAGAAAAACAGAAACAGAAAATGATGTGGGTCAAAGTCAGGGAGTGATGTAAGGGGAAGAAGTTATCCCAGAGACTGGGGGAAGACACAACAACAAGACGGCTCCATCAGGGTCTGACAACAAGGTTCTAGGGCAGAATAAATTACTTTCACCAAATGTATTCACTGGATGATACTAGGGCTTCAGTAGCCCAAATAACCTCCAACTTTAAGTATAGTAAAGTCAGGCATTAATTAGAGCTAGAGGAGACCCTAGAGATCATCTTGTCTAACCCCTTCCTATCTGTGTGTGTGTGTGTACAGTTGACTCTTGAACAAACAGGTTTGAACTGCGTGGGTCCACTTATATGTGGATTTTCTTCTGCCTCTTCCACTTCAAGACAGCAAGACCCACTGCTCTTCTTTTTCTTCCTCCTTAGCTTACTCAGTGTGAAGACAACAAAGACGTAGACCTTTATAATGACCCACTTCCACTTAATGACTAGTTAAGATATTTTCTCTTTCTCTTAATTATCATTTTCTTAATAGTTTCTTTTCTCTAGCTTACATTATTGTAAGAATATAGTATATAATACATGTAACATAAAAATATGTGTGAATCGACTGTTATTTATAAGGCTTCCAGTCAACAGTAGGCTATTAGCAGTTAAGTTTAATGGAGTTAAAAGTTATATGCAGATTTTTTACTATGTGGGGGTCATCACCCCTTACTCCTGTGTTGTGGGAGGGTCAACTACATATATAAATATGCAACCACTGCAATCCTAAGAAGTTAACATGACAATGACTGCACTGGGATGGGACCAGCATTCACGTCTCCTCAAATTCTTAGGAATAAATTTATATAGTTTGGTAGACTTCAGTAATTCTCTGGAAGACTGTGTCTGATGTATGTTAGGCAAAGTCTTGTCTGGAATTAAGACACTTCCTTCTGTGTGAGAATTATCCCCCACTCCGGGGTTAGGAGTACAGTGGCAGACTCCTTGGTACTACAGACCATCAAAAGATTAACCAGGGGACTCTGGCCAATGGAGCTGTTTGGAAATGTCCTGGGATATATGGTGGGAATTACTATTTTCAAGACATACTTTAAGATTTAAAAACGTATAAAAGAATGTGGCCCTAAGTGTGTCACCTTACGATTGGTATACAGGGAGTATATATGCTTTACCTTTGACTTCTCCAAAATGAATGATCTTGGAAAAGTGAATAAAAGAAGAAAGGTATATTAGCCCATTCTCACACTGCTGATAAAGACATACCTGAGACTAGGTAATTTATAAAGAAAAAGAGGTTTAATGGACTCACGTGACAGGAAGGCCTCACAGTCATGGCAGAAGGTAAAGGCACATCTTACATGGTGGCATACAAGAGAGAATAAGAGTCAAGCAAAAGGGGGTTTCCCCTTATAAAACCATAAGATCTTGTGAGACTTATTCACTACCACGAGAACAGTATGGGGGAAACCACCTCCATGATTCCATTATCTCCCACAGGGTCCCTACCACAACATATGGGAATTATGGGAGCTACAATTCAAGATAAGATTTGGGTGGGGACACAGCCAAACCATATCAAAATGGGTGCTTAGAACATGCCTCTACAACTGCATGGACCCTGCCTCCACCTGACTGCTGGTGTAGCAGACGTTTCCTCAGGTTGTAAGGTCTGCCATTTAGATCACTGCACAGACACTCACCTCTTATTGAGTTAAAAAGAACAGTGAAGAAAAGGAGAGATGAGTATGAATAATGGTTTTTAATGAGTTGTATGGTCCTTTAGAGGGACAAGGTGCACTTTTCACTACTACTTACTATTTCCTGCCCACTTGCATTTCCCTACATGAGGCCAATTGTAAAAATTTTTCAGGAATAAAATTTTATTACCCTGGGGTAAATAGGGAAAAAATGATTCTAGGTAAGATAACCATTTGTGTGTATGACACATGAGGGATGTATCAAACATGGGTGGCACAAATCAGAAGCTACTTGTGATGGTTAATTTTATATGTCAACTTGACTGGGCCATCGGGTGCCCAAATATTCAGTGAAACATTATTCTGGGCCAGGTGCAGTGGCACAAAATGGCAGTCCCAGCTATCTGGGAGGCTGAGGCAGGAGGATCGCTTCATCCCAGGAGTTTGAGGCTGTGGTGCACTATGGTGTGCGATGATAGTGCCTGTGAATGGCCTCTGTACTCCACCCTGAGCAACATAGTGAGATGCTGTCTCTAAAATTAATTAAAATTGTTAAAAAAAAAAAACCACATTATTCTGGGTGTTTCTGTGTGTGTGTGTGTGTGTGTGTGTGTGTGTTTTCTTTTTTTTGGATGAGATTAACATTTAAATGGGTAGACTGAATAAATTGATTACCCTCCCTAAGATGGGTGGACCTCATCCATCAGTTGAAGGCCTAAATAGAACAAAAGGGCTAACTCTCCCACAAATAAGAGAATTTTGTCTGCCTAATTGCCTTTAAACTGGAACATCAGCTTTTTCCTGTCTTTGGACTCAAACTGAAACATCACCTCTTCCTGGGCCTCAAGTACACTTCAGGCCTTCAGACTGGAACTGCATCGTTGGCTCTCCTGATCTTTGGGCCCTTGGACTTGGACTGGTTCCACACCATTGGCTCTCCTGGGTCTCTGGTTTACCAACTCACCCTGCAGAGCTTGGAACTTGCCAGCCTCCACAATTGCGTGAACTAGTTCCTTATAATAAATCTCCACAACCTATTGGTTCTGTTTCTCTGGAGAACCTTGACTAATACAATACTCTAGGTATTTGAAGTAGCAAGAGGTTTAGTACAGGGATTAGAAGCTCATTACCCATTTGAAAGACTAGGGGGACCGTTAATTATGGAATCCACTGCTGACGTTTAGGTAATCAGAAAATAAAGGAATCACGGGATCCTGTGGTGATTCACAGGAAGTGGGTGCTCCACAGCAAGGCACCCAAAAGCTGCTGGCCAAGCCCCATGTCTGTCATCTGCTGAGGTTCTCACGTGAGGCTGCCCATGCTGTGGAAGCAAAACAGCTTCTGCTTTTCTCTCCCCTTCAAATATCACTCCGCATCTCCCAGGGAGGAATCTAAACTGGAACTCTGCCAATAAGAGTGAGTTTGAGAAACGTAGTTTTTAGGCCTCCAGCCCCTGTAATAATTGGAAGAGCTTGGAAGAATCATAAATAAAACCTCAGTGAATAAAAAACTTTTGTTCTACTCTTTCCCCTCTTCTCGCTACTGCACTTAACTAGTCTTAAAAAAAAAAAAGGGGTAGGGTCCAAAGGTAGTGAGTTAAGGCAATTGATTGTTCATAGTCAGTTACAGATTTAACTCCTTGTTCTACTCTTTCCTTTCTTCTCACTACTACGCATGACTAGTTTTAAATATATATATATATATAAAATAAATAAAGTAAAATAAAAACAAATTGATAGGATGAAATCTCATTGACCTGAATAACAACAACATCAACAAGATTTATTCCTTCATCAGACACAGCAAAGGCACACATTTTAGCTGTGATGGCAACAGCAGGTGGTGTGGAGACTCCTACCTGTTGACTCTGTGAAGTGATACCCAGAACCAGCACTGTGATTCAGTAGCAAAGCCACGTTCTCCTGGAAGTCCATAAGGCACCATCAGCCTTCCTGGTTCTCAGGCCTTTGGACTGGGAGATGTTCACTGTTTCTATGTATGTCAGTGACATTTGAACAGATTCAGCTATACCATTTCCCTGACACCAAAGTGAAAATTAACCAAGTATAAAAAAAGAAGTGGAAAATTTAAGCCAGACCAGGGAGAAGATTTTGCATACACTAAAAGGTGGAACAAGCTCCTGGTTCTTAGGAAATTAATAAATAGCTCACTTCTGTCAAAGCAGTCAGCAAAACAACTAAAAGAACTCTGTAGCATGGAGAGTATATGGTATATGGTCAACAAATCCACATACCAATTACTACACGTAGACAAAAGGTGTTTACCACAGTTAATAAATTCAATTCATGATGAGATTGTGGATGTATAAAGCTCCGTAAGTGTTTATTAATCAGGCAATACATTGGTATTTTAATGTGGCATAATGTCAACAATAAAACACATTGTAAAAGCTCTAAATATTCAAGCCCCTAGAACATGTAGGTAACATATGCAAATTAGAAATCAGAGTGTGTCTGATTGTCCTGTTGGTCTCCTGTTACCACTTCACTGTTCATGAAGGCTCTCCTTCACTGCATGCTGACCACAGAGGTTAGTGATAAGGAGGGTTTTATGGCATGCAAACAAAGCTGTTAATTTCACCTAATAGAATGGTTACAACTATGAATTAGCCTAATGATGCAGGGGAAATCATCTCTACAATGGCGCAGATAGGAAAATGTTTGGAGATCTGCAGAAATTCCTATTACAGTTAAAGTAAGGAAGAAAGAAGCATCTCATTAACTTCCTAAAATGACCCTTCAAGAAAGGTATCCTAATTGTCTAGATAGTTAACCTGGGGCACAGAGAAGGAAACAGAAATGCCCAAGGACTAGGAGACCTGGGTTTGAATCCAAGTGTGCCTGACTCAAACCTGCTCCACCAGCTCATGTTGCCTCTCAGCATTATTAGTAATAGAAAGGGCATTATTAGCAATAAAAAGAAGCCTGTTATTAGCAATGAGAAAGCACTATGCACGAAAATTATAAACTAGTATTCTGTTAATTATTCTTCTGAGTAGATAAGTATTTGTTATTTAAGTAAGACTACATACCTTATTAAAGTTTCCAGTAAACATATTGACTCCCCTTGAGAGAAGCTGCTGCAAATGTCAAGATGGGTAAAATTTAAACACACATAAGGAAATTCAGATACAGGATTGTTTGCTAACAGACACTAATTATACTAAAAAAGGCAAGAAGATTTGGAGACCAAACATATGACTAAATTAGATGATACAGATGCCGCTGCAGTCTCTTCCACTGCATTCTAGATTCTAGGCGGAGGACTGTTGATTTCTTTTTGGATTGAATGTTGAGACTCTTCTGATATGGTTTGGCTTGTGTCCCCACCCAAATCTTGAATTGTAGCTCCCAAAATTCTCACGTGTTGTGAGAGGGACCCGGTGGGAGATAATCGAGTCATGGAGGTGGTTCCCCCGTACTGTTCTCGTGATAGTGAATAAGTCTCAGGAGATCTGATGGTTTTATAAGGTGAAATCCCTTTCACTTGGTTCTCATTCTCTTTCGTCTGCCACCAGGAAAGATGTGGCTTTCATCTTCCACCATGATTATGAAGCCTCCCCAGCCATGTGGAACTGTAAGTCCATTAAACCTCTTTTTCTTTATAAATTAACCTAGTTTCCGGTATGTCTTTATCAGCCGTGTGAAAATGGACTAATACATCCTCCAAATGAACAACATTGTTAACTGGACTTTCTTGTTTTAAATGGAGTGGTTGAAAATGCAAATACTTCCGGGGGCAAGCTGGCAATAAAATAAGTGATGGGGCAAGATATAAAATAATACGAAGTGGTGAGAACTGTGCAAAAGCCCACAGTAACGCCTTGCCCAAAGAGAGCAGCAGATGATCAGCTTGAGAGATTCTTCACAGTGAATGTTGGCCCAGGGATGTCAGATCTTCCAGCTTTTTAAGGTGAAGATAGAGATCTATATTTTACATAAAATCATCTGATATTTTATTTTCCACTTCTTTATTTTTTCAAATTGACAACAATTCTATATATTTATGGCATACAGCAGGATGTTTCGAAACGTGTTTATGATGTGGAATGACTAAATCAAGCTAATGAACATATGTATTACCTCACATACTAATTTCTGTGTGGCAAGAACACTTAAAATCTGCTTTTTTTTTTTTTTTTTTTGAGACAGAGTCTTGCTCTGTCGCCCAGGCTAGGGTGCAGTGGCGTGATCTCAGCTCACTGCAACCTCCGCCTCCCGGGTTCAAGCATAAAATCTGCTTTCGTATTAACTCCAGTCACCATGATGTACAATAGATCTCTTGACCATATTCCTTCTGTCTAGCTGAAATTTCGTATCTTTTGACCAACACCTCTCCCAACACCCTCAGGCTCTAGTAACCACCATTTTACTCTCTGCCTATATGAGTTCAACTTTTTCAGATTCCACATATAAAAGAGATCATTAAGTATTTGTCTTTCTGTGTCTGGCTTATTTCACTTAATGTCCTCTAGATTCATTTATGCTGTCACAAATGACAGGATTTTCTTCTTAAGGCTGACATACTTCATTTTGTGTTACATACCACATTTTTTACCCATTCATACATAATAAAGACTTGGGTTGATTCCATATCTTGGTGGTTGTGAATAATGCTGCAATGAACATGGAGGTGCAGATATCTCTTTGATACATCAATTTCATTTCCTTTGGATATATTGGTATATACCCATTCCTGGGATTGCTGGATCATATACGGTTGTTCTAGTTTAGTTTTTTTGAGGAACCTCCATACTATTTTCCATAATGGCTGTACTAATTTACCTTCCCTCCTATGAAATCATCTGATTTTTAAAGACTGGCAATTAATTCCATTTTTTAAGATGACAGTGTGGGCCAGCCTCTTTAGATGTTGGTTCCTGTGTATTAATAGTTCTCACATTTGTCTACAGACTCTGCTGAATTAATGCTGATGTCTCATCCAAAGCCATGGTATAGTCTGCAGGTCATTTTGGTTCTGAGAATCTATATTGGCAGGCATGATGGTCGGGGCCTTTGTACAAAGTAGGCACTGCAGGCCTATGTGCACAGGCCACTTACAAGATTGATCATCTGCCCACTGCAGACAGACGTTTTAGTTGGATAGACCTTGATTAACCTGCCCATGGATGTTGGAGAACCCTGAGATCCAGAGGGGTTATAGCACATGTCCAGCATCTCACACTGCTCCCCTCCCTACCCTGGGCCCTTCTCACCACCACAAGATGACTTAGTAGATTACTTGGTTGGAAACAAAAAAAAAATGAAAATAATTCTGTTGTTTATCAGGCGAGTTTGGCAGAGATATTGTTAACTTTGAAAGAAAGATATGCTTGAGATACCTGGTGGCTCACAGCCACCTTTAAATGATTGTAATCTCTCAGTATAATTACAATCTCTTTTGTGTAAGCATCTTAGAAACCTGCTTCTCTCACTAACCAAGCCTGACCAGTTAGGACAGTTTTAAAAGAACAATAAATCCTTTAAATCACTAAAGCAATACATGTATGTGAAAAATTCAAGCAAATGCCACGTAGAGTCAAAATTAAAAGTCTCCCTTGGCTCCTGTTCCATACCTCTTCCCACAGGTAGCTGGTGTCAGCCAATGAGTGTTTTTCCCTTTTCCTATTCTTTTGCATGTGTGCACACACACATATACACATACACACAAAAATGTGTATTTTAATATTTTAGACATAAATAGACGTAAATAGCAACATGCTGTATATGTGCTGCATTATTCTGGGACTTGCTTTGTTTATTAGACAATGTGTTTTGAGTGTAACTATCTGTGAAGTTTTCCAATCAACTTTTAGGTTTTAGGAAGTTGAATATGTGCATAAAGTACAACCAAAAGTTGTACTTTATAGATTTATAGATTTGGAAGCTTATCCAGAGCTACATGAGGCTTTAAAATTTTTTGATAACTAAGTGCCACAGCTGTACCCATATCCATATAATAAACATGGTCTTGGAAAGTACTGTTTACTGAATTTGCAAATTGAATGATGTTATAAAAATGTCCAGAAAGCTGACTATTGGGAAGGATCCTACAGTGATTTCTTTTTTTAAAAAAAATTTTATGTATTTATTTTGAGATTTAAAAAATATCAGATTCACATTTATTCATGCTAAAGATTTAATGAATGGGCCATACTTTCTATTTTTGGCAATCTCAATAATATGCCTTTTGGAACTGAAGGCAAAATATGCCTTTTTGCAGAAATGCCATATTATTTGAGTTTTTCTTTTTTTAACTTTTAGTTTCAGGGGTGCAGGTGCAGTTTTGTTATATAGGTAAATTGCATGTCATGGGGATTTGGCGTACGGATAATTTCATCACCCAGGTAATAAGCGTAGTACTCAATAGATATTTTTTTTTTCTGATTCTCTCCCTCCTCTTATCCTCCACCAAGTAGGCCCCAGTGCCTGTCATTCCCCTCCTTGCATCCACATTTTCTTCATTTACTCCCACTTGTCCTTTTTTTTTTTTTTTTTTTGAGAGACAGGGTCTATTTGCCCAGGCTGGACTCAAACTCCTAGGCTTCAAGCAATCCTCCTGCCTTAGCCTTCCAAGTAGCTGGGCCCACAGGTATGAACCCCCCACACCTAGCTCAATCTTTTCACTGTTGATTGTTTTGCTATGCAGCAACTTTTTAGTTTGATGTAGTCTCACTGGTTTATTTCTGTTTTTGTTGCCTATTTAACTGTTTTTGTTTAAAGTGAGGTTTTAAGCTGAAATTTCTCTCAGCCTGAGAGTTTTAAAAAGGAGAATTTCGGTTTGATGATTTATTGAACATGTCCAAATAGAAAAAAAGACATTTTTCATGAAAGAGAAGAAAGGGATTCACCCTCAACAGCAGAAGATGAGTGCCATGGTTTATATTTCAAAATTCTGGTGACCTGGATAGTCCATGGAGCTGAGGCTTTGACCAATTCGTTAACAAATGATAATGCCTCTAATCTGATAAAGCTATTAATCCTCAAGTATTTACGTAACACAGATGCAAAGATATGAATTAGTGTTTTTTTAAAAAAACTGTCAGTTACCAAATTCATATACAGGAGTTTGCAAATTTTGAAAGGGCTGTGTGTCAAAAGTTTGCTTGGCTTTCAAAACGCATTGCCCAAATAAAGTGGCTAGATTTCCAGCAAAGTCCAGGAGGCAATCTGATGTATACACGAGGTGAAATAGTATCAGTAGATCACTGAGTTCCAGAATCTCTTAGGAGCCCCAGATCCTGCAGCCCTCTACAACATTCCAAGGCCCTGACATGGGTAGGAATTGGTAGTTTCCATGGCAGTAGCAAGCAGACTCTGCAGAGAGGTGGGTGGGGCTTTGGTGATCTAGTGACTGTGAAGCGAAGGTAGGAAGCAGCTCAGGTTTCAGTCCTAGAGCCTCTCTTTCCATTTCTGCCAGTTTCTGGCTGTCTAGCCCTCTTCAAACAACAAATAACAGAAATAAGGAATTTGTTGACAAGTGAGTTGTCTGGAGAGCTACGGGTGACAGTGGAGGGTTTTTCTCCCTTTCCATGGCAACTCTCATCATCTTGGAAAAGCTTGATTCAATCCTGTACACATCTTCAGCTCATGAGTGAGAACTATCAGTAGAGTCACTACAAGAAGCCAGATCTGGTCTGGTCTGCGTACCTGCTTAAAAACTCCCAGTCTCCATGGGCTGGATTTTGCCTGGGTTCTGAGGCCTCATGTTAGAGTTATCATCCTGCTTTTATAGTACCTACATTTCAGGTGAAAGAAACTCATGATACAGATGATGAATTAAACATTCAGCCTCTGAATACAATATGATTTAGTGAACAACATGCACATCTAGAAAGCACATTGGGTTTCGGGTCTAAAGATCAGTATCTGCAGCCAGAAGTTGCAAGTGTGAATATTGGTTCTCCCTTTAGTTGAAAAGGCCTTTAGAATTCATGTAACCTCTTTGAGTCTCAGGCTCAATTGGGGGTGGGGAGTATCAGTCCCACCTACCTCATGAGGTTGGTGTGAAGATTTGTACACATAAGAGGGTAAATGTATGAAAATGCTTTGGAAACTAAAGCTCTATGTGAAACTTGCTCTCATTCAGGTCTCCAAGGGTCTAATATTACCTACCCAGACAGGTCTAATAGGTGAATTTTGGGTTCCCTGAGCTACCCAAAAGCAGGAAAAACCTTACAGTGGCTGGAACCAGGCACCAGAGAGCTATCTTTCAGGGGTTGTTTGCTCACCTTGGACTTATCCATATGGCTGCTTTATTTTTCTCTCATTTCCACATGACAGAGTTATCTGCTCCACAGTGCGGTCTCCAGTTTTTAAATTTTCTTCTCTTTAGTGCAGCAGATACTGATTGGGATCTCTGAATCCAAATTCCCAAAGAGGGAGCATGTGATGAGCCCAGATTTGGCCAGGTGTCCAGCCCAGGGCCAATTAGTTCTGGCCAGGGCCTGGGTCATCTGGCTCAAACATGGTGGCCAATCTCCTCTCCCCATTCCTTCCTCCTCCCATGGGTAGATTATGGGTAGAAGAGGAAAGAAGTTCTCTCATAAAAGCATTGTGAGATGGTAGATGGTGGGCCTCACAAAATGTATCTAATACATTTTGTAGCTTGGGGAGAAATCACTCCACATCTCCAAGCCTCAGTTTTCTTTTCCATAAAATGGAGATTAAAACCACTTTTGCACCAGGAATGTTGTAGAATTTAAATGTAATAATTTGAAAATGAGTCATGAACTCCAAGAGCTCTAAAAAATGTGATGTCTTACTCTTAGCCAGAGCAACTAAGTATTTATTTAGCGCTTATTACTCATGAAGAATACTTTTCAATACAAAAGTGAAAAGTAGAGATAAATCCAAGGAATAGAGTGTAGTTTAGTAATGAAGATCACTGGTTTTGGAGTCAAACAGATTTGGGTTCAATTGTCCTTGTAACCACTTACCAGTTGGGTGGCTTTGGCCAAGTTTTCTATCTCTGAGCCTCAGTTTCCTCACCTGTAAAGTGAGAGTATTAGTCTTAATTACAGCCTCTATAGCCTCTATAGTTTGCTGAGAATGATGGTTTCCAGCTTCATCCATGTCCCTACAAAGGACGTGAACTCATCCTTTTTTATGGCTGCATAGTATTCCATGGTGTATATGTGCCACATTTTCTTAATCCAGTCTATCACTGTTGGACATTTGGCTTGGTTCCAAGTCTTTGCTATTGTGAATAGTGCCACAATAAACATACATGTGCATGTGTCTTTATAGCAGCACGATTTATAATCCTTTGGGTATATACCCAGTAATGGGATTGCTGGGTCAAATGGTATTTCTACTTCTAGATCCCTGAGGAGTCGCCACACTGACTTCCAGAATGGTTGAACTAGTTTACAGTCCCACCAACAGTGTAAAAGTGTTCCTATTTCTCCACATCCTCTCCAGCACCTGTTGTTTCCTGACTTTTTAATGATCACCATTCTAACTGGCGTGAGATGGTATCTCATTGCGGTTTTGATTTGCATTTCTCTGATGGCCAGTGATGATGAGCAGTTTTTCAAGTGTCTGTTGGCTGCATAAATGTCTTCTTTTGAGAAGTGTCTGTTCATATCCTTTGCCCACTTTCTGATGGGATTTTTTGTTTTTTTCTTGTAAATTTGTTGGAGTTCTTTGTAGATTGTGGATATTAGCCCTTTGTCAGATGAGTAGATTGCAAAAATTTTCTCCCATTCTGTAGGTTGCCTGTTCACTGTGATGGTAGTTTCTTTTGCTGTGCAGAAGCTCTTTAGTTTAATTAGATCCCATTTGTCAATTTTGGCTTTTGTTGCCATTGCTTTTGGTGTTTTAGACATGAAGTTCTCAAAGCTTATTTAGAGGTCACATATAAAACAAGGTAAAAGGAACGAGGAAATAAGAAAGATGTAAAGAAAGTTATAAAAGTAAAGACTTTTTTTTTTTTTTGGTAGGAAAGCTTAAAGAGAAATAATTTCATACAAGAAAGACTCTTGTATGGTAAATTAATACCAAAGTAAAATGACTGGTTGTTGAAGACAGAGAGATGCTCAAGACAAACCAGAAAGTCTAAGCATGTCATGAACAGTCTATGTATGTCACAAGAGGATTTATTTTTAAAAAACTTTTATATAATCAAGTTGTCATATTATTATTAAGTTTTGGTTTGCTTAGGAAAAAAATCTGAGAATAAATTTTTTTATTAAGGTTATTATATCTGCATATCTCTCTGTATGCCCTTTCAAAGGGCTTGTGACATTGAGTTACAGGGCTTTGACTCCTGGGCCTGAAAAGTACACCAAGCCCTGCTAAATTTTAAACACTTACAGCAATTAAAGCCCCATCTTCAGGCCCTGTAGAAAATGCCATCAAAATAAACTGCATTCTTGAGACACAGGGCCAGAAATTAAAGCTATTCAACTCCTCAAGGCCCAGGGACTATCATGGAAGAGGTGAGCATGTGAGATTGTAAGGGCCAATTTTGAGAGATAAAATAAGTTCAGTTTCTCTATAAATTAATCATCAATGTCAAAAGCATACTAATGTAAGACCAGCATCTGGGCCCCTGTGTCAGAGTAACAGTTTTCTTGAAGCATTAATTGACTGCTTAATAAAGGTTATAAAAGTTATAAAAGGCTTATGGAAGTTATATCTTATGGTTAAGATTAAAATTTTATAGATTGTTTATATAATTTTGAAAAACAAATTTAATTGGCTTCATGCTGTTTTTATTAGGGCTTATTGTTTGGGAAATTAAGTCTCCTCTCTCAAAGAGTGAAGGTTTTCACCTTTTTTCAGAATTCTTGAGTTATCACTTCGGTTAAATGAAATGTACAATGACCTGTGATGCTATTTTGTGATATCAAGTGTTTTACACCTTTGATATTTGACAAACTTTCCAAATCAAATTATAAATTATGTCTTTTTCTGACCTAATTAATTCTTTAGGATATGATGTTCCCTATAGTTCAAAAATGACATATTTGGCTTATTTGGTATGAAATTATACAGGAAACATTGTCAAATATAAAATGGTGCTTAGTTTTCTTTGGGCTGTGCTTGTGTAAATATGTCATTGGTATGTATTCCAAAATTATGGAAAACTCCTATAATTCTGATATGACTTACTGTACATTATCAGTAATAATTACAATTGTTATGTTAAATTATTGTGTGCCACAGAGGTAACAAATTCCTTTGTCAATTGTTTCTTTGACTATGGCTGCCCTAAAACTTTTTGTCATCCATGGACAATTGTTCTTTGGTTTTTGTCCTCTTTAGAAGGTGGTTTTATAATCAGCTATGAAACTCTAATGGGTACTCTTGAATGCAGGTTTCTAATAACTTTGGAGATTGTGATATCAGAATAGAGAAAAAACTTTCAGGGCTCATGGAGATCTGAAATGTTCATGAATATCAAGGAGAAGTAATATTTTTAACTTTTTGCTTAAAAAGTTGCTGATCCTTTGTTTCGTTTTTCAGGGTCAAGAAAAGTTTTAAACTATTTACATTAAAGCTTTTAACAATTGAGTAAAGTGTACTCCTATGAACAAAATTTGGATCATATTTGCTTTCTTTCTACCTGATTTCTCCAGAATTCGGAAACTATTTGTGAGTTTCCAAATAGTTTGGAAAGAATAGTTTCCAAAGAATAGTTTGGAAACTACTCTTAACTTATGGCAATAAAGTTATGTGTATAAGTGCAGTAAGAATCTGTTTTCATTTATAATAGGACACAATTAGAGCAACTGGTTACCTTACCAACACTTCTACTGGAATGGTGTGTTTTCCTTTGAGGAGTCAAACTTGACTTATAGAGCCAGTAAAAGTGCCTTTGGAAAACTGGCCTCGTGCTTGTCTACACAGTCCCTGTACAGGGTTCCTGACCTGTGGTAAGTAAAGAATGTCACTTTCTGACAGGCTTAGGAGCCCCAAGTTTTATCTTGGAACCTCAAGAGGAGAGGATCACCCAACTCATAAGTATTTGATGGTACAAATCCATGGCTGGGCTCAGCTTTAAAAATATCTGATTGCCTAAAGTCTTATCTGAGATTCCTTCCATGGAACAAAGTCCTATCAAAGCCAATTTAAAAGCTTATGTAAAAAGTAATTATTCTTGCTGCACTGTATACAAATAATTAGGCCAAGTATAATAAAGCAAACCAGGCATACCATGATTTGCCTTTAGTAGCAATGAGAAACTGGAGAGAGAAAAATTAAGTTTCAAAAACTATAGTGGATCTGTTATTAGATTCCAGTCTTTCCTAATGTTTTTCAATTTTTATTATTTTCTACAGTTTGGACTGAATTTTAATTTTACTAGGCTACAAGTCTTCAAAATAATGTTTTTAATTTTTTTCCTTCTTTTTTTTTCCTGTTTTTCCTAATTTGGAGTCACTGAAAACTAAGCTGTGTTTTCATAAAGCCCTGTAATCCAAAGCTAGACAACTTCAACTTCAGAAGAAAGTAACAGCCTATTTGCATACATAAGCCACTTTCATACCTGCCTACTGATGTATGGACTTCAGAGTAATGTGGCCTATATTGATTTTCCAGGATTGTTCTTTTGTTTGTTGTTTTCTCCTTTTCTCCCCCTACTTTCTCTTCATAGGACATGAGACTTCACAACCTTCTTAAAATGAGCTTTCCTAATAACTCAGGACCTACCCCTCTAGGAACAAACCATCCTTGCCCTGAGAGACCAGACAAAACCTGAGACCAGAGACTCATTTTCTTCTAAAATGCTTTCTCCAAAAGATTTTTAAAAAGAAAATTGGGGAAATGTGACAGGAAAATACCTTGGGGCCCCAAAATCACTTGGCTAAAGGGAGGAATCAAGCTGGGAGCTGCTTAGGGCAAACCTGCCTCCCATCCTATTCAAAGTCACCCCTCTGCTGACTGAGATAAATGCATATCTGATTGCCTCCTTTGGAGAGTCTAATCAGAAACTCAAAATAATGCAACCATTTATCTCTTATCTACCTATGTCCTGGAAGCACCCTACTCACTTCAAGTTGCTTCGCCTTTCCAAACCAAACTAATGTTCGTTTTACATGTTGATTGATGTCTCATGTCTCCCTAAAATGTATAACACCAAACTGTGCTCTGATCACCTTGGGCACATGTCATCAGGACCTCCTGAGGCTGTAGCATGTGTCTGCAACCTTGGCAAAATAAACTTGCTAAACTGATACCTGTCTCAAGTTTTGGGGGTTCACAAGATCAAACTGGATTTGAATAGACCCTAATCCAATGGCTAGTGCCTTAAGAAGAAGAAGGAAAGTTGGATGTGGAGAGCCACACAGGGAGAATGCCATATGACAACAGAGGAAGATACTGCAGTGGTACCCCTACAGGCCACAGAATGCCAAGGCTTGCTCGCAACCACCAGAAGCTAGGAGAGAGGCATGCAGCAACTCTGCCAACACCTTGATTTTGGACTTCCAGCCTCCAGAACTTTGAGGGTTCTGTTAACACATTTCTGTTGTTTTAAGCCACTTGGTATACGATAATTTGTAACTATAGTCCAAGAAAACTATAAAACTTAATTAGCCAATGAAAGTTAACATAATCTGTGTAAATAATTAAGCTCTTGCTGCAATAACCTAACTTCTAGTGGTGAATGAGGCAAGCAGTCACCCCATAACTACTTTTCCTGCAGGAGGCTTCTCTACAGCCTTGCTATCAGAGCCACCCACTTAGTCCTGGGTTGGAGCAGATTTTACAGACCAGGTTTGGTCCCTCTCTCAATCCCCAAAATAGTTCTGTGGCTCTCAAAGATAATCCAGGATAAGCACCAACTCTGGCACCTTGGTAAACACTGAACTGGAGCTTCCTGACTTTAATAGGGTGAACATGGCCTTCAAGCTGGGAGATTAGGGAGGTAATATTTTCCCTGCAACTGACTGGGATAAGTCAACATTCTTACCCAGATCTGTCATCTGGAGATAGGAATAGACCTGGACATTTCTCTCCAGGTGGCCAGCCTCACTGATAATAAGAGACGTGCAAGGTAAAACTACCACAAGATACCATATTTAGCCTATCAGATTGACAAAAATTAAAAAGTTTGGTCATACTTTGTAGCCAGCAATAGAGAGGAATAGGCAATTTTATTGACTGAAGAGGAAGTTGGTACATCACTCTCTAGAGGTCCATTAAGCCATATCTAACAATTACAAATGCATAGGCCTTTTGATCCAGCAATTCCATTGCCAGGAGTCTATTGTATGGAAGCGCAGGTGGGAACAATGGTTATTTATTGTGGCATTGTTTGTAGAGTCATTGTTTGGAAACAACCCAAAGTGTTCATGACTAGGGGACTGGTAAAATAAATTACAGCACATAGGATGTGCTGCAGTTAAAAAAAATGAGTGAACAAGGTCTTTTAATAATGACATGGAATAATCTCTAAGTATATCATAATGGGCAAAACAAGACAGAGAACAGCATGTAATAAATGCTACCATTTGTGTGGGGAAAAAGAAAGGAAAAGTCAGTAGATTCATGTTTGCTTTAATATGCAATTAAGTGAAATTTCTTCCATCTGAAAAAGTCCTATTAAATCTGAATTATGGGGGCCTATAATGGATATCCATATCTCCAGCATTTCCTTGCTTCCAGACACTATTTACTAAATAGTAAACTTCCCAATTAATTTTCTGGAAACACTGCTTTTCTCATGTCCTATGTCCTTTATTTGCTTTCCAAAGTTTTTTTTTTTTTTTTTGAGACAGAGTCTCGCTCTGTCGCCCAGGCTGGAGTGCAGTGGCATGATCTCTACTCACTGCAACATCCACCTCCCAGGTTCCAGCGATTTTTCTGCCTCAGCCTTTCAAGTAGCTGGGATTACAGGCACCCACCACCATGCCTGGCTAATTTTTGTATTTTTAGTAGAGACGGGGTTTCACCATGTTGGCCATGCTAGTCTTGAACTCCTGACCTCAAGTGACCTGCCTGCCTCAGCCTTCCAAAGTGCTGGTATTACAGATGTGAGCCACTGCACCTGGTCTGCCTTTCAAAGATTTCTAATTGCCTCAAATGTATACCGTAAAACTCATAACCCAACATTCGGGACTTACTATTGGGAAGACACAATTTATCCTTCCCACATTATATTCTATTATTGAAATACAGAAACTCTCCATCCAACCAAAATCACGTGCTCACTGATCCCAGACACAGTAAACACTTTTATTTTATTGAGGAGCCTTGACAAGAGTGAGTGTAAAATATTATCAAATGGCTTTTCTACATCTATCAAAAGGACGATGTATTAGTGTCCTAGGGGTGATATGACAAAGTACCACAAACTGGTAGTTTAAAACAATAGAAATTTATTGTTTCACAGTTTTGGAGACCAGACATCAAGGGCCATGCTCCCTCTGAAACCTGTAGGGAAATCTTTCCTAGCCTCTTCTGGCTTCCAGTGATTTGCTGGCAATCCCTGACATCCCTTGGTTTGCAGCTGTAAAACTCCAGTCTCCACCTTCATCATCACATGGTGGTCCCCCTCTGTGTCTCTGTCCTCATGTGGTCATCTAAGTGAGTAAGCATCTGAGTCATAATGGATCAGGGGTCCACTCCATTACAAGTTGAGTATGCCTTATCCAAAATGTTTGTGGCCACAAATGTTTCAGTCTTCATATTTTTTCAGATTTTGGAATATTTGCATTTCATTGACCAGTTCAGCCTCCCTAATCTGAAAATCCAAAATCTGAAATGCTCCAATGAGTATTTCCTTTGAGTGTCATGTCAGTGCTCAAACAGTGTTAATTTTGGACCATTTTTGAATTTTGGATTTTCAGATTTAGGATACTCAACCTGTAACAGTATGACCTCTTCTTGACTAATTATATTTGTGGAGACCCTCTCTCAAAATAAGATGACATCCTGAAATATTAGGAATTAGGATTTCAACATATCTTTTTTAGGGTAGGGAACACAACTCAGTCCATAACAGATCATATGATTTTTCTCTTTAGTTCTATGAATATGATAGATAATATCAATGGATTTCTAATACTTAACTTATTTGCATTACTATAATGAATCTCACTTTTTAAATTAAAAAGTATTTTTTTAATGAGCTGCTGAAGTCTGACTCCTGATATTTTAAGATTTTTGAATGATTTTCACAAGTGATAGTATTCTGTCATTTTCTTTTGGTACTATTTCAGGTTTCAAGATCAATATATTGCTTCATAAAAGAAAATTTGAAAAATGTCTTCATCTATGATCTGGAATATGTTAATTAGCATTGTGATTACCCATTTTTTAAATGATTGATAGAATGTTTTTGTGAAGCCAGCTAGGCCTGGTGCTTTCCATAGAGGAGTATTTTAACCCCCTTTCTCTAGCTGTTTTATGATAATTAGTCTGGTTAGACTTTCTTTTCTGGGATCAATTTTAGTAAGTTGTGTTTTCCTTAAATAATATCTATTTCATCTATTTTTAAAACTTATTTTCATAGAGGTGTACAAAGTAGCCTCTAAGGCTTTTAAAATTTTTCCTCTGCTTTTAATGATTATTTTTCCTTCAGTATTTAAAATTTTGTGCTTTTGTTTTTCCTCTTGTTCTTTCTTTATTAGATTAGCTAATGGTTTGTCTATTTTGTTGCATTTTTTCCCAATAACTCTATTTTGCATTTGTTAGTTTCATTGTTTTTCTCTTTTCTAATTTAAGGATTTATACTTTCTTTGAAGAGGTCCATAATTTTGGCAGATTTTTGGGATAATTCTGATTCCAGATTTGAGAATTACAGCTGTGATACGTGTAGTTTTTAATAGAAATTGTCATCTGGTGCTCCATTTTTTTCCCTTTAGTATTGTTTTTATATTATTGCACGCGTTTTTCTCTGTGTATGCATCTTATATGTGTGCAACAGATGGAAGCTCCTTGAGGCCAAGACTATGCATTGTATTTCTTAGGGACAATAAATATTGATATTGTGGCTATGAAATTAGAGAATTAATGTAAACATGAAGAACTTGTAGTATGCAGCTTCTGAAAAGGCTCCCAAGAATCCCTACCATTTACTACTCATATTCTTGTCTCACTCCCTCTGTCCTTCAGTGTGGGCTAGATCTAGGGCCTTGCTTCTATGAAGTAGAATAGGATAAAACTATTGGAATGTTACCTCCAAGATTGGGCTATAAAATACTTCTATTTTGTCCTGTTCAGACACTCTGTATGTCTTGATTTCCTCATTTGCTTGTTTTGGTGAAGTAAAGGGCTGTATAATGAGCTATTCTATGAAGAGGCTGTATAATGAGCTATTCTATGAAATGGCCCATGTGTTGAAAAAGAGGGAATGGCCTGTGGCCAACAGTCTGCAGCTAATTGAATCTACCAACCATCGTCTGAGTGATCTTGGAAGCAAATCCACCTCCAGTTGAGCCTTGAGATGATGTAGCCTCAACCAGCACCTTGACTGTGACCCTGTGAGAAACCAGAGCCAGGGGACCCAGCTAAAACCACTTGGATTCCTGCTCTGCAAAAACTTTGAGATGATAAATGTTGTTGTTTTAAGCTACTATTTTTATGTGATAATTTGTTATGCAGCAATAGATAATCAATACAGAACCCAAATTCTGTATACTTGTCTTGATCCAGGAAGCATTGCCCAATTGAAAACTGAACAGTCTAGTTGTAATTTGGAAGTAACGTGCTTTGCAGAGAAATAACTCTAAATCAGAACTTAAAATGCAATAATGTAATTAATACCAAAATTTTTCATTTATAATGAAGGTATTTTGACAACACTTAAAAAATTACTTTAACTTATTAAAGGTTACCAGGTGTCCCTGCCCCCATTTTTTTTTTTTTTTGAGATAAGATCTCACTCTGTTATCCAGGCTGGAGTGCAGTGGTGTGGTCATGGCTCACTGCAGCCTCAACCTCCTGGCCTCAAGCAATCCTTCTGCCTCAGCCTCCTGAGTAGCTAGGGCTACAAGTTCATGCTACCATGCCTGACTAACTTTTACAATTTTTTTGTAGCAATGGAGTCTCCCTGTGTTGCCCAGGCTGGTCTTGAACTCCTGGCCTCAAGCAATCCTCCGCCTCAGCCTCCCAACGTGCTGGGATTACAGGCATGTATGCCTGGCCAATTGTCTTTTGGAATAACTTATTTTTAGTGTGGCTTCTTTTAAAAAATTCTATCTGCACATGAGTATTTATAACATGCCAAGTGAATGACAAGCTGCCTAGATAAAATGTGTAGATTATGGCTGAATTATAACATGGATTTTTACTGTACAACATTTTAACCAACATTAGTTTCCTAATACTGGTGGAGACTGCTGGTTGCCCACAAAAAAATTCTGTCCTCCACTTCTTCCACAGGAATATAGCTTAAGCTTGACATAAGGTTGCCCTGCTAGAGATAACATTTCCAATTGTTTCTCACTGATGGAATGTTAGTGAAAGTGATGTGTGAACTTCTGCCTCACTTGCTTAATAAGACATTGCTGCTCAGAACACTCTCTCTCTTCACCCTTTCAGGAGCTGAACTTCAGATGTTCAGCCCTAACCCAGATTCAACCATGCAAAAGAGGACGATGACCTAAGGCTCAGTTTCAGGGCATGGTGGAGCAATAAGATGAAAAGAACCAGAGTCATGGAGTAGGGCCATGGAGCAGAGCTTCCTACTAACCTCAACTGCTTGCCTTAGAACCATTCTATGAAAGAGAAATACATGTCTGTGTTCCTTAAGCCACTCTATTTTGGGGTCTCTTTGTTATAGTAGCTTAACCTTTATCCGAACTAGTATTAATATATCCATCATTGATTCCTTTTAAATATGTCATTTTGTAATTGTTACATATATACAAGTGAGCAAAGTACAAATAACTGGATTTCTGCCCTGGCAAAAAAAAAAAAAAAAAAAAAAAAAAAAGGTCGGGGGGCGGGATGTGAAATGTATTTCCCACAGGTATGACTAGTGTTCAGTGATCAAAGAACTACAGGGTGTTTCTCTGGTATCAAGAAAAAAAAATTTTTTGCATGACTGCAAGCTACTATTTGATATCTCTGCACCATTACAGCAGTCTTTCAGTCCTACCACTTCTCAAAGATGTTGATTTTTGTTAGGTTGGTTGGGAAATTCATGTTCAGAATAATCAGACTGGGCCTTAGAAAAAAAAGGTTCTGGGGAAATGGACTTTACCACTGCCCAGGAGGCTCAAGATGTCCTACTCAAGATGTTCAGAGCCAAATTCTCTTGAGGATTCCTTCCTAGATTGAATGACTCCAGCACAATACACCTTCTTATCATGATCTCACTAGGCCTTATAGAGCTTGTCTCAAGGTTATTTTTACAAGAGCCTTATAAGAAAGACAAGAAGTGAGGATTATCATTTCATTACAGGGATAAACTGCGACATATGGTGACTTACATCAGGTGACTTGGTGAGCCACTAGAAGCTGGAATCAGTAACTGATCCTCCATGGAGATAAAATGCTCTGTCTACAAATACAATTCTTTGGCAATTAACTTAATGCTGCGTGTGCCATGTTTTGCTTTGCCTATTTTTCCTAACTGGTAGAAAGAAAAATCGAAGCACTAAATTCGGGAGACACATGATGCAAGTGCCTTCACAGGAAAACATATTTCTTTAACACATAAGCAGAACAGGTCCCCAACGATCACAGCTCCAGCTTCTAAAACCAAACCACAGGGTTTTGCCTCACACCTGTAAATGACAGCCAGAAGCATTGTGGAGAGATGCTTCCACCTCCTGGGCCGGACATTTCTGTGTGTGATCCCGCCAGACATGACAATAACTCTGCGTGTCTTCTGTAAGAGGAAAATGGTTTCCCTTAAGAGCTTCAGCATTCTCTCAGTCCCCTTGACTTTGCTCTCCAGACAGGACTGAGAAGCAAGAAAAGTAGAAACTAGGGCATGAAGGGGACTACATCATCCTGGAAAGTCACATCCCAAAGACATTCAGGCCTAAAAGGACAACTGAATAAATAAGGCATTGACAGGTGTTCATTAATCATTTGTGCAACCAAATTCTTAGTAGGCTTTGCATGGACAATCAGGAAACATGCAGGTTTCTGCTGCAAACGAAAGACGGGGTTGAATTGCACTTTTGTTGCAGACTGATCACCTGGGCCTAATTTGATTGTTGCCTCCCAAGGGATCTCTGAGCCCAGGAGGGAAATGTAGGAGGGAGGAGGGAAAACCAAGGCCGGCCTGCAGGATGTTTCCTTTGCTATCTTCTGCTGAGTGCTCTAAAGCAGGTGCAGGTGCAATGAGATACCTAATCCTGTCCCCAGTCCTCCAGCACTTTGTTCTCTTCTCGTTTAAACTCCCTAAATGGTCTGGTGGGGTTTTCCCAGTGTCATTGCTTAAAGAGAGGCAGAGCGGAAAGAAAGAAGTAGGAGAAAGCGGTAAGCATCTTTGTTCTCAATGCGGAAAACCCAGAAGGGACTTTCCTTCCCACCCACCTGAAAATGTTCCCCAGTTGCCAAATCAGAAGGGCAGGGGCAGCGACGCGGAAGATGACTCAGGGCCCACTTTGAACCTCCTGGGTACTTGAGCAAGCTCAAGGGTGTTCGGACCTCTAGGGAGACGTTGCATCACGCAGTTTGGAAAGAACTTGGGAATTCTCCCTGGGGGGCTCGCTGTATTTACTGGGAACTAGTCTTGCAGGAAGGTGAGAGTACGTGGCTGGCTGTGGGGAGCTGGCGTGGGAGGAAATCCGACTTCACCTTGGGCTCAGAGTTGCAAGGAAGGTCACTGTGGGATCAGCCTGAGCCCAAAAGGATGGGCTAATGGGAGCGGCCGCAGGTGCACGCGCGCTCGGCCGCTCCCATTAGTGTTACGTCTGCCGGGGGAAGAAGGTGGGGTGGGGGGTTGGGGGCGCCGGGAGAAGAGAGGCGCAGTTCGGAGATCGGCACTCCTCCGTCCAGTTACAGGCGGTCCTGCCCCCGTGGCCGCCCGGGGCCGCCCAAGCCCTCCGGGACGGAGAGAAAGGGGGACGCGTTGCGCAAGGTGGAGGCAGACACCTGGGCGGGCGCTAGGACCCGGGCGGCGCACCTGTTGGCTGGGCCCGGGGCCCCGCCCGCCCGGCCTCCGCCCGGAGTGCGGGATCGGCGGGGGCGAGGCGGGAGTGGCGGTGCCAGCGGAGGGCACCGGCCCGGCGTGGCAGCGGCGGCGGAGCGCGGCCCCGGGCACACCATGGCCGAGCTGCTGCGGAGCCTGCAGGATTCCCAGCTCGTCGCCCGCTTCCAGCGCCGCTGCGGGCTCTTCCCCGCTCCGGATGAAGGCCCCCGGGAGAACGGCGCGGACCCCACGGAGCGCGCGGCGCGGGTCCCCGGGGTCGAGCATCTCCCCGCAGCCAACGGCAAGGGCGGCGAGGCTCCGGCCAACGGGCTGCGCAGAGCCGCGGCGCCGGAGGTAACCATGGGCAGGTGTTCGCCGGGTACGGGGAGGGGGCGGCTGCGGACGTGCGGGTCCCTGCGACTCCGCCACGCGGGGCCGGCCGGGCCGAGAGGGCGCCGTCCCCGGCAGTGACCCGGCTCCCGCCGCTGCGAGCGGACGGGGAGGCCTGGCCTTCCAGTAACCAGGATGCCACCCTCCAACGCTGCCAGGGGCAACCGGGTCTATTGAGATATCCCCAGACGCTTTCAATGCAGTCCATTTAGAGACTTCCCACTTTCAAAAGTAGTTAAATTCACGTAGATGCCAGCAAATATGTAAGAGTTACGTAATGGAACGGAGGAGCGGGGATGTCCTTGGCACTTCCCCGGGGAGACGTTCTTAGACTCCCCCCCACCCCCGTATTCTTGCATTTCCGCCCATCCCCCTTCCCTGATGCGCACAAATGCGGGTGCAGCCGGGCTCAGCGCGCTCCTCACCGCGCTGCACCGCCAGCTCTGGGCACAGAACTTGGGGCTCACACAGCTCCTAGAGAGATTTACAACCTCCCTGCACTACCCCCGGCGATGATGTCTTAACAGCAACTCTCGCTTGCCCTCCCCCAGAGTCTGGGGGTCCCTCCTGCCTGGTGGGTCTTTTATGGACCGACACCAGTGACTTCTAACAGATGCTTCTGGGAGGGAAGCTCGCTACGCTCCCGCTAGGTGTTCAAAGCGTGGTTATACAACCCACTGCGGCTTGGGGGGAACCAGCGTGCGTCGTCGTCGCAGTGCACAGGGACTTTAGGCAGCAGGGACCAGACGGGCTGCACTTGGCTTCTGGGGACGCATGTCTACCGGGAGCACTGGCAGCACCTGCCTTTTCCCTCGGCAAAGTCAAAAGTGTGGCGCAGGAGAACAGAAATAAACGTATTAATAATTCGAATTCCTTGTACACAGCCACATTTTGTTCTTCCTAGAAGGTTTTGGTGAAAGAAAGGTGGCCTTTACTTACGTGTAAATTTCTAGATGTAGTAACTGAGGAATTACGAAGAACCTGGCTTCTGTGTGGAATGGAATATTATAGGCATTGGATTACAGAATTTGTTTGGGAGGGTGAGGGTGGTTGTGTGTTCTACTCCAGAGAAATCCTCCTCTGTATTTTTTCCTCTTTATTGTTCCTTCTTTATCCCATGTGACATTCCGGTAACCTATAGATGAGTATGAGAACCCCTCTTTTTTCTCTTGCCTTGTCTTAAAAACGGGGCAGAGTAGGGGGGATAAGAAATCAGCTGGGCGTGGTGGTGCGGCCTGTAGTTCCAGCTACTCCGGAGGCTAAGACAGGAGAATAGCTTGAGGCGGAGGTTGCAGTGAGCCAAGATCACGCCACTGCACTCCAGCCAGGGCGACTGAGCGAGACTCCGTCTCAAAAAAAAAAAAAAAAAAAAAAAAAGACCAAAACAAACAAACAAACAAACAAAAAACAGTCCCATGGCTGAAACGTGCCGTGACATATTCGGTGCACACACTGTTTACACCCACAGGTAGACACGTGAGTTGCTTTCTGTTGCTCTCTTCACAAGCTTCTACCCTGTTTCTCTAATTCAGGAAGCTGAAAAAGAGTGAATTGTTCCACCAGTGCTTCTCAAACTGTTTTAAACATCACCCCTGGTAACTTAACTTTAAACTCCACAGTTGGATCCTCTTGACCTTTAAAAGCAAGCTAAGCAGATTTCTTACACAGTTTTATCTTCTTACTGCTTGACAATCCTGGTGGGTCTTCAGTGAGTGAAATTGTGGCGGTTTCCCCACACCCACCCAGCCAACACAGGACTTCTGCTTACAGATCATGTAAAAGCAAGAAAGCTGAATGCCCAAGATAAGAAATCATTGTGTTGGTATATAATGGGGGAAATCATAAACTTGAGAGTGCTTGATAAATGAAAGGTTAATTAATGTTTTTACAGGTGGGTTGGTTTCAAATGACTTGGGAAGATTAATCCTTTACATACACACATTGATTCCCCCCCTCAAAAATTATCTCTTATCTACACTCAGGCAATTTACAGGACTTTAAGGGGGCAGTTGTGAAAAGTGTGCTGCCCTCTCTGCAGGCCTTTGTACAGGCGTTGGCCTGCCTGAGCTGCCTGTCTTTTCTCTAAATATCCTCCCCACTCATCCTTCTATTTCCAAAGGTCAGTTCCTCCATGGGTGACTTCTCTGACCTTCCAGCCTAGCTCCCCCTGCTATAGTTTTTCTTTGCTTTCTGCATTTCTTCATTACAGCATTTATCACGTTGTTTAAATGTGCCTTTGTGTGGATATCTGATTATTCCCCGCCCCTCCAGAGGATGATAAACTCTAAGAATGCAGGCAACTTTTCTGTTATGGTCCTTATTTTTTTCTCATAGCCTGGCACGTAGGAGGGACTAGTGACTTTTGTGAATACATGCATGTAGATTGCAATATAAAATTATAGTTTTAAACTTTTTTTTTAAGAGACAGGGTCTTGCTGTGTCACCCAGGGTGGAGTGCAGTGGCACAATCATAAGTCACTGCATCTTCCACATCCTGGACTCCTGCAGTTCTCCTGCCTCAGCCTCCTGTGTAGCTAAGACTACGGATGCATGCCATCATCTGGTTTGTTGTTGTTGTTGTTGTTGTTATTGTTGTTTTTTGTAGAGACAGGGTCTCACTATGTTGCCAAGACTAGTCTTAAACTCTTGGCCTCAAGTGATCCTTCTGCCTCAGCCTTGCAAAGTGCTGAAATTATAGACGTCAGTCACTGTGACTGGCGATGTTTCGTTTTTCTTTAAAAAAAAATGAGTGAATGTTGAAAATCAAGTGATTTTTCCGCATAGCCTAGAAGGTAGCACCAGGACGTTGATTTAGGACCCTTCAAACAATAGAGAAGTTTTCTTCTTCATTTGAGTGACTTTAGATCTTAATGAATCTGATTTACCTTCTCACCTTTCACATTGTCTATATTTGTTTTAATTTTGAAACAGGACAAGTGTTTCCTGTTTTCAAGTGACTAAAAGTTTCCTCTACAAGTTCTCATTACACCACACGCTGCTAGCTTAAAGATTAACTGCATCTTTTACAAACCAGGAGTGGGCTTGGCTTGTACAAGCCTGTCATTGAATAAATTGGACTGGGCCTTAGAAATTGCCCAGTAGTCATGAATTTCACAGAAAGTCTGAGTCCTGAAGGGTTAAGAGATTTATTGAGGACTTCCAGGATATCCACACAGTCAGGGGAAGTCAGATCTTTTGACTCCCAAGTCTAAACTTCTTTCCTCTGTGCAGATTCCAGGGAAAATTCCAGGGCCTCACTGTATCTGATTCACTGAGGTGTGTCCTGTTGGTACTGGCTGGGACAGGGTGGAGATCGTGTGAAAAGAGGTGGTATTGCTTTCAGTTTGCAAGGGTATCTGACTTGCAAGAGTAACTGTAGGAAGCCATTTTTGGTTATTGCTTTGGGAGGCACTGCCCTGAGCAGAAGGCAGGATCCTAGGACTGGGCCAGGAAGGTAAAGGTGTGATGAGAATTTCATTTATTTGTCCTGGGGTAAAGCCAGCCTCGTATATAATGGTATTTTGATTTCTAACATTTTTGCTTACTCAATACAGTTGTATTTAGTTAGACTCTGCAGTGCCTTCCTCAGCAGTACATTAGACTAAGGATCATCTTTTCTAATATCCCTGTGTCCAGTACTTTTTGATAACTGCTCAGACATAGTTCTCACATTGACTTAGGGAGAGGTTCAAAGATAAGTTGTTTCTAGAAATCTTAGACTCCTAGTTTCCCTCTTGAAACATTTGAGGCTCTAAATCTGTTAATCTACGAAACCTTGATTTCATTGGTGTGCTAAAGTACAAATACTACATCCTGGAAACCAGGAGACCAGGATCTAGTTTTACCTTCATGTCATTTTGGACTTCTCTGAACCTCGGTTGTCCCATCTGCAGAATGAGCAGAGTGGGGGAAAAAAAACATGGTTTTCTTTTTTTTTTTTTTTTTTTTTTTTGAGACAGAGTCTCACCCTGTCATCCAGGCTGGAGTACAGTGGCTCCATCTCAGCTCACTGCAACCTCTGCCTCCTGGATTCAAACGATTCTCCTGCCTCAGCCTCCCAAGTAGCTGGGATTACAGGCATGCACCACCATGTCCAGCTAATTTTTGTATTTTTAGTAGAGATCGGGTTTTGCCATGTTGGCCAGGCTGGTCATGAACTCCTGACCTTAGGTGATGTGCCTGCCTCAGCCTCCCAAAGTGCTGGGATTACAGGCCACCTCCCAAAGTGCTGGGATTACAGGCTGGGATTACCGCACCCGGCCAAGAACCATGGTTTTCTAACCATGGCTGTACAGTATAGTCACTTAGAGAAGCTTTCAAAACAAAACAAACATAAACCAATGTCCAAGATCCAGGTTAGAAGAGGGGTCCAGAGAAGCTGACCAACAAAGTTGGGAAGCTCTGAGTTCTCTTCTCCTGGGACCCACCACCCTTAGTATATTCAGTAGGAGGGTGGTGATGGCTGCAGGCAGTGGTCATGGCAGCCGTGACATTTTGGCTTCACCATAACTAAACTGGCCAACAGATCAGACTGCAAGTTTTTATTATCCTTTATTGGATGCTTACATCTGAAATGACAAAATGAGATAGTTCGAAAGAATATATTTGATCTTTTTTTCTAGTTACAGATATCATCATTGTTCACAGGAGAAAACTTGGAAACACACGAAGAGAAAGTTAAATTCATGCCCGTTATATCACCGCCCATTGCTAATCACTTAGTAAATGTTCAGCCCAATTTTTAATGGCCGCATGTTCCTCCACAGGATGGATATACTGTAATTTAGTCAGCTAGGTGCTGTGCTTTTGGTTTGTTTCCAGTTTTTGCATTAAAAATGATAACATCTTTGTACAAGTATCTCTCCACCTGTCTTTGATTATCTTCCAAATAAAATGTCCAGACTTGAAACTGTTGAGTGAAAAAAATGCATATATTATTGCTCTTAATAGCTACTACCGAATTGCCCTACAGGAAGAGTCTGCTAGGGCAAACCACTACGAGGGCAGGTTTTCCCACACACTCACCAATGTTAGGTGTTAAACCTCTCTTTAATCTTTGGAGAAAATAAACCACTTTGGCTTCTATCTCACCTTTGCTTTCTTCATTTCCAGTCAACATCCATTGATCACTACCATGTTTCTGGGACAGTCCTCAGACTTAGAGACATAAAGATCAATACAATTTAGTTTCTTCTGTGTGAAAGCCCAAATAAAAGGATGCAGTGCAAAAAATAAAAAAAATACTAGAATAGAACGATGAATACAAGGACAGGAAGACAATAGCAGGAGTAACTCACCTTCCCAGGGGAGCCCATGAAGTCTTGAGTTGGGGCTTAAAGAGTGGGTAGGAATCAAACAGGCAAAAATGGGAGAAGCTCTTTCTTTACCTGGATTCTCATGTGCTAGAACATAAAGACACGTGTCATTTTTGGTGAATGATGACAAGTTCAGCTTGGATATCATCAGAGTGTCAGCAGGAAATAGTTGGTCTACTTAAAAAGGGTGATCGAAACCTTAAAAATAGTTAAAATGGTACATGTTATGTATATTTTACCTTAATTTTCTTAAAGAACATAGGCTCTATTCCACCTTTTAGGGAAGGAAGCATAGCTCTCTATTTCTTTTCTTCTTTTTTGAAAAAAATAGAGACAGGGTCTCACTATGTTGTCCAGGCTAGTCTCGAACTCCTGGGCTCAAGCGATCCTCCTGCCTTGGCCTCCCAAAGTGCTGGGATTGCAGGCATCAGCCACCACAGCCAGCCTCCCTATTTCTTAAACATGGGCTGCACATAGTGACTTCCTTCCAAAAAGTGCGATATAGAAAGAGAAGGGGGAAAAAAGTAATTTTACAGTGTAGAAACTTGACAGACACTCCCTTGGCCAGATGATCAAGGTCAACATCACCAGTGGTAAGTCATGTTGACATCATGTTCTCTTGATGCATATTAAAATTATGTATTCTTGTTACATGTTGAGGGTCATTCTGCAAAATATCTGACCAGTACTCTTCAAAACTGTCAAGGTCATCAGAAACAAGGAAATTCTGAGAAGCTGTCACAACTCAAGAGGAGTCTAAGGAGGCATGACTAAATGTTATGTAGTATCCTGGATGAGGTCATGGAACAGAAAAAAAAAATTAGGTAAAAAATAAGGAAGCCTGTGTAAAGTATGGACTTCAGTTAATAATAATGTATCAATATTGTAACAAATGTATCATACCAACATAAGATGTTAATCATAGGGGTACCTGCCTACAGAGTATAAGGAAGGCTGGGAGTATATGGGAATTGTGTATTATCTTTTCAATCTTTTTATAAATTTCAAACTTTTCTTAAAAAAAAAAAAAGTCTATTTAGGCCAGGCATGGTGGCTCTCTTGAGGTCAGGAGTTGTAATCGCAGCATTTCGGGAGGCCAAGGAAGTCGGATCACTTGAAGTCAGGCATTCAAGACCAGCCTAGCCAACATGGTGAAACCCTGTCTCTACCAAAAAATATGAAAATTAGCCAGGTGTGGTGGCACACGTCTGATGTACCAGCTACTTGGGAAGCTGAGGCATGAGAATTGCTTGAACCCGGGAGTTAGAGGTTGCAGTGAGCCAAGATCATGCCACTGCACTCCATTCTAGGTGACAGAGGAGACCTTGCCCCCCGCCCCCCGCTCGAAGTCTAAAAATTTTACAAGGTGGGGGTAATTGAAGGACTATTTACAAAGACGTGGGCAGGGTTGGAAGAAAACCAACATGGGAGGATGAAGCATCTTGGAGCAAGCAACTTCAGCCTAAAAAAGCAAGAACAGGGAATAGGGTTCGGGTAACCCCAGACCCACTGAGAGCTTAGATGGCAGAGGGAATCCCCTGACCAGAGCTGAGGCCCTTAGCAAAGAAAGGCAGCCACAGCCAGGCAGGAAGAGGTTGAGGGGTGGGGATCAGATCTCAAGCTCATTCTCCATATGCCTTCTTTCTCATATCCTACCAGTGCCCCCACTTTAACCAAATTTAGCCCATAGTCAGGGAGCTTGGGAGCTGGCTGAAGCAGTCCATCAAGGTCAGCCTCCCTGGAGAAAGGCAGAGAGTGGACTGGAGAGGAGAAATGGAACCCACCCAGCGCAGGTTGCATGAAGAAATTGGTGTGATAATACAGCTGCAGTTTTGGGCTGCAGCCAGAGTTTTAGGCTGAAGCCTTAATGTGGCTTACTGCAGAATTTGGACTTTATCCTATAGACAAGAAGATAGCAGTCAATTTCATCCCGTGTGCCAAATCGGAATTGGCAACTGAGAGCACTGTGTTAAGAAGGGATCTCAGGCTGTCTCTGTGCAGGATTGATGGAGGTGCTTGTGTGAGTATGGAGGGAGCCCAGTGGTGAAGCCTTTTAAGAAATAGTGATGTTAGATTCAAGCAGCAACAAATGTAGGACTCACATGAAATCAAACCTTAATGTCTGTTTTGGGTCCTTTGTGATACTTCTATTGTCACTCTCACCCACAGATGATTTACGAGGAAAAAGCACAAATGGTTTCTTAAGACAGAGGTTGCCATGTTTTGAATCATAGGATCCCATCATTATGACTACAAGCTGATTGAGCCAGGGCTCAGCCCTGGAGTGAAAGGCAGCCTTCTATAGGCTGGTCAGCATTTTATGACATGGCTTGGCATGGGGACGTCATCCAATTAAGATCATGCATATTGTGTAGTGACTAACAGACTCAATCGAATTGCTCCCTCAGCAAGTCTGAATGCAAGACCCAGACATAAATGTTAGAGTTCTGACAAACCTCAGAGAAAAGAGGGAGGTTGTAAAGAAACAGAAGCCTCAAGACACAGGAAACAATAGGAACTCAGAAGCCAGAGGTGGAGGGGGGAATGAAAAGTCTGTAGAAAAGATAGGCCAGATACGGTGGCTCACGCCTGTAATCCCAGCACTTTAGGAGGCAAAGGCGGGTGGATCACCTGAGGTCAGGAGTTCGAGGCCAGACTGACCAACATGGAGAAACCCTGTCTCTACTAAAAATACAAAATTAGCGGGGCATGGTGGCACATACCTGTAATCCCAGCTACTCGGGAGGCTGAGGCAGGAGAATCGCTTGAACCCAGGAAGCAGAGGTTGCGGTAAGCCAAAATCATGCCTTTGCACTCCAGCCTGGGCAATAAGAGCGAAACTCTGAAAAAGAAAGAAAGAGAGAAAGAAAGAAAGAAAGAGAGAGAAAGAGAGGAGAGAAGGAGGGGAGACGAGAGGAGGGAAGGGGAGGGGAGGGGAGGGGACAGGCAAAGCCAAACAAAGCAGAAAAAAAATTTCTGAATGGAAAAAGAAGCTAAGACTTGAGTATGGCAGATTCCACTGAGCATGAGAAGCTAGAGGAACTGTTATGTTTCAGGATAGAATGGCTCAGAGAGGACCTTAGGAAAGAAGCTGGCTGTGTGGCTGCTGCAGTTTTCTTAGTTCTTGAGGAATTATATTATAAACCCCTCTCAGTGGAGGGAGCCTGTGGGGATCTCGCAGTGCAACCAGAATGTGCTGATCCCTACTACTTTGAAGGATTTACACTTAATTGCAAGTAGGTCGTTATTTCTCTCACTGTAGTTGCGAATGGTGGCTGGTGAGGAAGAACAATGGGGAGAGGAAGTTAGATCCCTCTGCTCACCTGTGTACCCTCAGGGCCTGACATGCCTGGAGCAACCAGGTACTTAATCCTACCTGGTGAATGGAAGCTTGAAAGGTGCGCTAAACTCGCCTTTGTCTGACTTGGCAGAAATTTGATCACCTGCCCTTTCCTGTCACAACAGAGGTAACTTATCCCTGGACACTTGGCCTGGCTGTGTCTTCTTGTAGCTTGATGATTTTTTTCCCCCCATGTTGGCTCCTTCCTTTTTATCCAGGAAACTGATAGAGGGTTTTGATTAATGAATAACTTTTTAATTGCTTTGCTTTCTTCTGATGGATGCCATGAAGGGAGGTATTGCTAAAAAGTTAGTTGATGGTGAAACATCTGACAAGTTTAAAAATGTATTTCAATTACTATGTTTTAGGAAGGCTGTGGACAGCCGGCCTGGTGTGATTTTAACTTTTTTGACTTCTAATTAAGATGTCAAGACATTTGCATTTTTCAAAAAGCACTTTCACTTCCTCTTGTTACAGTTTTCGTTAATGATTAAGTCCTCTGTGGTCCCGATTAGAATTATATCCTGAACTAAGGCATTCTTGCATTTTATCCAGCAGGAGATTTTCTTGTGAGAAAACACTGTCACAGTTTCCAGGCAACGCATCAAGAGTGTTCCTGTCTATATTAGGAATCTATGAAAATACCAAAATTTGGGGCATCTGCAGGTCTTTATTATTCTTCTTGCCTGGTGAGATACATTCCATATACTGAGAAAGTGAAACATTGAAAAATCAAGGCGAGACTGTGACTTGTATTTTTTGATTAATTAATTTTTAATTTTATAATTGACACATAATAATTGTATATGTTTATGGGGCACAGCGCAATATCTCAGCACGTAGGTGTGTGACTCATGTTTTTTGTCCCCTCAATCTTGCTTCAAGCACAACAAAAAGTCCCTGAGGCTTGGGCCAGAGCGGATGAAAAGGGAAGGCACCAACTACCTAAGATCTTGAAGGCAAGGCTTGGGAGTCTTGGGAAAGGGGGCAGTGGTTTCCCTCAACCATTTTAAATACTATTCTCTCCTCCCCCAAATGCTCATTGGCAGTGCTATACCTCTATTGTTTAATGAGAAAACACCTGGTTCATTGTTACTTTGTTTATTTGGTAAATGCCTTCATAAGAAATGCCCTTTCTGTCATCTCAGGGTATGTTTTGATTTGTCCAAATGGCAAAAATTTTGTTTCCATAAAATTTTATGAAAAACTGCCCATCAAAGCAAAGATTCCTGTGGGTGTGGTGGTGAATGCACAGGCTGCTGGGGTAATGTGTCGGCAGCTAAAAAAGACCAGGCCTTAATTGGTAGAGAAAGGGCTTAGGTGAAAGATAATTAAAGGGTGGCTGTGAAATAGAACATCAAGTATTTTGTTTAAAGCTTGACAAATGGAAGGAGCCTCTGTTAGAAGTTGGTTTGTATATTAGGGTTCTCTAGAGGGACAGACCTAACAGAATGGAGATATATACACACACACACACACACACACACACACACACACACATATGTGTATATGTGTGTATATATATGTGTATATATATACACACATATACACATATACATATATATATACACATATATATATATGGAGTTTATTTAGTATTAACTCACACAATCACGAGGTCCCACAATAGGCCTTCTGCAGGCTGAGGAACAAGGAGAGCCAGTCTGAGTTCCAAAACTGAAGAACTTGGAGTCTAATGTTTGAGAGCAAGAAGCATCTGGCATGGGAGAAGATGTAGGCTGGGAAGTTAGGCCAGTCTCTCTTTTTACATTTTTCTGCCTGCTTATATTCTAGCTGAGGTGGCAGCTGATTAGATTGTGCCCACTCAGATTAAGAGTGAGTCTGCCTTTCCCAGCCCACTGACTCAAATGTTAATCTCCTTTGGCAACACCCTCACAGACACACCCAGGATCAATACTTTGTATCCTTCAATCCAATCAAGTTGACACTCAGTATTAACCATCACAAGTCCACCTTTTGTCAACTTGAACCCATGTACATCTCCTGAGATCATATGTAATCTTCATATACAGATAACAATAAGGTTATAATTATGTCTAACATAATACAACTATCCTTCATACAACAGGAAATTCACCACGCCCCAACGCAAGTACTATTACATAAAGTTAACAATACTTAAATGCTGATATGAAGTCAATAAATCTTATGTCACATGATAAAGGAGAAAGGAAATAAAATGAAGGTATTTTCTTAGTACAAGTGTATACGTGCACAAACATGTTTTAACAAAAGAATAAGGAAATACTCATGACAATTACAGTCCTGGTTTCTGTAGCTGGTCATGTGGTCGTAGCTGGTATTGGTGACTACCTTCTACTGCCCATTCCCTTTGCCTTCAGCAAGCACTTCAGCAGGTCGTGGTTTTTTTCCTCGTAGAGTGATTCAAACCTTCATTCCTGAAGGGTCTGGGTCATTTGTAGTCTTGCCTGGACTGGGCTGTTGTACTTTCCCATTGACCTTAATCACAGGGAATGGTAATACTAAGAGATGCCCTAATGGATCTTCTGTATTCCATGCATCCTCTTCCTTAACTCTGTTGTGAAGTATCATCTTGATAGTCTGGGTCAGTCACCCCAGGCAACACTGTAACTCCTTTCTTAGCCTGTTGACTTCAAGGTAGGAGGAGCCCAAAGTGTCCAGATGGCAATCTTAACTTCCAGTTTAATGGAATCATCGTTGTGCCTCCTAGTGGCAGCGTTCCCCACTCTGGAACTAAGACCTCTAGGCCAGCAGAACATAATGTCACAGGAACAGGAAGCAAAAATTTTGCTAGTGAATCCCTAGGGGTGATGGTGAGTTGTGCTACTTCTACTTCCACCCCTTGATTCCTGGAAACATGAATTTTGACTATGAGAGAAATAGTACCATATATTGGACACTGATTCAGAGCATACAAGGCCTTCTGGAGAACTTTGCCCCAGCCCTGTAAACTATTGTCACCTAGTTGGCATTGTAATTGTGACTTCAAAAGGCCATACCAGCATTCTGTCAATCCAGGTGCTTCAGGATGATGGGGAACATGGTACGACCAATGAATTCCATGAGCATGAGCCCACTGCCATACTTCTTTAGCCGTAAAGTGAATGCGTTGGTCAGAGGCAATGCTGTGTGGGATACTATGACGGTAGATAAGGCATTCCATGAGTCCACAGATGATAGTCTTGGCAGAACATTGCGTGCAGGATAGGCAAACTGATATCCAGAGTAGGTGTCTATTCCAGTGAGGACAAACCTCTGCCCTTTCCATGATAGAAGAGGTCCAATATAATCAACCTGCCACCAGGTAGCCGGCTGATCACCCAACGGAATGGTGCCATATCGAGGGCTCAGTGTTGGTCTCTGCTGCTGGCAAATTGGGCACTCAGCAGTGGCCATAGGTCAGCCTTGGTGAGTGGAAGTCCGTGTTCCTGGGCCCATGCGTAACCTCCATCACTGCCTCCATGGCCACTTTGTTCATGGGCCCATTGGGTGAAGACAGGAGTGGCTGGGGAAAGAGGCTGAGTGGTGTCCACAAAATGGGTCATCCTAGCCACTTGATTAATAAAATCCTCCTCTGCTGAGGCCACCCATTGGTGAGCACTCACATGGGATACAAATGTCTTCACAATTTTGGGCCACTCAGAGAGTTCCATCCACATACCTCTTCCCCAAATGTCTTTGTCACCAATTTTCCAATCCTGCTTCTTCCAAGTCCGTGACCATCCAGCCAAACCATTGGCTACAGCCCATGAGTCAGTATATAATTGCACATCTGGCCACTTCTTCCATTCAAAGTGCACAACTGGTGCACTTCTTGAAGTTCTCCCCGCTGGGAAGATTTCCCTTCACCGCTGTCCTTCAGGGATGTCCTAGAAAGGGGCTGTAGTGCTGCAGCTGTCCACTTTCGGGTGGTGCCTGCCTATCATGCAGAACCATCTGTGAACCAGGCCCTAGTCTTCTCTTCCTCTGTCAGCTGATCATAGGGAACTCCCCATGAGGCCATCGGTGCAGGCTGGGGGAGAGAAGGCAAGGTGGCAGGAGTGGAGACCATGGGCATTTGAGCCATTTCCTCATGTAACTTACTTGTGCCTTCAGGACCTGCTCTAGCCCAATCACATATATACCACTTCCATTTGATGATGGAATGCTGCTGTGCACGACCCACTTTATGGCTAGGTGGGTCAGAAAGCACCCAGTTCATGACGGGCAGTTCAGGTCTCATGGTGACTTGATAACCCATAGTCAAATCTTCAGTTTCCACCAAAGCCTAGTAACAGGCCAAGAGCTGTCTCTCAAAAGGAGAGTAGTTATCTGCAGAAAATGGTAGGGCCTTGCTCCAAAATCCTGGAGACTCCCACTGTGAGTCACCTATGGGGTCCTACCAAAGGCTCCAAATAGCATCCCTATCTGCCACTGACACCTCAAGCACCATTGGATCTGCTGGGTCATATGGCCCAAGTGGCAGAGCAGCTTGCACAGCAGCCTGGACCTGTTGCAGAGCCTTCTTCTGTTCTGGACCCCACTCAAAACTGGCAGCTTTTTAGGTCACTTGATAAATGGGCTGGAGTAACACACCCAAATGAGGGATATGTTGCCTCCAAAATCCAAATAGGCCCATTAGGCATTGTGCCTCTTTCTTGGTTGTAGAAGGGGCCAAATGCAGCAACTTATTCTTCACTTTAGAAGGAACATCTTGACAGGCCCCACACCACTGGACCCCTAGATATTTTACTGAGGTAGAAGCTCCCTGAGTTTTAGTCGGGCTTATTTCCCATCCTCTGGCACGCAAATGTCTCACCAATAAGTCCAGTGTGTTTGCTAGTTCTTGCTCACTGGATCCAATCAGCATAATGTCATCCATGTAATGGACCAGTGTGATATCTTGCGAAAGTGAAAAGCGATCAAGGTCTCTCCAAATAAGATTATGACACAAAGCCGGAGAGTTGATATACCCCTGAGGTAGGACAGTAAAGGTATATTGCTGGCCTTGCCAGCTGAAGGCAAGTTGCTTCTGGTGGGCCTCATGGACAGGAATGGAGAAAAAGGCAGTTGCCAAGTCAGTGGTTGCATACCAGGTACCAGGAGATGTGTTAATTTGCTCAAGCAATGAAACCATGTCTGGTACAGCAACTGCAATTGCAGTCACCACTTGATTAATCTTACAGTAACCCACTGTCATTCTCCAAGATCCATCTGTCTTCTGCACAGGCCAAATGGGAAAGTTGAATGGGAATGTGGTGGGAATCTCCAACCCGGTGTCTTTCAAGTCCATGATGGTGGCACTAATCTCCGCAGTTCCTCCAGGGATGCGATATTGGTTTTGATTTACTATTTTTCTAAGTAGATGCAGCTCTAATGGCTTCCATTTGGCCTTTCCCGCCATAATAGCCCTCACCCTACCAGTCAGGGAGCCAATGGGGGGGTTCTGCCGGCTGCTAAGTATGTCTGTGCCAATTATGCTTTCTGGCACTGGGGAAATAAACACAGGATGAGTACCCACAGTAAGTTGGACCTGAGCTAAAACTCTGTTAATTACCTGACCTCCATAAGCCCCTACTTTAACTGGAGGACCACAGTGATGTTTTGGGTCCCCTGGAATCAACGTCAGCTCAGAGTCAGTGTCCACTAGTCCCTGAAATGTCTGATCATTTCCCTTTCCCCAGTGCACAGTTACCCTGGTGAAAGGCCAGAGGTCTCCTTGGGGAAGGATGGGAGAAAGATTCACTGCATAAATTTTCGGTAATGTAATGGGGTCCTTCCTCAAGGGGACCTGGCCTCCCCTTCATTCAAGGTGTTCTGGGTCTGTAAACTGGCTCAAGTCTGGAAATTGATTAAGAGGCCGTGATTTTCTACTAAAAATACAAAAATTAGACAAATGTGGCGGCATGCACCTGTAACCCCAGCTACTTGGGAGGCTGAGACACGAGAATCACTTGAACCTGGGAGGCAGAGGTTGCAGTGAGCTGAGATCACACCATTGCACTCCAGCCTGGGCAACAGAGCAAAACTCCATCTCCAAAAAAAAAGGAAACAACCAAAACGTTCCTCAGGAGATAAATTGTTAAATCAACTGCAATACATCATGTCATAGAATACTACTCAGCAGTAAAAAGGAATGAACAATTGATACACATGATAACTTGGATGTATGTCACGGGCAATAACAAGCCAATTTCAAAAGATCAAGTTCTGTAGAATTCCATGTATATAATGTTCTTGAAATGGCAAAATTATAAAGGTGATAAACAAATTAGTAGTTGCTAAGGGTAAGAAAGGAAGGATTGCTATAAAGGGGTAGTCTGAGGGAGATCTTTGTGGTGATGGAATGTTCTGTCTTGATTGCACAAGTCTGCACTTGTGATAAAATGGCTCTACACATGTGCCAAGGTCATATTCCTGGTCTTGCTGTTGGGTATAATTATGTAAGAAGGAAGTATTGGAAGGAAATGGTGAAGGGTATATGGGACAACTCTCTACTACCTTTGCAACTGCCTGTGAATCTATAATTATTTCAAAATAAAGTTAAAAAATCAATACTGCCTTATAAAAACTGGTTCTGCCATTTTTCTCGCAACTTTTACTACAGGCATTATTTGTACTTTCTGCACAAGGAAATGTAGAATAGCATTTGGGAGAAGGTGGCTTCTGAGCCTGCTGTGCTGCTGTTTCCAGAGCTTCAGGGCTTGGCTGTCAACCTTCTGCTCACTGACTGCTGCTATGTGCCAAGGAGAGCACAGAGAAGTGTTTGAGTGTCAGAAAAGCACATTTGTCCTTAATTTTATTTTGACAGACTTGTTTTATAGCCTCATGTTTTGTGTGTTTTTGTTTTTGTTTTTGTTTTTTTTTGAGACGGAATCTCATTCTGTTGCCCAGGCTGGAGTGCAGGGTGCAACCTCAGCTCACTACAACCTCTGCCTCCGGGGTTCAAGAGATTCTCCTGCCTTAGCCTCCCGAGTAGCTGGGACTCCAGGCGCCCACCACCATGCCCGGCTAATTTTTGTATTTTTAGTAGAGATAGGGTTTCACCATATTGGTCAGGCTGGTCTCAAACTCCTGACCTTGTGATCTGCCCACCTCAGCCTCCCAAAGTGCTGGGTTTACAGGCATGAGCCACCACGCCTGGCTGTTTTTTATGTTTTAAAATACTGTTTTTTTAACATTTTGTTAAGCTACTTTAAACTGGTGTTGCAAGTAGATCAAATTTGCACATTAGGACAACTTCAGTCTCTCTTCCAGTTGTCTTTTTTTCCTCCTCAGTCTACAAACATACTTCAAGTCATTAATCCCCGTCTTCACCCACCGCAGAACATCAGCTTTCAGCCTAGCAGCGCTGGAATCTGACACTCTCTGCTTCCTTTAACCATGGAACATCTTAAAAGAGCCATCTGAGATCTACACTCCCTTCTACTTTTTCACACATTTCATGCCTGCTGCATGACTCTAGCTGGTATAGTGTGAACTAAAAGAAAATAAAACCAGGAAAGTGTATTCAGCATAAGAGATCATTTTTGAGGGTTACTTTGTCCATGTGTAATTTCATTGAGAGTAGCTGTCTAATTTTAAATGAAAAGTTTTAAAATAGTTAATTCTCTTCTGATGTACATAAAAAGTAGATTCCTCTGTATTTAAACTGTATTCTCAATGGTGAGGCCCAGGGCTTTGGCAGGGAGGCTGACTCATGGTTCAGTGGCTTCTTTCCCTGGCCTCAAGGTCAACAATAGCCATTCCTCACGTGGTAGAACCATTACATTTGTTTAATAGATTTATGTTCTTCTCCCACAAGTAGTTTTCATCATCAGAAAGTATTTGTCAAATATCCAATTGTAAAAGATTTGTTCAACTGTGTTCTACAAAGGGAAAAATTTAATCACAATATCCAAAGGATATTATAAAAGTAATTAAAATTCCATATACATCTAGACATGGAAACACATTCATGATCTATTGTTCAACCAGAAAAAGCAGATTAAAAAGTAGAGTTTATAATATGAAGTTTAAATGTACACATTTTAAAACTGTAAAGTATATATTTGAATATATTTTTTCAAAAGGATCTGGAGTGATGAACCAAATGTTTCCAGGGATTGTTCTTGGGCACAGAGGGTTTAAATGTCATTTTTATTTTCTTACTTGTAATTTTCTGTATACTCTGCATTGTTTACAATACGAAGGTAGGAATTTTATGTTTAGAAAAAATTAAATTATTTTAATTTTATAAAAAGATTCTAAGGACATTTTATACTTTTGAGGAATATTAGTTACTAAGATTATTACCATTGATCCACATTAGAACCTTAAATAAATTATCATTGACATCTTTTTTAATAAAGTGCCAAATATCAACTGTATTGATTAGGAACCTTACCTTGAAGAAATATTTATTAAACTATGTGAAGTACTCCAGTAGCTTTCTTAAACGAAACAAAATGGTACCCCCATGTCTCTACATGAAGATGCCACATGGAATTACAGTATATCTTTTCCTGTTCTGTCCAAGCAACCACATGAAATGCTAAGAACTTAAAATACATAATGTTCTTTTGCACTAATGGGAATTTCTTAATGCACTGAAAGATTTCAGCCTTAAAAATATCCTTCCTTGGGCAAAAATATATTCTTAAAGAACTCAGGAACATCTTAAGAGATACAGATGTTGAATGTTATATCTCCTCTTCCCTCTGGTATATTTTTGGCATGTATCTTCTGTTGTTTCTTTAAAAGTTGCTTTTGAATATCTCTTTTAATTGTTGTATGTCATTGTTTTAGCTATTTACTCACTTGCAGGCAACGTCTTGGGCATGCTTTTTGTTGGATCTTGGTTTCTCTTCATCTGGTGACAGTGGTTGAAGTAAAGGAATTTTTAAAGTAAGATTAAATAACAATACTTAGTACTTATAGCAGACATAAAATATTATCTGACAGACTTTTTATACTGGTGTGTTTTAAAAGTATCTTTTTATCTTCTCCCTTTTTTGATTTTGTTGGGTGATGTTTTTCGTAAGTACAGAAAAACATCGAACAATTTAATTGTGTAATTCATCTTCATGTCTGTGAATATTAGATACCAGTATCATAAAATTTGATTAATTATGCAAATATCCTTGAACATATAAAATACCTAGTCCCCTAGGTGATTACTAAATGAGTTTCTTTTGGCTAAGAATCTAAAATGCTTTTTAAGAAACCAAAATGTAGTTTCTTTTTGCAATGTGTTTCTGTACTAGTATTTGAACTCTGAAGTATCTAATGGTTTTTGAATCCACTCTAATATAATGGTGTAACATTGGAAAGATCTGTCTCAGGGGACCCTTAAATTTACCCTTCCTCAGAGCAGACAGTTTTATAGCCCTCAATATTAAGATTCAGACCGCAAGCTCAGCAGGAGTCAATAGATCAGTCAGAGTGGAGCCTCGCTGAACAAACCTGAAATCAGAACGATCAAATATTGAATCATGACATTATAGTAAGGAATGCCTCCGAAGTAATTGTCACATTTGCTTGTAGTGACCTTTATAAAATACCCACGCTTGAAAATGACATTTTTAATGCTTCCTCCTCTAAAAAACTGTGACAATCTTAAAATTGGAAATGTTACCAGAATGGCCATTGTCTGGTGAAGTAGAAGTGCTGCATCATGGATTGAAACCATTCTCGGCTTTGCCCTATGAATCATATATTTTTTTTAATTTCAGCTTTATTTTACTAATTTTTTAAAATTTAATTTAGATTCATTGAGTACATATTCAGATTTGTTACATGGGTGTATTGCGTGATGCTGAGGTCTGGGTGTCTAACGATCCCATCGCCCAAGGTAGTGACCATAGTACCTGATGAGTCATTTTTCAACCCTTGTCCCTCTCCTTCCCTCCCCGCTTTTGAAATCCCCAGTGTCTATCGTTCCCATCCTTGGGTCTGTTTGTACCCAATGTTTAGCTCCCACATATAAGTGAGAACATGCAGTATCTGGGTTTCTTTAGCTTATTTTACTTCCAAAGAAAAGGATTTATGAGGGGCTACCGTAGAGAAAAGGAATAATGACAATTTTCTTTCCTGTTGCTCTTCCCTCTGCCATTTCTTCTCGCTGGTATTTTCTTTGCAGGTCTGTGTTGTGCCAAGAGTAGATATTGTTTGTTTTCCACTTGTTTGTTTTTTTTAACCATTGGTTTTGGTGCTGTTGACTTAGGTTGTGTGCTACAGGGATCTTGGCTATAGTGAGCCTTTCAGGGCCTCACATGGCCCCTCACAGAGGTCTGTGTGTTCCATGTCTGTGCTGTATTTTGCAGGGGAGGCAGTGTAATAGGCTAAGATGGTGCTTGGCTTCTTACACATCTAAAACATGTCATGTAACCTCTACTGTAACCTCTACCACCTTGGTTTCCTTATCTGTGAAATGGGGAGAAATAATCACATATACCTCCTAGAGTTCTGAGATGTAAATAAGATCATCTGTGGAAGTGCTGAACACATGGTATTTGGTGTCAAGTCAGCCTTCAAAGGTTATTTTTACTATTGTCTCTACCATCCCACCATTACCAACACTGCTGTTGCTGCTACTACTGCTAATGGCACTTCTATTATTTTAATGTGACAAGGTCTTTTCCAAGAAGAAATTCCTCTCTTGTTGTAGAGCATGGGTGATGGGAGACAAGGGACCTTGGGACCATACAGATGGTGCAGATCTACTTTCTTATGCCACTTCATAAGGGTAGACTCTAGTTTGAGCTAATCATGTGCTTTAAATTGTTGCATTGCAGCATAGGGAAGCATTCAGCCATATTGTTTTCCAGGATTTGCGTGGTAGGAGTTTGGCAGTCCTTCCTTCTGGTGGTCTGTGGCACCCAATCATTTGCCATAAAAGTGCTTTTCCAGGTTCTGCTTCTTTTCATCTACGCTTACTGAGTTGTGGAAATTTTTAGAGAGTTTCTTATTCTGAAATAACACTACTAATATTCAGCCAGTGTCTATCAAGTGGATACAATGTGCCAGACTGTGAACCCTCTGGGGTGGATAAGCCTGCTGGTCCCTGCTCTTGAAGAGCTCTCAGTGCATTGGTGGAGACAGGTAAACAGGTGAGCAGGACATATGCAGGAAAAGGACAAATTCTTTTTCAAAGTTCATCTGAACAAGATCTCTTTTTCTCAGAGTCCTTGATTCCCCATAAGAAAACACCAAACCAACAATTTTGAGTGCCGTTGCCTCCAAGACGCCTGATAGAAATGTTAAGAGGATTTGAAACTTATCAAGGATAGAACTAGGTGCAGCAGAAGATCTCAGGCTTTAGAAAACAATACATTGCAGCTTTGGGGGAAAAAATCTTTGGAGTTTTTTTTATTAGAGTATACGAAGTATGGATTCATGCATAAGACTAAAATATTATGTTAAGAGAATTTTAAGATAGGAAAATAAATTGTGAGCATGGGTAATAAAATAAAGCTTTTAGCATGCAAGCATCCAGACTCCAATTAGTCCCTGACCAGACCCCGACCCAGGAGACAGTTAACTGTCCAGGGACCAGGAAGAGAGGATCCTTTAGAGGTCCTTGACTCTGAGCAAAGTTATGAGAATAAGGCCACTTCTGTGGAGCCCCCATGGGTAATGATCATCCTGTGTAAGGTGAAGATAGTAACTAATTGCTGCTGCTGCTGGAACCTGGCCTTGCTGAACTTGGTGGACCTCCTTGAACCTCAGAGCAGGGGGTCACAAACCAGGACTTGTTGGACCAAACATTGACCACTGACATGCTTTGTTCACACATAGCTTTACTAGTGGAGCCTGTCTAAACTTTCTGCCTTCTGTTCTTTGAGACAATGGAAGCTGTAGCAGCACTGGCTTGCATTCCTGCATAACCATAAGAGGTTGCTTTCCAGTTCCAGTTGCTTCCTTGCACCATAGCAGCTCCCTCAGTCCCCAGGGCTCCCTCTTGTCCCACACCTGCAGTTGCTTTGCTGACTCACACCAGTTGCTTGACCCACATAGGCATTTCAATTCATGACTCCTGGCCTAGAAAATTCCAGAGAGAAGGAGAATAGCCATGGTTCCTGAGGGAGAAGGACTGTGCTACCCTTGGGACTAGGATGACCCCGTCTAATGCTCCCTGATGTAGTGGGCAGTCCCCAGAGGAGAGGCTCAGAATCACTTTGGAACGATTAGACCATACAGAGCTGCCGCTCTCGATGGGAGGATGTGTGGAAAAGGCTGATGACCAGCAATTAGGTGTGAAGTCTTTTTATTCTGTGCCTGCTCTGTAGACCCCGAAGGCTTAGATGTCCTCTCCTCTGAATCCTCCCAATGCCAGGCTTAGATGGATCTACTACCTGCCTCATCATCTGGGTACTATCCCAGGAGCTTCCTGCTTGGCCTAGGCTGAAGAGAAAGGCTACAGTGGGCTTTGCAGAATGTAAAGGGTTCAGATTGTCAGAAGAGTTGGAGAGAACATTCCAGAAGGGCGGAACTACAGAGCAAAGAACTAGAAGTGGGATTAAATGTGCCATGTGGAAGGAACATTTGGGGACTGAAAAGAGCAGAGGAACGAGTAGAAATAAAGTCATGGGTCTACTCAATCTGCCCTTGAATGCTAGGTGAACACTCTGGGGGCTTATACCTAGAGAAACCAGTCATTGTTAATTTTAAATCAGGGGGTAGCCTGAAGAGTGTTGATGATGAGGGAGCTGAGTACGGTATAGGTAGAAATAATGAGAGATAAGAGGTGGAGGAGTCATTGGAAGGTGGTGACTTCAGTCACCTTGGATTTCTTAGATGCTGGTAATGGCAGGAGAGTGGAGAGACAGGGATGAGTCAGAGACATCAAACACAAAACAAACAACCCAAGAAAACCTTTTTTCTTATTGCACAAGCAGTATGTTTTTAATGTAGGAACTATAAATAGTCAAAAGTTTTAAATGAAACAGTCGATCCGAGTACCCAGAACCCTGAGGGTTACTTGTTGTTGCTATCCGGGGGAATAGCTTTCTAGATAATGTTTTCTATGCATGGGTTATATCCATCTTTAATAAAAGTATGGTTTTCCAGCTTAATTTTCTAATGTATAAGTCCATCTTTAGCTTTGTTCCACATCAATAAACATTCATGTACAAAACTTTAATCACTATTTCATTGGCTGTTCATTATTCATCATGATTTATCTCTGCCAGCCAATTAAGATCCTTTCCATTTTTGGCTAAACAGTGGAATAAATATTTAATGTGGATATCCTTATTGATTTGATTGAGCCATTTTGAACAGATTGACAGGAATCAAAGATGGATGCCTTCTTTGTCCGTCGTATCCAGTGATAACTCAACATTTGGAGCCTGAAGGATTTGGGGCATGATGGAAATGTTACTGAAATAAATGAGAAAATATGGAAAAAAGAAGGATTGAGTTGTAAAGGAAGTCCGTAAACTCAGTAGTAAAGAAATTTTTGCTGCTATAGGTGACAGTAGTCCCTGTTAATAGTTGCTTGAAATTTTTATTCTTTTCTCATAGAACAAGAGGTTAGAGGCTGGTGAATGCTGACATTTGTTCAGCTGCTCCACAATATCATCAGACTCAAGCTGCCTCTTTCTTTATGCTCCTCCATGTTTTGCCTGTTGGCTTGTTGCCTCATATGCTAAGATAGCTGCTGTTGCTTCTGACATCAGAACCATGTTCCAGCTAGGAACAAGGTGGAGTAGTGATGGCTGCTTGTATCCTTTTTATAAAGAAAACAAAAGCATATCCAGAAGATCTTGCCTCTGACCCACCCACCTCCCTACTTCTCACTGACAGGACTGAGTGTCATGGCCACCCCTAATTGCAAATGAGGTTGGGAAAGAAGGAAGTTGAATTGCCAGACTGACTTGCACTATTGCCTGAGGTTTGGCCTGAGTTTGAGTTCTGCTAACAAGCCACAAGAAAGTGGGTAGTGTCCGGTAAGCAATTAACAGTGTCTGTGTGTTATGCTTTGAGAAATTGAGTTCCTGGGCATTCACGAGGTTTTGTTGGGGCAGTAAAGAACCCCTGATATCTGGGCCGAGGATCCATAATAAAAGAGAAAATTAGAGTGATTGTTGCAGAACCATAGAGGGAACAGAGGTTGACTAATCAGACACAAGTTAAATAACAGATTGTTCCATTTGAAGGAGAAAACCCTATGAGAAGTGAGAAGAACTATGCTTTACTGCATTTTACATAGATGGTTTCATTTAATTCATGTAATTTTCCTCCTGAGAACCTAGTCATTCTACAAACATTTATTGAATGTTTACTATATGCCAGCCACTGAGCTAGGCACTGGGAATACAGTGGTGAGTAAAACAGGCAAAGCCTCTTCAATGCTGAGCTCACGGGTTAGTGAAGGAGGTAAAAAAAAAATAACCAGAGGGGCACATAACAAATAATGTCAGGTAGAAATAAGCACAGCAAGAAAACTCATAGCTAAACAAGGGGATAGAGAGAGCAAGAGAGGTGTATCTCCAACACCACGAAGCAATTTCTCTTGTCACCATTTTATTGCCAAGGATGCTGAGGCAGGCCAGCTAGAATCCCAAGTGACCAGGTAGTATTCGGCAGAACCTTGCTTATGATCTAGGTTGGACTCCGAAGCACATGCTTGGGAATACGTCATGCAGCTGGGAATTGGGGAAACATTTAGTGTCTGCATCTAAGTGGAGAGCTGGAGTCTCTCATGGGACTCGGTGAGAAGAATTCAAGCTCTGTACCATAAAGCTCTTTGGAGTTTTATCTTTGCTCTACATCAGGAACACTCAATGCATGATTTTTACCATGACTTCTTGGTCTCTGCTGGCCAAGTGTGGTTGTTCAAACAAAAGGACTGTACCCCACCATGCCATGAGCCATGTGGGACATACCAGCACCTGCTTTGTGTGCAAGCTGGAGGGATGGTTGAAAAGAGCACAGGCTCTGGAGTCCAACTGATTGGGTTTGCACACTTACTCTCCCACTTGTTGGTGCATAAACATGGGCAAGTTAGCCTCTATGGGACTGAGTTTACCCACCTGCAGAGTTTCTACTGTGTTGTAGTGGAGAACATGTGAGATAAGACAGATAATGGGAGCACAGGAAATGCTTAATAAGCGCTGTGTTGTTTTTGTTGGTAGCATTTAGAAACTCTGCATTATTTTTTGTTATGCTCACATTGCAGAGCTAGCCTCAGAAAGACATGCTTTTCCATGCAGAAGTCTCAAATTCACAAGTTTATAAATTGTGAACAGCCTGGTGACATGATAAGGCACTGTGTTCCCCTGATGGCATATTTCTGAAGCACAGCATGCTCAAAATTTTATCTTCCCGTGTTACATGCTTTTGCAGACAGCACAATATGGAACCAGTCAGGCTCCTAATTATGACAGCAGTCCAGAGCCAGAATCCAGTCATCCAGTTGACAAAGGACTTGGTACAGAGAACAGTGACCAGCTGTTCCCCATCTCCAGTGAGCAGCGAGTAAGAGGAAATGGGTTTAAGCTGCATGAAGGATTTGGGTTATTTATGGTGGAATTTCCTGACCGTGAAGGTTGCTCAACATTAGGACTGGATTACAGAGAGAGGGTGTAGAATTTCCGTCTGTGGAGATTCCGAAAACATGTTCTTGTTTGCGAGATGACTACAGATGCTGCCTTCCCACTGTGCGTTCTGTCTTGTCTCTCTCCCTTTCTACCCATCTGGTCGTTGAAACCAAATGAACCTTCTCTAAGACATTGAGGGTGGGGCTGCTATTTGGAGAAGGGAAAAGAGCTCACAGTTAACTGGTCAGAACATCATCCACTTTTTGACATTTTGATTGCAGGCTTTGGCATTTTGGGTGAGGACACACAAACACAAATTCATTTAGTTAACCTAGGACTGAAAAGCCCACCTGGGCCAGGTGAAAAACAAAAATGGTCAGGTTTACAACTTTGAAGAACTTGGAGAACACGTGCCCCATCCTAAGGATGCAGCCTTTACTCAGGTCAGCCAATTTTTTTTTTTTTTTTTGAGACGGAGTCTCGCTCTGTCACCCAGGCTGGAGTGCAGTGGTGCGATCTCAACTCACTGCAACCTCTGCCTCCCAAGTTCAAGTGATTCTCCTGCCTCAGCCTCCCAAGTAGCTGGGACTATAGGCACCTGCCACCACGCCCTGCTAATTTTTTGTATTTCTAGTAGAGATGGGGTTTCACCATGTTAGCCAATTCTTATCACAAGGACTGTGGGAATGCACACTGCTGCCAAGCTGATTTTCAAGAGCAGTATGAAATCTGGGGAGTTTTAAAATTCTGGCAACTAATTTTCTAAAAGCCAGTTATGTGTGTACCAAGGGGAATGTAGATCTGTGGGTCATAATTCCATGTGCAGGGTGCTTGTTTGTGACTTCTGATCTGTGAGGTCACCTTGGTCCATTGGCCCTGCTAGCAAGTATGGGAATGAGCATCTCTCCAAGTTCAGACACGGGTTTGAGGTGGCAGAATTTGTCTTTTAAAATGGAAAACCTCTATATTTATATTTATGAGCTGAACCATAAGAAATTGACATTTTTGTGTATCAACAATAATCAAATATTGTCAATTTCATGTGCTTCAATCTAAAAGGAATCATCCACTTAAGAGAAACTAGAATATGAAATATAGACTGTGTTCTGTCCTGCAGCATCAAACATTTCTGCCTCCTCTGAGACGAAGAAAGCACTCACTAACTGTTCCAGCACCCCACGTTATTTACTAGCAGACCATGCCTGGCAGATGGAGGTGACATCAGCCATTGCCTGAGTAACATCCATCTTCTCATTTGCACCAAGCAGCTTAAAGAGTCTGCCCTTCCTGGGACTAATGGCTTTAATATTAACATTGTTGAAGCTCCTTTTAGCAGCAGCATAGCCATTTGTGGAAATTTTCCAAATAATCATCTTTCTCTTCTTTTATCTTTCCTTCCATCAATTAGTTATAGGCTATCATTTTCTACAGATATTTTTAGTTTCTATGGATATCATTGCAGAAATCAACTGGACATAGCTGAGGATGAAACAATTGTTACCCTCAGGTAGGTGGACAGACTCCACCTCCAAAAGCAGTAAGATGGGTTTCATCCAGGATCCGCAACTTCAGTGATTCAGGTGTGAATCGAATTGCTTACTGATGGTGCATTCTGTTAAACAAAAACGTGCATTGAGAGAGACACAGCTGGCAGACGACCTAATGGGAACCTGGAGGGGAGGTTCTACCTCGGATGCCACATCTTCCCTCCCACTCCCAGACCAAATCCTGGGGTTTGAAAAGGGGGTTGGTACCAAACCTTTGCCATGTTTGAGAGAAAGACAGGAAGAGAGCCTCACTTTTCTCACTGGCTTTCCCATGCATCCTAGAACTCGAACTCTGATGAAAGCATTTCTTTAGTTCCAAGAGCTCTCTGGATGAATAGGGTAATGGGTTTCTTTTTATTTTCTGCATCTTTTTTTTAACTATTTAATGTTTACTTCATATTGATTTATAAACAACAACCTCTTTGTGAATTTCCTTCATAATATAGAAAATGTATTTTGACCAAATGTATAATGCATTTTTATTGTCTTAATTAACTGGAATTCCAACATTCCCTTCCCCCATTTCTTTGCTTTTAATGAAAAGTAGCAAATGAATAAAAACCATACAAAAAGAGAAAAAAAAAAAAAAAACTGCAATCAGAGATTTAACCAAACAAAACTCCCCACTAAAACCAAACTTTCCAGAAACAATTTTCAAAGTTCCTATGAAATCAATCATCTGGAGGGATATTTTAAAGGGAAAAAAGTGCTCTGTAAAATGATTAGCTTAGTTTCTTCATGTGACCTAAAAAAGGGCAGGTGGATGTAATCAACTTCTCACCCCATTGATGGCGAATACTTTGAAAGTCATATTAATCATTTAGAAAGTATGTGACCACACATGAGACACTCCAGTTGCCTCTTTGTCTGGTCTCATAAGTGTGTACAGAATTATTTTGATGTGCCCAAGGCACCTAAACCCTACACGCTCTGTGTGGCTGACTGAGAAACTGCAGAGCAGATGTCTGAAGGGCTGATGTGCTGAGCCCTGGGCTGTGTCGTGAGGCACAGCCATCTCCAGCTAGCCTTGCTTTTATCTGCCACTTGCTAGACTTTCCCACTGACCACAGGCTCCCCGCAGCTTTGTGCCTCGGTTTATAGATTGATGGCAATGCAAGGGGACTAAAAGTAAAGGAAGATAAATATCAAACTCTTAATCAAAGGAAGGAAGAGAAGGGAAAAGATCTATAAATTCAAAAATATTTTTTCATGTTTGCTGAGCATGGTAGCAGAGATACATGGAAACTCATGGCCTAGCAGTTGTTTAATGCTGATGGGTGGAGTAATCATCATTATTATTATCAACAAGAACTTTTATTTACTCAGCACTTTCTGTATGTCAGGCACTGTCTAAATGCTTCTCATGCATCGATGCATTTAATTTTCACAGCTCTGTAAAGTAAGTACAGTTGACTCTTGAGCAACATGGATTTGAACTGTTTGGGATCACTAATAATAGATTTTCTTTTTTTTTCACATCAATTTGTACTTTTATTTCTTATTCTTGAGGTTAGATTCTAAACCCTAAAGATATCCAAACTGTATTAGATCTACTTATCTATAGCCAGAGACAGCTTCTATCATGTTGTCCTTAGCAGCCAAGGTTATTAAAATGTCTTTTCTCCAGGAAGATCCAATAGGAAAAAAGAAAGAAACCTCTCTGATTAGGCTTCAACCATACCCCACCCTCCATCATATTGACTGGATAGGCATAATGGAAACCAGAACATGTGGTTTCCAAAAAAGAAAAATCCTATGAGGGAGGGGAGGAGGGGAGAGGAAGGATTCAGCCAGTGCCCAGAGTCAAATTGAGTAATATCAATTTCACTCTCCTTCACAGATCTTCAAGTTGTATGTTCATGGAGTAGTTTAGGAATAAATCCATGGTTTGTGGAGTACTAAAATACCTAGTTGTCTGCTTTATTACGTTATGGCTTTCCCCAGCAGTTTCCAAGGCAAACTGGCAGGAGAATTTGGCTGGAACTACATGCAGGACTGTAGAGATTCCTCTCCACAGTTATAGAAGGGACTGTTCCAGGCCTGATTGTTCCAGAACTGGGTGCACCAGGTCTGAGTGTTCCAGGAGTAGTTGCTCCAGGACTGGATGTTCAGGCTGTGGTTGCTGCAGCTTGAATTGCTCCAGGTCTGGTTGCTCCACATTGGAAGGTTTCCAGTCGTGTTCACCAGGCATTCCTGGTGGTAAGAAGAGTAGAGGCTGGGGTAGGTAGGTGCTGAGGCCTGAGTCACACCATTGCTATTCTGCGGCCAGTTGTTTTTCTGCCACCTCTTAGATTTCATTCTCTGGTTCTGGAACCAGGTCTTCACCTGTTTGTAGCTAAGGTTCAGGATATTGGAAAGTTCTTGCATCTGTTGAAGGCTGAGGTATTTCTGTCTCTGAAATCTATCATTGAGTACACACAGCTGGGTGGAAGAGAACACAGTTCTGGTCTTCTGTTTCTTGACTGGGACCTTGTCTTCCTTCTTTTGTGGCGCTATTCTCTGCAGCAGTGGGTTGTTTGCCTTTGGGACTGGTAGGAGAATCAGGACTATCCTCAGATCCATGGAGGAAGGAAGAGGAGAGACAGTCGCAGTGTGAGGCATCTCAGCAGGAGACATTTGCAAGGATGGATAGTTTCTTCAGGCCCACAAATGACAGGCATAGGTGAAGATTCTTTACAATCAGATGCTTTGAAGCCAGGCAGGTTTGGGGACAAGCTGGATTCACACTCATGTTATTACTGGGGAAGAGAAGTAAAAAATTTAAGAGCTGGACTGGAAAAAAGGCTAAGGCAGCGTTAAGACTTTTCTGGAAGATCTTAGAGAAATATGACCTCCAGAAGTGAAAGTATCAAGAAGTTGGGATGAAGTGAGCCACCTCCACAACAACAGGAGGCAACCAGCTCAGCCCAGCAAAATGTCAATGACAGATTTTCTTCCACCTCTGCCACCCCTAAGACAGCAAAACCAACCCCTCCTTTTCCTCCTTCTCCTCAGCCTACTCAACATGAAGACAAGGAAAAAAAAAATGTGATGATCTACTTTCACTTAATCAATATTAAATATATTTTCCTTATGATTTGCTTAATAACATTTTCTTTTCTCTAGATTACTTTATTATAAGAATACAGTATATAATGCATAGAACATATAAAATATATGTTGATTGACTGTTTATGTTATAAGTAAGGCTTCCAGTTAACAGTAGGCTATTAGTAGTCAAGCTTTTAGGGAACCAAATGTTATATGCAAATTTTTGACTGCACAGGGGTCAGCACCCCTAACCCGTGCATTGTTCAAGGGTCAACTGTATTTTATGTTATATAGTTGAGGAAACGGAGGCACAGTGAGATTAACTCACTTGTCCAGGGCCACACAGCTAGTGAATAGTAAAGCAAGGATTGAAACCCAAGTTTTTAACAATAGTACTGACCTGCCTCTTTTGATAAGCGTGCTAGAGAACATTTGGTTTATTTCCAAAAGTGTAGATGCATTTTGTAATCTTTTACTTTTGTTAACAATTACCATTTAATTTTCCTCTCTAGCAAGGAGGTCCTTTTGAATCCTTCAAAAATTTAAGCATTTTTACTTCATGATTTTTTTTGCCAATACAAACAGAAAATTTTCTCTCTAACCTGCAAGCATCTGAAGATAAAGAGAGGAGAGCCTGCTGGTGTTTATCTTTCTCAAAAAGATAACGGGAAATATGACTCAGGTGGCTCTTGAGAGATGCTGTTCCCATTGCTGATGTTCAGTGTTTTATATCTGCTGTCTGGATTTGACTTGGAGAAAAGCATGCAAGGTGAAATGTGCTTACAACTCTCTGCCAAGGTGAAAACCTCAATACTATAATAGGAGAGCTTGGATGAGGAAGGAGTGAGTTCAGAGATAAATAACTTGACTCTATCTTGTGATAAATTCTGAAGTGGTCTGTTATGAAAGTCCCTTTCAGACCTATGGGTCAAAGTAGATTTTCTTTAATGTGAACCACAGTGATTTCACAGGTACAGTGTAATGGAGGACCAGAAACACACATAGACTTGTTCCTGGATAGCTGAGCTTCTTAGACTTGACAAGCAGGCTTCTGCTTGATTAGCTGAAAACTCAGGCAAGTGTGAGCCTCATTCCCTTCTGTGAAAATGAGGCAATTGGACCAAACAGTGGAGCTGTTAAAAAAAAAAAAAAAAACAGGCCAATTTGAACCTCACTCCAGATCTAGTAAATCAGGCTCCTGGAGTAGAGTCCAGGTATGTGTATTTTTCAAAGCTCCTTGGGTGTCATTAAGAACCCGTAGATGGCTACTTTCTAACCAGAATGTGTGCTAATGGCATGCTCCACTTTTATTTCTCTGTCTCTTCAGACAACAAGCATTTGTTGAATGCTTACTGCGTGGTGGGCAGAACAACAGCCATTGTGTTGATGCCAGGAATTCTGCAGGAACAAGGTGCCCAGCGTCCTTGCCTTCAAGGAGCTTGAAGTCTAGTTTAGATGAAAAAAACTAACAGGTACAAGAGTAAGAGAATTAGGCTGGTCATGGTGGCATACATCTGTAATCCCAGCTACTTGGGAGGCCAAGGCGGGAGGATTGCTTGACCCCAAGAGTTCAAGACCAGCCTGGACAACATAGTGAGACCCCCCACCACTCCAATCTCTTTAAAAAAAAAAAAAGTTTAAGAGAATTTCAGATGGGCTACAAGCTATGAAGAAGATAGAACAGGGTTATGATGTGGAGCCAGGGAGGTGAGGGCTTGAGAAGGCATCTCTGAACGGAGATGTGTAGGGGAGATGGAATCTCAGAGATGCGAAGGAGCCAACCAGGAGGAGAGTGTGCTTAGGACAAAGCTCAGGAGGCTGGAATGTGCAAGACATGCTCGAGTAAGAGGCAGTAAGCAACGGCCAGAGTGGCTGGAACATAAAAAAGGAGAGGCAGGGAGGTAGGAGAGAGGAGCAGAGGTCAGATCTCAGTCCTTGACCATGGCTGTGCTTTGGGACTTTATTCTGAGTGTGATTGGGAGCCATTGGAGGATGGAGATTGTTTTCAGAAATGAATTGATTCTTGATTTTCATTTGAATAAGACCATTTGGGCTGCTCTGTACAATACCTGACAAGGTGGTTATAAAATTATTACTTGATATTTGACTAATTAGGCTTTATTTTCTTAACTTGGGATATAACTCACATACAATGAAGTTTACTCTTCTAAAATGTAAAACTCGGCTAGGTGCAGTGGTTCATGCCTGTAATCCCAATGCTTTGGGAGCCCAGGAGTTTGATGCTTCAGTGAGCTATGATTGAACCACTGTGCTCCAGCCTGGGCAACAGAGTGAGACCCTGTTTCTACAAAAGTTTTTAAAAATTAAAAAATATTCCCCGGGTGTGGTGACATGTGTCTATAGTCGCAGCAACTTGGGAGGCTAAGGTGGGAGGATTGCTTGAGCCCAGGAGTTTGAGGCTATGGTGAGCTATGACTGTGCCACTACACTCCAGTCTGGGCAATAGAGCAAGACCCTGTCTCTAAAATAAATAAATAAATGTACAACTCAGAGGTTTTTAGTATATTCACAAAGCTGTGCAACCATCACTATTATCTGCTTTTAGAATTTAAGAATAAATTGCTTTAATTTGCAAAAAATGTGATGGTATAGGAAATCATAGTACTGATCCTGGAGTAAATAAAAGAAAACTTGGCTGGGATGATGGAGAAAACACTCAGACTCTCCCATTCCACACATCTAATGTAAATTTTGTGTGATGATGGACATGTTCTGTATTGCACCGTCCATATTGGGAGCCACTAGCCTCACGTGGCTGTTGAGCACTTGAAATGCAACTGGTACTATTGGGAACTGGATCTTTTATTTTGTTAAATTTAAATAGCCACATATGGATACCATATTGAACAGCACAGCTCTATGGCAGCTTACAAATTCATAGTCTTATCTGAGATCATTTTCCCCGTCTCTCCTACCTCCCCGGTGTCTAAAATGATTGAAATGTTGAAGCATATTTATTGTATTTATACCTAATCCTCAGTACAAAGAAAAAGCTGGAGAGTTCCCACAAGGAATCTAGATGACAAGAGGCATAAAGGATGGATGACAGATTCTAAGCATCTTCTGGGGTAGAATAGGATCTGAGTGGGAGTTAACCTGGTTGTCAACACATGGGTGACATCTGTATGCTCATGGAAGGCAAAGGCAAGTGATGACCTCAGCCCCAGCTTCACAACTCACAGCGAATAAAAATAATTCCCAAAGCAGAATATTTTAAGAGGGCAATAAAGTAAGGTTATCTCTCCTGCTCCACTTGTGGGTTGCATGTGACAATAGTAACAAAATCACCCTTTCTAGGATTATGTCCCTGAACTATTTAAGAAGCTTCAAAGCGCCATGAAAGACTCTAAACTCTCATGGTTAAACTCATTAAGCCCTACCCTCCCCAAGTTCCATTTAAGCTGTTTCTATTATTTAAAAAGAAAAAAGAAAAAAAAATCTTCAGAGCCTTGCATTTTTGTCTAGAGGATTTGCTTTTCCATCCTTCATAAGTAGAAAAGTAGCCCAGGAGGAGCCTTAAGCTTTATTAATATTATAAAATATTCAGTGGTTTTTTTAATTGTTCATTTCCTGTTTTTTTTTTAACTACCATGTTTTGCAAATATGAGGCATACATGAAGGTAAACAAGTTTAAGATGTTTCTTGTCTTAAAACTTCCTGTATTATTTTGGAGCCAGAATAAATTCTTGATATTTATTATGTACGATGTTATGAAAAGATGAGATGACCTTTAATGTGTAAGGCCTATGCATTAATATTTGCCTATAAAATATGGCATGTTCCATAGAAGACCAGAAATACTCTCTTATTACCTGACAGATGTAGAAGGAAAAAAGCAATCAGGCGACCTCTAAAATTGCGAGCTTTTAAGGTAAACACAAATGTAGACTGAGATTCCATAGGTCAATATATTTAAACATTATTTGTTAAACTAAGAAACCATTAAATATAATGTTTTGGCCTCTTATCTTCACATCTGTGTCTTCATGTGACCTGGAAAGTTGGGTTCAAATTTAGAATTCTCGGCCTAGAGATTTACACTAAAAAGTAGGAAAGTAAGGGAGGCAGCCTGTCTACTGTCTAGGACTACAGAAGGGCTCTGTCTGGGTCTATGTTCCCGCATGAACAGCCATCCTCAACCAGGCCTCCAGTCTAGGGTAGTGCATGTCTGTGCTGTCCTCCACCCCAGGGAGGGTAGACCTGGGGCAGAGACCTGTGCAGGCCTGGGATGCAGGCTCAGGCATTTGGGTAGGAAATGCTGGGATTGCCAATGAATGATCTAGAGAATTGAGCATCTTCTCTCGCTTCATAGGGAAGGACATGGCTGGAGCAGGGTCAGAGCAGGGGGCCTAAATCAGAAAGTCCAGGATACGAACCCCAGTTACCTGGTTCTAGGAGCCGATGACCATTAAGTGTCTCTTTGTGTTTTTTGTTTTGTTTTTGTTTTTGTTTGTGATGGGGTCTTGCTGTGTGACTCAGCCCGAAGTGCAGTGGAGAGATCATGGCTCACTACGGCCTCAACCTCCCACTTAAGTGATCCTCCCACCTCAGCCTCCCAATTAGCTGGAACTACAGGCAAGTGCCACCATGCCTAGCTATTTTTTTTTTTTTAATTTTTTGTAGAGATGGAGAGTCACTGCGTTGGCCAGGCTGGTCTCAAACTTCTTGGTTCAAGTGATCCTCCTGCCACATCCTCCCAAAGTGTTGGGATTACAGGTGTGAGCCACCGTGCCTGGCCCAGTGCCTCTGTTGAAAGAAACTCTGCTCCTTAACATTCCCGTGATAACATTTCACCAAGCCAGGACAGCAGAGCAGTTACTTATTAGAGGGCTAAAATGTCCTATATTGTTTTAGAGCAAAAATAAGTTACTGATATTTATTATGTATGAAGTTATGAAAAGATGAGATGGCCTTTAATGCATCCTTAAGATCTGGCTCTACAGGTGGTCTCTTTTACAGTCAGAAGTTTTCAGTTTGCTATTTCCGAGGCTTCCGAGTGCTTTTAAATTTTTTCAAGCTTTATTGAAATACAGTTCACATGCCATGCAATTTACCTATGTTGTTCCTAGTATATTCTCAATTTAGTATATTGTGACCATCACCACAATCAATTTTAGAACATTTTCATCACCCCAAAAAGAAACCCATGCTCATTAGCAAGCATTCCCGTTTTCCTCACCTCACCCCCAGCCCAGCGCAAGCACTAATTGACTTTGTCTCTCTAGTTTGCCTCTTCCTCACTGAGGGCTTTCGTACTTTTAAAGTGGTTTCCCTATACATGTGTACATATTAAGTAGGCCCAGATAGAATAGCAAAATCTCAATACATCCAGATATTTTGTTTTCTCAGTAGATGTAGGTTAGTGCTTCTCAAACTTTAATGGGCAAGAGAATCACTCTGGAACCTGGTTAAAATTCCCACTGATTCAGCCAGTCTTGGGTAGGGCCTGAAATTCTGAATTTCTCTCAAGGAGTGCTGCTGCTTGTCTAAAAAAGACACACTTTTTTTTCTTTCTTTCTTTCTTTCTTTTTTTTTTTTTTTTTTTTTTGAGACAGGGTCTCACTATGACTCCTAGGCTGGAGTGCAGTGGCACGATCTTGGCTCACTGCAGCCTACGCATCCCAGGCTTAAGTGATCCTCCCACCCCAACCTCCCAAGTAGCTAAGACTACAGGCACATGCCACCACACCTGGCTAATTTTTATATTTTTTGTAGGGACAACAGGGTTTTACCATTTTGGCCAGGCTGGTCTCAAACTCCTGAGCTCAAATGATCTGCCTGCCTCGGCCTCCCAAAGTGCTGAGATTATAGGCATGAGCCACCACATCTAGCATGGAAGCCACATTTTAAAGAACAAGGAAGGACACAGGATGCTGAAGTCATTATTTTAACCAAAGCAGCCTCCATTTCAGACAATGAATTGGTTTAGTATGGCAGAGTCCCATTATAGCATAGAAAGCATGAGGGGAGTGGTGTGTATGCATGCATGTGTGTGTGCGTGCATGGGTGTGTGTGTGTGTGTGTCTCAGAGAGATTGAGAGAGAGAGAGACAGAGATGGGCAGTGGGCAGAGGCTCCCGGAACATGAACCTCTATCTACCATTCTGAAATGAGGGCTGTGAGGACTTTGTACATTTCTTTTCTCCTTTCTGGCCTTCAACTCCATGCTCTTCCTGATTCACCATCCTCCTTGTAAAACTGAGATACTGCAGGTTGTTCAACTTTGGTTCCCTTCTTTATCAAGACTGCAAAACTATGTTCCTCTGACCATCGCTGATGCACCAGGGTCATTGGTTCTGGTCACACAGCACTTTCTGGAAACTGCATTCTTGTGAAAAGAAATGAGAACCACATTTCCCACACTTTAATATTTTTGACAAGCTCTGTTTCCTTGGGCATAGGAACCACAGTCCCTGTTTTCAGAGCAGGAATCTGAAGCGCGCGGCCCTCGGTGACGGGGCTCAGTCAAAACCCAGGGCCTCCGGGTTTGCTCGGGGTGGGCATTGCACAGCCTGTGGCATTCAGTTGCCATCCACAGAAGAAGGACTCACTTTCTCTGGGTTTTATCACGTTGTTTTTGTTCCTGTGGTTTCTTGCTAAATAACTGTATCATCAGATCCCACATGGCAGCGCCAAGGCCAAACACAGAAACCAATTTTTATTCATCTTCCAGGATGGCCCATGAGACTCCCTGAGTACCCAGCTGTTATTTCAGATGTGAGGTGGGAGCGCAGGGAGGCTCCAGTGGGGCTGCTGGGCTGTGGATGGCAGAGGCTGGGTTGTGTATAAAACCCCTGAGAACACGACATAAGCGGTTGAGCTTCATGGCAATATGTCTGTGACTTCTCCTTAAGATACATTTGAATCTGAAAAACAATGCAAAATTACTTAGAAAAGACAAGAATGTGAATCCACTGGTGACCGTTTACAGCAGCACATCTCTGATCATGGCACCTCTTGGCTCCAGCACTTTCAAAGGCTCCCTATTACCCAAGTTCTAAACCCAGCCTCCTTATTACGACCTCCAGGGCTCTCCTCTCTGGCTTTGGCCTCCACTTCTAGCTCTGCTGCCTACGACTCCCTTTACAAATCCCTCACACCCTGGCTGCTCTGTCGTGGACCAGGTACTGTTTCAGGAACACGGTGCCTCACAGCTTCCATGCCTCTCCTCTTGCTGTTCCTTTCTGCTGGAATGTCCCTCTTTCCCTTCTCTGTTAAAATCTGAGTCTTCCTTCCAGGGTGAATTCCTTTCCTCTCCCTTCATGATGCCTTTTTAAAAAATCTCTTTAAATTAATTAAGCAATGGGATCTCACTCTGTTGCCCAGGCTGAAGTGCAGTGGCATGATAATAGCTCACTGCAGCCTTGAACCCCCAGGCTCAAACACTCCTCCTGCCTTCCAAAGTGCTGGGATTATAGGCATGAGCCACCACATTCGGCTGTTTTTCGAATCTTTTTACCGTCTTTCTCTCCTCTGTGTTCTACTCCAACTGGACTTTCTTTTGACATTGTCTTGTGATTTACATTGTTAATAGAAATGCAAATACAATGACCATTTATTGAACACATGCTGTGTGCCTGATGGGGTAGCATGTGATTTACATAAGTGACTCCATTTCCCCTTCCAAATGCCTTAGTAAAGAAGCTGGTGTTGTCCCCACTGCAAGGTGAAGTTATAAGTTCAGACTTCCCCAGAGTTACCTAGCATGTCCGGCATTGGTCCCAAGGCTGGTGATGACACCCAGAGCCTCTTAGGCAGCAGTCCCCAGCCTTTTTGGCATCAGAGACCAGTTTCATGGAAGACGATTTTCCCACGGACTGGGCAGGTGGGGGGATGGTTTTAGGATGATTCAAGCACGTTGCCTTTATTGTGCACTTTATTTCTATTATTATTACATTGTAATATATTAATATAATGAAATAATTATACAACTCACCATAATGTAGAATCAGTGGGAGCCCTAAGCTTGTTTTCCTGCAACTAGATGGTCCCATCTAAGGGTGATGGGAGACAGTGACAGATCATCAGGCATTAGATTCTCATAAGAAGTGCACAGCCTAGATCCCTCGCATGTGCAGTTCACAATAGGGTTTGTGCTCCTATGAGAATCTAACGGGGCCACTGATCTGACAGGAGGTGGAGCACAAGTGGTAATGTTCACTCACCCTCCACTCATCTCCTGCTGGTTCCTAATGGAACCAGTCCATGGCCCAGGGGTTGGGGACCTGCTCTTAGGTTCTGTTCATATTCGTTTATCTCAACCACAGCTGGCTGGAGCCAACAAAGGAAGTCTCCAGCTTGTGTACAAACCCCTGTGACTTCCAAAGTATAGAGAACTTGGCTTTACCTGTGTGAAATGGGTTAGGGGACTGTCCCTCTGCCTCAGCACAGCGACCGTCATGAGTCATGCCTGTCCCCAGGTCGTTCTTTATTTCTTCAGCAGTGTATCTCTGAGCTGTGGTCCTTGAGAGGCCTTAAAGCGTATGCTTGAAGCTTTTGCAAAACATGGCAGAGAGATCTTGGGTCCTCAGGAGAATAACACAAGCAAACATCGTAAGGCCAAGAAACTCAAGCAGATGGTGGCGGGGAACATGGTCAACACATATGCTTATTTGGTCAGGTTAAGGAATGAGCAGGGTAGAAAGAGGTCCATGGGAATGGGGTCTCCATGCACCCCAGCAGAAGTGAGTAGGGAGCTAGAAACGCTCTTGGGTGACAAGACTCATGTTAGAGCAAAAGTGAGCAGGGAGTAAGCAGGGAGTTAGAAGACCCTTGGGTGACAAGACTCATGCTCACGTCAACACTGGTCATCTGGTGGGCTTGTTTGCTGTAGGGGTCAGCTGTTGGATCTGCTGTGAGAATGGGTGGATGAGGAAGTGAAACGCAGCAAAACTGGATCTAGACAGGTAAAAAGCTAAGCTCAGCCAAAAGAATGGTCTGAAATAATATTTAGGGACCTAGAGAAATGCTCACAATGTAATAATGCTTTAAAATTTAAGATTTTCGATCTTAATCGCAATCACAATTTCGTTAAGATACATAGCACCACCTGCACTCACGATTATGCATAGTAAAGGGACCACGAGGAATGTTCCAGAGGATTGTCTGAGGGGTGGGACAATGGCAGTTTTGATTTTATTTTTATATAGTTTTGGAACTTCCATGATGTTCTCAAGTAAAATGTGTTAATCAGAAAAAAAATTGATAATCAGATAATCAGAAAAACAAACAAACAAAAATTCTCAGAGCACAAAGCAAGCAGGGTCGGAGGAGGTAGTCTGGGTGGGAAGGACCATTGTTCCCACCCAGCATGGTTTTCTTCTTAATGTTCTTTCATGTGTATGCACCCAACTTCAAAGCTTTTCCTGAGTTTATTTTTGTGACGAATGGCTTTAAACTTCCTCAGCGACAGCCTCCCATTGGGGAACTACAGTGTGAAAATGTGACGGAAATTGATGGAACTTCTCAAGAATTTCTGCTCTAGGCAAGACTTTAGGAGGAGCGTGGAGACAGCAAGACTCTTTTGGCAAAATGTCCTCCCTCTTCCATTCTGTCCCCACTTAGTCTATTCCATCCCTGACTGATCACGGATATCCACTACCACATATCCACAGTCACCCCAGGGACTGGGAAGGATCAAGAAAGGAAAATCCTTCCCAAGCACTGTCTTTACCATCTTGGATTCCTTTAGAGCTCTGAAAAGCAAAGGGCTGGATTCAAGAAATGGGGAAGCGGCTGAGCACAGTAGCCTATAATCTCAGCATTTTGGGAGGCAGGAGGATTGCTTGAGGCCAGGAGTTCAAGAACATAGTAAGGCCCTGTCTCTACAAAATATAAAAAAAATAGTTGATCATGGTGCCACAGAAGGGTCTCTTGAGAATTGAGCCCAGTCTGGACTACAGAGTGAGACCCTGTCTCTATTTTTAAAAAATGAAAGAAATGGGAGGAGTAGCATGAAGATACCATTTTGCTTCAGCCTCCTTCTCCACGTACACATGCACCCACTAACATGACTGTCCTGAAAGAAAATTCCAAGCTAAAAATTGTGTGGCCATTTAGCCCAAATAAAGAGGGAAGTGGGAAAGCCCTTGTATAAAACCACCTTGACTTTGGTGACAAATTTGTCAGACTTCAGTTTTGTGTTTGTATGATTTACCTATTTGCTTTTAAAATCTTGGTACATAAAAGATTATCACAGAAAAAACTTTATTTATGCCTGAATAATTTTCTTACATTTTTGGCAGTGCCTTTTAATGCTTCAGAAAATGTTTTTTGAAGGGAGGTAGGGATGGGTGAGGACATGCTGCCAGGTTAGAAGAGACTGAATCAACCCTCCCAAGTTCTGAATCCTGTACGTGTGTTGGGGTGAGGGGAAATGCCTGGATGAAAACGAGTAAACTGAAGTTTATAACACTCCTTCTCGAACATCATACAGCTCTTCCAAGTATCATTTCGATAAGTTAATATAAATGAATCAGAAACATCTGCCTGCCAAATCCCTCCGCACATACAAGGGCTTAATAATTAAATGGAAAAATGTTCGGTTCAATGTGTTTCAGGTTTTAGCAGATCCAAGATGTTTTGAAAAACAGTTAAGTTCTTAAGACATTTTGATTATTTAAAGGGCAGCTGGCTCTCCCACCCACTTTAAAAATGGCAGTGGTTATTTCTGTTCTTTGTATCGATGCCAATGTCTCTTATTGTCTGTGGAAGAAATTCTCTAGCAGAAGTTCACATTCCTGGTCTCTGAAATGATGACTGCAAATTTCTGTCCTATCCAGATAAAGGCTTGCTTCTAACCCTCTCACTATCCTATGCCCAGATTTGGTTCCTAAGCAAATGCTGTGTCCTTCAAGTACAGAGGTTTTTTGTTCTTTGCTTTTTTGAGATAGGGTCTCACTCTATTGCCCATGCTGGAGTGCAGTGGCATGATCATGGCTCACTGGAGCCTCTACCACCCAGGTTCAAACAATTCTCTCACCTCAACCTCCCAAATAGCTGGGACCACAGGTGTGTGCCACCATACCTGGCTAATATTTTTAATTTTTTGTAGAGACAGGTCTCACTATGTTTCCCAGGCTCTTCTCAGACTCCTGGCCTCAAGCGATCCTCCTACCTCAGCCTCCCAAACAGCTGGGATTACAGGTATGAGCTACTGCACCCAGCCCAAGCACAGGGTTTTAAGTGATGATGAGACAGTGTTTTTTCTAGTTACAAGACCCTTTTCTAGAGTCAAGAAGAGCATTGTTGCCACCATGGGTCACTGTCTCACAATTTCAAGAATTTCTTAATTTGTAGTCCTGGTCCACCTTGAGGAAAAGGAAGAAAAGATATTAGATGTTCAGAGGATGAGCTGAAATATGACAGATTATCAAGAGGAAAACAGTTCAAATTGTGTAAAAGACTACAACTGAAATTCCACTGTAAAATGAAAGCCACATTGGGCTCAGTCCCCTCAACCCTCCCTCCTATCCTTGGACGCAGCAGAGGGATCCCGACAAACGCCCACTAAGCAGGTGACAGTGATGAGTGTGCAGTTCCCTCTCAAGCTGACTCCAATAAGTTGTCCTTACATTTTATTGACTTTCAGTCTCGCCATCCTGAAATTTTAATCACCTGAGCGCTGCTTAGACATTGGCTAGATCACCCAACTTGTAATTCTATCTGGACTTGAAGATGAAAGAAGAAGCCCTCGTGCATTTTTGTTCCTTCTGTTTTCTCCTTCAAGGGACACTGTCAGTCTTTCTTAGGCTTCCTGAGTAATCATCATTTAATTTTCTTTATAGGTTGGAAAGTCTTGATTCTCTTAAAAAAAAAAAAGTGAGTAATTAAAAGTGACGGGCCAGGTTAGTAAATAGATTTGTGAATTCAGGACACCACAGGTCTCCCTCATGGTAGAAATGATGCCATTTCACCCCAGTGGCTTTTCAGTTCAGAACTGGGAATTAATGATATTTTCTCACCAAGTTTAAGAAATCAAAAAACAAAAGAATTAAAGCAGGGCTTCATCCCACTGTTTCAGAGCCAAAATTTGTTCTAGTCTCACCAGAGTAAATCCAGTTGTGCTCCCATTTAAAACCCTCCCATGGCTTTCTGCTCCTTCCAGCCTCAGTCTCAAGTCTGGGCTTGGTTTCACGTCTGCTCTTGAGGTCATCTCCTCTCTGTCTCTTTCACACATATCCCAGCAGGCAGAGCTGCCTCCTGCTTGGGGCCTTTCACTAAGTGTTCTCTCTCTGACCCGCAGACCCTCAAAGAAGCAACACCTCTCCTTATCCAGGGCTCAGCTCAAATGGCTCCTCTGTGGCAAGCATCCCCAGACACACATTGATCACTTTGTAACCCATTTCCTGCTTTAATTTCGTCATAGCACTTATTGCTAAATGAAGTAGTCTTGCTAGCTGGCTGTGGTGGCTCATGCCTGAAATCCCAGCACCTTGGGAGGCCAAAGGAGGAGGATTGCTTGAAGTCAGGAGTTCAAGACCAGCCTGAGGAACATAGTGAGACCATATCTCTACTTAAAAATAATATTTTAAAAATAGTCTTGTTTATTGTCAACCTTACATCACTGAAGCATACACAGTAAATGAATGTTCTATGTAGACATGGCCCCTGTTTGGAAAAACTTTGCTGTTTTCAACTTTTTTTTTTTTTTTTTTTTTTTTAGACAGAGTCTCTCTCTGTCACCCAGGCTGGAGTGCAGTGGCGCAATCTCGGCTCACTGTAACCTCCACCTCCTGGGTTCAAGCGATTCTCTTGCCTCAGCCTCCCAAGTAGCTGGGACTACAAGCGCATGCCACCATGCCTGGCTAATTTTTTGTATTTTTAGTGGAGATGGGGTTTCACCATGTTAGCCAGGATGGTCTCGATCTCCTGACCTCGTGATCCGCCCACCTCGGCCTCCCAAAGTGCTGGGATTACAGGCGTGAGCCACTGTGCCCAGCCTTAATTTTTATTTTCAGAAAACATAACGACAGTTGTTCCCTGCAAAGGCCTGAGAAACCTGTTTCTAAGCCAGGATTCTGACAGTAGTGCAAAAGCCCTTCTTAGGGAAACATGGTTTGGGTTTTTTTTTGGTATTGTGATGCTCTGAGAAGTTAGGAAAGGCTTTCAAACTTCATTACTCCTTCTTAACTAATTTCAAATTTGTCATTCCAGTATTTATGTAAACCTCTCAAATCAAGGCAAGAAGTGCAGTAGCATATTTCTTTCTGCATCATCAGTCAGTCATTTGATCAGGCTGCTGTCTCAGGGAGGCATGTCTTACCTGTGCCTTCCCTTTGGTACTTTCTAGGGTTGAGGTGCTTGTCTGGGCTCAGTTCCTGTGTTGCAGGATCCTCCATGGTATCTGTTCACTGTTCCCCTCTGGTTTGTCACTGGCATTTTAATCTATCACCTGGATCACATTACTTACTCTCTTAATGCCAGTTGAGATAACCTCTAATACTGAGGATTAAATCTGAGAGCCTTACTTTTGTGTTGAAAGACCCTTCACTGGGGTGTTCTTGATCCTAAAGCTACTCACAGTGAGGTCCACGGGCCAGCAACATGGCAACGTCAACATCACCTGCGCTCCTGAGAAGTCTCTCCCCTGCCCCAGGTCAACTACATCAAAATCTGCTCATTAACAAGATGCCCAGGTCATTCGGATGCATATTACAATTGAGAAGTTCTTTCTAGAAGCCTCACTGCTACCACCCCCACCATCATCATCGTCATCAACAGCCATGTCCTGTTGAGACATTTCTTTGCCTGCTCTGATCTGAGTACCCTGCACACACCATCAACACGATCTTGTTTCATCCTCCCAAGGTCTCTGTGTGCTATGTACTCTTATTATTCCCATTAGCAGGTGAGGAAGCTGAAGCTCAGGAGATCAAGTCATTTATGTGAAATTATCCGGGTAGGGAGCATAGGTAGCTTGAGTTCAATCTGAGACACTTTGCCTCTAGCATCCATTTCCCTCTCCCCTAGGCCTTCCTTCTTCCCTGCTGGCCAGGTCAGCTCACTCCATATTCATTTCATTTGCTTCCTTCTAGTCAGTCTGCAAAACTCCAAAAGCAAAGCCACTGTGGAGGGAAGGCTGCTTCTTGGCGTGTTTTGTAAAAGAGCTTTGAATCTTAACATTATCTTAAAATAAGACTGAGTTGTACCCTGTGTAGATTTTATCTCTCTCAGCCCCAGAGAACAAGCTCTTTCTGCTGTTTCCAATTAAACTGGATGGCTTAGAGTTGCAGATTACCATCCCCCCGAGATGTGAACTCCTGGCTCTGTTGAAGTGGTGGAGTATCTTGGACTTGACCTTTGGAAGAAAATGTATATTTAAAGCTCTAATCTGAAAAAAAAAAAAAAAAAAAAAAAAAAAAAAAAAAAAAACAGAGGAAGTAATACAACCTTGCAATGACATTGGTCTACAGTTTATCAAATTCTTTAAAGACCTCAAGGTCAGAATAGCTATAGCCTGTGTACTTGAGACCAAAAGTTAATTACAGGAAGATGATATCTGGCGTCTGGAAGAGGTTGAGGTCCATGATTTTCAGATTGATTACTGAACTGCTCTGCTCTGAGAGGATGCTCCCTCTAGAGAAGGACTGGGGCGTGGGGCGGTTGTGGCAGGGCGGGGAGCGGCTGGCCTGGGATAGAGGTTTGGTGGACCCTACTTCATTTTCAGCCAATTAGTACAGTACTTTCAATGAGTACTTTCAATCTTATATCATTTTATATAGTAGGCCCTAGGGTAACATTTTATTTAATGAGCCTTTCCTTCCTTGTAAAAAAAAAAAAAAATTGTACATTAAAAAACAACTGAGCTAATCCTTCTCCATCCATTGCATTCTTTGCAGTTGAGGCTGTTGAGGCTCAGAAAGGCAAATTGACTTCCCCAAGGTCACACTTTGTTTTGACTGAAAGCTATTTCTTGTATTCCTCCTTTGAAAGCTCAAAAGCTGGGCTGGCCGCCAAGTCTGCTGGGCATTCGCTCCTCTGCTGTGTAGATCAGCCCTTATTATGTCCAGTGGCGCTGACCTGGGTATATTTCCTTTGCATTTAGGACTCCTTTGTATGTGTTTGGAAAGCAAAGCGCTGTTCAGGTGTTCATTGGCAGGGTTTAGTCAGTAAGTCATACATTCTCAATGTTCTTTTTCTTCCACCATGCAGTCAATCTGCATGCCTCCCCTTCTTCCCTGGTTTATTTAAACATTGAAGGCAGCCTTGCAAACAACACTTAATACTCCAATATCAGCAAGATAGAGTAGCTCTTCTGCAACCACAAGGTTAAATGGCTGAAAAAATCCCATTTTAGGGAAATGTGCATTTAAAGAACTTACGACCTGAAAGGGAATATGGGGTTGGGAGCCTGAGATAATAAGGAGCCCTAGGAAAACCTTTTTTAAAAAAAACTTTCAGAAAAATAAACTAATAAATAAGAGCCTCTCATGAGGAATATCAGTAACATTTTGCAGCTAGTAATAATGGGTAATAATAATGTGGGTAATTTTCATTTTATCATTTCTTGTTTGTCAGACACTTCTTCATTTGCTGTGTGACAGATGAGATGCATGCTAAGAAACATTTTATTTCTTTTTTTTTTGAGACGGAGTCTCGCTCTGTCACCCAGGCTGGAGTGCAGTGGCGTGATCTCGGCTCACCGCAACCTCCGCCCCTCCAGGTTTAAGCAATTCTCTGCCTCAGCCTCCAGAGTAGCTGGGATTACAGACATGTGCCACCATGCCCGGCTAATTTGTTGTATTTTTAGTACAGACAGGGTTTCACCATCTTGGCCAGGCTGGTCTTGAACTCCTGACCTCGTGATCTACCTGCCTCGGACTCCCAAAGTGCTGGGATTACAGGCATGAGCCATCGCGCCTGGCTGAAGCATTTTATTTCTAAGAGTGGCTCTCCTCAAAGTCTGCCATCAAAGCCTAGGCCATCAGCTCTTTTGCTGGCTAGTCAGAAATGTAGAGGTAGAATTCTGGAACTTGGTTTCATTGGCCTCAGCTTTTGCTCCTCTCTTCTCTGCCATTCTATTTTACCTACCATTTCTAACCACTATTTCTTCCTTTTCTAATTGTTCCCAGTAGGAACAACACACACACTGGAACTGAAATTCCTACTATTTCCAAAGATGTATTGAAGTCACACACACTGAGATTTACTACAAAGGAAACTCATCCTTCTTCTAAAAAGACAAATATGTGTTGTTTTATGTTTTAGTGCAGCATTATTTACAATAGCAAAGACTTAGAACAAACCCAAATGCCCATCAATGATAGACTGGATAAAGAAAATGTGATACATATACACCATGGAATACCATGCAGCCATAAAAAAGAATGAGTTCATGTCCTTTGCAGGGACATGGATGAAGCTGGAAGCCATCATTCTCAGCAAACTAACACAGGAACAGAAAACCAAACACCACATGTTCTCACTCATAAGTGGGAGTTGAACAACGAGAACACATGGACACAGGGAGGGGAACATCACACACCGGGGCCTGTCAGCGGGGTGGGGGGCAAGGAGAGGGAGAGTAGCAGGGCAAATACCTAATGCATGCGGGGCTTAAAACCTAAATGATGGGTTGATAGGTGCAGCAAACCACCATGGCACACGCATACCTGTGTAACAAACCTGCACGATCTGCACATGTATCTCAGAATTTAAAGTGAAATTAAAAAATAAAATAAAAAAGACAAGTACATGTTGTTTTATTTAGGTACATCTAAGCCCCCAAGAATTTAAAGGAAAGTATTGGCTCTCAAGCGATTTAATCATGTATACAGAGAAGTTATCTAAGAAATCCTTGGGGTGTCATCTATATATGCTGATATTTTAAACTTCACCTTTGGTTATTCTGTTCCTCAGAAGAGTTGGAGAATAGTTAGCTTTTCCCTCAAAAAACAAATTCCTGAGAGATTGTAATAAAGCCTGTCTAAAGATATTAGTTAGTGATATGTAGCACTAAAGCAGTTTGCTATCACTTTTGGTGGTCTTTTCAATTGTTTACTAGGTCTCAGGTCGGTCTCTAGAGTAGGGTAATGATGGTTGCTGAGTACTTATAATGTCATATAACACTTGGGTATCATGAAATGATAGCAGCGAGGCTTTTGTTAGAGTTCGGCAAAATTTATCCTTGTAAAGCTTCAAGGCTGGAAAGATTACCAGGTGTATCTGGTAGCTGATGGGCTAAAATAACAAACCTTTATGTGAAAAGGAGCTCTTTATAGGGTGTGCCTCAAGGTCAGGCCTATTGGATTGTATATTTGTAAACAGAACCTGCCGAGATTAGTCCTTACCTCAGGCAGTTCATGATTCCGCTCTAGAGAGAGGCATTTGTCACTTAACTTGTCTCGGACCCTTGTCCTTGTTTTGCAAATGCAACCATGGTATCTTAGCAGAGAGGTGAAACTCTACACTTCCTTATCTAATTCATTTGTGCATTATTGTCATTCCTGTTTAGGATGAATGTATTGCCATTCTCTTTCAATTGAATTCACTTGGAAGTAAAGTTTATCCCTGGTGGGAGACCCCTTTTTAGATTACATGTACTTACCCCTGACCAGTAACTGTCTCCCGGTAGTCCTGTGCACTGCTCGGCTTGAGACTGAATTCTTATGCTTATCATGACTCCTTTGGATGAATCTAGATCCATTCCCAGAGAGGAGTGTCAACTTTCCCTCAGGGCTATGTTGGGGAGGTAGAGCTGCTGGAACAAAACTGGGAACCTCTTAGTGAGGTAAAAGAGAGGAATGCATACTTGATAGCCAATAGTGTCAAGTACAGTTATGTTCTTGCAGTTTCCAAGGTCATTTTTTTTTATTTCTGAAGTATAAAAGTACTCTCAGCCTTTTTAAGGCCTTAAATACAACAATGATCCTTTAAAAATTTATTCCCCCAAATTGTGCTCTTCCCCCCTCTCCCATAAGAGTTCCTTGAAGCAGACATCACACCTGGCTCTTCCAAGTATGCTTAGCACTTAGCACAGAATGGGCATCATAGGCACAGAATGAATATTTACAGGATAAATACATAAACAAATGTAACTTGTTTTCTGAAATCCCCCGGGATTCCAGAACCTCAGACTTTGTGTAGAGCAAAACAAAACAAAAATCCAGATCTCTAAGAGTCTTGAGAAAAATCTCCCTGTAACAGTGTTGTCTCTTTTTCTCTCCTATTTTAGTGTTGGCATTTTACTTTGATTTTATTTTTATAAAGTTTACGACTACCTTAAGTAGGATTAAAATTATGCTTTTTAGTTTCATGTAACAGGGTGACCATGTTATTGTTTTTTAAGTTGTTAAGATCCCATAATATAAAGGTGTTTACCATATTTTTTACTAGATTGCTGATTTTCTGTTTTAATTCCCTAAGTCTTTCTTTTCTGCCCACTCCCAGGGTAAGTAGGAAGAAAAGGATGATAAAAAATGAGAATGCATTTTAACAGGTCTTGTGTGTACTTTCTGCTAAGCGTTTCTCACACCATCATTGTGATGGGTTAACTTCATTAGTCCCATTTAAAAGATGAATTTGTAAGGTTCGGAGGCAAGTGATTTTTCTAACATCTTTGTATTAGTTATCCATTGCTGCTGTAACAAATTACCACAAACTTAGTGGCTTAAAATGCAAATTTGTAATCTCCCAATGGGTTCTTCCTGCTGCACAAATAAAACCAATTCACTGAGGCAGGTTGTATTGCAGTTGAGAAAGAGTTTAATTAATGCAGGGCCCACTAGCCAAGTGGAAGACGAGAGTTTATTACTCCAATCAGCCTCTGAGTGGGGGCAACAGGACCAGTGGAGTCATGAGTCATGGGTCTAGGTGGAGTCAGTTGGTCACCAGAATGCAAAAGTCTGGAAAACATCTCAAAAGACAAATCTTAGGTTCTGCAATACTGATGTTATATGATGATGATGATGATACAGATATAGGAGCAATTGAGGAAGTCACACGCCTGGTCAGTAAGTGAATTGTAGAAACGTAAGCTGGGGGACAGTGGCTGGTTGTCCTTTATGCCTACATCTTAGCAGAATTCAGGCCTCTCCCAAAATTCTAATCTTGTGGCCTTTCATTAGTCTTACAAAGGTGGTTTTCATCCCCCAACAGGGAGCAGACCAGTTTTAGGGAGGGACTATTACCATCCTTGCTTCAAAGTTAAACTAAACTAAAGGCCAAGGCAGGCAGATTACCTGAAGTCAGGAGTTGGACATAAACCTGGCCAACTTGGCGAAACCCCGTCTCTCTAAAAACACAAAAATAAGCCAGGCATGGTGGTGCACTTCTGTAGTCTCAGTTACTTGGGAGGCTGAGGCAGGAGAATCGCTTGAACCTGGGAGGCAGAGGTTGCAGTGAGCCAAGATAGTGCCATTGCACTCCAGCCTGGGTGACAGAGCGAGACTCGGTCTCAAAAAAACAAACAAACAAAAAATAAAAAATAAACAAAGTTAAACTAAACTGAATTCCTCCCATGGGTAGCCTGGCCTACACCCAGGAGTGAGTGAATACAGCCAGCCTGTGAGGCTAGAAGCAAGATAGAGTCAGCCAGGCTAGACTTCTTCTCTTTCATAATCTTTGCAAAAGCAGTTTCAGATTTATTCTCTTATAGGTCAGAAGTCCAAAGTGGATCTGATTTAGCCAAAATGAAGGTGTCAGCTAGGTGGTATTTCTTCTGGAGGCTGGAGGGAAGAATCTGACTCCTTGCTTTCTTCCAGCTCCTAGAGGCTGCTCTCCAGATTCCTTGACTCGGGGCCACTCTCTCCATCATCAAAGCCAGCAGCTTAGCATCTTCAAATCGTTCTCTGACTCTGACCATTCTGCCTCCTCCTTCCATTTCTAAAGAAAATTCTTGTGATTAGGTTGAGACCACCCAGAAAATCCAGAATAATCTCCCCATCTCAAGATTATTAATTTGAGGCTGGGAAGGAGAGGGGATGAAGAGAGGTTGTTTAATGCATACAAATATACAGTTAGAAGAAATAAGTTATAGTGTTGGATAGCACAGTAGGGTGACTACAGTTAAGAATATGTTATTGTCAGGCCGGGCACGGTGGCTCACGCCCGTAATCCCAGCACTTTGGGAGGCCGAGGTGGGTGGATCACCTGAGGTTGGGAGTTTGAGACGAGCCTGACCAACATGGAGAAACCCCATCTCTACTAAAAATACAAAATTAGCTGGGTGTGGTGGTGCATGCCTGTAATCCCAGCTACTCGGGAGGCTGAGGCAGGAGAATCACTTGAACCCAGGAGGCGGAGGTTGTAGTGAGCCAAAATTGTGCCATTGCACTCCAGCCTGGGCAACAAGAGCAAAACTCTGTCTCAAAAAAAAAAAAAGAATATCAAAATAGCTAGAAAATGTCTGAAATGTTCCCAGCACTAAGAAATGATAAATGTTTGAGGTGACAGACATCTGAAGTACCCTGACTGATCATTATGTGTTATACATATGTATAAAAATATTACATGTGCCTCATAAATGTGTACAATTATTATGTATCAATACAAATTTTAAAATAGAAAGATCATTAATTGCATATTTCAAGTCTCTTTTGCCCTGTAAGGTAATATATTCAGTTCTAGGATTTAGGACATAGAAATCTTTGAGGGAAGCATTACTCTGCCTATTGCAGAGACCCATATAATGTCCTAACAGAATTGACTTTCTCCAGGTTTCTAGCTCTCTGCATATACAAGAAAAAAGTTTTTGGCTTTTTTTGTGTGTGTCTTCTCCTGGTACTTCTGTCTTGGATATTGCTTATTTAATTTTACAAAAAATTCACAGCCTCTGTGTTTGTTTGAATAAATTGAGGTTGAAAAGTGTTCAGCCACAGCAATGATACCTTAATAACATAATGGGAGAGGAGACAGCGTCTTGGCAATTGAGACCTGTGAGTTTTAGACAGAGATGTTTAAAACTTGACATATTGCATGAACTCACAGAGTCTTCTAACTTTTGTCTTTTAGGCTTATGTACAGAAGTACGTCGTGAAGAATTATTTCTACTATTACCTATTCCAATTTTCAGCTGCTTTGGGCCAAGAAGTGTTCTACATCACGTTTCTTCCATTCACTCACTGGAATATTGACCCTTATTTATCCAGAAGATTGATCATCATATGGGTTGTAAGTATTATTACTACTCATTAACTGATGCTACTTCTAAAACAACTACTTCCTTTGATACTCAAGTACTTTGCAAATATGTTCTTTCTTTTTTTTTTTTTTTTTACCACTTAGAGTTGAATTTGTTGCCTAATTTCCTTTGGAAAAATTAGAAAGCAATAGACACAACTTGTGTTCCCTGAACAGTAAGGGAATTGTAGAAAGGTAAGCTGGGGGACAGTGGCTGGTTGTCCTTTAATGATGCCTACATCTTTGCAGAATTCAGGACTCTCCCAAAATTCTAATCTTGTGGCCTTTCATTAGTCTTACAAAGGTGGTTTTCATCCCCCAACAGGGAGAGGACCAGTTTTAGGGAGGGACAATTATCATCCTTGCTTCAAAGTTAAACTAAACTAAAAGCCAAGGTGGGCGGATCACCTGAGGTCAGGTGCCTCCCAGGTTCAAGCGATTCTCCTGCCCCAGCCTCCCAAGTAGCTGGGACTACAGATGTGCACCACCACACGCGGTTATTTTGGTATTTTTAGTAGAGATGGGGTTTCACCATGTTGACCAGGCTTATCTCTTACTGCTATGAACACAACTTGTTTTATTTGTAAAAACCAAATCTGTGATTTTGTGTACTTTGAGATATACTTTCCCAAGGGTAGATCAAAGTAGGAGAGGGCATAAGTGATGACCAGAGAAGAAAGGAACCTTTCTAAGGACCCATAGAGTGGTATGAAATGCATCCTCCCAAGAGGCCTATTTTAGTAAAATTTGATCAGAACCTAAAATCAGAAGCTGTTGAGCAATACCTCCAAGCAGTATTAAGTGATTATACACATGGGAGAGGCCAAAACACATAAGGCAAAGCAGCTTCCTTGAGAGAACGTCTAGTGTAGCAGGAGCAGCTGCAAATACACAGAAACCATATGACAATCCCAGGTAGACAGGCAGAGCCTTTTTCTGCTGTTTCACTGGTAACCCTGGCATTTAATTTTGTTCAGGGCCAAATGAGTTCTGATTTTGTGTCTCATTGAAGGAGATGGTAGTCATTTGCAAGGCAGCAAGGCATACTCCAGATATGTAGGTTTGGTATCAGAGAGGCCTGAGCTCAAGTACAGTCCAGGCCCCATCTGTGTGCCCTTGCGCTGAGCCTTACCTTCCTCATTTGTAAAATTGTGTGAATAATGTGCCTCCCCAGAATCATCGTGGGAATATCTAGAGTGTGCACAGAGCTCTAGGCCTGGCATGTGGAGGACTCTGCAGGTTGCTATTTGAGCATGATAACGCATAGTGACTGGTGCATGAAGGCGAAGGAGTCTTGAAGATCAACCAACTCTAAGGTCAAAGGTTATTTAGCTGGTGGAGGGAACTTCCAGACAAGACTGTTGCCCTGACTCAAGATTCTGCACTAGAAATAGAGGTTCAGAAGCACTTGGTTGGGTATAAAAGAGAAGATTTTAGCAAGTGACTTTCCTATGGTGAGCATTATGTTTTCTCATTTGTAGAACAAGTAGAATGGACTTGATCAGGGGTCATAAATTCGAATGTTCTCAGGGGCAGGGGACAGAAATAAAGCAGCAATGTCCTGGGCCAGGGTGAGGGGTGGCAAGGGCGGGGTATCCACACAAATTCTTCACCAGGTGGTGACAGAGGGACTAGGGAGCAACTGCCCCTGGCTCCACCTGGGACTTCAAATCCCTGTCTCCCAATAGCCCTCTTTTGAAATCTAGCTTCTGTCTAAAAGTATAATCTGAGAGTCTGCAAAAGCATAGGCATCTTGCAAATCATAAAGAGAACGTTAGTCCAGTTGTCCCTCCCCGTTTCTGAGGCCACTTCTGTGTCCACGGAGCAGGCAGGATGGGGGCAGGAGAGAGAGAATGGGAGTGGTCCTTCTGTTCTTAACATCTGAAAACCCTTGGAAAACCTATGGGCTTGAGTTTCTTTCCTACTGTCGTTTATTTTCTAAGATGTGTGTGTGTGCGTGTGTAAGGTATAACTGTATATATATGTATGTGTGTATATAGGTGTGTGTGTATATGTATGTATATAGGTGTGTATATATGCGTATGTGTGTATACAGGTGTGTGTATATCCGTGCGTGTATATAGGTGTGTGTATATGTGTATGTGTGTATATAGGTGTGTATATGTGTATATATAGGTGTGTGTATATATGTGTGTTTATTGTATGTATATAGATGTGTATATATGTGTATTGGAGTATATAGGTGTGTATGTATGTATGTATAGTGTGTATATGTGTATATATAGGTGTGTGTATATTTTGTGTATTTATGTGTGTATGTATATAGGTGTGTATATATGTGTATGTGTGTATAGGTGTGTATATATGTGTGTTTATAGATATGTATATATTTGTGAATGTATGTATATAGGTGTGTATATATGTGTATGTGTGTGTATATAGGTGTGTATATATCTGTGTGTGTGTATAGGTGTGTGTATATGTGTATGTGTGTATATATGTGTGTGCATAGGTGCATATATATGTTTATGTATATAGGTGTGTATATACATGTATGTGAGTATATAGGTGTATATGTATGTGTGTATGGGTGTGTATATGTGTGTATATAGGTGTGAGTATATATGTGTGTCTATGTGTGTGTGTATAGGTGTGTATATATGTGTATGTGTGTATATAGGTGTGTATATATGTGTATAGGTGTGTATATATGTGTGTTTATAGGTATGTATATATGTGTGAATGTATGTATATAGGTGTGTATATATGTGTATGCATGTGTGTATATAGGTGTGTATATATGTTTATGTGTATATATATGTCTGTGTATATATGTGTATTTGTGTTTATAGGTGTGTATATATGTGTGAGTGTATGTATATAGGTGTGTGTATATATATGTGTGTGTGTGTGTTCTAAATCCCAAAACTTTAATAATTGTTGAGTGGGGCAGATGATGAGAAGTACATTACACAGGAATATCTTATAATGTGTTTGATCTGCTCATGGCCAATTATCTCCCCCACTGAGGGTGGAAAACTTTCCCTGAGAGCTGGGAAGACCTCTAGACTCTATAGAAGGCTGTGGCTAGGGGACACTCTCGTTGCCATTATTGGTGGTTATTTTCTGCTTCGGATTCCTCACTTCAAAGCGTCAGAGTGCTTGTCTGAGGCAAAATGACAAGCTTTTGTCATAGAGTGAGGCAAATAAAATCTTTGCCCAAGAAAGGAAGAAATAACCTCTGAATCTGCAGTTTGTCCTGAGGTTTGGCCACCTGTTACTTGACTTTTTAAAATCGGTGCATGGCCTGGTTCACCAGTCCCCCTGTGCTGAGAGTTCTGTAGTTATTCTGTGTGGTCATTGTAAGGAAGTGTGAGAAGCGTAAGGTAATGTGAGAAGGCAGTGTGAGAAGCGTAAGGTAGTGTGTGCGTTCCTGCCAGTGCCTGGGGAGAGAGTGGAGGCCATTCCAAGGGGCGAGAGGGAGAGAGGGAGAGAGGGAGGGAGGGAGGGGGAGAGGGAGGTGCGGGTGTGCTTGCGTGTGTTTGTGCATCTTCGTGTATGTGCATGCATTTGTGTGTGTGTGTGTGTGTGTGTGTGTGTATACGTACGCGTGTTGGGATTAGGGGTGCTCTCTGATGGGCTACAGAGACAATAATGAGAGATATTTGGTTTGCCTCCAGAGTTGAAGGTGGATGAAAGGAAGGGCAAGTCCCGGAGGTTGGGGCGGATTTGGGAGCCTGGGGTGGTTAAGGGTTAGGTTCTGGTACTTGGGCCAGCCAGGGCAATCAGCTTCCTGCTGAGGCAGCCTTTCTTCAGAAAACGATATCCCTAAATTAGTGGCTGCTTCTTCAAAGGGGTAGGGATTAAGAAATGTTAATTACATAAGGGACAGAGCTTGAAGTCTTGTAACTGAACATCTTATCTCGCCCAAAACTCACTGGAAGGCAACTTTGTTCAGGACTGCCAAAGCTTGGCACATTTTATATTAATTTGGGAATTGTCACTGGATGAAGCCCCTATATAGGTTTTATTGCTTTTAAAAATCTTGTGTTACATTAAGGGTGACTCACACTGTCTGAAGTAGCTTAGCAGAATTTATGGTTGTTATCAAGTGCTCTCTCCTCACAATCATAATTAGTCCTCACCTGTATTGTACATCTTTTGTTGCTTTTATAGGCATCTATGTTCATTATCTTATTTGAGCTTCATAACAATGGGCAGTATCATTTTTTAGATTGGAATAGTAATATTTCAAATATTGATAAGCCATACCCTATATTGAGCATTTAGTATATATGCCATTCGCTGTCAGAGTGCTTTACATATTTTACTTCACTTAATCCTACCAGCAATACTGAGAAATAGTTATTACCAGCCCACTTTACAGATCCTGAAACTGAAATGTAGAAAGGTTAAATAACTTGCCCAAGATCACACTGGATTAAATGGCAAGGTGGATTTGCTCCTGCGCCCAGGCCTTGTCTACCAGGGGAAGCTGCCGTGGTTGTTTCTTAGAAGAACGCAGCTAAGTAGCATAAGGAGCACAATATTTTTTAAAGATGCTAAAACTGGGGCTTCAAGTATTACAATGATTTGCCCAAAGTTTTCTTCTATTGAATATTTGCTTTGGTTTGTGTTCCAGCTGTGCTCTTATGGCATTTATTAACCCTGTGCTCTGCTTGACTGTTTCTTATCTACCCTTCTTTTTTTTTTTTTTTTTTTTTGAGACAGAGTATCGCTCTGTCACCCAAGCTGGAGTGCAGTGGCGCGATCTCGGCTCACTGCAAGCCCCACCTCCCGGGATCACACCATTCTCCTGCCTCAGCCTCCCAAGTAGCTGGGACAACAGGCGCCCACCCCCACGCCCGGCTAATTTTTTGTATTTTTTAGTAGAGACGGAGTTTCACTGTGTTAGCCAGGATGGTCTCGATCTCCTGACCTCATGATCCGCCCACCTCAGCCTCCCAAAGTGCTGGGATTACAGGCGTGAGCCACCGCGCCCGGCCTCTTATCTACCCTTCTTAACCCATTTATGCCTAGTGTTCCATTATTGGAACGCGAAGCTTGTGGGAGTTATTTATATCCTACTGCTCAAGGTCATCGCTAAGGTCTGATTTTTCACACACAAAAATTTGCAACCTCCAGCATAAATGGGTTAACAAACCTTAACAAACCCCACAGTATGGAATAAGCTTTTGTTAAATTAACTGAAACACATCAATCAATTCACTAACTTCTCTCCTCTGTCCTGTATCAAGGTTTTTAACCTATCTTTGGGCTCAAAAGAATTTTAGACATTGAGCCAAAAAAGACAGCAAATGGATTTTCTGATTAGAATGCTTATAAAGAGATATTGAGGATGATGTTTCAGAAGATGAGTCACTACCCCATGGCATGATTATCTAATCTCTTCACTTTCATTTTGGCATGGTGACAGACCTAACAAAAAAATAAAAGCTTTAAAGTTATATTTCTGTATCTTTAAAAGGTTAGAGGCAACTTCACTGAACTTGGGAGGTATTTAGTTTTGTAACATGAGGCAAAATCTCACTCACTTTTTTGCTAAATTCCTCATTTTGTGAAATAGCAATGCAAACATTGACACCGCAACTCATCCTGGGAGTTTGGAAGCCTCATTTTCTCTGTTTTATTGTGATATTTTACACTGATATTTCTTTCCACGGATACTTCATGGCATTCATAATGAGATGTAGAAAAAATGAGATAAACAGATACAAAGTGAAAGTAAGGAGAGCACAGATACAATAGAAGATGAAAGCCCAGGCTAAAGTGAAGTGTGGCATGCTGGTTCAAAGGTGAGCCACAGATTCATATTTGAGCTTTGTCTTGACCGACCAAAATGAAGTTATGCTATCCACTAGGAAATCATAAGCCTGTTTCTAAGAGAGCAAACCTTTTCCTGACTCGTGAAATTGATAGTGTATTGTCAAGGCTAGTGATACATGTTGCTCAATTATTTTCTCAGAAATATCTGGTGTCAGTACCCGCTTATCATCTGTGTGAGAGTACTCATTCTGACTCCTTTTCCTGAACTTTCGGTGTTCTCATTTTTAAATCATTGCTAATTTAACCAAAGAAAAATGGTATTTCCATGCGTATATTCATTGCAGCACTATTCACAATAGCAAAGTCATGGAATTAACCTAAATGCCCATCAATAATAGACTGGATAAAGAAAAGGTGGTACATATGCAGCCATAAAAAGGAATGAGATCATGTCCTTTGCCAGTACATGGATGGAGTTGAAACCATTATCCTCAGCAAACTATCAGGAACAGAAAACCAAACACTGCATGTTCTCACTTATAAGTGGGAACTGATTGATGAGAACACACAGACACGTGAGGGGGAACAACACACACTGGGTACCTGTTGGGGGTTGGCAGGAGGGAGAGCATCAGGAAGAATAGCTAATGGATACTGGGCTTAATACCTAGGTGATGGGGATCTGTGCAGCAAACCAAAATGGCACATGTCTACCTATGCAACAAACCTGCATATCCTGCACGTGTACCCCGACCTTAAAATAAAAATTGAAATAAAAAAGAAAAATGATATCTCAGTTAACTTCCAGTTCATATATAATTAGTGAAGATGAAAACATTTTTCATACTTTTATTAATCATTTGTATTAACTTGTATGAATTGTCAGTCTGCCTTGTATTTTTTTAAAAGGGGCTTTCATTTTTTATTGATTTCCACCAGTTGTTAACGTAGAATGATACTGAATTTTCTGTGTCTCAGAGGCAGTGTATCTTTATATGTAAGATGTTTAGAAGTTCAAGACTTTGAGAAGTGGTATTTAATTCTATAGTATCATCAATAGTGACCTAGGAAAATCCTTTAAAATGGAATTTGAATGCTTTTATACTGAGTGCTCACTTTAGGCACAGACCTCACCATTCCCTTTATGTCTTACCCTTTATGACCTCCCAGGTCCTTTACAGGCCATTTAATGTGGGACTCCTGTCCTCGGGCACTTAATGTTTCTGGTGTGTAGTTTCCCTGCATAAAAGAGCTTACTGTGGGGGGTGACCAGCCCTTAGAAAACCTGGTACATGCTGCCTGAACTCCAGTAAAGTTAAAATTTGTTTCTGAGTTTCTTCTTGATTTTTTTCCCCATTTGTAAGATTTGTTTTTTCACCTAACATCAAAAGACATATTTCCCACCATTCTAACATAGCATGGTTATTTTTAAGTAAGTGTTATTGTAACTGAACTGTTATTATGGCTTTTCTGATTATGCTGAAGCTCTGGTTGTCCCTGAGAGTTTCCAGACAGGGTTAATCTCTCTTCTAATAATTATTGGCTTTTGATCATCTCCCAGATTGGAAGCAAGGAGTACCTGTGTGAGAAGAGGGTGGGGCTGCTTCTACTTCACCAGCAGCTTTGAGGTTTGGTCAGAAGTTTCTGGTCCTATAATACCATGAAAGGAGCACCAGGCTGATGTAATATAGGTAGTGTTTCTTAGCTTTCAGAAACAGAGACCCACTCAAGCTAACTCAGGAAAGTAGGAATTTGCTGTAAAGTGATGGAAAATCTAAGAACCAGAAGCTCACAGGAACAAATGCTAGTGAACAGTTTGGCTGTCTGCTATAATTCAATTGTGATTTTCCTGATATCTTCTTCTTTATCTCCTTCTGTTGGCTGGTTACTTTCTCAACTGTCTTTTATTTGATTAATTGATTGATTGATTGGAGACAGGGTCTTGCTGTGGTACCCAGGCTTGAGTATAGTGGCACAATCATAGCTCACTGCAGCTTCGAATTCCTTGACTCAAGTGATCCTACCACCTCAGCCTCCCAAGTAGCTGGAACTACAGGCATGTAGCATCACACCTGGCTTAGTTGGGGGTCTCACTATGTTGGCCAGACTGGTCTCGAACTCTTGACCTCAAGCAATCCTTCCACCTTGGCATCTCAAAGTGCTGGGATTATAGGCATGGGTCACCCCTCAACTGTCTTTCAGTTCAGATTTTCAAGACAGCCAGACACAGCCCCTGGTGTAGTCTGGTAGCAAAACTCCATCCATCTCTGGCCAATGCATAGATTGGCTGTACTTGGTCCAAACAGCTGTATTGGGTAAGGATGGACAACTAACTAGGGCCACAGAGCCATGGGCCAGGTTCTGGAACATCAGGAGACCTGGACTGCAATCTTAGCAGTGAAACCTTCTTCAAGGAACTTGGAGATTCTGCCCTGCAGATTTCCTAGCTTCAGAGTGAAAGGACCCAGCTAGAGGATCTTTGGAGGCTTGTGATGTCATGACTCTTCATTATATGTTTGTTATGTGACACTTAAAACAGATTGATCCATGGTATAGAGGAAAAAGGAAAAGAAGGAAAGTTGGGCGGGACAACATTAAAAAAATAGAATAGAAGGTATTTCATCGCTTGTGCAGACTGAATGCTAATATGGCTTTACTTATTTTGTCTTGTGTTTTGAATCACCTCAGTATGAGACAGTACACTTGAAATGCATATCAACTCCATTGCTAAATAATTGTTAGCTTGTCTGCTGTTTTGTATTCAACATGACTGAAGGAATGCTTTAAAGGAAAATGCGTAATTGCGTGGCAAATATAAATTTCATTTTTTTTTTTTTCTGTAGAGCCAAAGTCCTGGTGATAAGGAAGCCTTAAAAGTGGAAGATTCCTTTTAGCAGGTTCTTCTGTTCCTATCCTTCTAAGACAAATTATGTTAAAGAGCTCAAGTTTAAAATGGTGGTTTTTCAGTATCTTTCACATTCTGATTATCAGCAGCTAGCTAGCTGATACTTACAGTAAAAACTACACTGAAAATTTACATTTAAATTGGACATACTATTTAGATAGTGTTTAACTGCTGTAGAGTTTAGGGTATTATTTTATGCAACAGTCATAAATTGGTTAAGAGGTAAACGTTTTGTGATAATGTGTCAAAACAGACTAGTGTGTTTTGGGATGTGGGCAGGCTGCCATCTGGCTGTCTCATAAGGGAGTCTGTCACCTGGTTAAAGACAAGAGGGAAAAAGCCTGTCCCATCCCTGTAATTCACAATCCTTAGACTGGGGTCAGTCTTAGTGCCAAAAGATGACTTTAAATGTGATTATCTCTTAATCCTCTGTTTAAACCACTACCCCTACACTTCAAAAGATTGCCCTGCTTGTTAAGTTGGTTCTTGCTTGAGATTAATGAGTCTTTAAAAGTATTCAACAATGGCCAGATTGTCACCCTCACTAACTTGCATTGAACGGAATAGAATTAGGCGTCAGAGATTCTGCCTAGTCCCTCTGAAGTGGAATCTGTAATTTAGCCTTAGTTAAATATTAAGTAAATGTCTCTAGGGGGTTTATTATAAAAACTGCATTGGTTTGGTTTTGAAACACAATAAGGAAAAGGTTTGGTTTTAGTGTAGGTTTAAAAAAAAGAAAGCTCTTAAAACTGGACTTGTGGTGAACAAATAAGTTTAGATCTCTCTAATTATCAACCATCTTTACCAGAAAAATGATTCTCTTTTTTTATGATGATGACTGGAAAACGTGCTCACATTCTTCCGTCCCTCTCTCCTTCCTTCCTGCTGCCCCTTCCCCACAGCTGCTAAGACTGCAATGCTGTTGGTGGAGTAGAATTGTAGCTGTCCCAGATAGAGCCCGTTGTTCCCCTCACCCCCAGGATCATTTCTGATGCTTCATTTACTGTATCGTGTGGATGGATGGGTAATGGCTTTAAAGCTTTGTCAGGTAGAAAATTGTTTGGATCATCAGGATCCTGGAGGCAGGAAACTTTTAAAGATGAAATTCGGTTGGATCTGCTAAAGTGATGCAAAGAACTAAACACTTCATACAGAGTTTTATTGTGGAGTTCATCCTTCTTCCCTCCTTTTGGACTTATGCCAGCTGTAATGTCTTACCGAGAAAAAACAAACAGTCATTGCCAAGTTACATGTAGACCCCAAACCAAGGAGCATCCTGATATGGCAGAGGGTAAGGAACTCAGTTTCTCTCTTGCTGTGGCTAAACCTGATTCCTCCTCTACTGCCTGCAGGCGGATTGGTCCCCATAGAGGCTTCTTTACAAAGGCACTGTTCCAGACTAGATTTTGTTCCAGGTTCTCTCCTACTCATTTGTAAAACAAGAGGAAAGATAATGAGCCAATTTGTAGACCATGGAGGACTTTCAGATAAAATTTTCAAACAAAATCTTAATTTTCTCTCTCTCTTTTTTAAACCAATCAATTCCACTGGCAAAGCTGCCGTCTTGAATTGTTATGGTTCTCATGGAAGCTGTTCACTGCCCCTCCGCTACATGTACAAGTACTTTACACTCAAGAACCCATTTTACAGATGAGTACAACTGAAGTCCAAAGAGATGAAGTGGCTTGCTCAAAGGGACACAACCAGTAAATAGAATAGGTAGTGTTCATCCCTGGCGCGCTCTCTAAACCCCATCCATTCTTTTCCACTGCGCCATGTTGCCTCAGATGGCGAAACTTTACTCTTCTCCCCAGTCCAATTATTCAGAAATGTGCTTTGCCTATTTGGTTGGAAAGGCTCTGTTTAGCATTACAGTCTCATTTGCAAGTGCCTATATCTACAGCAGCCATATGTCACAGATTTTCTAGATATTTTCCTTCCAGTTCTCCATGCCTTGGTACTGGTGCGTCCCCTTCCCACCCCCGCATTTGACAGACTGAGTGTCCCAGATTTTTCACACGAACTCGAAAGGCCAGAGCATCACAGGGACCTAGCAGGGCGGAGAAGGGCTTTGGTACTTTTGTTTCGGAGCTGGAGGCCTGCAGAGGGCTGCCTGCAGATCCTGTGGGCTTGTCATTCCTGGGCCCATGTTCTACTTCCTTATCCTATTCTGTAAAGCAGCCAAGTGGAAAAGAAGGAGTGAGGGAAAGAGCAGGCCCTTTGTCCCTGTTAGGAGCTAGGGATTTGACCTAAGGGGACTGGGTATTTTTCTTGTCAATTCCTCCCCCTACACGAATTTCCCAGGCTTCTTGCCTCTGCCTGCCTTCATCTTCCCCACACCCCAGGCCTGTCCAGCTCCTGTGTGAGTGACAAGGAGCCTCCAACTCCTCACCAGCTCTCCTGTCGCATTTGAGGGTTAGCAAGTGTTCCCCATGCTGGGAAGGGGAAGGAGAGGCTTTCCTTGGTTAAGTGCTCTATCTGTTCACAGCTAAAGAGGCCACCGTTTATTTTGGCCTCTGGGATTTTCTGAAAGCTTGAGAACTGCAAAACAAATGCAGTCTTTAACTTAACTGCTGTTATTGCTTCTCTTCCCACTCCTTTCACCAGCACAGGGTGGGGCTTCCCAGGGAGCCCTCTCTAGTTAGAGGGCCCGGCCTCAGGGAACTGGCCTTGACCTCCATTCCTCTCTTGTGGGTTTGGCTGCCACAAGATGCTTCTCAGGCTCTTTTGGTGTAGTGGCCTCGATGGGCTGCACGGTGGCAGGGAGGTGCTGCATTTGCTATGCGGAAGCTGGGCCTTAGCCAGCTGAGGCTACCTCTGGGAAACTGAGGCTTTCTGAATTTGACTCCATGGGTGCCAGCCCCTCTCTCTGGACATCTGCCCTCCCCCAGCATTCCTGACCATCTCCTGGTGCCTGAAGCCCTGGCCAGTGGTCTCCTTGCTTGCGTACCCTTCTTTTTATTATTATTAGCATCATCGTTATTATTATTATTATTCCGTCCTCTGTGAGGTGGAATGAAGGGTCTTGAATAAATAATTTGCAAAGAGCCACAATATGGCTGCTTATGAATAAATAACGTTATAGAATTTGTAAACATGAGCCACATGTGGCTGTGTGGCCATAGTTTGGCTATTCCTTCAGTGAGTATGGACTATTTGCCAACTTTCAAGATATTCACTCTCTGTGTGGCAAGGGCCATCATTTACAGGTCCTGACTACATGCTAGATGCGGGGTTGTGGCCTTTATAAATATTCTTGAGCGAAGTGTAGGCACTACTATTATGACTCTCATTTTAAGGGGAGGAAACCATGTGAGAAGGCCAGCCGAGCTGACATGGCCAGAGGTGTAGAGCCTAGATTCGAACCAGTAACTCTCTGATTCCAGAATCCTGGCTATGAACTTCTGTACTCTGCTCTAACCTTTTCCCTTAATTATGGTATATATTAAGGCTTTTTTTTGTCTGTATTAAACATGTTCCAACAAATTTCATTTTTCATTTTGTGGGTAGTAAACCACATTAATTAAAAATTTTAAATTTTTAAAAATTAAAATTTTTTTCTTAAATCCTACTGTTTGATTTGAGAGTAAGTCACCTTTTCCTTCCATCGCTCTCTCTGTCCTTTGTTGTGTTTGATCTCAGCATACAGTTTATATCGTGCTTAGGATAAGTGGTTTGACATACGATTAGAAATGACTTATAACTCATGATGAATGTGTGAGAAACGGGATGGACATTGGAGAAGACTCATGAGTCTTTTAACCTAAAAGGAATAATTGAATCAAAGGATGGTTTGTTCCTCTTAAGAATTAGGTGACCTGGTTTATAATCCAAGTGAAAATTGCTCAGCCTCTATTTATTTTACCTAGCCCATGTTTTTCTAGTAAGGTAGAATGAGAAATCCAAAGGGAGGACATAGCCAGGTTGGGATGCGCTTATAGCCCGCTGGATGTTACAAGTGTGCAATGAATTGTAGTTCGGCCTTTACTAATAACTAACAAATTGACATTTCTCTGGGCCTCAGTTCAACCATCTGTGAAATGTGAAGTTGAACAAAATGACCACAGGGCCCCTCTCATTTGGAAAGTTTTATGATGATAAAAATACTGGTGGTGATGCATCTTATAGGATATTTAGTGTTTTTCATCATATGCCATGGCTTCAACCATGCATCTGCCGTCTGTTGTGCCAAACCCCTATTAACCTCACTAGAGAAGACACCAGGTTCAGGAGGCCAAAGAAGAGACCTGGAGTGAGCAAACGAGACATGGGGTTTTATTAGGGGCTTTCACAGGAGAGACAGTCCGGTGGCAGTGCGCTGGCAACATATCCATCCTCCTCCTGTCCAGTGGTGGCAGGCTGGACAACATAACCACGCAGCCCAGTGGTGGTGGGCTGTACAGAAAATCTGCAACCGCTTGCAAATAGCATGCAGTTTATATAGCATGTCACTTAACACCCACCTCCCTTCCACCAATAAAGAAGAGTTCCGCTTGGCAACCTTCATTTAACTCAACTCAGGGCCTCAATCCCCTCTACAACCCATACTCCACAGGACAGGAGTGGGGCTCAGATGTTTATCATAGAGAACAAACGAATCCACACATTGGCCACTCCTGGATTCCCTAGCTCAGAACACACATTCAGGTGCATCAGCCTTACAGGGTCATTCTAAATGTGTGCCTAAATTATTGCTATCAGGTGCGTTTACCTTGCACCCTGTAAAATCTCTCCTTGGTGACCCCCACATAACTGACTGGGTTGGTTTCTACCAATTTTCCTGTGGTCCCCCATGATAGGGAGAGGACGCAATCATTAATGGTCCTCTGTGAGAGGGGTCCTTAGGGACAGGGGTCCCCTAACCCTGGGCCATGGACTGGTACTGTAGCCTGTTAGGAACCAGGTCACACAGCAGGAGGTGAGCAGTGGGTGAGCGAGCATTACTGCCTGAGCTCCATTTCCTGTCAAATCAGCAGTGGCATTAGATTCTCTTAGGAGCATGCACCCTATTGTGAACTGTGCATGCAAGGGATCGAGGTTGTGCACTCCTTATGAGACTCTAGCTGATGTCTGATGATCTGAGGTGGAACAGTTTTATCCTAAAAGCATCTTCCCTCACCCCTATCTGCAGAAAAATTGTCTTCCATAAAACTGATCCCAGTGCTAAATAGGCTGGGAACTGCTGCTTGAGATACTGGTTGAACCTATCCTAAGTTTGAGTCACTAGGAATCATGTGGCCTTACAAATACAAGCCCAAAGGGTATGGAATTCCATGTGAGTTCAGGGCTCCCCTAGTCCAGGCATAAAGGTATGAAGAACATCAAACATGCAAGCCTTACTCTCAGCTTAGGGGGATGTGTGTGTGTGTATGTGTGTGTGTACAAACATAGACACACATATAAATTCATTGTTTGCATAGCATATACTCAGATTTAATAGAAACAGATGTTAGGTTTTTGTTCCTTTTAAAATTAAATTTCTTCTCGCATTCACAGGCACTGAAATCAGAGGGGCAAAAATGTTTGTTCAATTTGAAAATGCTTTTCAAATACATAGCAATTTGATTCTGGGGGTTGGGGAATGACATTCTGAAGGTTTTCCAAAAACACTGTAACTTGGAAATTAGCAAGTTGCGAGCAGCAGTAAGCTTGCTTCCTTTTAAATTAATATTGGTGAAACAAACAAAGGCTAAATGAGTAAGAGAGTTGATTTGTTTTATTAGGCCTTAATTGAGGATCTAGACAAAGGAGAACATTAAACCTTGTATTTACTACAAATTCTACAAGTAATTGCACACCTGTAACACTACTGCCAGCAGGATGAACCCATCCAAGCCCACCCTCAAGGGTTTCTTAAACAAATTCTGCAAAATAAATAGAGGTTGAACAATTTTCAATGTTTGTCTACATAACTGAAAAAAATATTTAGCATGAAGGAATAGACACAAGGTGATGGACTAAAAGTCTCCATTTTTTTCTGTAGCCAGCAAGGACTGTATGTTGACTGTTAATTAGAATGTATTAAGAAAAAAAAAAAAAGATCAGGGCTCATTGACTTGGGTAAGCATTTTAAACAAGCTAAAGGTTGTTTCAGGACTTTGTCTTTTTGGAGGCTGAAATTAGAAATTTAAACCTAAATTTATACCATAGAAAGCTTTTAGAATGTATGTTAGAGACTGAGCTTTAAAAAAAAAAATCAAGTCTTCTAATCTACAAAGAATGGTTGACTG